>NC_000002.12:71042625-71667625 GCF_000001405.40 Homo sapiens
GTAACTTTAATTACTGATATCATTATTGTATTATTAATAGTGATATTGCTATTAATTATTAATAGTAACCCTTAATATTTTTAATCCCGATGTTTTATTGTCTCTACTGTAATTATTAATATCGATGATTACTATTAATTGTTATTATATTTATTAATATTAATAATTGAGATAACTGTTCCCGATATCCGTGGGGGAGAGGATATTACTCCCAATATCGCAGAAAGTGGACACCCCTCTATGATGTTACTCCTAATAGCCAGAGGGTAGAAGATGACATTATTGAAAATATCGCAGTGTCGCAGTGGGTGTACATCCCTTCGGTCATCTTGTTCCTAATATCCTGGGTGGGAGCGGATGATATGACTCCCAATATCGCAGGGGGCGGAGACCTCCCCCGTGATACTGTCCCTAACATCCAAAGGTGGAGAGGATGATATTTCTTCCAATTTCGCCGGGGGTGCACACCACCCTTGTGATATTGATCCTAATATCCAGGCGGCGAGAGGATGAATTAGTCTGAATATTGCAGGAGGTGTACACTCCCTAGGGAGATTGTTCCTAATATCCAGGGACGGAGAGGATGATATCACTCCCAATATAGCAGGGGGTGTACAACCCTTCTGTGACATTGCTCCTAAAGGGCAGTGGGGAAGAGGAAGATATTACAGCCAATATCGCAGGCGGTGTATACCCCCTTGTGACATTCTTCCTTATATCCTGGGAGGGAGAGGAAGATACTAGCGGCAATGTCGCAGGGGCTGTACACACCCACTGTGATATTGTTCGGAATATCCCGAGGGGGAGAAAATGATGTTACCTCCAATATCGCAGGGGGTGTACATCCTCCTGTGATATTGTTTCTTATATTCAGGGGGAGAGGATGATATTACTCCCAATATCTCAGGGGTTGTACACACCTCCTGCGATACGGGGAGTAAGAGCCAGCCCCTCTCTGCCCCTGGCTCTTAGGAGCCCCATCGCAGGGGGGTGAGGCCCCCCCGCCGTACGGGGAGTAAGAGCCAGCCCCTATCCCCCCCTGGCTCTTGGGATCCCCATCGCAAGGGGGTGAGGCCCCTGCGATGCGGGGAGTCATATCACCCCCCTCTCCCCCCCGGATATGACGATCCACATCCCAGGGGGGCGGGCGCCGCCCGCGCTGCGGGGAGTCATATCACCCCCCTCTCCCCCCCGATATGACGATCCACATGGCAGGGGGCGGGCGCCCCCCGTGATGCGGGGAGTAATATCATCCCCCCCTTTCCCCCTGGTTATTACGATCCACGGTGGTCACACAGCCTGTTTACGTTATTGTGAGGAATATCTTCTCCGCCTCTGGAAATTACCAACCATATCACACATGGGTGTACATCATCTGCACTATTGGCATTAATAGCATCCTCTTCCCCCTTGTTATGAACAACAATATCACAGGAGTGTCTCTACCCCCAGTGCCATTGGGTGTATTATCATCCTCTCCCACGTTGAAATTAGGAACAATATCACTGGGGGCGTGTCCACCCCATGCGATATTGAAAGTAGTGTCATCCTTTTCTCTCCTGGGTGATGGAAAACATGTCACTGGTGTGGTGTCCAGTTTCTGCGGTATTGGGAGTCATATCATTCTCTCCGCCTTGGAACCTTAAGGACAATATCACTGGGGGGGCTGTACACACCCTGCGCTATTAAGAAGAATATTATCCTCGCCCGCCCTGCATATTAGGAAAAATATCACAGAGTGGGTGTCCACCTCCTGCGATATGGGAGGTAATATCATCTTCCCTTCTTCTGGATAGTACGAACAATATCACACAGGTTTGTACACTTTCTGTGATATTGGGAATAATATCAACCTCTCCGCCTTTGAATAGGAAGAACAATATCACAGAATGGATGTACACCCCCTGCGATATTGGGAGTGATATCAGCCTCTCCTCTCCACGGATATTGGGAATAATATCCCAGCGTGGGTGTACACCTCCTGCTGTAGTGGGAGTCATATTGTCCTCTCCCTTCCTGGCTATTAGGAACAGTATCACAGGGTGGGTGTCCACAGCATGCGATATTGGGAGTCATATCACCCTCTCCCCCTCCGGATATTAGGAACAATATCACAGAAGGGGTGTACACTTCCTGCGATACTGGGAGTAATAGCATTCTCTTCTTCCGTGAATATTAGGAGCAATATCACCGGGTGGATGTACACTCACTGCTATATTGGGAGTAACGTCATACTCCACCGCCTGGATATTATATTCGGATCAATATCACCGGGTGGGTGTACACCTACTGCGATATTGAAAGTAATATCGTGCTGTCTCCCTTCCGTGGACATTAGGAACAATATCACAGGTGGGTGTACACCCACTGTGGTATTAGGAGTAGTATTGGTATTAATTATTACTCCTTGATTATTAACATCAATATGAATTACCAATATTAATATTAATAAATAATTGCTAACAAAAAGTGTTCAGATTATTAATATTAATATTAATTATTAGGAGCTAATATTACTGTTTCTAATGAATAACATCAGTATCAGTTATTAATTGGTGTTATTAATAATATTAATAATTTATTGTTATTCTTAGTATAACTATTTAATAGTAATTATCATTATTATCGGTATTGATTTTTTAAATCATATTATCAGTTATTAATATTGATTATTATTATCAATTAATAATTGATATTATTAATTGTGATAAGTAATATTGCGACATTCCTCACAATATCGCAGAAAATGTACACCGCTCTGTGATGTTGTTCCTAATAGCCAGGGGTAGACAATGACATTACTCCAAATATCGCACTGGGTGTACATCCCTTCTGTGCTCTTGTTCCTAATATCCAGCTGGGGTATACACCACCTGCAATATTGGAAGTAATCGTATTTTCTGCCCCCCTCCCCCGGATATTAGAAACAATATCGCAGGGGGTGTGAAGAACCCCTGCGATATTTGGAGTAATATCGTCTCCCTTCATGAGTATTAAGAAGAATATCAAGGGGGGGTCGAGGGAACACACCCTTTGATATTTCATATCATCCTCTTCACCGGTGGATATTAGGAAAAATATGAGGAAGGGATGTACAGACCCTGAGACATTTGCTGTCCTATAACTGTCTCTCCCCTAGTAATTAGGAATAATGTAATGGGGGATGTGAACACCCCTGCGATATTGGGAGAAATATCATCCTCTCCCACCTTGGATATTAGGAACAATATCACAGGGTTGTGTACACCTCCTGCGTTATTGGGAGTAATATCATCCTCCCTCCCTCTGGATAGTAGGAAGAGTTTCACAGGGGTGTGTACACCCCCTGCGATAGTAGAAGTAATATCATCCTGTCGCCCTGAGGAGGGAAGCCACTTTTCTGACTGTCTCCTGTCTCTGAAAAGGAGAAGGAAGTAAAAGTTGAAAAAGAACAGGATGAAGTCAGTGTCAAGAGCAGTTGTTGCCACTGATGAGCTGGCCCGAGGTGAAAAGATGAACCCCCCCCCGCCCAACTCTAAGCACATGTGCTCTCAATCCATCACGATCCTTTCACGTGGAACCCCTTAGAGTTGTAAGCCCTGAAAAGGGCCAGGGAGTCTGTCTTCCTTCGGGGAGCTCGGCTCTTAAGACGCGAGTCTGCAGACGCTCCCGGTCGAAAAAGAATTCTCTTCCTTTTTAAATCCGGTGTCTGAGAGGTTTTGTCTTTGGCTCATCCAGAACGTTTACTTGGTTCACTCTGACCACGAGTCGAACCCAGGCCGCGGTGGATGAGAGCGCCGAATCCTAACCACTAGACCGCCAGGGGAACTTGGAACTCTGTGAGAGATAGATTGCCCAACTTTAATAGTGGGTTGGCCATCAGAAGGAAGCCTGGACAGGTCCCTTGTTTCTAAGGTGTGGCAAAAGGTGACTGGTAAAGGATACCTAGACCAGTTCCCATACATAGACACTTGGTGACAGCTGGTGCTAGACCCCCCACAGTGGCTAAGAGGCCAGGCAGCAGCAGTACTAGGAGCAAAGGGACAGATAGCTAAGGAAGGATCCGGCTCCACCCACCCAGGGAAATCAACTCCTGAAGTTCTATTCGACCCAACATCAGAAGATCCATTACAGGAGATGGCACCAGTGATCCCAGTGCTGCCTTCCCCTTACCAGGGAAAGAGGCTCCCCACTCTTGAGCCCACAGTGCTTGTGCCTCCCCAAGACAAGCATATCCCTAGGCCACCCAGAGCAGATAAGAGAGGAGGTGGAGACTCGGGAGAAACCCCTCCCTTGGCAGCTGGTTTATGACCCGAAACTGGGATACAAATGCCCCTGAGAGAGCAGCGGTATACTGGGATAGATGAGGATGGTCACTTGGTGGAGAGGCGTGTTTTTGTGTAGCAGCCCTTCACCTCTGACCACCTTCTCAACTGGAAAAACAATACCTTGTGCAATACCGAAAAGCCACAAGCTCTAATTGATTTGCTCCAAACTATTATCCAGACCCACAACCCCACCTGGGCTGATTGGCACCAGTTGCTCATGTTCCTCTTTAACAGAGATGAAAGGCGGAGAGTCCTCCAAGCAGCAACTAAGTGGCTAGAGGAACATGCACCAGCTGATTATCAAAAACCCCCCTAAGGACCCAGTTACCAGGAACCGAACCCCAGTGGGACCCAAATGAAAGAGAGGCTATGCAAAGGCTAAACCGCTAAACTGAGACAGGGAAGCTCTCTTGGAAGGATTAAAGAGGGGAGCACAGAAGGCCACAAACGTTAACAAGGTCTCTGAGGTCATTCAGGGAAAAGAAGAAAGTCCAGCACAATTCTACGAGACACCGTGTGAGGCCTATTGTATGTATACTCCCTTTGATCCTGATAGTCTTGAAAATCAGCGCATGATTCACATGGCTTTAGTCAGTCAAAGCGCAGAAGACATTGGAAGAAAACTGCAGAAACAGGCTGGGTTTGCAGGGATGAATACATCACAATTATTAGAAATAGCCAACCAGGTGTTTGTAAACAGGGCTGCAGTAAGCCTTGAGGAAAACCGCAAAGAGAATGGACATCAGGCCCGGCGAAACACCGACCTGGTTGTCAGCTGCAGCAATCAGAGGGGTCCTCCGAAGGAGGCAAGGGAAGGGGGGGCCCTGGGAATGAAACTCAGCTTGGCTGTCAGAGTTTGCAGTGTAACCAGTGTGCTTCTTGTAAAGAAATAGGACACTGGAAGAACAAATGCCCTCAGCTCAAAAGAAAACAAGGTGACTCAGAGCAGGAGGCCCCGGACAAGGAGGAAGGGGCCCTGCTCAACCTGGCAGAAGGGTTATTGGACTGAGGGAGACCAGGCTCAAGTGTCCCCAAAGAGCCTATGGTCAGAATGACAGTCGGGGGTAGAGACATTGATTTTCTTGTAGGTAGCGGTGCTGAACATTCGCTAGTAACCGCCCTGGTCGGCCCCTTATCCAAAAAGACTATTGATATCATCGGAGCCATGGGGGTTTCAGCAAAGCAAGCTTTCTGCTGGCCTCAGACTTGTACTGTAGGAGGACATAAAGTGATTCATCAGTTTTTGTACATGCCTGACTGTCCCTTGCCCTTGTTGGGAAGGGACTTGCTCAGCAAGCTGAGAGCAACTGTCTTTGCTGCTAAAATTCCCCAGAACGGGAGTCATTATGACCCTTACCATCCCCGGAGAGGAGGAATGGAGACTTTTTTTTAACTGAGCCGGGCGGAGAGATAAGATCACCTCTGGCTAAGTGGTGGCGAAGAGTACGGGCAGAAGACAACCCTCCAGGGTTGGCAGTCAACCAAGCCCCCATACTCATACAAGTTAAGCCTGGGGCCCAGCTGGTTAGGCAAAACCAGGACCCGGTCCCCAGAGAAGCTCTTCAAGGTATCGAGGGCCATCTCAAGCACCTAAGAACTTTGGGAATTACAATTCCTTGTCAGTCTCCTTGCTGGAGCGTGTTGCTCCCATACGTTCATGACCTTTTGCTGGGACACCCCATGGCAGTCGGGTGCGCCAAGGGAACGGATGCCCTACTCTGGCACCTGGAGGACTGTGGGTATAAGGTGTCCAAGAAAAAAGCTCAGATCTGCTGATAGCAGGTACCTTACTTGGGATTTAGTATCCGACAGGGGGAACGCGGCCTGGAATCAGAAAGAAAGCAGGTCATTTGCAATCTACCAGAGCCTAAGAGCAGAAGGCAGGTGAGAGAATTCTTACGAGCTGTGGGGTTTCATAGACTGTGGATCCCAAACTTTGCAGTATTAGCCAAGCCTTTGTATGACCTCACAAAGTTTGGGGGTGGGGGGACAGGGAAACTTTTGAATGCGGATCCCAACAACAGCAAGCCTTTCATGAGTTAAAGGAAAAACTTATGTCAGCCCCAGCCCTGGGGCTACCCGATCTGACAAAGCCTTTTACATTGTATGTGTCAGAAAGAGAAAAGATGGCAGTTGGAGTTTTAAGCCAAACTGTGGGGCCCTGGCCGAGGCCGGTGGCCTACCTCTCTAAACAACTAGATGGAGTTTCTAAAGGATGGCCCCCCTGTTTGAGGGCCTTGGCAGCAACTGCCCTGCTAGTCCAAGAAGCAAATAAGCTGACTTTTGGGCAAAACCTGAACATAAAGGCCCCCCATGTTGGGGTGACTTTAATGAACACTAAAGGACATCATTGGCTAATGAATGCTAGACTCATCAAGTACCAAAGTGTGCTCTGTGAAAATCCCCGTATAACCACTGAAGTTTGTAACACCCTAAACCCTGCCACCTTGCTCCCGGTATCAGAGCGGCCTGTCAAGCGTGATTGTGTAGAAGTGTTGGATTCAGTTGACTCTAGCAGACCTGACCTTCGGGACCAGCCTTGGGCATCAGTAGACTGGGAACTATACGTGGACAGGAGCAGCTTCATCAACCCACAAGGAGAGAGATGTGCAGGATATACAGTGATGCAGTAGTAGCCCTGGATACTGTTGTTGAAGCCAGATCATTGCCCCAGGCCACTTCAGCCCAGAAAACTGAACTCATTGCTTTAATTGGGGCCTTAGAACTCAGTGAAGGTGAGACTGTCAACATTGACACTGATTCTCGGTATGCCTTTTTAACCCTTCAAGTGCGTAGAGGATTATAGAAAGAAAAGGGCCTACTGAACTCTGGGGGGAAAGACATAAAATATCAACAAGAAATCTTGCAATTATTAGAAGCAGTATGGAAACCCCACAAGGTGGCACTTAGGCATCAGCAAGCTTCCACCTTGCTGGGTTTGGGGAATTCCCACGCTGACTCAGAGGCTCAAAAAGCAGCATCTGTCCCCTTCCAGGCATCAGTCACAGCCCCTCTGCTCCCTCAAACACCTGATCTTGTACCTACTTCTTCTAAAGAAGAAAAGGACTTTCTCCAGGTAAAGGGGAGGACAAGTGACAGAGGAAGGATGGATTCAGTTACCAGATGGGAGAGTAGCTGTGCCACAGCTCCTAGGAGGTGCAGTTGTACTGGCTGTGCATGAAACCATCCATCTAGGTCAGGAGTCACTGGAAAAGTTGTTAGGCCGGTATTTCTACATCTCGCATTTGTCAGCCCTCGCCAAAACCATGAGGCAGCGGTTTGTTACCTGCCGACACCATAATGCGAGGCAAGGTCCAGCTGTTCCGCCCGGCATACAAGCTTATGCAGCAGCCCCCATTGAAGATCTGCAGGTAGACTTCAGAGAGATGCCAAAGTGTGGAGGTAACAAGTATTTACTAGTTCTTGGGTGTACCTAGTCTGGGTGGGTGGAGGCTTATCCAACATGAACTGAGAAAGCTCGTGAAGTAACCCATCTGCTTCTTCGAGATCTTATTCCTAGGTTTGAACTGCCCTTATGGGTAGGCTCAGATAACGGGCCAGTGTTTGTGGCTGACTTGGTACAGAAGACGGCAAAGGTATTGGGGATCACACGGAAACTGCATGCCGCCTCCCAGCCTCAGAGTTCCGGAAAGGTGGAGCGGATGAATCGGACTATCAAAAATAGTGCTATACTATTGTCTTCCCCGCTGGATATTTAAAACAGCACCACAAGGGGCATCAAACCACCTGCTAAATTTGAGGGAATGTTATCCTCTCCCCACCTCCCCCGGCCCCGGATATTAGAGACAATAACACAGGGGTAATGTACACCCACTGCTTTATTGGGAGTAATATCATCCTCTCCCTTCTTGGATATTAGGAACAATATCACACTGTGCATGTACGCCTGTCGTGAAATTCAATGGAATGTCATCCTTTGCCTCCCTGGATATGATGAACAATATCACGGGGGATGTACAACTTGTGAGATATTGGGAGTGATATCATCCTCTCCCGTCTGGAAGTTAGGGACAGTATCACAGGGGTGGTGTACACCCTCTGGGATGTTGGGACTAATATCATCCTCCCGCCCACTGGATATGAAAAACCATATCACAAGGGGCTTGTACACACACTTCGATATTGGTATTAATACCATCCTCTCCCTCTTTGGATATTCGGTGCCATATTTCAGGTGGGGTATACACCACCTGCAATATTGGAAGTAATAAGATTTTCTCCCCCCCGGATATCAGAGACAATATCACAGGGGGTGTCAACAGCCCCTGCGATATTTGGAGTAATATCATCGTCTCCCCTCATGAATATTAAGAACAACATCGTAGGGGTGGGGGGTGTACACCCCCTTTCATATTTGATATCATCCTCTTCCCCCCTGGATATTAGGAACAATATCAGGAAGGGATGTGCAGACCCTGCAATATTTGCCGTCATATAATTGTCTCTCCCCTAGATATTAGGAAAAATGTAACTGGGGATGTGACCAGCCCTGCGATATTGGGAGTAGTATCATCCTCTCCCCGTTGCATATTAGGAACAGTATCACAGGTGGGGTGTAGTGTCTCTGCGATATTGGGAGTAAAATTATCCTCTCTTCCCCTGGATATTAGGAAGGGTATCAGAGGGGGAGGGTGTACATTCCCTTCGATATTCAATGTAATCTTATCCTCTCCCTCCCAGGGTATTAAGAACAATATTACAGGAGGGGTGTACACCCCCTGCGATATTGAGAGTCATATCATTCTCTTTCGCTCTGGATATTAGGAACAATATCACAGGGTTGTGTACACCCCCTGGGATATTGGGAGTCATATCATCCTCTCTCCCTGTGGATATTAGGAAGAGTATCACAGGGCTGTGTATACCCCTGCGGTATTGGGAGTCATATCATCCCCTCTCCCTCTGGATATAAGGAAGAGTTTCACAGGGGTGTGTGCACCCGCTGCGATATTGGGAGTAATATCATCCTCTCCACCCAGGAAATGACTAACAAGGTCACGGGGGGGAACTTGCCCCTGCCATATTGGGAGTAATGTCGTCCTCCCCAAACCTGGATGTTAGCAGCAAGATCACAGAGTGGGTGTACACACCCTTCGATATTGGAAGTAATATGATTCTCTCCCCACCTGGATATAGGGAAAAATATCACAGCGCGGGTATACATTTCCTATGCTGTTGGGAGTAATATCATTCTTTTCCTTTCTGGATATTAGGAACAATATCACAGGGGTGGTGTACATTTACTTTGATATTGGGAGTAATATCATCCTCTCCCCGTTAGGACATTAGGAACAATATCCCAGGGTGGTGTCCACCCTCTGCGATATTGAGAGTAATATCATCTTCTATTTCCCTGGTTATTAGACACAATATCACAAAAAGGTGTACAACCCCTGCGATATTGGGAGTAATATCATACTCTCCTTCCCTGGATATTAGAAAACAATATTCATCAGGGCTGAATACCCCCTGCGATAATGGGAGTAATATTTTCTCTTTCACAGGCCATTAGGAACAATATCACAGCGGGTGTTTACACACCCTGCGATATTGGAGGTAATATCATCCTCTGCCCCCTGGCATATTACCAACGATATCAAACAGGGGTGGTGTACACCCCTTGTGATATTGGGAGTATTATCATCCTCTCCACCTCCGGGTATTAGGAACAATATCCCGGCGGGGGGTAGTACAACCCCAGTGATATTGGGAATAATGTCATCCTCTCCTTCCCCGGATATTAGGAACAATATCACAGGAGGGTGTACACCTTCTGCGATATTGGAAGCAATATCATCCTCTTCCCCGCTGGATATTAGAAAAAATATCACTCATGGTGTACACCCACTGTGATATCAGGAAGAATATTACAGGGTGTACACCCACTCTGACTTTAGGAGAAATAGCTCCCTAAAATGTCACAAATAATATCACAGGGTATACAGTAATATCTCCCTAGGATATGACACATACTATCACAGGGTGTACACCCACTGTGATAACAGGAGTAATATGTCCCAAGGATATTACCAATAATATCACAAGGCCGTACACCCAGTATGACATAAGGAGTGATATCTCCCTAGGATACTACGAATACCGTCACAGGATGTACACCCATGGTGTGCACCCACGGTGATACTAGGAGTAATATCTACCCAGGAAATAACCAATAACAGCACAGGGTGTACATACATGATGTCCACCCATGGTGATGTTATGAGAACTATCTCCCTAGGATAATACGAATAATATCACAGAGTGTACACACATGGTATACACACACTGTAGCACTAGGAATAATAACTTTCTGAGATATGAATAGCATCACAGAATAAAAACACATGGTGTACGCCCACTGTAACATCAGGCGTAATTTCTCCCTAGGATATTACGAGTAGCATCTCAGGGTGTACAAACATGGTGTACACCCACTGTGACATGACGGGTAATATCCCCCTAGAGGATATTACCAATAACATCACAGGGTGTTCACCCGTGGTGTACATGCACTGTAATATTAGGAATAATATCTCCCTAGGATATTATAAATAATACCACAAAGTGTACAGAAACTGTGATATTAGAGGAAATATCTCTCTAGGATATTCTGAATAATATCACAGGGTGTACACCCACTGTGATATCGGGAGCAATAGCTCTCTAGGATGTTATGAATAATATCACTGTGATATTAGGAGAAATATCTCTCTGGGATATTACGAATTGTATCACAGAGTGTACACACATGGTGTACACCCACTTTGATATTAGGAGTAATATCTTCCTAGGACATTACAAATAGTATCACAGAGTGTACACCCACTGTAATATTAGGAGTCGTATCTCCCTAGGTGATTACAAATAATATCACAGGGTGTGCACCCACTGCGATATTAGGAGTAATATCTTCCTAGGGTATTACGAATAATTTCACAGTGTGTACACACGTGGTGTACACTCACTGTGATATTAGGAGTAATATCTACCTAGTATATAACAAATAACATCACAGGATGTACACCCACTTTGATATTAGCTGTAATATTTTTCTAAGTTGTTACAAATAATATCACAGGGTGTACAAACAGGGTGTACACTCACTGTGATATCAGGAGTCGTATCTCCATAATATATTATGAATAATATCACAGGGTGTACACCCACTGTATTATTAGGAGTAATATCTCTCTAGGATATTACAATTAATATCACAGGTGTACACCCACTGTGATATTAGGAGCAATATCTTTCTAGGATATTGCAAATATCCTAGAACAAAGTGGTTGTTCGCCCACTCTGCTGTCAGGAGCAATATCTCCCTAGGATATCAAAACTAGTATCACAGGGTGTACAATCCCTGCCTTCCAGGTTCTAAGGGATTCTCCTGCTTCAGCCTCCCGAGTAGCTAGAGTTACCCGCCACCACGCCCGGCTAATTGTTTTTTTTTGTTTTCACTAGAGACGGGGTTTCACCATGTTGGCCAGGCTGCTCTGGAACTCCTGACCTCAGGTGACCCATCAGCCTCGGCCTCCCAAAGTGCTGAGATTACAGGTGTGAGCCATGGCGCTCGGCCAAGAGTTATATATTCAATTAATTTGGAGACACAGCTCCCACATTTGACTGTGCATGTATTTTTATGAAGAAATGATGTCAGAAAACCTAAAGATGGCAATAAATATGAAAAGTAACTGGCATGCTAAAAGGTCTTCCGATTAAGAACTCTAAGGTTTGACTTAGTTTTTAGATAATGTGGTCCTAGCTCTTGTGTCATCCTTTTAAATATTCTACATCAGAGGAATTTGTAGCACGGTGTCAGAATAAAATAAAGGGTATTTCACTGCTTCTTAATTTCTTTCAATTAGACTGAGATCTTTTTCTTAAAGAGAGAAGAACGTTTTTATTGCATGTTATTGTTTCTGAAAAGAGTAGGCCGTATTTTACTGAGATCACGGATTTGTTATATATTATGTTTTGGTCTTCTAACATTCTTCAGTGGATTTTCTCTAAAGTAGTACGTACAGAAGGAGTTGAATAGAAAACAGTAAATCATCACGTAATAATTCTGGGATTTTTGGGTTTGTCACAACTGAGAAATATTGCTGACGGTGTATGGTCCTCAAGTGTGAAAATGTTCCTTGTGAATTGCTTGCATCCAAAATATACACACAGCATTAAGGGCTGGTTTTTATCTTTTATTTTTCCAATCCTCTTTTCTTCTCAAGGTGTCCAAGTCACACAGAGCCACGGAATCTCACAGGTGTCTCAGAATTCCTCCTCCTGGGACTCTCAGAGGATCCAGAACTGCAGCCTGTCCTCCCTGGGCTGTCCCTGTCCATGTATCTGCTCACGGTGCTGAGGAACCTGCTCATCATCCTGGCTGTCAGCTCTGACTCCCACCTCCACACCCCCATGTACTTCTTCCTCTCCAACCCGTCATGGGCTGACATCGCTTTCACCTCGGCCACAGTTCCCAAGATGATTGTGGACATGCAGTCGCATAGCAGTCATCTCTTATGCAAGCTGCCTGACACAGATGTCTTTCTTTGCCCTTTTTGCATGCATAGAAGATCATGCTCCTGATTGTGATGGCCTATGACCGATTTGTAGCCGTCTGTCACTCCCCACACTACCCAGTCATCATGAATCCTCGCCTCGGTGTCTTCTTCGTTTTGGTGTCCTTTTTCCTTAGCCTGTTGGATTCCCAGCTGCACAGTTGGACTGTGTTACAATTCACCTTCTTCAAGAATGTGGAAATCTCTAATTTTGTCTGTGACCCATCTCAACTTCTCAACCTTGCCTGTTCTGACAGCGTCATCGATAGCATATTCATATATTTAGATAGTACTATGTTTCGTTTTCTTCCGATTTCAGGGATCCTTTTGTCTTACTCTAACATTGTCCCCTCCATTCTAAGAATTTCATCATCAGATGGGAAGTCTAAAGCCTTCTCCACCTGTCGCTCTCACCTGGCAGTTGTTTGCTTATTTTATGGAACAGGCATTGGCGTGTACCTGACTTCAGCTGTGGCACCACCCCCAGGAGTGGTGTGGTGGTGTCAGTGATGTACACTGTGGTCACCCCCATGCTGAACCCTTTCATCTACTGCCTGAGAAACAGGGACATTCAAAGCGCCCTGTGGAGGCTGCGCAGCAGAACAGTCGAATCTCATGATCTGTTCCATCCTTTTTCTTGTGTGGGTAAGAAAGGGCAAGCACATTAAATCCCTACATCTGCAAATCCTGCCCCTTAGTCACATTATTTTTGTGGCTTGATGGCTTTTATTTCTTTCCACATTTCCTATGTGAATATTGCTTTCATCGTTATGCCTTTAACTGGAATGGGTGAGGATTCTGGGATCCTTTGTTTAGCAGAAACCTCATAACTGAATCCTCTATACCTAGGTGGCCTCCTTTAGTTTCTGACCAGTAACCCTGTCATCCAGGTGGAATCATAACCATCTTTTTATATACGTGAAGTCCTCACTTCATTTTGGAATTCCCTGAACATTGACTTTATGGAAACAATGTACAGCAGGTCCTCCAACACTGTTGTTGTGTTCAAAGTTGTTATGATGTTGATGAGGAATAAGTGGTTTCAGTATACATAATTTTGCTTAAAAGTGAAGTTTCCAAGAGACTTTCAAAGACGATAAGTGAGGACATACTGTACATCAAATTCATATCCTCTTCCAGAGTTCATGTGGAATTTCTCTATAAACTGCTTCTAGAGAATCTATTTAGGCAGGTTATGTGTAGAGATCCATGTCACCGGTCCTCAAGCTTGTCTTTGAATCAAATCACCTGGGGAGCTTACAAATGATGAGGCCTGCGTCTCATTACATGAAAGTCTGATTTACTTGCACCTGTGTAGGTAAGTGGATTTTTTTTTTTTTTTTTTTTTTAAAGCACCAGAGGTGATTCCAATGATGAAGTTTTTAGAGGCATCAAGCTCCAATAAGTAAGAAAAGAAGTTAATTGTAATAATGATTTCTTCAAATATTATCTTCAAATGTGTTGTCCTTCAACACCACACAAATTTTTATTATGCTGTTTTTTCTTACCATTTAGCATTTTCTTTTTTCTTTTCTTTTTTTTTTGGGGGGGGGCAGAGTTTCACTCTTATTGCCCAGGCTGGAGTGCAATGGCACGATCTCAGCTCACTGCAAACTCTGCCTCCCGTATTCAAGTGATTCTCCTGTCTCAGCCTTCTGAGTAGCTATTACAGGTATGTGCTACCACGCCCGGCTAATTTTTTTTTTTTTTTTTTTTTTTTTTTTTTTTTTGTATTTTTAGTAGAGACAGTGTTTGTCCATATTGGTCAGGCTGGTCTTGAACTCCCGATCTCAGGTGATCCGCCTGCTTTGGCCTCCCAAAGTGCTGGGATTACAGGCGTGAGCGACCGCACCCAGCCACCACTTAGCATTTTCATTTTACATTTGTTGAAGTTATGAATTTATTTACCCATTGATTTCTGCTTTATGATACACTTGCATATACATAAAATGGGAAATAGAAAAGAATAAAATGGGCACAGTATCCCTAAACTTTCACATTCCGAGACATTTGAAAAATATTTGCTTTTTCGAAATTTGTTTCAATTAAAATACTGTGGTATACACACACAATGAAGTATTATTCAGCCTCAAAAGGAATAAAATCCTCTCCACTGCAGAGAAAATGGATGAGATTGCAGGTATGTATATTAAGTGAAATAATCTAGGCACAGAATGACAAATATTACATGTCCTTACTTATGTGTAGGAAGAAAAAAGAAAATCTTGGCCAGGTGTGGTGGCTCAGGCCTGTAATCCCAGCACTTTGGGAGGCCGACTCACACAGATCACTTCAGGCCAGGAGTTCGAGACCCGCCTGGCCAACATGGTGAAACCCCGTCTCTACTAAAAACACAAAAAATTAGCCAGGCGTGGTGATGCGTGCCTGTAGTCTCAGCCACTCGGAAGGCTGAGGCCCAAGAAGCGCTTGAACTCAGGAGGCGGAGGTTGCAGTCAGCCGGGATTGTGCCTGTATGCTCCAACCTGGGCAACAGAAAGAGACTGCCATCAGAAGAACACCCCTCCAGGTCAATCCTTGCTCTCCCTCGGGGCTTCTCTTAAAGTGCACAGCCTTAACTGGGGCAGGGTCCTGAAGGGTGGGGAGAGGAAGGCCGGCTCCCTGGAATACACAATCGATCCTTGCAGGTATCCACTGTCAGGTCTCTGAGCTTGATGCTGTCATGTCCCTTGACACCGCTTCCGGGGCTTTTCGGTGGATGGCTTTTGGGGTGGAAGTGGCAGCCCCAGCTTACCAGCCATCATGCTCATGTCCGGGATCTCAGTCCTCTGGGGAAGGTGAGGTGGCTTTTCCTCAGCCAAGGCTGGGATCCTCAGTGGGTGCTGGTTCATCTGACTTTCCTCCCAATGGGGTTTGAAGGTGGAGAGGGGGACAGTGCCTGGGCCACAAGAGAGCACAAGACCTGGCTTCCTGTGGAAGGTGCCCACTCCACTCCCACTTTTCATGCCTCCAGAGCCCAACTTGTACCACTTCACAGTTTTACCAGGGCCCAAATCTCCTCCTAGTTTGGGACTAGAACACCTCTCACTCTCCAAGCCATCCTCCAATCCTGCCTTTTCCACTGCTTCTCTTACCTGCTCTTGCACACTATGACTACATCCTTGCCCCACCTGCCCCAGTCAGGGGACTGCAGAACTGAGGGCAGATCTTGGGTAAGGCCTGCCTCTCCTGCCTTTCTTCTCCCAATGCTCCAACTGGGGGTTCATGACTGCAAAAAAACCCGTTGTGTCAACAACTCCAATGGCCTCCCTTGATATAGTCCATCATGTAGACAGATGCAGGATGCTGGGGAGGGCCCATGAGAGACCCTGGGTGACAACTCCTGGCCCTGGTCTGGCCCCAGCCTGGGTCTGGAGAACTGAAAGCCACCTGGCTTGTTTTCCACAGGGGCCAGAAAAGGCTGGAGCAGCCGAAGTCTTTCGGAAACAGTATCTGCGGTATATTCAGGGCTGACTCAGGAAAGAAGGTAAGGGAAAGAAAGAGTGGAGGGCTGCCAGCCCCACTCTCCTACGCTGCCAGGCCTCAGCTTGGTGCATCTTCTTGAGGCCTTCAGAAGTGATGAGCGGCTCCAGGGCATGGACCCTGCTGCTGCTGCTTGTCCCAACCTGAGGGAAACAAAGCCCAGGCCTAGGGCTTTAGTATGAGGCATGTGGGGAGTAGAAATTTTGTGGCCTTTGAATAGGATCCAGTATTAATCCAGTAATAATCCAGCCAGTGGATTATTAAAGAAAAAAAATCGAACAAGAATAGAAATTACACTTCTAGTTGATTTATCCTTAAAACCTGGCTGTGGGATTATTGAGCTGATACAGGGACTCCATGGCCATAAAGTAGGTGGCAGCCTGTAGATCTATGTTCACTTCCAGAGTTTTCCAAACTGGATGGAAGAGAAAATTTGTGGTGTGTGTAGCAGGGAACACGTATTAGGGACTCAATACCACTTGAGAGACCAGACTACATCTGTGCAAATAACCTTGTTTATCTAGCCATTAAACAGGAAAAAACAAGTTTCTCTCCTTTGGGGCTTTCTGAGCCTCAATCTACTGATGGGCAGTACATTGTGTCTCTCCAGGGTAAGGGTGGGACAGGTGGATTTGGGAAGTCTCAGTGTTCCCAAGGACCATAAGAATCCTGTCTTCTGGAGATACCCATTAATATCTCTTGAGGAAATACTGGGAAACACTGCCAAACTGATCTATGGATCAGTTTAATCCATTTTATTAATAGCTCATTTTATTATTTGCAGTAACATATAAATCCTGCCCTAAGTTATTGGAAGACAATTTTATAAAACTGAAAACAAAACATTTTCCCTCCTAAAAACACTCAAGTCATATTACCGATAGCATAGATCACTGGGGTCGCGCCCTCAGCCTTGCTCTGGGCCCCCTCTCTGGAAGAGATTCCTTCACAGAGTGACCAACTCCTCCCATTTTAAAAATGGAAAAGTCCTATGTCCCAAGAGCCCTCCTCAGTTCTGCGCAGACTATTGGGCTCACTCTCCTCTAGCAGGTACTGGAAGAGCCAGGACTGGCTGCAGTCAGCCCCAGGAACTCTCTGAGACCTACAGGTCATGATGCAAGGGGACTGGTATCACTGATTAAGCTACTGGCCGGCCCGTCCTCTTTCTTCTGTCCAGTCTCTTGCCTGCAGGTCACTGTCCAGCTCTCCTGGGCAGGTGAGGGGAAGGAAAGCTGCCTGGCCCTGCCCACCACCCACAAGCACCCAAGCATGACACTCTGAGTTCCAGCTCTGACCCCGTCTCCTGCACAAACCCCTCCTCCGCCCCACCCTTGCTTCACTCCAAGTGCCCTTCCTGCTCCTTCTCACTATGCATTCATTTCTCACCAGTCTTAAGACTACTGCCTCCAGGAAGCCTTCCTGACTGCTCCAGTCCATTCTAACCCCTTTTCTAGCCTCCCAATGCTCCCAGCTGGTTGACTCTCCCAGCCCCCCTTTCTAACTTTCTAGCTTCAGAGAGTGTCAGAGAGGGAGTCATGCCTGTAAACCCAGGATTTTGGGAGGCCAAGGCAGGAAGATTGCTTGAGGCAAGAGTTCAAGACCAGCCTGGGCAACATAGGGAAACTTTGTATCTATAAAAAATTAGCCAGATGTGGTGGTGTGCACCTGGAGTCCTAGCTACTGGGGAGGCTGAGGTGGGAGGATCACTTGAGTCCAGGAGTTCGAGTCTGCAGTGAGCCATGATCACATGACTGCACTTTAGCCTGGGCAACAGGGGAGGAGGCATCCTTAGAAGCATCCTGAGAGAATCAAGTTAGATGGGAGCAGGCTTTCGCTCATGTACACATGTAGCTGTGATGGATGGAACTGCTAAGTTGGAAAGGGGTTGAGAACCCTCAGGATTCTGGGAGGAGGCACTCTGGCTGGAAGTACAGTCTTCTGGGAACCTGGTAGGGAGTGACAAAGCCAGTGGAGACAGTTGCCTGGAGAAAGTCTCACAGCCTCTGCTTTCTTCCTTCCCCCAACAATCCTTTCCTCCACCCACCAGGGACTGTCCCTTGTCTCAGCAGGAGCTCTCCCAGAAGCTCTCACTCAGCACCAAGCTTGGGCTGCTTCCCAGATGCCCAAAGGCAGATGGGGAAGGCGGGTTCCAGCCAGGCTCAGCTCCAGGAGCTGAAAAGAACGCTCCAGAAGTGGCTCTGTCTTGCATTCTTCCTTAGGCTCAAGGATTCGCAGATAAGGAGCCATGACTTTATAACCTTTAGAGTATATAGAGATTTGTATGTGTGACTATGTCACTAAAAAAGGCACTACATCCATTCCATGGAATTCTAATCAGCAATGAAAAGGAATGACTGCTGAGACAGGCAACAAAACTTGGGTAAATCTCCAGAGAACTAAGATGGGTAAAAAAAAAAAGGTTACATACTCTATGATTCCATTTATAATTTTTAAATTCATTTTTATTTTAAAATTATACAGGGAGATGGGGAGGTCGCTATGTTGCCTAGGCTGAACTTGAACTCCTGGCCTCAAGTGATCATCCCACCTCCCAAAGTGCTGGATTGCAGGCATGAGCCACTGTGCCCGGCCCAATTCTATTTATATAACATTCCTGAAATGACTAAAGTTTGGATATGGGGAGCAAATTAGTTGCTGCCAGGGTTCAGGGCAGAAAGGGAGTGTGAGTATAAAAGGAGGAGAACTGGAGGAATACTGCTGGAGATGGATTCCAGCTCGGTATCTCAACTGCGGTGGTGGATACATGAACCTACATGTGTGATAAAACTAGAATTAAACACACACATATTTATAAAAATGGGTACGACAGGCTGGGAGTGATGACTCACACCTGTGATCCCAGCACTTTGGGAGGCCGAGGCGGGCAGATCACCTGAGGTCAGGAGTTCGAGACCAACCTGGCCAACATGGTGAAACCCCATCTCTGCTAAAACTACAAAAATTAGCCAGGCGTGGTAGCACGTGCCTGTAATCCCTACTCAGGGGGGCTGAGGCAGGAGAATCTCTTGAACCCAGCAGATGGAGGTTGCAATGAGCCGAGATGGCCCCACTGCACTCCAACCTGGGCGACAAGAGCGAAACTCCATCTCAACAAACAAAAACAAAAAATGGGTACGATAAAAAATGGAGAAATCTGAAAGATTGATGGACTGTATCTGTTAATATCTGAGTAGTGATATTGTAGTTGTGAAAGATGTTACCACTGGGGGAAACTGAGATCTCTTTGTAGTATTTCTTTCAATTGTATGTGAATCTAAAATTATCTCAAAAAATTATAATTTTTTTTTTCAAAAAATAAATACAACCAAGTGCAGTGGCTCACCCCTGTAATCCTAGCACTTTGGGAGGCTGAGGCAGGAGGATCACTTGAGGCTAGAAGTTCAAGATCAATCTGGGTAACAATGCGAGACCTCATCTCTACAAAAAAATTTTAAAAATTAGCCTGCCGTGCTGGTGGATGCTTCTAGTCCTAACTCTTTTGGAGCTGAGGCAAGAGTATCACTTGAGCCCAGGAGCTGGAGGCTACAGTGAGCTATGATTACACCACCGCACTCCAGCCTGGGAGACAGAATGAGACCCTATCTCTTAAAAAAATACAATTTTATAAAAGGGGGAACTATGGGTTCCACACATTTGCTAATGGGCAAGGCAGCCTGGAAGAGATCACCCTCCCTCTATCCCTTGCCCACCATTTCCTTGCAGCAACTTTACAGAACCTCTTCCAGAGGAGGTCTGTTCTGGAAAAATCCACCCCACTGCTGTAGTTCTTTGCCTCTTTCTTCTGGGACACACAATGTTGGTAGCTCAGTACCAGAGCTCCATCTAGAAGCCAGATAACTAAATCCTGATAAAGGAACCAGACAGGCTCGGAGGGGAGGTCTGTGAAACTTATTCCACTGGTTTTACATGGCACAGAATTCTTATTGGTTCAACCTCACAGCCCTCTCTCCATGTACACTTATTTTTGGGTTTCCTGCTATACCGTAGCATAGGAGACATCACAGTTGGTGCAGGGCCCAATGATGGAATGGGGGATTCTGATTATTCAAGCACCAATGTCCTAATCCATCATTACCAAAAGCATGTACTAGTGCACATAATTCACAGGGTGTTGTGGCAATCTGGTCCCTAACCTCTGAGCATTTCTGCTGCTATAAAATGGACATACACTTTATCTTACAGAGTGTTATATAGTTAGGCATTATGAAAGACATATAAACATCCCTGACACCTGACAAGGAGACACATTCCCAAAATGGCAGTACAGACTGGGCAATTGGAGGGCTCATGGTGCCTTGGGAATCTTAGGAGATGTCAGGAGACCAAATGCCCCAGTGGGAAAACTGTGCATCTCAGCAGAGGCTGGTGGATGCCTCTCCTCAGTGCTGCTGCAGTGGTTTAACCCTGGCTGTCACATGTCACCCTAGTGAGCCAAGAGGAGGAGGACAAGTGTTGGACCTAAGTTGAAACCCGAAATGACTGAGTTCATCTGTAAGTGATTAACTAGATTAAGTTTTTCTGCTTTTAGGGAAGAGTGGAGGATTGAGTCAGAAATCAAGTTTAGTTGTAGAAAAAGTTATCTTTTTGTACCCCTGAGTTTGCAGTCTGTAAAACATTGGAGCCACTACACAGATACACACTTTCGTATACAGTGTGTGCTTATACACTGATATACACAGACCATGGGCATTCTCACAGGCATATACCCAGTGGTGTGCTGGTAAGTGTTAACAGCCAGCTTTCTGGAAAACAACAATAACAACAACCTAAGTTGTAGCAGTTACTGATTTCTGTGGTGTAAATACTCCCACCACGGTGATTTCAAGCTACCAACATAATTACACCTCATGGAAGATGGAAGAGTTGTACATAAAACTGGGTCTTTGTGAGCTGTGTGAGCTGGCTCCAGCATAAGTTATAGGTGCACATTTATGCATCTGCCTAAAGTTGCCTAAATATGCAGGCTTGCTTAGGTTTCTTCAAGAACTGAAACGTTAACATGAAATCTGTAGACACATTAGTATAGAAAAATACGTGAGGACATCATCTCAACTATATGCATCTGTAGACACCTTCAGTCACTTAGAAACATACACAAAGAGAAGTTCGAATATATAAAAAAATACACACCTACGCAGATTGATGCAGGCCAGGACACGCATATAAGCTCACACATAGACACCCACATGCTCAGAAAAGAAGAGGGAGTAAACCAACCGGATTTGCTCAGGTTGCTGCCCTGGCCTGAGGCCCCACATCCCTCAGAACAACTTAAGATCAAGGCAGATAAGGTCCCTCTTTTCTTTCAGTTCCCTTACATGGCTGAAGAGACTTGAAGGACAGAACGTTTACAGCAGTTGTCTACGGCTGCCTCTGTGTTCTGAAGACCCCATGCACCCCTCGTCCCTTCTGGGTTGGGCCTGGCAGTCCCGTAGGCTGTCTTTCCCTTGCTTTGCAGATGCCAGCCCCAGAGTCCCACCTCCACCGTTGGTAAGGAAGCCCCTCACCCCTGCCTCTTTCAATTGTGGGAAAGTGAACTCCAGCCTCTCTCTCCTTCCTCATCCCAGATCAACAGCAGATGTTAGTATGACCCCCCTCCTGGCTCCCTCCGTGACTCCAGCTCTGCCCCCCACCTCCACCTCCACCTCCACCACTTGCTTGTTCATCTCTCACCTGGGCCAATGTCCAGCCTTCTAAGTGTTTCCCTTCTCCAAACTCTCCCTTCCCATTTGTCACCCTATAAGTAACCTGCCAGATTATTTTAAAGCACAGTGCTGAGGTCACACATGTACTGGCAACTTCTAATGCAAGACCGACTAGGGCTAGATCTCTTTGAGGCTCCCTGACCACACGTCCAACAACTCCTCCCTCAGTTCACAATTTCACTTCTCCTTATTTTCTCTTTCTCTTCCTGATCTGTTCTGTAAATTTAGTTTCTGCTGTGGAATTTGCTTGCTCCCTTCTTTAGTTCAAATCAGGCATTTGCTACCCCTCATGTCTGTGACACCGTGTTTATAGTTTATAAACCACTCTCAAAGCTATTTGTGGAGTACTGAGGTTAGCCCTGGACATGCTGTGGTGAGTAAAAACAGATGTGGCTGTGTTTCATGAATAAAGTCAACAAAATCTGTTGAGGACCCTGACCAAAAGTCATCTGTCCCAAAATCCTAAGTGGATTTGTGAGGAAAGATATTTTCCCATTGTCTCTCTTAACACTCTTCCCCCTGACTCCCAAACTATGGCCTCCCTGGGGTCATAGGAACAAAGTACAGAAGACAGAGAAGAAGACTGTGGCTTGCAGATTCTTAAAGAACTTTATTAACCTTGTGAGTGTCATAGAAGCAGCTACTGGGATGTTGCAAGCCCAGTGCAAACTGGTATATCTTGCTATATTGCAACATCTTGAATTTCCTTCCCTTTATATTAACTACCCACACATAATAAGCCACATCTATTATTTGTGTGAGCCTATGCTTTTTACTTTTATTTTAGAGCCTCTCGTTTCCTCATTTGTAATATGTGATCAGAAATCTGTCATTCTCGGCCTGCCGCGGTGGCTCACTGCTATAATCCCAGCATTTTGGGAGGCCAAGGCAGGCAGATCACTTGAGGTCAGGAGTTCAAGACCAGTGTGGCTAACATGGTAAAACCCTGTCTCTACTAAAAATACAAAAATTAGCTGGGCGTGGTGGCACATGCCTGTAGTCCCAGTTACTTGGGAGGCTGAGGCAGGAGAATCACTTGAACCAAGGAGGCATAGGTTGCAGTGAGCCGAGATCCCACCACTGCACTCCAGCCTGGGCCACAGAGTGAAACTCTGTCTCAAAAAAAAAAAATCTGTCATTCTCATAAGGTTGTTAGGATGATCAAACAAGATAAAGGTACATAAAAGAGCTCTATAGAATTATAATGTACAAGGCCGGGCACAGTGGCTCATGCCTGTAATCCCAGCACTTTGGGAGGCCGAGGTACGCGGATCAAAAGGTCAGGAGATCGAGATCATCCTGGCTAACACGGTGAAACCCCGTATCTACTAAAAATACAAAAAATTAGCCAGGCGTAGCAGCGTGCACCTGTAGTCCCAGCTGCTGGGGAGGCTGAGGCAAGAGAATGGCGTGAACCCGGGAAGCGGAGCTTGCAGTGAGCTGAGATCACGCCACACTGTACTCCAGCCTGGGCGACAGAGCAAGACTCTGTCTCAAAACAAACAAACAAACAAACAAACAAAAAGAATTATAATGTACAACATAAACGTATTTTATTTATTCTTTTTTTTTTTTTTTTTTTGAGACGGAGTTTCACTCTTGTCACCCAAGCTGGAGTGCAATGGCACAATCTTGGCTCACCACAACCTCCACCTCCTGGGTTCAAGTGATTCTCCTGCCTCAGCCTCCCAAGTAGCTGGGATTACAGGCGCCTGTCACCACGCCCAACTAACTTTTGTATTTTTAGTAGAGACAGGGTCTCGCCCTGTTGGCCAGGCTGGTCTTGAACTCCTGATCTTGGGTGATCCACCCCCTCGGCCTCCCAAAGTGCTGGGATTACAGGAATGAGCCACCACGCCCGGCTACTTTCTTCTTTAAATCAATTATATGGCCATTATTTATTTCATAAATAGGCATTCAGTGACTTTGAAATATTATGGTCCAGATAGAGACAACAGGGTTGTACAACAGAAATATGTAGGTCAAAATTTTAAATATTCTAGTAGTGACACTAAAAAATATAATAGATTGGCAAAATTTAGTAATCTATAATCTTGATCTACTACATCCAGAATGTTATTTCAACATGTGATTCATATAATAGTGACTAATGAGGTATCTTACACTCTTTTTTTGTAGTAAGTCTTTGAAATCCTGTGTGTATTCTACATTGACGGGACATCTCATTTTGGACTAACCACATTTCAAGTGCTCAGTATTCACATATGGATACTGTGCAGGACAGCACACACTAATTGGTAATGTAAATACAAGTTAGTTAAGATCTGTGAAGTACTTTATGGTTTCCAAAACTCTTTTGGCATTTAAATCTTGCGTCAGCCCCAGCAGGTAGATGTTTATCATTTCCATTTTGTAGAGGAGAGGCTGCAGCAATTACCTGTAAGTCACCCAAGCTCATCCAGCTAGTAAATGGTGAACTCAATTCTTGTCTTAAACCTGGGCACTTTCCCTTTTGCTTGCTTGCCTAAACAAGCAATACAAAGACAAACTTAATATTTATACACATACGTCCCATGGCTCATTGCAGTAGTACAGGACAGAAACAATTATTTCAAAATCCACCTACAATCTAGTCTCCAAAAATCCTGCCCAGTTTAATTGCACCACAATCTACTAACTGTAATTCTAAAAATGTGTATGTTGGATAATCTTCCAGCTCTAAAGTGCTGTGAATTAAAAAAATGCCATAGGCAGGCATAAAAAAATCCTACCCTCTATTATATTCTCCATCTGATATAGAATATATGATATATATTCTATAAATGAATACATGATACAGAGTCTATCATGTAGTGATTTACTTTTTACTTTTGTGAATTACAACGTGGTAGGGTAGGAAATGAGAAAGCTTAAAAAGCCTAATTTTCTCACTAAAGCATAACCAGACACAGCAGCCTATTAGGGGTTTCTCCAGAAGATGGCAGGCAGTCAAGGGGGACAGAGTTCGACCCGCGACAGGCCAACTGATTTCCCCAAAAAGATGCCAAGGGCAGCTAACCGCCCTCCTGGCCCGCGAAGCTGCTCCTTGAGGGCCCAAAACTTCCCGGAGGAGCCAGAGGAGGCCCTCAGGAGCCACAGCTCTCCCTGACTTGGCCTGTATTTGCACCCCTAGGGATCCCATTCCCTTTCCCGACGCAGCGCAAGGAAGGGGAGCGGAATGGGGGCTGAAAGGCAATAAAAAACTTGTAAAGCCGTATCTGCTAGTTCTCCCAGTGGGCTATGTCCCTGCAAATATCCTCCACAAGAAGTAAACTGGGTGGGTAGGAAGAGGTGAAGGCTCCCTCCTCAGGGCTGCCGGGACCGCCTCGAGGGCTTGTCTGTTTAGGTCCCAATTCCTCCCGGATCCGTACATTCACACGAGCGCAGGGCAACAATCTGAGCGAGTGTTCGTGTGTGCCCGTGTGACTCGCCATCGCGTGGCAGATGTTCAGTAGAACATTACAGTAATTTCTGTTACAGGTCCATGGGCGCAGGTCCCTGAGCCCACAGCTTCGCGGGGGTCTGGCCGAGCATGCGTCACAACCTACGCGGCCAAGAGCAGTGCGCACGCGCAACCTAACGCGGGACTGCCAGCAACTTCCGGGCGTTTACAGGCAGGCAGGTCAGTGATGTGTCCTAAGGGTCCGACCGACCTAGATACCCCTCTTTGATTCCTCCTCTTGGGATTAGTGTCCATCTCTGGAAGCAGGATCCAGGAGGACGGGAGGGGCCGCTGCGGACCGCAGTCGCTCCACCTGGAGGAGACACCAGAAGGAAGACAGCCTGAGGGACGCAGCCATCCCCGGCTCCTACCGGCGCCCCGCCCCGCGCATGCGCACGCGCACAGGGAGTCAGCTGGCTGCGCGGGAGGTCACGGGAAGTGGGGCGGTGCCCAGACAGCTGGAGGGAAGGAGGTGTCAGGCGGGGAGAGACGCAAACGGCGGGACCAGCAGCGACGGTAGCAGCAGCATGGCCGCGATCTATGGGGGTGTAGAGGGGTGAGTGCGGCCCGGCGGAGGGAGCCTGGGCCCGAAGGCGGGGCGGAAGGCCGTGGCCAGCCTGGCAAGCTGGTGGCCTTGATCCTCGGCGTCCGGGCACTTTGGGCGGCGGGACCTTGCGGTGAAGAGGTGTGTGCACGCGCAGGGGCGCCCTGGAGCGCACAGCTGTATGCCTTACGGGGACTCTGCCTGTGCAACAGCCACACCCCGGGTTGGGGATCCTTTGTGTTTCTTGGCGGAACCACGCCCCTTTCTTCCACGAAACACCCACTCCGCTGTCTTCAGCTGGAGAAGCAGCTCCTTTTTCCTATTCCTGACCTCGGACAGAGTTTTGCAGAACAGGTGTCAGGTGTGAAATTGCTGAGCGCGGGCAGGGTGGGGAGTGGGAGTGGGGAGAAGCGGGACAAAGATCTTGGCTGAGGTTATCCGGGAGCTGGAGCAGCTGCGAGCCAGAGTACTAGGTTGTCCTGATGTCTGA
This sequence comes from Homo sapiens, assembly GCF_000001405.40. Lineage (NCBI taxonomy): Eukaryota > Metazoa > Chordata > Mammalia > Primates > Hominidae > Homo > Homo sapiens. The sequence continues at coordinate 71,069,191 of NC_000002.12, forward strand.
AAACCGCTCCATCCCTGTTGGCCTTCCATGCTGCTTTCACTAGATTGCATTTTTCTGCTCAGAAGCTTGTTTACTGAACTTTTTGTAATAGCTCTGCCCCTGGGTATGACCATGGACAAGATATTTACCCTCCCTGGGCTACAGTTACCGTATGTGCAAAGTGAGGATAGGGATAAATAAGATCGCTATGTCCCTGCCAGTGGCAACATTCTGTGAATCTGAGTTTGTCAAATCAGGGAATAATGGGGGTCGCTGGCCTCTCAGCCAGGGCACTGTACTTTCGAATCTGTGATTGTTTTCACTTCTCTGGCAGCCACACCCCACTGCTGATTCACAGACCCCAAAGTCTTTTCACATGAATTGTTAGGAATGATCTTTCCCATCCTGTATTTGTAGCACTTAAAAAAAACAGTATAGGAGTCTGCATTCATCCTTGTTATAGTCATCTGTAAGATATGACCCGTTTCTTCCAGTTCGTCAAGACATGCTTTTGGATGTGGAATCTGCCACCTCATGTATTAACTACCCCCTTGAAATTTCATGTCCTCTTTGAGTTTGATGAGCGGTCTTCAGTGTCTTCTTCTGCCATTCCTAAAAGTAATGATCAATAAAGAAACATATATCCCATCACCACAGATCTCCCTGTGAACTACTGTGACCCCCAGTAATCAACATTTGAAGGTTTAGTTGCTTAAGTATGTATGAAGTCACCCTGCCATCTGGTCAGCATTTCTAGCAAAGGTGTCTTGAAGACCTTGGCAGCTGGATCTTGAAATGCAGTCTTTAGCTATTGTGAGGGAAGCAGAGAGATGTGCCATTTTTCTTAGGAGTGTTTGCTGAGCATTGCCTGTGCCAGCTCCTGTGCTCGTTCTGAGAGGGTAAGTAAGTGATCAGGAGCTTGACCCAGTGGAGCTTGAAGTCTAGTGAGAGGCGGACACAAAGCGTCTGAACACACACTTCATACAGAGGAGACTTTAATAACTTTGGAGGCACTATGAAGGTTTAACTAACGGAGACTTAACTAATTCGTTGGGGTGGGCCACACCTCAGAAAAGGTTTCGAGGACTAGGTGAAGCGTAAGTAGAGTCTTGCAGGATAAGGAGGACATCCCCAAGGGAAGAGGAGTGAGAATTATGTTTCAGTTAAAGAGCACTCAAACACTGAACCACAGAGGCGGGTTTGGGAGTGGTGATTGAGTTTGTCGAAGCTGTCTCCTCCATCATACTGGGCTCTGCCAGTGTGGACAGCACAAGCTTAGCTCTCTCTGTGGGTTTTTCCGAGCAAGATCAAGTGCCCTCTTGTGTTCTGTAGGGGAGGCACACGATCCGAGGTCCTTTTAGTCTCAGAGGATGGGAAGATCCTGGCAGAAGCAGATGGACTGAGCACAAACCACTGGGTAAAAACCACACTGAGGGGATCAGAGGGCTTGGTTCTGATTTTATTCTCTGTAATTCCTGTTGAGGTGGTGGCTGGGACTCACAGAGCAGCCTGTGGGGGCAACATAGCTTCTGTAAGCCTTTGTAACTCCTTCTTCCCTTGATTGGGGCCAGCTGATCGGGACAGACAAGTGTGTGGAGAGGATCAATGAGATGGTGAACAGGGCCAAACGGAAAGCAGGGGTGGATCCTCTGGTACCGCTGCGAAGCTTGGTGAGTCTGGGGCGGAGCCTGGGAATTCAGCCATCTGTGACACTGAGACAGCTAGCAAGTTTGGACTAGATGAGTTTGATGACTGCAGAGGGAAAGACCTCCAAGACTTAGTCCCTGGTGTCAAAACTGTCATAATCTCACCCAGTCTCATGGCTTCAGTTGCCACCTACAAACTACAAATGTGTTGGAAGAGCACAGGGCTTTGGAGAGCTGCTGAGACCTTGGTTTGAATCCCAGCTTTGCTGCTCAGTATCTGCGTAACCCTGTGTAGGTTACTCACCTTCTCTAAGCCTCAGTTTCCTCATTTGGAAAATGTGAATAGTAGCTACCTCAGAGTTGTTGGGAAAGTAAAATGGCATGATACATTGCAAAGTGGTTAGTATAGAGCCTGACCCATAAGCACTCATTAAATGTTAGCTATTATTTACTCCTGGTTCAGATCTTTCTCCCAAGTTGCGGTAGCTCCAGCTACTCCCTGGACATATATGTGAGATGTTCTGCAGACACAGGCAAACCTCGTGTATACCAAACCAAGCTTACCTCTCTCCATCTCCCCTCACCTTGCCCCGCTGCCTGATCTTTCTGTTAAGAGCACTACTGCCCTTCCAAGCTCCAAAGCTGGCATTGTTGAATCCCCTCTTTCTTCTGTCCATCCCCAGTCCAGGTTGTTCTTATAACCACAGCCTTCTGAGGGGTCATTGTGTGGGGAGAAAGGAGGACTGGGGCTGGGTGAACAGGGTATGGCCAGATGGGGAGAACAGGAATCAGGCATCAGGAGGGGGCGGGGGTTGAGAAAAGAGCTGGGGCTGGGGCTCTGCACACTCGCTCACCTCCCGCGTGGCCTAGGGCCTATCTCTGAGCGGTGGGGACCAGGAGGACGCGGGGAGGATCCTGATCGAGGAGCTGAGGGACCGATTTCCCTACCTGAGTGAAAGCTACTTAATCACCACCGATGCCGCCGGCTCCATCGCCACAGCTACACCGGATGGTGAGGAAGTGGAGGGAGGGGTGAGAGTGAGAACTGGTTTTTTTGGGAAAGCCCCTTAGATATAGCTGACAAAACTTGTTCTGCAAATATCCAGAAGGCAGCCACTCTTATATTCCCCTCAACTCTTTAAGTAGTTTAAGTCTCTGCCAGAGCAAGGACCAGGCAGCAGGAGGAAGGGCAAGAAAGGTCTCTTGATGGGAATCCAGGAGTGGGGTCAAACATAACTCCCCTGCAGATGAGGGACCACCTGGGGGCGGTGTAGTGAGGAAGGCAGGCTGGGGAAGCTGTCAGTGCTGAGGAGGAAGTGGGGTGGCCTTGTGATAGTGTAAAGAGTTTTGGTGTCATGGGATTGGTGTTTGAATCCCAGTTCCTGTTTTGCCTGCTATACCATGTTGGCGAAGTTCCAAAACTCTGAGTTTCAGTTTTCTCATCTATAAAATAGAGGAAGTTGTATTCATAAGATGGTTTAGGGTATGAGTGAATATCACTGTGAGAACGGGTCTAGCACAATCCCAGTAAAGCAGGTAGAGTCACTGGAAGACCGGCTGGGCAAGGAGCCACATTCCCTCTAAGAGGTGCAGGCTTGCATTTCTCTTTGTCCCCCTAGACGAGGGCGTTATGGGATTAGAGTTTTTCTGAGACCCAGGCTCTCACCCTCAGGCAGGAAACTAGCTGGGCTCAGTTTTCTCCTCTACAGGACTGGGTGGTGATTCCCTTGCCTGGGGCTGTTTTCTGTCCTGTCTTTCCACAGTGGCAAGCTGTTGCTCTGTGCCAGGCCTCGGCCACACTGAGCCTCCTATTCCCTTTCCCCAGGTGGAGTTGTGCTCATATCTGGAACAGGCTCCAACTGCAGGCTCATCAACCCTGATGGCTCCGAGAGTGGCTGCGGCGGCTGGGGCCATATGATGGGTGATGAGGGTTCAGGTGAGCTCACTGACTGGCCCAGCTCCAGGTCCTGGATCTGCTCCTTCCTTCACTCCCTGTCTTTCTCTCCTTAGCCTTGGCTCACTGAGCCCTTGGGGCTTCCTGGGGACAACTCCTGAACCTGGCCATTCCATGTGCAGGATCATGACTGAGATCATAGAGGTGCAAATGCTGGACGAGCTGCTGACCCTGCTCTCCAGCAGTGACTTGCACCCAGGACTCAGATTCATCCCTCAGCACAGGGGCCTGCCTGTGTTGACTTGCTGTCCTTAGGGAGGAGTTGAAACTGAGGGTAAGGCCATAGATGCCAGGAGATGCCATACCAGTCTGCTAGGGGAAAGGGTGTAGAAGCCCTTCCAACATCACCTCTCTCTAGGTAGTGTGTGTTTATTTTCATAGGGGCCCTTGAGGTCCAGTTCATGGCAGTGACTCCGGTGGTATTTGTGACAACAGACTGACCTTGCCTTATCCTTGGGTAGGAGCTGGTGTGACACAGCCTCACCTATTCTGTTTTCCCCCTCCAACTTTCCCTTATCTTGGTCAGTCAGATACAGTTTGATAGAGACCCTCCCACCCCCCTCTCCCACCCCCTGCCACCCCTGGCTGGGAATCAGGAAACCTAATTTGTATAAAATTCAAGCAGATCACTAACCTGTCTGGATCTGAGTTTCCCTCCTCGTGAGCTCAGGATGACTGCTCCCATCTTCTTAGCCCTCTCTGCTCCCTGCAGCCTACTGGATCGCACACCAAGCAGTGAAAATAGTGTTTGACTCCATTGACAACCTAGAGGCGGCTCCTCATGATATCGGCTACGTCAAACAGGCCATGTTCCACTATTTCCAGGTACTCCTCCTGCTCCCAGTAAACATGCGCACCTGGGGTAGGGCAGTGAAACACTCCAAGTAAGAGTGGATGCAGGGGAGGGCCTGGGCGGACCGGCAGGAAATAGGGTGAGTTGTGGGTCTGAGTTGCAGGGTGAAGTCATAGGTGAGGACAGGGTGCATTCTAGGAGGTGCATTCTAGGACAGGGCAGTGCATTCTAGGAGGGTGTCAGTCATGAGGAAGCGATGGTTTGGGGACAGGTGATTAGCCAGACTTCATTCTTGGGCAGCTAGAACCTGCTGGGAGGTGAAAGAGATGGCATTCTAGGCTAGAATGAAAAGTGCAGGATGAGATCACAGGGCAGAGACAGCAGGTAGAGTATGAATGTGTGCACTGGGCTGTGAGCTGCTTCTGGCCTGGATGGGTCAAGAGAGCCCTTAAAGAGGTGGACAGGGAGAGTTCTGGGGGATATGCATCTTCCTCCTCTGGGCGTTGGGGATTGACTCCTCCTTGTCTGTGCTGTGTTCATTTGTGGTAAGTTAGGAAACATCTGCCTTTAGCGGAACCAGAGGTAAAAGGCGGGAGAGAAGGTGAAAGGGAGAGGACAAGGTTGATGAGTTTGATAGTTACCTGTGAGGCCCAGTTAGTCTTCCTGTCCAGACATTTAGGTGGGCTGGGGCTGGGGCTGGGACCAGGACCAAGGAAGGAAAATAGAGATGCTGGGAAGTAGGGCCTGGATTATCAGGGCTGAGGGATTGATGATTAAAGAGGGGCCCGGCTAGGCCAAGGTGAGGAATAGGAGGGGACCAGGAAGAGAAATCACTTGATGAGCAGTTGTCATAGGAAGTGCAGTTAGTAACTGTTAAGCTATCCGGACTCAGCCAATTGGTTCCAAACTCTACTGATAGGTCTACTGCTCCCTCTTCTATCCTTTAGTCATTCTTACAGGGTTGTTTCAAAGATCAGATGAGATAGTATATAACGTGCTTACTACATTGCTGTAGGTGCTCAAGTTTTACCACCCACCCCCTCAGACATTTACTTAAAATATATTCTGGGGGCTGGGCACGGTGGCTCACACCTGTAATCCCAGCACTTTGAGAGGCCAAGGTGGGCGGATCACTTGAGGTCAGGTGTTCAAGACCAGCCTGGCCAACATGGTGAAACCCCGTCTGTACTAAAAATACAAAAATTAGCCAGGCGTGGTGGCGGGTGCCTGTAATCCCAGGTACTCAGGAGGCTGAGGCAGAGAGAATTGCTTGAACCTGGGAGGCGGAGGTTGCAGTGAGGTGAGAGCACACCACTGTACTCCAGCTTGGGTGACAGAGCGAGACTCTGCCTCAAAAAAAATAAAAAAAATATTCTGGGGAACCATTGGTTCCTCAGGACCTTAGAGGTGTTAAAGATGTATAAGTTTGTTGGGATTGGAAGGACCTACCTTCTGTGGTCAAATAAGTTTTGGGAGAAACAAATTGATTTCTTGATTGCAGGACTTCTCAGAGCCTTTAATTTGCTAATGTGCATTGTGACTCCCCAAGGGAGAGTTACAATATGCAATATTCCTTGGATTCCTTTGACCAAAGAAATCTTTTCAAGAGCACCCCAACCCAGCTACTCAGGAGGCTGACGTGGGAGGATTGCTTAAGGCCAGCCTAGGCAACAGCAAGACCTTGTCCCTAAAAAGGAAAAAAAAAAAATTACAAAAAAAGAGCAGCTCAAGAAACTATAGGAAACACTTTGGTTAACACAAATCTGTTCTCTGTGCTGCCTTCAAACTAATCTATAAGAAATAATGAAGTCCATGTTAGGGAACACAGATAACTTTTCTCAAATGAGAAATCTCAAATCCCTGTACTTTGGAGTTAAAAAAAATTATTCTAGCTTTTCCAACAGTAGAGACATTAGGAAGGCCAACTTTGGTGGGCAGATTGGGGATTTTCCTTTGCTTCTGATGACTCTCTTGTGCCCTTTCTCCTCTCAGGTGCCAGATCGGCTAGGGATACTCACTCACCTGTATAGGGACTTTGATAAATGCAGGTTTGCTGGGTTTTGCCGGAAAATTGCAGAAGGTACTGGAGGTGGGGGGTGGGTTTTATCTGGCTTTGTTCTCCAAAGATCCCCAGTTGGGAGATTGAGTGGGGTTCAGACAGGACTGACAACAATTTTCCTCTCACCAAGTGACCTCAGTTCTCTGCCACCACTGGCCTTGGTGGTGGTGGGCCTTGGGGTGGAGGCAGAAGGGCACGTGGGTCGTGTTGACAGTTTTGTATTACCTGTGTTTTTTTCTTTAATAGCTATCATGGCTTGCTTAGGCTGTATGCCTGTTTCTGAGGAATTTATGAAGCAGTTGTCCTTTGGACAAATCTATAACTTTCTTTTCCTAGCCAATTATACTCAAAGAACTAGGGGATTATAGAGAGGTTAGGCATATTTTGTTGGGTGTCAGGAGATGCTGAACAGAGGGCTTGTATATCTGTACATTGCTCTTTCTCCACTGTGAGGTCCATCCTGCCTTAATTTGGGTTCCTGCAGCCTCAGGGCATTCTAGGGCTCTCTTAGATCCTGCTGGACTGAGTCCCCTCTAGAAAAGAAGCAGGAACAGGCTAACCAACAGCAGACTGTTAGAAGTTGGTGGAGGGCACTGACAGGAGTACCAGCCAGCTGTTCAGCTAGGATCCTGGGTCCCCAGAGCTGACAGCCTCATAGGAACAGACTTACAGTAACTCAGTGTGAGCTGGATGCATACTAGGTGCCAGTGCATTCCTTTAGTGGGTGCTGCCCTCCCTTCCTGAGTTGGGGGCCTGAGTGAGCACCTCTGTACAGGGCACCCCTCTACAGAGGGAGGTAGCTGGTATGTTTGTCAGTGGAGACTTGCTTCTCCACCTGCCACGAGGCGGGCATCCATCCGGCAGTAGACTCCTAGCTCAGGGTGCTCCTGTGATGGCTGCCTTGCAACAGAGAGAGGATAGCCCAGGAATGGCAGCTCCCTCCTTTCTCACCAGTTTCCTTCTTCCGTCCTCCCTACCCCAGGTGCTCAGCAGGGAGACCCCCTTTCCCGCTATATCTTCAGGAAGGCTGGGGAGATGCTGGGCAGACACATCGTAGCAGTGTTGCCCGAGATTGACCCGGTGAGTTGAGGTGGGAGTGAAGGTGGGGAGCTGCTGGGTGAGGAGTGGTCCTTTCCCACTGTGGATGGGACTATCCCATCAAACCCTGCATAGATTGGATACTATTTTAAATGAACTTAGGGTCTAAGAAGCATTCTGCAGAATGTCTGTAACAAAAAAGTTCTTTGGTCAAATGCCGCCCTCTGTAATTGGCCTGTAATCTGTATTTATGTATAGTAAATTAGTTTAATGTACGTGTGTGTGTGTGCTGTCCCCTTTCTATTTTATTTTTTATTTTTTTGAGACACAGTCTCACTCTGTCAGCCAGGCTGGAGTGCAGTAGCGTGATCTCAGCTCACTGCAGCCTCCACCTCCCACTCTACCTCCCAGGTTCAAGTGATTCTCGTATCTCAGCCTCCCCAGTAGCTGGGATTACAGGCGCGCATCACCATGGCCGGCTAATTTTTGTATTTTTGGTTTTGCCATGTTGGCCAGGTAGGTCTTGAACTCCTGACCTCAAGTGATCCACCCACCTTGGCCCAAAGTGCCGGGATTACAGGCATGAGCCACCGCGCCCAGCCTGTCCCCTTTCTTTCAGTTAATTTCAGTTCAGTCATGTTTCTGTTCATTTCCCTCACTTCTGTCTTTCCTTCCTCTCTATTGTTGCTTAACGCTTTTTCCTTCCTCTTCTCTCCTTGCCCTTTACAAATGTCTCCTATTTTCCTCCCTTTTTTTTTCCCCTTTCCTGAGTCTGTCTACTGTTTCTTGGCTTGAGGGCGAGTAACTGGGATAGAGTGGGTTGGTCATAGGAAACTCCCGCCTTCAGCACTGGAGAGGCTAGGTTGGCCCCCATATCCATTTTCTGCTCTCCACCCAGGTCTTGTTCCAGGGCAAGATTGGACTCCCCATCCTGTGCGTGGGCTCTGTGTGGAAGAGCTGGGAGCTGCTGAAGGAAGGTGAGCCTGGGGGGAGGCTGGAAGGGCAAGGGCAGGGGACGGGGCTGGAAAGGAGGTGGCCCAGGAAAGCTTTTTGCCCCAGAGAGAACCTGCTTCCTGGACCCTGAGGCCTAGACAGGCCACTGATGCTCCCGTCTAAGGCCCTCAACCTCATTCTGCCATTGAGCCCTTTAATGATGTCCCATCCACCTTCCTTGAACTCTTGAAAAGATGTTGTGTTCCAAATGATTTATTGAATAATAGCTACTTTTAAAAAGTTAAAGACAAATCAGACTTAAAATTGGAGCACTGACTGGCATGTGATAACCTGGGGGACATCCCTAGTCAACATAATTCTAGCTAGAAGAAAAGAGGCCTGGCTTCTTAGCCCTGGCAGCCTTATGCCAGGCAGTTGGATGGTTTCTACCGGACATTCTGAAGTAGCTCAAGGACTCCCATTGCTACCATGGAATTCCTGGCATTGGGTCCTTTGGAGCTGAGAGGAGAGCAGGCCCCCTATGTTGCTGGCTCCAATACTCGAGTACCCAGTGCACCCTGTGTGCTGGGCACTTGGCATGTAGGCCCCTCCAGCATCTCTACAGGAGTACCTCAGGGTCTGGGCGTCCTTGTCTGTCTTCCTTCCTGGCCCCAGTACAGGTTGCTGTTCTCCTCTTATCTCTGTCCTTGTGTTCTTCCCTCCAGGTTTTCTTCTGGCGCTGACCCAGGGCAGAGAGATCCAGGCTCAGAACTTCTTCTCCAGCTTCACCCTGATGAAGCTGAGGCACTCCTCCGCTCTGGGTGGGGCCAGCCTAGGGGCCAGGCACATCGGGCACCTCCTCCCCATGGACTATAGCGCCAATGCCATTGCCTTCTATTCCTACACCTTTTCCTAGGGGGCTGGTCCCGGCTCCACCCCCTCCAAGCTCAGTGGACACTGGGTCTGAAAGGAAGGAGTCTTTTGCTTCCTTTCTCCTTTTTACAAAAACAAACATAGAAGAAAATAAATGCACTTTATCCACTCCCCAATTGGACTGCATTATCAAACACATGTGCTATGTACATCCTCAGTGCACCTGCCAGCAGATATCCTGGAGGGCTCATGAGTGAATTTAGTCCAAGATTTAAAGCCCTGCCCCCAGGTGCTCAGCCTGTGATCTGTATCCACTCAGCATGCACTTGGGCAGATGATTTGTCTGTGTGCTACCCTTCCCCCCATATTACCATACATATGCACTGTGTGGCTGCCAGTTAATCTGTGACCTGTTTTCTCCTGTCGTGTCAAGTGGGTAACGATCCCTGGCGACCACAGTCAGCAGAAACAAGTGCTCACCATTCAGAACATCACAGGGAGTAACCTTAGGTATATCACACCCTCTCCTGAGACTCCCAGCAAGATTTAGGGGCTAGAGTACAATTCTAGACTGGGAGCATCTTTACCTCACTGGATTTAGTAACTGCAGGTAAGCAGGACATTTTGAAGTTTTTCCTATGAATGAGTTTTTGAAAGGTTATGAGGATGGCTGAGATCCAAGAAGACCAACTAGGTACCGCTCACCTCGGTAGCTGACCTATTCCTGGCTACTACTAGCCTGGCTCTGCTTACAGCGTGACACTATGTGTTGTGTGTTCCTGGGAATGAGGAGCATCAGTGAAGAGCAGACATGATTCCTGCCCTCTGGGTACCATAGTTCAGCCAGTGAAGGCAAACCTGAAGCTTCGGTTCCACAGCCTGTGCTGCTTGGTGAAGACTAAGGACAGGAGTCTCGATCCACAATAGCTGCCTCTCCAGGTGTTTTATTAGAGGCATGTGGATCATGTCCTGCACATCAGTTCTCCAACTTACAGACATCAGTTATTCTAGAGTTTGTTTTAAAACACGGTTTTGGCCGGGCACGGTGGCTCACGCCTGTAATCCCAGCACTTTGGGAGGCCGAGGCAGGTGGATCACGAGGTCAGGAGATTGAGACCATCCTGGCTAACACGGTGAAACTCCATCTCTACTAAAAAATACAAAAAATTAACCGGGCGTGGTGTCGCGCGCCTGTAGTCCCAGCTACTGGGGAGGCTGAGGCAGGAGAATGGCATGAACCCAGGAGGTGGAGCTTGCAGTGAGCCGAGGTCGCACCACTGCACTCCAGCCTGGGCGACAGAGCGAGACTCTGCCTCAAAAAATAATAAATAAAAATAAAATCAGGTTTTTGTCTACTCCCCTCCCCTGCCCTAAGGTATCTGATGATAATAGGTTAAGGATGGGATGGGGAATTTTCATTTCTATTATACTGAACAGCTTGAGTAATTTCTGCTGCAGAGGTCCAGCATCTGCACTTGAGGGAGTGCTATGCTACAGCTGGTAAGTTCTGATTAGGCCTTCTAAGACATCTTGAATACTATCTTGTTGCCCAAGTCGGATGATGCTGTTCTTTCACAGTGTAGCATTCACGTAGAACAGAATAGTAACAGCTCTCCTTCCATCAGCTCTAGCCCAGTGCTGCAAGCTGGAGCTTTGAGCAATAAGAACTCCAGCCAGGTCCCTTCTGAAAGAACAGCCAGCCATCTTCACATCCAGCTATGACCAAATCACTGTGGTCTAGCACTCAGCAAGTCTCCAGTCCAGCACCTGGTAAAAAGCTTGCAGAGAGAACAAGGACACAGCAGAGGCATCTTTGCTATATCCCACAGTCTTGAAAAACTGTTAGGTTATTAATGAGTGGTGAGCTTTGGAGATTTTTTTAAATAATGCTCTCAGGATGAGGATCAAACAGCATTTTGGTGAAAAGAGTTTATAACTACTGAGACCTACTTATGTTCTTCAGAATATGGCCATCACTTTTCCTTAGAATTGTCTAGACTGCAATTCCAATTGGACAGTGGAGGTTTTAGTGGAGGAGCACATCTTGATTTTTTTAGTCCCAGCATAGAAATGTTGAAAAAAATGCTGAAAAAAGGTAGTATTAAAGTGCATAAGGTCAGATGTGTTCCTAGTTCCTGTCACATTTAGGAGATGTGATGAGGTCACTTCCCAGTTATTAAAGCTCTATTAGGCTGCAGTGCAGAAAATCGCAAGTGATTTTTTAAAATTTATTTTAGAGGTGAGGTCTTATTCTTGCCTAGGCTAGAGTGCTGTGGCACTATCATAGCTCACTGCAGCATTGAATTCCTGAGCTCAAGTGATCCACCTCAGCCTTCCAAGTAGCTGGGAGTACAGACATGTACCACCACACCTGGCTAATTCTGTCATTTTTTTGTAGAGATGGGTCTTGCTATGTTGCCCAGGTTGGTCTCAAACTCCTGGCTTCAAGCAATCCTGCTGTCTTGGGCTCCCAAAGTGCTGGAATTATAGGTGTGAGCCACCATGCCCAGCCCAAAAGTGATTTTTGCTGAGTTTCTCCCCTTTTATTATTTTATTTTATTTTATTTTATTTATTTTATTTTATTTTATTTTATTTTATTTTATTTTATTTTATTTTATTTTATTTTATTTTATTTTATTTTATTTTATTTTTGAGACAGAGTCTCACTCTGTTGCCCAGGCTGGAGTGCAGTGGTGTGATAACGGCTCACTGCGACCTCTGCCTCCCAGGTTCAAGTGATTCTCCTGCCTCAGTCTCCCAAGTAGCTGGGATTACAGGCATGCAACACCACGCCCTGCTAATTTTTTTGTATTTTTTAGTAGAGTTGGGGTTTTGCCATGTTGGCCAGGCTGGTCTCAAACTCCTGACCTCAGGTGATCTGCCCGTCTTGGCCTCCCAAAGTGCTGGGATTACAAGCGTGAACCACTGTGCCCGGCCTTCTCCCCCTTTAATTTTAAACTTATAGTGTCCCCCAACAAACTATCAGAAGAAATTCATGGGATTTTGTATCACCAAGGCATTAAGAGATGTATACAGTCCTCTCATCTGAGCCTGTAACAGCCCTGTGATGAGACAAGAGAGCTTGGAACAAGCATTGGAATGAGGCTAGCACTGCCTTATCTCCCTGTGTGATCACAGGGATAGTACAGCTTCATCTGTCCCTTTCATTCAGCAAACATTTATTGAATGTCTTGCAGGTGTGATGAGTACTCTAAGCATTAAAAGTAAGTACACCAAGGCCAGGCGTGGTGGCTCATGCCTGTAATCCCAACACTTTGGAAGGCTGAGGCAGGCAGATCACGAGGTCAAGAGATCGAGACCATCCTGGCCCACATGGTGAAACTCCATCTCTACTAAAAATACAAAAATTAGCTGGGCGTGGTGGGGCGCACCTGTAGTCCCAGCTACTCGGCAGGCTGAGGCAGGAGAATCACTTGAACCCAAGAGGCGGAGGTTGCAGTGAGCCGAGATCACGCCACTGCACTCCAACCGGGTGACAAAGCAAGACTCCGTCTCAAAAAAATAAATAAGTACACCAGGCCGGGCACAGTGGCTCAAGCCTGTAATCCCAGCACTTTTGGGAGGGTGAGGTGGGTGGATTGCTTGAGTTCAGGAGTTCAAGACCAGCCTGACCAACATGGTGAAACCCTGTCTCTACTAAAAGTAGAAAAATTAGGTGGGCATGCTAGCAGGTGAGGCATGAGAATGGCTTGAATCCAGGAGGCAGAGGTTGCAGTGAGCCAAGATTACACCATTGCACTCCAGCCTGGGTGACAGAGTGAGACTCCATCTCAAAAAAAAAAAAAAGAATATATCATCCACCTCTTCAGGGAAGTTACATTCTAATAAACCCTATTTACACAAAACTACATGTAACTATAGGATTTTAAAATGCTGTAAATAGGCAAGTCAGCTCAGGATCCACCAAGCCCCCCGCCCCGCCCCCTTCCATTTTTAGGAAGGAGGCAAAGAAATGATAGGGCTCAGAGCAAAACCCATGGGTCCTGGGCTGGTCCCATATCGTCTTTTATCATATGATAAAGCCCCTCAACAAATCACTGGGAGATCTGAGTGAGGTTTCAGTTTAAATAGGCATTGCCAAACCATAATCACAACAGCAGGGACTGTGGCTGCTTGGTAACCCCCGTAACCCTTGTGCCTAAGACAATGCTTGACATATAGCAGGATGTGAAACTTGTTCAATAGTTGAAAGGCAGATATGGAATACTTGTTTTCTAGGTAGTAAGAGCCCCAGTTTTGCCCAGAAACAGGAAAACAAATGCCTAGTTTCCCTTCTAGCTCAAAGATGCCACTGCCTCTTTGTTCAGAGCTGTACATATCATTGCCACTATTGGCTACCATGTATTAAGTGCCTATTATGTGCCAGGCAGCATTTTAAAATTCTGTCATTATAGTTCCAGGGGAGAGGTGCTGCACCTTTACAAATAAAGAGGTTATTTGTAAATAAAATGCAGGCCAATGGCACAAAGTAGTGAAGGTGGAATTCACTCAGGTCTGTCACTTCCAGCCCATGTTTTACTACTTTGTAACCCTATTTGGAAAGAAAACCGCAACTAAGATTATGACCCATCCTGACACAAAAAGTTTCACACATATACACCACACATACCGCACACCCCTGCCCCCCACAGTATGATGGCACAGTGACCCAACCTTAGGCAAAAGGGTACCACTGCCAACAAATGCACTTAACATTTTATTGAGATTCTCAACAGCTGCCATTTGGTTTGTATAGCAAATTTTTTACAAAGTAATTTTTTTCCATTTTCGATATTTTTATGAAAATTATTTTCTTCAGTTTTAAAGCCCTGTCCCTCCCCCAAAGAAGGATTAATAACTACCAAGTAATGATTAGGGGAAAAAAAGCAAAAACAGCTTTATAAACACTTGTGAAACAGGGGTAAGTGTCCGAAGTCAAGACCTTCTGGGCCCAGTGGAGGTGCTGGGCTGCTCCGGGACACCATCACCACTTCACCATCCACAACATCCTCAAGAGCTGAGCAGCCCTGCACAGACCCTGGGGGGCTTCCTGTTCCACAAGCTCCACTCCCTTTTTCCTCTCCATCTTTGCTGTTGGGCCTCCCCTCCAAATCTGCCTAACAAAGGCAGCACGATCTTTAATGCCTGTGCAGCTTTGTAAGTGGAGCCAGGTTACTCTGTTTTGAAAGCTGAGATTCCCTGTCCAGTCTGGGGGAGGAAAAATTATCCAATGTAGCATGGATGGTTTCACTTTCTTGTCCACTCAGACACATGCTCATACTTATTAAATGGATTTATTGGATGCTTCAAAAGTCCTGATGTGTAGTAGCACAAAAGTTCCTTGTAAAAAAAGAAGTTGCAAAATTATAAAAATTTCTGCAGCAGTTCTGGCTCTGGATGACAAAGCTCATTCTGATTAGTAGTTTTTTTGACATGCACAGCAGCTTCCCCTATAAGTCCTACGTTCGGAGGGTTCCGTTTAGACAACAGGAAGTTGGAATCCAAGTTTAAAAGGCTCTCTGCTGACAAAATGTGGTACATCCATCAACAGAATTCTACTCAGCAATAAAAGGAACAAACTACCAAGACGTTATCTGTCATGGACAAACCTCAAAAACATTAGCTAAGTAAAAAAGCCAGACACGGCTGGGCGCAGTGGTTTACGTCTGTAATCCTAGCACTTTTGGAAGCCGAAGCGGGCAGATCACCTGAGGTCAGGTGTTCAAGACCACCCTGGCGAACATGGTGAAAGCCCATCTCTACTAAAATACAAAAATTAGCTGGGCATGATGGCGGGTGCCTGTAATCCCAGCTACTCGGGAGGCTGAGCCAGGAGAATCGCTTGAACCACGGAGATGGTGGATGCAGTGAGCCGAGGTCACACCACTGCACTGGGCAGCTGAGCGAGATTCTGTCTAAAAAAAAAAAAAAAAAACCAGACACAAGACCACATATTGTATGATTTCATTGATTCAAAGTGTCCAGAAAATGCAAATTTATATAGAGAGAAAGTAGATTGTTGGTTGCCTGGAGCTGGGGTAAGAACAGGATTAACTGTGAAAGAGCATGAAGGATCTTATCAGGAGGGATAAAATTGTTCCAAAACTGAGTAATAGTTATGGCTACATCACTGAGGGAAGTTACTAAAATCACTGAATTTTATACTTGAAATGGGTGAGTTTTATGATATGTAACACATGCCTCATTAAAGTTTTTTGTTTTTGTTTTTGTTTTTTGGTTTGTTTTGTTTTGTTTTAAGTGAGGCAGGAAAATAGGGTCTGGAGGCAGGGAACATAAGGCCAATTCACACTTCAGCTGCGACAGGAAAGATCCTCTCCATAGGGCATAGACCAAGTAAATGACTTTGTAACTTTACTTCATCCTCCCATTTACATAGGGCTTACCCCAAGTAACCAATGGGATCCTCTAGAGGGTATTTAAACTCCCCAAAATTCTGTAACTATGCTTGGGCCCACTCCCACACTGTGGAGTGTACTTTCTTTTTCAGTAAATCCCTTCCTTCCTTGCTTTGTTTGTGCATTTTGTCCAATTCTTTGTTCCAGATGCCAAGAACCTGGACACCCTCCCCCAATAACAAAAGGACTCCCGCCTCCCAAACCATCCATCAAGCATTAAACATTTTTGAAGGCTCACAATCAACAGGATAGAATAATTACTTAGTGATGATTTCCAAAGTGAAATATTTTACTGTTTTATAGTAAGCACATTTTAGTATCTGTACACCAGTAAAATGTTAAGATTTTATCTCATTTTTGTCATATTAGCCTAAAATATTTATTATTTTTATATAAAAGATAGTCAATAGGAAGGTAGGATTGGGGAGAAAACTTAGCAAATGTCACAAAGGAGACTCCTAGTAACAAAATCTGCGGGAGCCTTTTCTTTTAAAATAAAGATGGTGCATCTGTCCCTTTACAGATTTCTCTCCTGTCCCCTGGGACTGGGGAAGGTGAATCTCCTGCCTGACACCCTGTAGAGATTAGTGTATCCAGCTGTTCTATTCCCATGATTCCTCTGAAAACCAGACTGACTGGGAATAGCAGTAGGGGTTTGGCCAGTGAGGGCAGGTGGCCAAATGGTGTGCAGGAAACTCGCATGTTTCCCTGGGTTGGCTTCCTGCTCCCCTGTCCCTGTCACCAATAGCAGCTTCAATATGGGAGACGATTAAAACAAAGGAGAAAAACAAAAAACCGTATCCAAATTATAACCAACCAAGTCTATGGAGGAAATTCACAAGGCAGCAGAGCAGAGGCTGCAGAGGTGCTCTGTCTACCGGGAGAACTAATGATCCCTGTGAGCAATGCAGGGTGCAATGAGTCACATGGGGAAATGTGGACAGAGGCAGAAGGACATCAAGGCCCCCACTGCACACCAAATTAGAGTCAATCCTCCTGTTCTCCCCACCCACTTCGCAAACTAATGACGTCCGCGTTATCCCAGAGGAGAGTGGCTAGGGACACTCAGTCCTTCCCAACATGTGGACATCTCCAAATCTTGGTCAAATCTGTCAGATTTCTAACAGTTTCAATACCTCAATATCACCTAAACTGAGAAAGATTATTAGCCCGTGATGGTGGGACCCTTATTGACGAAGGCCTGCCCCCTCCTCACAGTAGGGTAGACTCCTGGGTTCCCGATGGTTCAAGAGCCTGGGCTGTCATTTGTCTACCTGGGGTTTGCAGCAGCCCTAGTACAAGAAGATTCATTCGTACTGTTTACTTTGGCAGCCTCTTCACACAACTTTCCTCTCTAACACGTGTTAATTGTCAGAGTGTTCACCTCACCTCCTTACTTCCCAGCTTCTCCAAAGTCAAGGCAATAGCAATAAACAATTTGGAAAATGTTGCTTAGTATTTTAAGCCATGGTTAGTTTCATGCGCGTCCGTGTGAAGAGACCACCAAACAGGCTTTGTGTGAGCAACACGTCTCTTTATTTCACCTGGGTGCAGGCGGGCTGAGTCCGAAAAGAGTCAGCGAAGGGAGATAAGGGTGGGGCCGTTTTATAGGATTTGGGTAGGTAAGGGAAAATTACACTCAAAGGGGGTTTGTTCTCTGGCGGGCAGGAGTGGGGGTCGCAAGGTGCTCAGTGGGGGTGCTTTTTGAGCCAGGATGAGCCAGGAAAAGGACTTTCACAATGTAATGTCATCACTTAAGGCAAGGACCGGCCATTTACACTTCTTTTGTGGTGGAATGTCATCAGTTAAGGTGGGGCAGGGCATATTCACTTCATTTGTGATTCTTCAGTTACTTCAGGCCATCTGGGTGTATACGTGCGAGTCACAGGGGATGCAATGGCTTGGCTTGGGCTCAGAGGCCTGACATTCCTGCCTTCTTATATTAATAAGAAAAATAAAACAAAATAGTGTTGAAGTGTCGGGGCAGCAAAAATTTTTGGGGGGTGATAAGGACAGACAATGGGCAATGTTTCTCAGGGCTGCTTCAAGCGGGATTAGGGGCGGCGTGGGAACCTAGAGTGGGAGAGATTAAGCTGAAGGGAGGTCTTGTGGTAAGGGGTGATATTGTGGGGATGTTAGAAGAAACTTCTGTCATATAGAATATTGGTTGGCCTGGATACGGTTTTGGATGAATTGAGAAACTAAATAGAATAACAGAAGGAGAAAAACAGGTATAAAAGGACTAAGAATTGGGAGGACCTAGGACATCTAATTAGAGAGTGCCTAAGGAGATTCAGCATAGTCCTGCCAGCAAAGATTATTTATTTACTTCAAGAGTTTAGAGTGGCAGTTTGGGGATAGCACCAGGAGATATCAGCTGTGATGGCTTGGAGAAACAGTGTAAACCAGCAGTGTAAACAAGAGCAGGGCATGTATGAGTAGTTTAGAATGGTGAATAGGAGTATGACTAACGGATGAGGATGAAATTTGGGCTTGACTGAAGTAATGGGGGCTGTCTGTGAAGCCTTGCGGCAGTACAGCCCGGGTAATGTGCTGAGCCTAATGGGTGTCAGGGTCAGTCTAAGTGAAGGCAAAGAGAGGCTGGGACGAAGGGTGCAAAGGAATAGTAAAGAAAGCATGTTTGAGATCCAGAACAGAATAACAGGTAGTAGAGGGAGGTATTGAGGATAGGAGAGTATATGGGTTTGGCACCACGGGGTGGATAGGCAGAACAATTTGGTTGATAAGGCGCAGATTCTGAACTAACTTGTAAGCCTTGTCTGGTTTTAGGACAGGTGAAATGAGGGAATGGTAAGGAGAGTTTATAGGCTTTAAAAGGCCAAGCTGTAGCAGGCAAGTGATAACAGGCTTTAATCCTTTCAAAGCATGCTGTGGGATGGGATATTGGCATTGAGCGGGGTAAGGGTGATTAGGTTTTAATGAGATGGTAAGGGGAGCATGATCGGTCGCCAAGGAGGGAGTAGAGGTATCTTATACTTGTGGGTTAAGATGGGGGAATACAAGAGGAGGACGCAAAGGAGGCTTTGGATTGGGAAGAAGGGCATCAGTGAGATGCGGCTATGGTCCAGGAATAGTCAGGGAAGCAGATAATTAGGTTAAAATGTCTCAGCCTAATAAGGGAACTGGGCAGGTGGGGATAACTAAAAAGGAGTGCTTAAAAGAGTATTGTCTAAGTTGGCACCAGAGTTGGGGAGTTTTAAGATGTTTAGAAGCCTGGCCGTCAATACCCACAACAGTTATGGAGGCAAAGGAAACAGGCCCTTGAAAAGAAGGTAATGTGGAGTGGGTAGCCTCCGTATTGATTAAGAAGGGGACAGACTTACCTTCCACTGTGAGAGTTACCCGAAGCTTGTCGTCCGTGATGGTCTAGGGGGCTTCCGAGGCGATCGGGCAGCGTCAGTCTTCAGCCGCTAAGCCAAGAAGATCTGGGAAGGAGTCAGAGAGCCTTGGGCCAGAGTTCCAGGGACTCTGGGAGTGGCTGCCAGGTGAGTTGGACAGTCCGATTTCCAGTGGGGTCCCGCACAGATGGGACACGGCTTAGGAACAATCCTGGGCTGCAGGCATTCCTTGGCCTGGTGGCCACATTTCTGGCACTTGCAGCAAACTCCTGGGGGAGAAGGTTCTGGAGGAACGCCTGGCCACTGCGGTTCAGGCATTTGGAAGTTCTTGTGTGCTGGAGATGTGGCTGGGATTTGTCTCACAGTGGAGGCAAGGAATTGCAACTTTTTTCTATTATTGTACGCCTTGAAGGCAAGGTTAATTAAATCCTGTTGTGGAGTTTGAGGGCCGGAATTTAATTTTTGGAGTTTTATTTAATGTCAGGAGCATATTGGGTAATAAAATGTATATTGAGAATAAGATGGCCTTTTGACCTTTTAGGGTCTAGGGCTGTAAAGCGTCTCAGGGTTGCTGTCAAACGAGCCATGAACTGGGCTGGATTTTTATATTTGATGAAAAAGACCCTAAACGCTATCTGATTTGGGATAAAGAAAAAGGAGCATTAACCTTGATTATGCCTTTGGCTCCAGCCACCTTTTTAAGAGTAAATTGCTGGGCAGGTGGGGGAGGGCTAGTCACGGAACGAAACTGTAAGCCCGACCAGGTGTGAGAAGGGGAGGTGATAAAAGGATTATAGGGTGGAGGAGCAGAGGCTGAGGAAGAATTGGGACCTAGCTCGGCCTGGCGAGGAGGGGAGAGGTCAGATGGGTCTGTAGAAAAGGAAGATTAGAAAGACTCAGCGACGCTTGGGGTTGGTACTGAGGGGACAGGCGGGAGGGAAAGAGGGAAGATTTGGGATGAGTTGCACTGGGCACAGAGACTAGGAAGGGACTGATGTGTAAAAGAATGCCTGGACGTCAGGCACCTCAGACCGTTTGCCTATTTTACGACAAGAATTATTTAGATCTTGCAGGATGGAAAAATTCAAAGTGCCATTTTCTGGCTATTTGGAACTACTGTCGAGTTTGTATTGGGGTCAAGCGGCATTGCAGAAGAAAATAAGGTTTTAGGTCAGGTGAGAATTGAAGAGGTTTTAAGTTCTTAAGAATACAGGCTAAGGGAGAAGAAGGAGGAATGGAAGGTGGAAGCTTGCCCACAGTGAAGGAGGCAAGCCCAGAGAAAAGAGTAGAGTCACGGAGAAGGGGTGGGGGTTTCTTGCCCTCCAGAAAAGCAGAGAAAGTGTTGGGGTACGGAAATAAGGGATTGGGGCGCAGAGATAAGAGGTTGGGGCGCAGAAATAAGGGATTGGGGCGCAGAGATAAGAGGTTGGGGCATGGAAATAAGCGATTGGGGTGCAGAGATAAGAGGTTGGGGCGCAGAGATAAGAGGTTGGGGCGTGGAAATAAGCGATTGGGGGGTTCTTGCCCCCTAGGAAAGCGGGACTTGCCGCTAAGGGCGAAGGAGAAGAGGTTGAGGGGTACTTGCCCCTGCCCCAGGAAAGCGGGACTTGCCGCTAAGGGTGAAGGAGAAGGGGTTGAGGGGTACTTGCCCCTGCCCCAGGAAAGCGGGACTTGCCGCTAAGGGCGAAGGAGAAGAGGTTGAGGGGTACTTGCCCCTGCCCCAGGAAAGCAGAGAAGGGGTAGAGACAAGGAGAGAAGAGGTTGAGGGGTACTTGCCCCTCTCCCAGAAAAGCAGAGAAGGGGTAGAGACATGGAGAGAAGGGGTTGAGGTACTTGCCCCTTCCCCAGAAAAGCGGGACTTGCCGCTAAGGATGAAGGACCAAGGCAGGCGTCCCTGCGTGGTCTGACACCCTTGAAACGTGGCTGAATGATCAGAGAGGCGTCCCTGCAATGATTAAACACCAGGGGAAGGCTGCCTTCCCAATCCGTGACCGGCGCCGGAGTTTTGGGTCCACGAATAAAACGTGTTTCCTTTGTCTCTCCCAGAAAATGAAAGGAATTGAAATTAAAAGAAGGGAGAGATTGAAGAGTGGAAAGGACAAAGTGGTTGAGGGACAGTGAGAGAGGTTGGAGAAGAGAGTAAGATGAGGCCACTTACCGAATTTGAAATTGGTGAGATGTTCTTGGGCTGGTCGGTCTGAGGACCTGAGGTCGTATGTGGATCTTTCTCATGGAGCAAAGAGCAGGAGGATGGGGGATTGATCTCCCAAGGGAGGTCCCCTGTTCCGAGTCACGGCACCAAATTTCATGCGCGTCCGTGTGAAGAGACCACCAAACAGGCTTTGTGTGAGCAACATGGCTGTTTATTTCACCTGGGTGCAGGCGGGCTGAGTCCGAAAAGAGAGTCAGCGAAGGGAGATAAGGGTGGAGCCGTTTTATAGGATTTGGGTAGGTAAAGGAAAACTACACTCAAAGGGGGTTTGTTCTCTGGTGGGCAGGAGTGGGGGTCACAAGGTGCTCAGTGGGGGTGTTTTTTGAGCCAGGATGAGCCAGGAAAAGGACTTTCACAAGGTAATGTCATCACTTAAGGCAAGGACTGGCCAATTACACTTCTTTTGTGGTGGCATGTCATCAGTTAAGTTGGGGCAGGGCATATTCACTTCTTTTGTGATTCTTCGGTTACTTCAGGCCATCTGGGCGTATACGTGCAAGTCACAGGGGATGCGATGGCTTGGCTTGGGCTCAGAGGCCTGTCAGTTAGCATTATAACCTTAATTAAAGAGACCCCAGGCTGAGGTGGCCCACCACACCCAGCCTATAATCCCAGCAATTTGGGAGGCTGAGGTGAGAGGATCACTTGAGCACAAGAATTTATGAACAGCCTGGGAAACACAGCAAGATCCAGTCTCTACAAGAAATTTAAATTTAAAAAAAAATTAGCTCTGCCTGATGGTGCATACCTGTTGTTCCAGCTACTCAGGAGGCTGGGCTAAAAGGATAGCTTGAGCCCAGGAAGATTGATGGAGTCTTCATGAATGAGATCAGTTTTCCTATAAAAGAAGCCTCAGAGAGCTGCCTTGCCCCTTCCACCATATGAGGATGCAGGGAGAAGCTACTATCCAAGGAGAAAGCACCAGCTAGAAGGAAGCTAACCTTCACCAAACACCAAATCGGCCCAGCCTCCAGAACTGAGAAATTTGTTTTTTTATAAGGTACCCAGTTTATGGTATTTTGTTTGGGCAGCCTAAATGGGCCAATGCAGTGGGTAAAATTTATGACATTGTGTCCAGAATTGGTGGGTTCTTGGTCTCACTGACTTCAAGAATGAAGCCGCGGACCCTCACGGTGAGTGTTACAGCTCTTAAGGTGGCGCGTCTGGAGTTTATTCCTTCCAATGTTCGGATGTGTTTGGAGTTTCTTCCTTCTGGTGGGTTCTTGGTCTTGCTGGCTCAGGAGTGAAGCTGCAGACCTTTGCGGTGAGTGTTACAGCTCTTAAGGCCGCGCGTCTGGAGTTGTTCGTTCCTCCCCCTGGGCTCGTGGCCTGGCTGGCTTCAGGAGTGAAGCTCCAGACCTTCGCAGTGAGTGTTACAGCTCATAAAAGTAGTGTGGACCCAAACAGTGAGCAGTAGCAAGATTTATTGCAAAGAGGCAGTGTGGAAGGGGACCCCAGCGGGTTGCCACTGCTGGTTCCGGCAGCCTGCTTTTATTCTCTTATCTGGCCCCACCCACATCCTGCTGATTGGTAGAGCCGAGTGGTCTGTTTTGACAGGCGCTGATTGGTGCGTTTACAATCCCCGAGCTAGACACAAAGGTTCTCCACCTCCCCACTAGATTAGCTAGATACAGCACGTCAACACAAAGGTTCTCCAAGTCCCCACCAGAGTAGCTAGATACAGAGTGTCGATTGGTGCATTCAGAAATCCTGGGCTAGACACAGGGTGCTGATTGGTGTGCTTACAAACCTTGAGCTAGATACAGAGTGCCGATTGGTGTATTTACAATCCCTGAGCTAGACATAAAGGTTCTCCAAGGCCCCACCAGAGTAGCTAGATACAGAGTGTCGACTGGTGCATTCACAAACCCTGAGCTAGACACAGGGTGCTGATTGGTGTATTTACAATCCCTGAGCTAGACATAAAGGTTCTCCACGTCCCCGCCAGACTCAGGAGCCCAGCTGGCTTCACCCACTGGATCCTGCATGGGGGCTGCAGGTGGAGCTGCCTGCCAGTCCCACGCCGTGTGCACGCACTCCTCAGCCCTTGGCTGGTCGATGGGACTGGGCGCCGTGGAGCAGGGGGCGGCGCTCATGGGGGAGGCTCGGGCCGCACAGGAGCCCATGGAGTGGGTGGGAGGCTCAGGCATGACAGGCTGCAGGTCCCGAGCCGTGCCCCACGGGAAGGCAGCTAAGGCCGGGCGAGAAATCGAGCACAGCGCCAGTGGGCTGGCACTGCTGGGGGACCCAGTACACCCTCTGCAGCCACTGGCCCGGGTGCTAAGCCACTCACTGCCCAGGCCGGCAGGGCCAGCCGGTTGCTCCGAGTGTGGGGCCCGCCAAGCCCACGCCTACCCGGAACTCCAGCTGGCCCGCAAGCGCGGCGCACAGCCCTGGTTCCTGCTGGCACCTCTCCCTCCACACCTCCCTGCAAGCTGAGGGAGCCGGCTCCGGCCTTGGCCAGCCCAGAAAGGGGCTCCCACAGTGCAGCGGTGGGCCGAAGGGCTCCTCAAGTGCTGCCAAAGTGGGAGCCCAGGCAGAGGAGGCGCCAAGAACGAGCGAGGGCTGTGAGGACTGCCAGCACGCTGTCACCTTTCAACATGATGGCTATGGGTCATTGGGAACAGTGAGGCAAGTTTCTTGAACAGCTTTGGCAAGCAAGTTGTAAGTCTTGAGAAATAAACTATTTTAGTTGGTTCACTCCCAGAGCAAGTGTTTCCTGGAGTAAGTACTAAGTTCTTTTTTCCTGATTCCAGTAATGTGTAGTACAAGGACAGGAAGGTATTTTGGTATCAGTTATCCCAGCTGAGTGCAGAGGACCACACTCAACCATACTGGAGCAGGTCAAAGGGCTTTAGGAGGCACATGTTAAAGATGGTGAAATTGGGGCTGGGCGTGGTGGCCCACACCTGTAATCCTACCACTTTGGGAGGCTGAGGCAGGCAGATCACAATGCCAGGAGTTCAAGACCAGCCTGGCCAACATGGCGAAAACTCGTCTCTACTAAAAATACAAAAATTAGCCGGGCATGGTGACACACGCCTGCAATCCCAGCTACTTGGGAGGCTGAGGCACAAGAATCGTTTGAGCCCAGGGGATGGAGGTTGCAGTGAGCCAAGATCGTGTCACTGCACTCCAGCCTGGCAACGGAGCCAGCCTCTGTTTTTTTTTTTATAAAAAGAAGATGAAATTGATAGCATCATTTAAGAAACAGTACCTCTTGAGATAGGGTAAAACAATTGAGAGTTTGGGGTACATATATAACTAATCAAGTAAACAAACAAAAACCAAACTTATTTACTCCCACCCTCCCCCCAGCCACAAATAAATTATTTGCAGGGAAGGAAATCATAGTATACTACATGACCCTGCTGTAATCATACATGGTAATAATAACAGAGTATAATAATAAAAACACCTAATATACATCTAACCAAAATTATTATGTTTGGAAGATGGAAAGAAGGGAATGGGTTGTGTGTGTGAGAGATAACACACCAGGAGAAAAGAAGTTATTGAAAGAGAGACAAATGTTATCTTCCACAGTGGGGAGTCAATAGAAAATACAAGGAACCAAAAAAATCAAGAAATAGTAATAGAAGCATGTTATTTAGTGATATGAAGGTAATTCTTTTCTTATTTTTTTTTTTGTTGAGACAGAGTCTCACTCTGTCTCACTCCAGGCTGGAGTGCAGTGGCATGATCTCAGCTCACTGCAACCTCCACCTCCTGGGTTCAAGCAATTCTCCTGCCTCAGCCTCCTGAGTAGCTGGGATTACAGGCATGTGCCACCACACCTGGCTAATTTTTTTTTTTTTTTTTTTTTTTAGTAGAGGCAGGGTTTCACCACATTGGTCAGAATGGACTCAAACTCCTGACCTTGTGATCCACCCACCTTGGCCTCCCAAAGTGCTGGAATTGCAGGTGTGAGCCAGTGCACCCAGCTGAAGGTAAATATTAATACTTAAAAAAGCAGTTAAAATATTTTAAAGGGATTGTGTCTGGAGAGGGCAGAATGGGAGAAGGGGGGAGTAGGCAGTGGTACTCAAAGATTGCCTTTTTTCCATTAAAAGTCTGGAGAAGTGTTTTATTTAAATTATGTGCCTACAAACTTTAATACAATTTTTTTAAAAAAATTTAAACCTGAAAGACAAAAAAATCGTCATTTGTAGTCTCAAGCTGAGATTTGGGACCAGGACTATGAGAAATAAATTTGTGTTTTTTATAAGGTACCCAGTTTATGGTATTTTGTTGTAGCAGTCTGAATGAACTAAGGCAGTGGGCAAAATTTGTGACATAAAGGCCTTGGATCACGGGTCACAGTGAAGCAAGCTGTGGTCTAATTATTTTGACCCACTTTAGCACATCTTTTGTTACAAACAAACTTTCTTAGACAAACTGATGTTGAGCACACATCAAAGTTTATTAGCTTTTTAGCAAGGGAATCTGAAAAGAGTGCCTGGTGCCAGGTCTGAGAGGGCATGGAAACTGGAGGGCCATATATTTGGGGAAGAGAATGCTTACATAAGCAGCCAATTTTTAAAATTAAGCAACTTATTAGATTAAAAGTGCAGTTTCATTTCATATGGTCATAAAAACACTATGTTTGTAGAAAGGAAATCGGGAGCAAAAAGCCCAAGAAAGAAAAGCAGATGATAAGGAAACACCAGTGTTCATTAAGTGAATAACCAGGGTTTGGTCCCCTGATGATTCAATTCACATGGAAGCATGATTGGTCCCCAAACAGCTCAGAAGCAGAGTGTGGAGGAGGCCTGTCTTTGCACAGTGAATGCACATGTTGCAAATGAAGTTGAAGAGTCAAACCATTTGTCCGTTCTCTAATCTTGGGACAAATATTTTTGATACTTCACACAAAAGTAGAACCAGACAACTAGTAACAGTAAAAATCATTTTGGGTTTCCAGTTTCTAGAGTGATAAAACTATAAAACAAAGACTGGGCACGGTGGCTCATGCCTGGAATCCCAGCACTAGGCCGAGGTGGGCAGATCATTTGAGGTCAGGTGTTCAAGACCAGCCTGGCCAACATGGTGAAACCCCGTCTCTACAAAAAATATAAAAATTAGCCAGGCGTGGTGGTGGGCGCCTGTAATCCCAGCTACTCGGGAGGCTGAGGCAGGGAGAATTGCTTGAACCTGGGAGGCAGAGATTACAGTGAGCCGAGATCCTGCCACTGCACTCCAGCCTGGGTGAGAGAGTGAGACTCCATCTCAAAAACAAACAAAAAACAAATGAATGACAATCCTCAATAATCAGATTAGTATTTTAACAATTCCATCTTGCAGTGTGCTGTGGAGATGTCTCTTAATGGGGAATTTGTATGTAACCCCAATTCATGCTGAATGTAATGGATTATGTAGATAAAGTATCTGATTTTTCCTGATACATTCCTGAATTTTATTTGCTATGTTTTTAAATTTTATTTTTCCTTTTTTTCCTATGCATACCCATTTATTTTCTATTTTTAAATTTAGGATGTATGCATTTAAAAATATTTTTGTCAGGTTTTGACTTGAAGTTCTAGGGCAGCATAAAATGAACTGGGAGAGCTTTGAACCCCGTTCTATTTTCCCGGAATTGTTTAAATACCATATGAATTATCTGTTCTTTAAAGCCTATGTAAAATTCAGTCATGGACTTACTATTCTATAACTGAATTTTACATACATAACAGAATTTTACATTCCATAACTGTTCCTGGTGACTTTTCAATGGCAGAATTTTAATCACAATTTCAGTCTCTTCTGTTGAAACTGATCTATTCATGTTTTCAACTTCTTCAGATAACTTTCATAATTCATACTGTGCTAGGAAATAATCTATTTCTTTTGGATTTTCAAATATATTGCTATGGAGTAACATGTACTATTGTACAATTATTTTATTTTATTTTACTTTATTTTATTTGAGACACAGTCTCACTTGTCACCCAGGTTGGAGTGCAGTGGGGTAATCATGGTTCACTGCAGCCTTGACTTGCAGTGGCACGATCACAGCTCACTACAGCCTCGACCTCCGTGGCACAAGTGATCCTGCCAACTCGGCCTCCCAAGTAGCTGGGACTACAGGTGTGCACCACCATGCCCGACTAATTTTTCTATTTTTTGTAGAGATAGAGTTTCACCATGTTGCCTAGGCTGGCCTCAAACTTCTGAGCTCAAGCAATGCACCTGCCCTGGCCTCCCAAAGTGCTGGGATTACAAGCATAAACCACCATGCCTGGCCAGTTTGTACAATTAGTTTATAATCCTCCCTAGATTTTTATTATGTCTTCTTTCTCATTCCTATTAACCTATATTTTTGTATTGTCTATTCCTAAAGATGGGCACGTATCTTATTTTTAAGCATCTTTAATTACTAAGATGTTTAGGTTTATAATATTTATTGTATTGTACATTAAACGTTCCCTGTGTCCCATAGATTTTGGCATGTAATGTCTAACCTTTCATTGTTTCTAGACAGCTTATAATTTTCCATTGCAGGATCCAACTAAAACAGTACTTAGAGCAAAATTTACAATGCTGGGTGCCTATAAAAGAAAAGAAGAAAGGTCTCAAATCACTTACTTCAACTTCCACCTTTAAAAACCAGAAAAAGAAGAGCATGGCTAGGCACAGCGGCTCATGCCTGTAATCCCAGCACTTTGGGAGGACGAGGCAGATGGATCACTTGAGGTCAGGAGTTGGAGACCAGCCTGGCCAACATGGTGAAATCCTGTCTCTACTAAAAATACAAAAGTTAGCCAGGCATGATGTCGCCCTGTAGTCCCAGCTACTCAGGAGGCTGAGGCATGAGAATCGCTTGAACCCAGAAGGTAGAAGTTGCAGTGAGCCAAGATCCCACCACTGCACTCCAGCCTGGGCAGCAGAGAAAGACTCTGTCGAAAAGAAAAGAAAAGAAGGAAGGAAAAATAAAGGAAGGAAGGAAAGAAGGAAGGAAGGAAGGGAGGGGGGGAGGAATAGAAAAAGAAGAGCAAATTAAACCCAAGGTAAGACGAGAGAAGGAAATAATGAAGATCAGAGTGAAAGTCAGTACAATAGAAAACAGAAAAATAATAGAGACAATCAATGAAATCAAAGTCTCGTACTTTGAGATCAATATAATTGATAAACCACTCATCAGACATTATCACACAGTTATTGAGAAGTTTCTGTGAGTCTAGAATCTGAATGTGACCTCAAGGTGTGCAGTCAAGGTGTCAGCTGAAGGCTCAACTAAGAGAGAATGTACTTTTTTTTCTTTTTTTTTTTTTTTTGAGACTGAGTCTCACTGTATTGCCCAGGCTGGAGTGTGGTGGCACAATCTCCGCTCACTGCAACCTCTGCCTCCTGGGATTGATTCCCCATCTCAATGAATGATTCCCCATCTCAGCCTCCTGAGTAGCTGGGATTACAGGCGTGTGCCACCATACCCAGCTAATTTTTGTATTTTTAGTAGAGACGGGTTTTCATCATGTTGGCCAGGTTGGTCTCGAACTCCTGACCTCATGTGATCCACCAGCCTCGGCCTCCCAAAGTGCTGGCATTACAGGCGTGAGCCACCGCACCCAGCCTGAGAGAGAATGTACTTCTAAGCTCATGGGGTTGTTGGCAGGACTCAGTTATTCCCAGGCAATTGGACTGAAGGCCTGAGCTCCTCACTGTGGGCTGGAAACCTCCCTCAGTTCTTGGCCACACGCACCTCTCCATGGGGCAGTCCACAACATGTCAGCTGGCTAGAGCAAGCCAGCAAGTGTGGGAGTGGAACAACACCAGCAAGACAGAAGCCAGAGTCTTTATGCAACCAAATCTCAGCAGTAATATCTCATCGCCAGTGTCACATTCTGTTGGTTAACTGGATGATCAAAATAAGACTTTCATGCATAAAAAATATATAAAATTTGTAAAGTTATGTGGGAGAGTTGGAATGGAAGTTAAATTTCAATAGGTAAAATGCACAAGGTACAATTTCTGACCCTTAATGAAGAGCTTGTTTATGGTATTTTATTTTATTATTTATTTATTTATTTATTTATGAGACAGAGTCTCACTCTGCCGCCCAGGCTGTAGTGCAGTGGCGTGATCTCCGGCTCACTGCAACCTCCACCTCCCAGGCTCAAGTGATTCTTTTGCCTCAGCCTCCTGAATAGCTGGGATTACAGGCGCCCGCCACTACCCTTGGCTAATTTTTATATTTTTAGTAGAGATGGGCCTATGGTAATTTGTAAGTGGATAATGGAGGGTTTCAAATTGCTATTGTATTAATATTCTACTATACATGTAAAAAGACTGATGAGACAGTTTTGTTTTAAAATGTCAGTGTTTACAGTACCCCAGAAATTATATACTTCATAATTATTTGAACTTGTGATAAAACAATTTTTTGTCACATTTGTTAAAATGAGAAAGGAGGCACACAATTTTTTCCTAGTAATTTTATGAGGTGTGCAAGTCTATAACTTTGAAGCCACTGCTCCAAACCACCATGCCATGTTGCCTGGTTGTCTTGAAGGGTATGGCCGGGCTGTTGTCTACACAACAAACATCTTAACTTCCTAAAATAGTCCTTGGCCCATCTGCTCCCCAAAGTTTGCACAGCAGTTACTCCAGCGTCTCTCTCATTGGGCCCCTCGTTGTGACTCCTGCACACAGTGTTCCTCTCTTGTTCTCCAGCTCAGCGGCCCCTGCACTCTGCTCCTGACTTCTGTCCCTCAGGGCGCCCCTGAGAGGCAGGGCCTGGTGTCCCATTCTGACAGCTTCTCTCCCGCGGGAGTAGCCCCTGAAGTCCTGCACAATGACATTTCTCATTTTATTTCATGTGGATTGGGGAGTCTTGATGCCTCATAGAATTGCTATTTACTGGACTGCAGAGTATGCCATTAGTCTGCACAAAGAGACATTACAAGAAAGAAAACACTATTTGAAATGTGTTCCTTATTTATCATAGGGGTGCTGTGGAGAACACTTTTTTTTTTTTTTTTTTTTTTTTTTTGAGACAGTCTCACTCTGTTGCCCAGGCCAGAGTGCAGTGGCACAATCTTGGCTCACTGCAACCTCCACCTCCTGGATTCCAATGATTCTCCTGCCTCCGCACCCAGCTGTTGAGAACATTTTCTATAAGCTCAAATTGTCTTCTTTATGGGAACCTGAGGAAAATACTCTCTCAGCTCTACTGGGTAGAGTTGGCTTGTCTTAGACAACAAGCTAACTTTTATCTTTAGGAACCCATTAAATTTGGAATTAATTGTGCTCCTGTATCTGGCTACTAAGATCAGAGACAAATGTATGGCTGTCCTTTGGAAATTGCACAGGCACTGATAAAGTATGTTACTTGACTATCATACCCTAAATTTCTATTTACTGTGACATCTAAAATCTATTTAATTGTTGCATTGTATGTATCTTTGTAATGTACATACATACATAGTGTTGCCCTCAAATGACGAAATGTTGTATAAAATGCATTCAGAGCCAAAAGCGAGTGAAATGTTGAACTGCATTTTCCATTGTCTTCTGCTGCAGTTCATATTAAGCTGTGTTGCAGAAATGAGTACTGACTGAGAAGCCCAGCACTTTAACTGCCAAGAGTCTTGGAAGCGACATTTACTTTGGTCTGTCTCCCAACCTGCTAGCTCAAAAGACAGATTTGGGCATAGCCTGACTGATTTTGTCTTATGGGGTAGATTCACATTAACCAAACTCATTAGAGATGGATATATAAGCCAGAATTTCATATTATGAGTTTATAATGAAAGATGTATCTGTCAAGTAAACCTCAAATGCTGGCACTGACATGTTTGATGAAGATGGAATGATAACAAAGGGAGTTAATATCATGCCCAACAACAGGAATACAAAAACCCCAGGGCCCAGGACACACACATGGGATGGTGTGCTCAGGGATGGTGGTTAGAAAGGTCCTGCCAACCTCCAGCTCTCTGGGCATCTCTCTTCTGGCTCCCAGTGGATTGACCTTAATATGTCCCTTTAGTCTCATTCCAAAAGATTAAATTTTTAGTTGATAAATTATGTCTACATTGCTGTCTTCCACTTTGAGCCTCAGTCTCTATTCTCATCACCTTAACAGGAGTTTGGGGATAATGACTTAGTCAAACATTTGAAAACAATCTCTTGGTTTATTCCCTGAAAAGGATCACCAATCACTTCCATTCCTTGTAGCTGTTCCATGTGTACCCGGCAGAGGGCGACCCTACTTCCCTCATCCCCAGGTTCTCAGGAGGCACTTCTTGGAACCTCAGCAAAAACATGGCAGCCGTCTTCCCTTACTAAAACTATTTCTTGTTGTTTATAAAAATCTAGAATAAATTTGGCTTTTAAATAACTAAGGTTTAAATTAAAACTGAGAGGTAGCTTTCTGAATACAATATGCATTTTAAAATAAAATATATGTCCAATGGGTGAAAGGCACAGCACTAACAGCTATTCTGGCTTAAAACTCAGCAGATTCATATGATCTATACTAGCACACCTATAGTGCTGGTAATCTGTGTCACATTTATAGGTCACCTTGAGACACAGAAACCTGTTGTTTCTGTAACCTCCAGGTGAATATGGTTGTCTGACTGAAGAGGACATATAAATTCATAAAGCTCTCAGTTCATCTTGATAATTTTATAGCTGCTTCAACATTTCTGAGACAGGTAACTTGGAATACATTTTGGCAGAGATATAGGAAAAAAAGTTTACTCTCTTACCCCAGACTCCAAGGATACTTTTCAAGACTAGATCTCTTTCATTAAAATGTTACTTCTGGAGGCCATGGAGGGTGGATAACTGTGCCCGCCACCATGCCCAGCTAATTTTTTTGGATTTTTAGTAGAGAAGGGGTTTCACCGTGTTAGCCAGGATGATCTCGATTTCTTGACCTCGTGATCCGCCCGCCTAGGCCTCCAAAAGTGCTGGGATTATAGGCGTGAGCCACTGCGCCCGAGTTAGTCAGCCATGAGTACTTGGTCTTCTGTTCTGTATTTGATACTAATTAGAGCTTCCTCACGTAATTTTGAGGGTTTTTGTCTCATTTTTATGGTCAACTGTACTTTATTGGAATGCTTTCAGTTTCAAGTTACCAAAACCTCAACTCGAACTGACTTCAAAAAATAAAGAAATTAGCCCATATAAAAAGCAGTTCAGAGAGGGTGATTTCAGGACTGAATAATCCAGCAGATTAAAATGCCATTGAAATCCTGATCTAACATGTAAGGACTTCAAAGATGCCATTCCATCCTAGTACGTCAAAAGCTGGACAAACTGAAAAATAAACAACTCTTCTCAGGTCTGTCAGGGAAGTGAGGTCACAGGGCAAACTGTTGCCCCCAGACAGAGAAACAGACAGCTGGACACAGAGAACCACAATTTACTGGGGAGGAAACTCACAAGCAGAAAGCTTTGTGGGAACCATTCCAGGGCAGGAAAGCTGCCCTGTAATTGACAAATCGTTTGTGGTTCTGTATGGACAAGTCTATGAGTTAAAAACTCCAACATGACTCAGTCATAGCCCCCACCCCCACTGCTCTCTTGTGACTTTTTCCTCTGGGACCTCTACCAGGTTCTTCCAGTGCATAGCAGAAAAATCCCTTCTGGCTTCCAGCAGAAAGAGTGGGAAGTAACCATTTAAAAAAATATACCAGAGCATTCTGTTCTTTTTTTTTACTTTGAGACAGAGTTTTGCTGTGTCGCCCAAGCTGGAGTGCGGTGGCACAATCTCAGCTCATTGCTACCTCCGCCTCTTGGGTTCAAGCGATTCTCCTCCCTCAGCCTCCTGAGTAGCTGGGACTACAGGCACGTGCCACCACATCTGGCTAATTTTTGTATTTTTAGTAGAGACGGGGTTTCGCAATGTTGGTCAGGCTGGTCTTGAGCTTCTGACCTCGTGATCCGCCCGCCTCGGCCTCCCAAAGTGCTGGGATTACAGGTGTGAGCCACCGCGACTGGCATTCTGTTCTTTCTTAAAAGGCCTGTCCTCAAGATAAACTAGTTTACCAGAGCCTAACCTATTGGTGTTTTATCTGGGTCTAACTTACCTAGGGGAAGGGATACCCAACTTCAGCCCCCCATCCCACCTAAGGTGGGGAAAAACTGACAGGCACTTCAAAATTTATAGCTTAGGTACACAGGGTCACTAAAAGACTGACTTAATCGTAGGACTATGACCCATCAAGCACATACAAACACATTAGTAATAAAGACCTATTTACCAGAGTTCCTTTTCACCCAGCCCATTATGTCCAATTCTCAATAAAAAATTACAATGCACACTAAAAGGCAAAAAACACAGTTTGAAGAGACAGAGCAAGCATGGAACCAGACTTAGACATGCAAAGGATGTTGGAATGATCAGACTGGGAATTTAAAACAACTTTAATTGCTTAATTAAATTAATATGCTAAGGGCTCTAATGAAAAAATTGGACAAACTGCAAGAACAGATAGATAATGTAAGCAGAGAGATATAAATTCTAAGAAAGAATGAAAAAGAAATGCTAGGTATCTGCTATGGTTTGGGTATTTGTCTCCTCCAAATCTCAAGTTGAAATGTGACCCCCAGTTGTTGGAGGTGGGCCTGGTGGGAGGTATACGGATCCTGGGGGTGGGTGCCTCATGAATGGCGTAGCACCATCCCCTTGGTGATGAGTGAGTTCATGAGAGATCTCATTGTTTAAATGTGTGTGGCACCGCCCTCCTTGCTTTCTTGCTCCTGCTCTTACCACGTGACATTCCTGCTCCAACTTCACCTTCTGCCAAGTGTAAAACTTTCCTGAGGCCCTCACCAGAAGCCAAGCAGATGCCAGCACCACACTTCCTGTAAAGGCTACAGAACTATGAGCTAATTAACTCTCTTTTCTTTATAAATTACTCAGCCTGAGGTATTCTTTATAGTAATGCAAAGACAGCCTAACACACAATCAAAACTGCTATAAACAACAATGAAGAATGCCTTTGATGAGCTCAAGGTGATAGTGACAGCAGGCAGCCAAATTCCTGGGCAGATAGGGGTGGATCTCCAGTGAAACCCCACCTCCAAGCTGAAGACAGTTGAAAGCCTGAAAGCCAAGCTACAGGTTAAATCCTCGGAACGGATTGAGAAATCATCTTCCTGTTTGGCATGCTTTCCTCTGATTGGGCCCCACCCTTCACCTATTTTACATATACCTATCCTTTTCTAATAGGTTTTCTACACTGTCATGCCCACCTTTGAGTGGAGGCTTCACTTTAACCTTTCTTGCATACACACAAACCAATCAGCATCCACCCCCCTTCCTGTGCCTATAAAGACCCCAGACTCAGTTGGAAGAGGAGGAGATGGCCTGACTTTGGGGAAAAGATGACTTAACTCCAGGGAAGACGACCTGCCCTTCCCATCTCCTCTCCAGCTCCCCTCTCTATTGAGAGCAGTTTTCATCACTCAATAAAATTCTCTGCCTTCACCTTCCTTCATTTGCATGATCTCATTCTTTTTGGAAACCAGACAAATGCTCAGGACCCATGGAATTCAAGTCCCCAGAAAGGCTGTCACATCAGCCCTTTGTGCTTGTCAGTGCAGGGCAGCCACCCCACACAACAAGGCAAGGGGCCAACTGAGCTGCTAATACACCACCGTCCGCAGTGCAGAACTAAAGGAGCACTGTAACACTTCCTTGGGACTTCAGGAAGGAAGGTTGTGGGCACCCTCACCTGGGTGCCACCATGTTCCCCTCAAGGCGACACGCCTGGTCTGTGCAGGCCCTGCACAGAGATTGCTCCTGTGTCAGTGCCTGAAGCAGCCAGCCAGAGCCTGCACTCACTCTCTCATGTTCTCCCTCCCACAAGGGGTTGAGCATGGTGGGCGGAGTAGATGGGCACCCCTTCCATGAGTCCAGCAAAGGGGCTGAGAAAAATCCTGCATCAAAGGTAACCTGAACATGGCTGAGGAAAGAATTTCTGAACTTGAGGATAAGTCAATAGAAATTTCCAAAACTAAATAGACATTTCTCAGAAGAAGACATACAAACGGCCAACTGGTATATGAAAAAACGCCCAACATCACTAATCATCAGGAAATGCAAATCAAAACCACAGAGATATCATCTCATACCTATTAAAATGGCTATTATTGGCTGGGCATGGTGGCTCACACATGTAATCCCAGCACTTTGGGAGGCTGAGGTGGGCAGATCACTTGAGGTGAGAGTTCAAGACTAGCCTGGCCAACATGGTGAAACCCTGTCCTTACTAAAAATACTAAAAATACAACAATTTACCAGGCATGGTGGTGCATGCCTATAATCCCAGCTACTCGGTCCCAGCTACTGAAGCAAGAGAATCGCTTGAACCCAGGAGGTGGAGGTGGCAGTGAGCTGAGTTATCGCTCCAGCCTGGGTGACAGATTGAGATTCTGTCTTAAAAAAAAAAAAAAAAAAAAAAAAAAAAAAAAAGCCAGGCCTAGTGGCTCACACCTGTAATCCCAGCACTTCGGGAGGCCGAGATGGCTAGATCATTTGAGGTCAGGAGTTCGAGACCAGCCTGGGCAACATAGTGAAACCCCATCTCTACTAAAATACAAAATGTAGTTGGGTGTGGTGGTACATACCTGTAATTCTAGCTACTTGGGGGTGCTGAGGCTGGAAAATCACTTGAACCTGGGAGGCAGAGGTTGCAGTGAGCCGAGGTCATGCCAGTGCACACCAGCCTGGGCGACAGAGTGAAACCCCATCCCAAAAAAAAAAGAAGGTTACTATTGAAAAGACAAAAGATAGGTTGATAAGGATGTGGAGAAAAGAAAACTCCTTGCACACTTTTGGTGAGAAGGTAAATTAGTACAGTCATTATGGCAAACAGTATAGAGGTTGCTCAAAAAATTAAAAAATAGAACTACCATATTGTCTTAGTCCATTTGTGTTGCTACAGAGGAATACTTGAGGTTGGGTAAATTATTATTTTATTTTTTGTAGAGACAGGAGTCTCACTATGTTGTGCAAGCTGGTTTTTATCTCCTGGCCTCAAGCAATCCTCCTGTCTCAGCCTCCCAAAGTACTATTACAGGTGTGAGCCACTGCGCTCTGCCGAGGCTGGATAATTTACGTAGGAAATAAGTTTATTTGGCTCAGAGTTCTGTAGGCTGTACAAGATGCAGTACTGGCATCTATATCAAACTGCTTCCACTTATGGTGGAAAGCAAATGGGAGCAGGCATGTACAGAGATCACATGGTGAGAGAGAAAGAGAGAGCAAGAGAGAGAGGAGGCAGGCATTAGGCTCTTTTTAACAACCAGTTCTCATGGTAATTAATAGAGTGAGAACTCATACATTACCTTGAGGATAGCACCAAGTCATTCCTTAGGGATCCAATGACTCAAACACCTCCCACCAGGTCCCACCTCCAACAATGGGGATCAAATATCAACATGAGACTTGGCAGGGTCAAACAAACCATATCCAAACCATGGCACGTATGATCCAGCAATTCCACTTGAGTATATACACTTGGGTATATTTCCAAACGAAATGAAACCAGTATGTCCAATAGATATCTGCACTCCCATATTTGTTGCAGCATCATTCATAATAGCCAAGACACAGAATCAACCTAAGTGTCCATCAATGCATGAATGGATAAAGAAAATGTTACACACACACACACACACACACACACACACAGTGGAATACTACTCAGCCTTAAAAAAGAAGGAAGTCCTGTCATTTGTGACAACATGGATGAATCTGGAGGATGTTATACTAAGTGAGATAAGCCAGGCACAGAAAGAAAAATACTGCATGCTCTCACTTATACAAGGACTCTAAAAAGGTTGAACCCATAGAAGCAGAGAGTAGAAATGCCAGGGACTGAAGAAGGTGGGGGGAAGAGGGAGATGTTGGTCTAAAAGTATGAAGTTTCAGTTAGGAAGAGAAGAGTCAATTAGATATATCAACAATTTCCAATATGTAAACTATAAACTGTAATTTGAAGAAAACTGTAAACAATTTTATTTAAAAAAATTAAATGACTATACTGAAAAAAAAATTTTCAGGAAAATGCAACAAGGTGTTACAAACAGACATGGCTAAGGCACTGATTGAAGTATATAAATAACAAGAATTACTATTATTTTTTGAGGTGGTTTCTTGCTCTATTACCCAGGCTGTAGTGCAGTGGTGTGATCTTGGCTCACTGCAACTTCCACCTCCCAGGTTCAAGCAATTATCCTGCCTTAGCCTCCCGAGAAGCTGCAATTACAGGAGTCCACCACCATGCCTGGCTAATTTTTTGTATTTTTAGTAGAGTCGGGATTTCACCGTGTTGGCCAGGCTGGGCTCGAACTCCTGACCTCAGGTGATCCACCCACCTCGGCTTCCCAAAGTGCTGGGATTACAGGTGTGAGCCATCATGCCCGGCCTATTGTTTTTAATGTTCAAATAATCCATATCAAGCTTTTACAATTATGTAAACATTCTGGATAATTGTTATTTATCTTTAAAAATTTTGATTAGTGAAAAGTTTCTTAATTTTAAAAAGCCCACTGATAAATTAAACTTGTTATTCAATAAACGTTTTTTGTTTGTTTTTGAGAAAGGGTCTCACCCTGTCACCCAGGCTGGAGTGCAGTGGCACAATCACAGCTCACTGCAGCCTTGACTTCCCAGGCTCAAATGATCCTCCCACCTCAGCCTCCTGAGTAGCTGAGACTACAGGTGCACACCACCATGCCCAGCTAATTTTTCTATTTTTTGTGGAGACAAGGTTTAGCCATATTGCCCAAGCTGGTCTTGAACTCCTGAGCTCAGGCAATCCACTTGCCATGGCCTCCCAAAGTGCTGGGATTACAGGAGTGAGCCACCAATCCCAGCCAATGAATTAATTTTTTTTAAAGTGTCATTGAAAAGTTTTTTTTTTTCTGCCTCTCTACTCTGCCAACCAGGATCACCATTATCCTAAAGGTTTTTGGGTTTTTGTTTGTCCCATAGTTGTTGGATAGTTGCTGGTAGCAACCAAATTACCTGTTTTCCTTGTTCAACTCTGTTGGGAGAGAGGCTGACTTCTCATAGTTCTCACCTAGATGTGGGAAAGAACATTTCCAGATGTCTCTAGAAAACCTTTCTTCATGCTTTTAGTCCACATATGAATTACATAACCATATGTAGTTATGAACCACATCATTGAACCCATCACTGGCAAGGGTGATGTAATTTCAGTCTAATCCTGGGGCTTTACCTGAGAATTTTACCTGTGTGGGAGAGGATAAGGATGGGAACCTAACCAAGTCAGAACTCTATTAAAGAAGAAATAGTGGATGGGTGCTAACACCAGCATCTACTAAACATACTGTTTTGCATTTCTTGTGATCACATTTCATTCTTCTTATGAAAGCAAAATTTTATTGATTCATAGATTAAAGCAATAAATACCTTTTATAAAAAATGATTGCTGTATTTCCAAGTTCATGCAGCTCAGGATGTATTTTACTTCTCTTGAGACTTCCTCTTTGACAACTTACAAGTTTGGGGAGGTTTTTCTGTTGTTATTGATTTCTAGTTTGATTCATTTATGGTCACATATTTTATATGTTTCACTTACTTTAAATGTGTTAGAGTTTGTTTCATAACCCAAGATATGGTCTATCTTGGTGAATGTCCCATAAATGCCCAAAAAATGTGTATTACGTATTGGCTGATAGTACTGTTCAGTTCTCCCACGCACTTGCTTTTTGTCTAGTGGGTTTATCCATTACTAAACAAGGGGTGTTGAAGTCCCCAACTGTAAACTGTAAACTTGTCCATTTTTTCCTTTTAGTTCTATCAATTCTTAGATCATATACTTTGCAGCTGTGTTATTTGGTTAATGCACACCTGTTGTCTTTTTGTGATCTGACCTCTTCATCATTATGTAATGTATTTCTTTGTCCCTGGCAATTTTCTTTTGTCCTAAAGTCTACCTTGTCTGATAGTAAGTCATCCACTCCAGCTTTCTCTGAATTACTGTTTGCAAGGTGTATCTTTTCTATCCTTTTACTCTTAGTTTATTGATATTGAGATTTACTGATAAATCATTGTTAATTTACTGATATTTTGAGTTTCTTGTAGTTAGCATTTGGTTGGGTCAGGTTTTTAAATTCACTCTCACAATCTTGGTGTGTTTAGACCATTTACATTGAATGTAATTACTGATATGTGAGGTTATAGGTCAGTCATTTTATTGTTTTGCTTTTTTCCTGTTTCCTCTTACCTGTCTTCAAGTGGGTTATTTGGGCATTCTTTAGTAGTCCATTTTGATTTATCTACATTTTTGAGTGTATCTCTTCATATAGTTTTTCAGTGGTTACAGACTGCAATACACACATGAAGTTTACTGCAGTCTACTACTATCAACATCTACCACTTGAAGTGGAATGTGGATATTTAACCACCATTTAAGTCCCTTTTACTGCCCCCACTCTGTGATGTAATTGTCTAAAATACTTCCTCTACATACACTGAGAACCACATCAATGTTGTAATTTTTACTTTAACTTTTAAATGAAAAGTATAATTGGATATTATACTTGTCTTCCATAACAAGTTCAATGTCTACATATCTACTCATTTACTCAACATCCACTCATCCATGAACTTGTTAGCCACTTTTCCATCCACTATGCATTCAATGCATCCATCTGTAATCCTTGAAATTCATCTGAAACTTGTTTCTAACATATTTGAGTCTGACTATCCTCTGAGATCTATTCTCTCTTTCCTTTCCTTTTTAATTCATTCAGATGTTGTTTTGTAAGTGTTTACATTTATTTCAAGCAGTACTCTCCCCAAATGAACCATAAGCATCTTGGCAGTGGATTTCTATTCATTTTGTATATTCCCCTAGGACCTGTTGTGGTGTTCTAGCATCTACGTGATACCTAACTCTACAAATTACTACTGATTTAAAAAAATAATTCAGACATCTACATGCCTACTAGATGACGCACCAGGTTTTCCACAAAACTTCCTATACATCTAGCCCTAGCACCCAAAACACCTGGACCCTGAGGAAACTGTGACCACGAGTTGTTTTTGAAGAGCAAAACTTCTGAGATTAAAATTCCCTAATCTTACACAGCTTGCTCTAAAAAAGTATTCCAAAACATTCTTAGAAACTTTTGCCCCAAATATTAGCCACAAAATTGTCATACTTTCATAACTCCTTTGTGTATCCATCCATCACACACATACCCTTGTACACAGCTAACACATTACATTCAATTACCCCATTGTAGAAGAGGAATAATTTATTTCTATATGATTTTAATAATGTTCCCTAAGTAATTAGTAATCAAGATTTTCTTCAAATTCAAATTAACAAATATGTTTGTTAATCTAAATAATATACATATTTATGTATTTATATATGTATATATTTTAATCTTTCTGTAATTCAGTCTTTAACTGTGAACTTTTACATGATGGAAGCAGTGAAGGACTCAATGTCATAGTACATTTTGATAGTATTTGATAGGCTTTTTCAGGTCAATTAATTTAGTTGCTTGCAAATATAAATCAAGCTTGCTCCAGTTCCACAAGGACTCCACCACAGTCTTTAGGATGGAGAAAAATCACTGGTTTTCCATGTGCTCCTATTTTGACCTCTTCACTTAGACTGCGGATCTTCTTTTTTTTCAAATCCATCACAGCTGCATTAATATTATCCACCTTAAGAAAGGGAAATAAATTGAACACATTTGAGATCATAAAAATACCAACTTATAGTATCATAAGACTTAGAAAAAACTTTGAGAGCTCATGCAGTCTATCTCCTCTGCCTGTGGGCAGGACCATTCTTAAATCATCATAAAAAATAAGCTTAAAATTTTCAGAGAAGTAAGAGAAGTTACTAAATTTTTCTAGGTAAGCAACCACAATGCTCAGAATTTTCACCATTAGTAAATGTTTCTTCTTATAATCTAAATCATGTATGATATACTTTATAATAGTTTATTCTGGCAGTACTATTAGTGAGATTGAAGACATTGCTTTTTCCTGAGAACCCTGGGTCCTCATCTATAACAGGCAAATGAGGTCTACCACATAAATTGACTACAGATTAAAATGAGGTAACAGATAAAAAGCTTTCAGTACAGTTTATGGCATAATAGGTACTTAGCAAATATGAGTGTTTCCCTGATCCCCAAAACTTGCCCTGCCAAAACACCTGGTTATTACCTTTGACATTATCAAGACACACATGAAAATCACTATTAAATTGCCATCAAAATGTTATTCCCCACCCAAAAAAATTTCAAACTTTAATGTTTTTGCAGCCTCTTCTAAGTTATTTCTATTTTCTTCATACTTATGGACACTCTAGGAGGAGCAGATGTGTCTCTCTATACTTGACGGAGAAATGATCTGCCTCTATCTTGGAAAGTCACCCACTTAGACTGGGAACCTAAGAAATGGATGAAAAGGTATGATATGAATGGCCACATTCCTAGGCAGTCATAAATCACTAGTTTAATTAAAATCACTAGTTTAATTAAAAAAAACACACAAAAGCACAGAGACTAGTTTAACACCCATGTACCTACCATTCAGATCTAATAAATATTAGTATTTATACAATTTTATTTCCAAAGAGCCAAGGATTATATGCTGAATTCTAAAACCAGTCAAACAGCTAATGAGGATACTAAATGTTACATAAATAAGCTATGATTTCTTCATATGGCACATATTCTACTTGTATTCCTGATATTTCTTTTTTAAACCTCATAGATATGTCAAAGTCACACGTGCCTAGATTCTGAACACAGCTCATTTCATGACATCTTGCACTGTAGCTGGTTAATTCTCATCTTTTTCAGAATAGAACATGCACTAGAAGCTCGTGGCAGGAACGGCTCGACCCACTTAGTGAGGAAAATTGGTCCTCACTGATGTCAGACATTGTCAATTTTATCTTATTTTTAAATTCATATCAATATTATTAAGCTTTTCTTCTGCTGCGTTAGGTGGGATTGGAGCAGCTTTTAGTCTAGGACTAATTTTCCTCACTACCAAGCCAAAGCCCTTCTGAGTACTCTTCCCAATGTTACGGAAATTACTATGACTAGTAAGAAAAAACTATCCCCACCTCTGTGTGTGGATTATTCCCTCTAATCCTTTCAAGGGGTTCTATTCTAGCTTCCTAACATGCGTGCAATACTCGAAGCTCCGATGAAGACATGAAAGGTACTACAGATCTTTAGAGTTCACTCTCTGTGCAGCTCTCCTTTCCAGGAGAGAGCTGTGAACTCTAGCACCATGGCCTCCTCAGACTTCCAACTCCTATCTCCGCAACTCAGGGAGACCACTAAGTTCCACGTGGATTCCCCCTTCCTGCACTGCAGTCTGGAAACTCTCTACAGCCAGTAAACTGGGTAATTGTAGGGCTCATCTTGTTTGTTTACCCTCTCTCAGAAATCAATTCCTGTGCTGCCTGATGTCCAATGCCAGAAATCCATTATGTCATGTATTTTGTCTAGGTTGCTTGTTTGTTTCAGGGAGGATAAACTGATCTCTTTTACACCAACTTGGCCGGAATCAGATTTCTAAATTGGCAGGTTTTTTCTGTCAGCAACTAAAAAGTGTCATTACATGTCATTCTATAATATGTCTTTTTTACTTTGATTGCTTTTAAGATTTTCTTGTCATCTTTGATTTTCAGTTTGACTATGGTGTGCTTAGGTGTGGTTTTCTTTCTTTTGAGACAGAGTCTCACTCTGTCACCCAGGCTGGAGTGTAGTAGTGCGATCTCAGCTCACTGCAACCCCTGCCTCCAGGGTTCAAGCAATTCTCCTGCCTCAGCCTCCAGAGTAGCTGGGACTACAGGCACACGCCACCATGCCCAGCTAATTTTTATATTTTTAGTAGAGAAGGGGTTTCACCATGTTGGCCAGGATGGTCTCGATCTCTTGACCTTGTGATGTGCCCGCCTCTGACTCCCAAAGTGCTGGGATTACAGGCGTGAGCCACTGCACCTGCCTTTTTTTTTTTTTTTTTTTTGAGACAGAGTCTCACTCTGTCACCTAGGCTGGAGTGCAATGGCATGATCTTGGCTTACTGCAGCCTCTGCCTCCTGGGTTCAAGCGATTCTCCTGCCTCAGCCTCCTGAGTAGCTAGGATTATAGGCATGTGCCACCATGCCTGGCTAATTTTTGTATTTTTAGTAGAGACTGGGTTTCACCATGTTGGCCAGGCTGGTCTCGAACTCCTGAACTCAAGTGATCTGCCCGACTTGGCCTCCCACAATGCTGGGATTACAGGCGTGAGCCACTGTTGCCCGGCCTGGTGTAGTTTTCTGTTTGCCCTACTTGGGGTTGCTGACTTTCTTGAAACCATAGAGTGATGTTTTACATCAGATTGGTAGTGTCCTTGTCAACTATTTTTTCAATTACTGCTTCTGTTCTATTTTCTCTCTCTTCCTTTTCTGGGACTCCAACTATATTCTGCTAGAACTTTTGACCATGTCCTACATCTGTCTTATGCTCTATTCTGTTT
The DNA here is from genome assembly GCF_000001405.40 of Homo sapiens. Classification (NCBI taxonomy): domain Eukaryota; kingdom Metazoa; phylum Chordata; class Mammalia; order Primates; family Hominidae; genus Homo; species Homo sapiens. Next base: position 71,112,949 of record NC_000002.12, read on the forward strand.
TCTTTTTCTTCCATATTTTTTACCTCTTGATTTTGGAATTCTAGTTTCTAGAACTGTGAAAAGAATAATTTCTGTTTTAAGCCACTAAGTTTGTGATCATTTATTATAGCAGCCCTAGAAGACAAATATAACTACCACACATCATACCGAAATTGAACAACGAAGTAGATGGATGGCTGATAGTGGGAGCTAAGTTTCTCACTGTTGGAATGAGAAGATAAAGGCTAGTGTGGTCTATGTGGTAATGGATTAGAGCTGGAGACGTCAGTATGCTCTGAGGAGTTTATGACATTTCATGAATTCTATAATATAGTTATATACAGAAATGTGTATAGATATGTGTATATATACAGTATACACACATATATATCTCCCTGTTGTCCTGGCTCAGTAGGGCAAGAACCAATGACACACCCAGTAGCAATAAGCACACTTAGAACCTAGATCTTGGCTTCTAATACCATTCTCCAGTAGTAGGAACCAGGGCTCCTAGATGAAATGTCTAATTATATGGCTAGGGCAAAGAGTAAAGAAGATGAATTTGGAGCATCTCATATAGAAGATGAATTTGGAGTATCTTACAGTGCCAGAAAAAGAAAGGAAGTGCTTAAAAAACAAACACAAAACACAAAACCAAAAATGATCGGGGTATGTCAAAGGGACATAAGAATCAACTGAAAGAGCTCCTAATGGCCAAAGCTGGAACAATCTGAGGGGAAAAAAAGTAGTATTAGATTGTAATGCAAGTCATAAAATAAATATCCACAAGTCCATACTGATATAACTCTCTATTCCTTAAGTGTGGGCCTTGCATAATGACTTCCTTCCAAAAGAGGATAGTATGGAGGAGAAAAAAAGAACAGCTTTCCAGTGGAGAAACCTGACAACACCTCCTCACCTGGGAGATCAAGGTTAATATCAACAGTAGTAAGTCATGTTGATAGTATGAATCCTTGATATGATGTGATGAAAATGACACTTTACCTCTATGGTCTTCCCAAAATCAATAACATGAGTCTAATAAGAAAAATATCACACAAATCTCAACTGAGGGACAGTTTACAAAATAACTGAACAGTAATCTTCAAAAGTGTTAAGGTCATCAGAAACAAGGAAAGGAGATCCTAGAAAAAGGTTAGAAAACAAAACAAAACAAAAAAACAAGGAAAGTTTGAGAAACTGCCACATGCAAGAGGAGCCTCAGCAGATACGATGACTAAATGTGATGTGCTAGGGGTGGAGGAGTGGGGGAAGGGAGAGCATCAGGATAAATAGCTAATGCATACAAGGCTTAATATCTAGGTAATGCATTGTCAGGTGCAGCAAACCACCATGGCATACGTTTACCTATGTAGCAAACCTGCATGTCCTACACTTGTATCCTGGAACTTAAAATAAAATTAAAAAAAAAAAATGTGATGTGAAATCCTAGATGGGATCCTGGAATAGAAAAGGGACACTGGGTAAGAACTAAAGGAATCAGAATAAAGTACAGACTTTAGCTAATAACAATGAATTGGTATTGGTTCACTAATTGTGATAAATGTATCAAACTATTATAAGATGTTCATAATTTTTTTAAAGCATCTGATGAGATTAACCACTGTTTATAATGAGTGGATCTTGTTTTTATCCTGATTAGAGCAAATCAACTATAAAAAGACATTTGTAAATCAATCTGGGAAATTTAATTTATGAGCTGTGTATAGATGGTGCCAAAAGATTTCCCTTTAATTTTGACTGAAGTGCCAGAAAATAAAGATGATGTCACCGTGGTTATTTTTGTATTTCTTAGAGACCCAAACTGAGTAAGGGTAAAATGACATGTTGTTCATTTAAAATAATTTAAGGAAAAAAGAAAAAAAGATGACGTGTAGCAAGAGCTTGAAAACTGTTGAACCTGGGTGATGAAAGTACTGACATGATTTTTTTTCTACTTCTCATATGTTTGAACAATTTCATGATATAATCATGACTTTTTCCATAGTGCCCTTTTGATAACTCCTATGCTACATGTGATTATGAATATTTTCATTTATGGAACATTCTATCCAAGTACAAGTATCTATAATTTTGACATTGCAACCCAATGTTTTAGTATACTCCTTCTTCAATATCCCTCAATCATGAATTACTTCAAGCCTGGGCACAGTGTTTCATGCTGGGCACAGTGGTTCATGCCTATAATCCCAGCACTTAGGTGGGGCCAAGGTGGGAGGATGGCTTGAACCCAGGAGTTTGACACCAGCCTGGGAAACATAGTGAAGCCCCATCTCTATAATCAATCAATCAGTCAGGTGTGGTGGCACACACCTGTAGTCTTAGCTACTCAGGAGGCTGAGATGAGAGGACTGCTTGAGCCCAGGTTGAGGCTGAAGTGAGCTATGATGGTGCCACTGCACTCCAGCCTGGGTAACAGAGTGAGACCCTGTCTCAAAAAACTAATAAATGTCTAAATGACATTGCACTAGCATCTACTTCTACTTCTGTTACTATTTCTATCACTAACTTCAATTTTAAAGCTCTTTTACCATATTTATCCTTCTGTTAGTGTTGCTATACATTTTATGATTCTTTTAAGAGTACTCCTAATGCTTTGTTTGGCAGTAATAAAAAGAATAAAATTAAAATGTCTTAATTTTCTGAATTGAAAGTAGATGCAATAGTTGTAAGAAATGCAGAGCAATTTGATTTGGGAAATTAAATCAGTCCCTCTAAGTAAGGATGAAAGTAACACAGTCAGTAATAACCCATCTTTTAAAAAAAGGGAGGTTTTCAAACACTGCATGTTCTCACTCATAAGTGGGAGTTGAAGAATGAGAACACATGGACACAGGGTGGGGAGTCATATACCGGGGCCTGTTGGGGGGTGGGGGAAAGGGGGGGATAACAGTAAGAGAAATATCTAATGTAGACGACGGGTTAATGGGTGCAGCAAACCACTATGGCACATGTGTACCTTATGTAACAAACCTGCACGTTCTGCACATGTATCCCAGAACTTAAAGTATTAATTTAAAAAAGGGGGGGGTTATGGTTTTTTAAAACTGCTTTTATAGTCCTTCAAACAATTACAGAGTGTACCATATAGTTCTGGAAGACTTTGCATACCACTAGTGAAAATCGGGGCTATTTACTTTTCTTTTTTTTGAGATGGAGTCTTGCTCTGTGGCCCAGGCTGGAGTGCAGTGGTGCAATCTCAGCTCACTGCAAGCTCTGCCTCCCGGGTTCATGCCGTTCTCCTGCCTCAGCCTCCCAAGTAGTAGGTGCCCGCCACCACGCCTGGCTAATTTTTTTGTATTTTTAGTAGAGACAGGGTTTCACCGTGTTAGCCAGGATGGTCTCGATCTCCTGACCTCGTGATCCACCCGCCTCGGCCTCCCAAAAGTGCTGGGATTACAGGCGTGAGCCACCATGCCCGGCCCTTTACTTTTCACTTCAACTTCTTACCAGCTATTTCCTTTTTCTTTCTTTCTTTCTTTTTTTTGGTATTTATCTGTATCTGAGAGTTTATCTTGATTCTGCCCCTTCACCTGCAAATTAAGAGTGACAATAACCCGAATAAAAAATGTTTGGATTGTCACAATCAGAATTCAAAACTTTTTTTTTTTTTTTTTGAGATGGAGTCTCGCTCTGTTACCAGGCTAGAATGCAGTGGTGCGATCTCAGTTCACTGCAACCTCCGCCTCCCAGGCTCAAGGAATTCTCCTGCCTCGGCCTCCCGAGTAACTGGGATTACAGGCGCGTGCCACCATGGCTAATTTTTATATTTTTAGTAGAGATAGGTTTCACCATGTTGGCCAAGCTGGTCTCCAACTCCTGACCTCAGGTGATCCTGCCTCGGCCTCCCAAAGTGCTGGGATTACAGGCGTGAGCCACTGCACCCGGCCAGAATTCACAATCTTCAGGTACATCTCATAACCTCTTTGGTCCTCAGCTTCCCCATCTGAAAATGGCAATACAATCTTGTTTATTTCAAGCCAAGTAATTGGGCTAAATAACTCTAACCTTAAGGTATGTAATCCTCAATGACCAAATTTTATGAAAAAGTAATAATGTACCCCTCTTAACTATACATGACATTTGGACAGATTTAACAAACATAAGCTTTAATTTTATATACAGTTGTAATGGTGCTGATATAATGAATGACTTCAATCCTCAAATTGGTATAAATCCATGAAAGTTAAAGTGAAAAGTCTGGATTAAGTATTTGTTGTATTTGTTCCAACTGTATCTCCTCAAAAGCTAAAAGCTGAGTGAATTATGCAAGCCTAACACTGTCTCACTTTACATAGGGTTCAGATGGTTCCAGTCTTCTTGGATTTATTTCAGAAGAGCACATGTTACCTAAGCTTCCACAATGACTATATAGTCTAGTGGGGGCTATGTGGAGTATCCATCAAATGCTTGTCTCTGCTGAAATTTTCACAGTGGATAGTAAAATATTTTTTTAATTCCCTAGTTTATTGTGAAAAGCCAAAATGAGAATAAAATTTTTTAAAAAGGAGAATATTTTCCTTTCTTGATTGAAGAACAAACATTACCCAGTATGTAGGAAATGAGTTACCTCACTAGCCTGTTACTTTGAAGTTATAAATTTTTTCTTTCCTAAGGAATATATGCTGTCAAAAAAGATCTGCAAAACATATAAAAGCACAAACAAGAAAATGAGTCATCTATTGTCTAATCACTCAGAAAATAAAACTGCTATAATTGCTGCATTTCTCTACCTTTTGTCTTAGTTTTTAAATACTATTAATATTTTTCTCATGTGCTTTTCCCCAGCAGCCTGCAACAGTAATTTCAAGATTACCTTGAAATCAAATCCAACATCTCTGTCTGCCACTGGGAAGCCAGGCTCCCATGATCCTTACTACCTACTCATCTAACCAGCCCCTTCTCTGTCACCGGTCCCTATGATTCTGCAGCCCCTCCCTCAGCCTCAGCACTGCACTCATCACCCTCCATGTGCTCCAACCGTGGGGCTGCCCTCTTCATCCCATCTGAGCTCCCACTCACAATTCCAGGCCACACCACCCCTGCACAGAGGCCTGTTACCCCATGTGAGCTGGGCCACTCCCTGTGCTGCAGTCCTCCTTGCCTTTTGTGGGATTCAACATCCCGCCCGGAAGCGTCCCAGTGGATACACATCCTCCTCACCCTGTGTGGCTCTGACTCCCCATACCTGCCCCCTACCCCATGTGAACATCTGCCTCACCCTTCTCAGGCCCTGCTCCCATACCAGGCCACTCCCTGCGAGGACACCCAGCTTATCCCACCTGGGCTTCAACTCCCCACATTAGTCACCATTTTCCCCTGCAACGATGCACTCCCCACAGGACCAGCCCTGGCCCTCCATGCTGGGCGTGCCCTCCCCACAGTGTCGGTGCCCCTACCCTGCTCTGGCTCTCCCACTCCTTGCTGCCGCTGCCCCTCAGGTGGACGCTCTTCTCAACATCCTTGGGCTCCAGCTCCCTGCTCTGAGCTGTGTCTCAGTCCATTCGGGCTGTTAGAACAAAATACCTAAACTAGGTGGCTCAGAAAAAACAGAAATTTGTCAGTTTGAGAGCCTGGGAAGTCCAAGATCTAAGTGCTGGCAGATTCAACATCTGGTGGGGGATTGGTGGTTCACAGACAGCACCTTCTCACTGTCCTCCCGTAGCGGAAGGGGCAACGGGTGTCTCTGAGGCCTCTTTTATAAGGACACTAATCCCATTCATGAGGGATAGGCCTACTGCTCATGAATGAGGCCTCAGGAATCATCTCCCTAAGGCCCCACCTCCTAACACCATCACTTTGGGGTTATGATTTCGACATATGAATTTTGAGGGGACATAAGCATTTAGTTCTAAGCTGGCCTCCCATGCTGATGCCCTCCTCACTCTGACACTGCAAGTCAAGATGCTCCCTTGGGCACAAACGCACAAACCCTGCTCAGACTCGGACACCTTGCACTGGAACTCCCCATGCATGGGCACTCAGTCTCTGGCTTCCCCGGGGCAGGCAGCTCTCACTCATGGATGCCCTCCTCACCTTGCCAGGATCCCAACACCCTGCTTTAGGCCAGTCTGGTTCTCCCCATCAACAAAAATGACTCTTCTGCTCTGTCCTACCTGAAGTCTTCAGGAAGGGAAGGAATGGGGAGGAGTCATAGGTACTCAATACTGTTTATTTCCTTTTTTGTTTTTGGTAAGTAGAAAGAAATACAGTCATGTGTCACTTGATGGGTACGAGTCCTGAGAAATGCATCACTAGGCAATTTCATTGTTGTGCGAACATCACCACACCTGGATGGTGGCGCCTACTACACACCTAGGCTACAGGGTACAGTCTATTCCTCCTTGGCTACAAACCTGTACAGCATGTTACTGAAAACTGTAGGCAAGTGTAACACAATGGTGTCTAAACACATTTCAACACAGACAAAGTACAATAAAAATACAGTGTATAACCTTATGGGACCTCATGTGGACTCATCACTGACTGAAACATTGTTATGCGGTGTGGGACTGTATTTGGCTAAACTAGTAAGGTATGCTAATCATCCCTTATATTTCCTCTTTGTTGCAACTAGCACTATTACTTCTGTTTATCCTTTTGTACTTTGTAGGCTGTGTTTTAGTCAGTCACCTTTAATCCTCTCTGGAAAATGAGGAGCATGTGTGAATAAATGAAGCAAGCAGGCAAGCTCTGGGTAGACAGGAACTTTCTGCTTGTTCAGCCACATATCCCCAGCATCTTGTACAGTGAAGGACAGAGTGATACCAAAAATACTTAACAATCAGGAAAATACAAAGATACTAATCAGATAGAATTGTGCGGCTGAGCATGGTGGTTCATGCCTGTAATCCCAGTGCTTTGGAAGGGCTGAGGTAGAAGGATTGCTTGAGCCAAGAGTTTGAGACCAGCCTGGGCAATATAGCAAGAATTTGTCTCTTAAAAAAAAAAAAATTAGCTGGGCATGATGGTGTGCTGCCTGTAGCCGTAGCTACTCAGGAGGCTGAGGTAGGAGGGTCGCTTGAGCTCAGGAGTTCCAGGTTGCAGTGCGTAATGATTGTGCCACTGCACTCCAGCATGGGTGACACAGTGAGACCCTCTCTCTGAAGGAAAAAAATTGTAGAGGGAGAAGGGTGTCTGAAGGGTCCCAGAAAAGGGTCCTTCTGGAAAAGGAATGTTACTCAGGTGTTACAGAGCAGCAGCTGTTTACCAACCAACACGGAAGCATTTAAATATTTTTACAAACTCAATACAAATTTGAGTAAGTATTTCTGGTGGCCCTTAAAGTCTTCACTGTGACACACTGTGCTGTCTGGCTAAGTTCTCCAGAGAAAGCACGGCCAGCTTTGTCTCCTCAAGCAGAGGCACGCAGAAGGCAGGGAAGGTGACCCCCCTCTTGCCATCGCAGGCAGCAGTTAGGAGCACAAACACAAGCTGTGCCAGAAAACAGTGGGTGATTCAGTCCATACTTGAGCAAGAGAAGAGATGGGACAAGATGCCCTCTAAAATTCCTCTAGTGAGAGGCAAAGACACACAAGAAATATGAGTAAACCTCACAAGAAAAAGTAGAAACCAACTCAACCTCGACAGAAAAATGCTAATTAACTATTGAGATCGTAATCCACATGTGAGAAAGGAACATTTCGTCAAGTGAGTCAACAAAAACCATGGAGCATGCACCAACAGATATATGCTAAGTCAGAGGTTTTATAAGATCCTGGTGAAAAAGGACAGAAAGTAGCCCTGTGATTACAGAGGGGAAAGCCAATTCTCTGATGAGTGGTTCAACATTTTTTTTTTTTTTCCTGAGATGGAGTCTTGCTCTGTTGCCCAGGCTGGAGTGAAGTGGCATGATCTTGGCTCACTGCAACCTCTGCCTCCCAGGTTCAAACGATTCTCCTGCCTCAGCCTCCCAAGTAGCTGGAATTACAGGTGTGCGCCGCCACGTCCAGCTAATTTTTGTATTTTAGTAGAGATGGGGTTTCACCGTGTTGCCCAGGCTGGTCTCAAACTCCTGAGCTCAGGCAATCTGCCCACCTCGGCCTCCCAAAGTGCTGTAATAAGCATGAGCCACCATGCCCAGGTGACACACCACTTTTTAAAAATCACCAAGCGTGGCATCCATTGATGGCCTCCAGTACCTTTCTCCTTTTCCTCCTTTTAATTACAGCAACCCCCAAGCTTCAGCAGGGCACATAACTGCCTAGCTAGAGACTACATTCCCCAGCCTCCCTTGCAGAGAAGTGTGTCATGTAACTAAGCTTGGGCCAATGGGATAAGGACAGAAGTGATCCTAGAGCATCTCCTTAAAGCCACTTGCCAGGTATTCCCACTCCACCTTCCCTTCCCTTCCCTCTGGCTGGCAAATGGTGATGCCTGGAGCAACCTTGTAAGTCATGTGTCATGGACAGCAGAGCTGCCCATCAGCCTGGGATAGCTAATATTAGACTGAAAACAGAAAAATAAAATCTTGTTAAGCCACTTAATTTTTTTGTGGAGGGCAGAGAATGATGATGGGGGTATTATACTAAAATAGCACCTAACTAACCACTGTTCACACCTTCTCCTCTTACCTACCTTCATTTTATATCCAATACATTTGCATGTCCCCCTTATAATCTCTGCTTTTGAATCTGCCATTACTGAACTTCCACTATTCCTTACTTAACTGAACTAAATCACATAGCTGAACTCCTTTGAAAGCATGGGCTCTCTTGATGGAATACTGATAGTGCAGTGTGGGAGAGGGGGGAGTGGATTCAAAGGTCCTGCTTCTCATCCTGGGGGGTGGGGTAGGGCTTAGACAAACACTCAGGTCCACTGACAAAGACCTGCAGCCAAAAGTAACTCCCTAAAAATAAAATAAAGGCTAATATTAGGACTTGTTTAGTTCCCTGCTTAAGGTCTTATAGCTTCCCCACCGCAAATTTAAAACTCAGTTAATATAATGAAGGCAACTGGCATCATGGGTAAGAGTGCAGACCCTGGAATCAGAACCAATCTGGGATTCAGCCCCATACCTGCTATTGATATGACCATGGGCAAATTAACTACTCTGTCTCAGTTTCCTTTCCTGTCAAATGGGGATAATAGGGCCCTCACAGGGTAGCTATGAAAATTCAAGAAAATAGTATGTGTTGAGTTACTTTGTAGACATACTACTAGAGGACTCACTAAATGTTAGTTCTTTTTTTTGAGACAGGGTCTCGCTCTTTCATTCAGGCTAGAGTGCAGTGGTGTGATCACGGCTCACTACAACCTCCACCTCAGCACTTCCTGGGCTCAAGTGATGCTCCCACATCAGCCTCCCAAGTAGCTGGGACTACAGGTGCATACCACCACACCTGACTAGCTTTTTGTATTTTTAGTAGAGACACGGTTTTGCCATTTGGCCCAGGCTGGTCTCAAACTCCTGGGCTCGAGCAATCTGCCCACCTTGGCCTCCCAAAGTGCTAAGATTACAGGTGTGTATTAGTCCATTTTCACGCTATTGATAAAGACATACCCGAGACTGGGCAATTTACAAAAGAAACAGGTTTAATGATTTACAGTTCCACGTGGCTGGGGAGGCCTCACACTCATGGCAGAAGGCAAGGAGGAGCAAGTCACATCTTACATGGATGGCAGCAGGCAAAGAGAGACAGATTGGGCAGGGAAAATCCCCCTTATAAAACTGTCAGATCTTGTGAAACTTATTCACTATCACAAGAACAGCACGGAAAGACCTGCCCCCATGATTCAATTACCTCCCACTGGTCCCTCCCACAACATGTGGGAATTCAAGATGAGATTTGGGTGGGGACACAGCCAAGCCATGTCGAGGCATAAGCCACCACACCCAGCCACTAAGTGTTAGCTGTTATGATAACTCTATGCCTTTCCACATGCAATTCCCTCTGCCTGAAATAACTTTCTCCTTTTGTTCACCTAGGGAATTCCTTCACATTCATTGTAACTTATGCTCTGTGAGGCCTTCCCAGCAACTCAATCTGCCAGGAGCAATCAATCTCCTTCATCTGTGCTACTGCAAAGTCACATATATCAATTCTACTTATCATAGTATATTGCACTTGGGTGTTTAAATTTCTGACCCTCCTCACTATGGACATGACTCATGTCTTATTCACTGCTAAATCCCAAGTACTTGGCAGAATACACATTATAGGGTCTCATACATGTTTGCAATAATGAACTGAATACATCCTTGAATTCACTCTAGAATCAAATGACCTCTCCTCTGTATTAGAAATTTGGCCTAACAGGCCAGGCAAGGTGGCTCACGCCTATAATCCCAGCACTTTGAGAGGCTGACGTAGGTGAATCACCTGAGGTCAGGAGTTTGAGACCAGCCTGACCAACATGGTGAAACCTCATCTCTACTAAAAATACACAATTAGCCGGGCATGGTGGCGCATGCCTGTAATCCCAGCTACCTGGTAGGCTGAGGCAGGAGAATCACTTGAACCCAGGAGGCAGAGGTTGCAGTGAGCCGAGATCACGCCACACTGCACTTCAGCCTGGGCGACAGAGTAAGACTCCGTCTCAAAAAAAAAAAAAAAAAGAAAAGAAAAAGAAATTTGGCTTAACAATTATGTCATTCTTTCTATAAAAAGAATTGTCCTAGCAAATTAAATCGATGCATAATTGTCATTGCTGATATTCTAAAAGGCAGTTATCTGAACATGAACATCTATAGAAATGTTCTCTAATGGACTTTTCTTGTCTAACATTTCTTCACATTCCTTTAAAAATTGTTGGCAGGTGCAATTCAGAAGATCTTAAAAATTACAGTAATTGAAAATGTATTGACTTTGTAATAACGAAGAAGTTATTAGCATTTTAAAGAGAGAAAAGAGTTATAAAGAATACTTAGCATGTACACTGAAAGCTTTAAAGTCTTTTCATTTGTTTCTCCTAATTGCCTTATGACAGTGAAAACAGCTGTATTCCTGTTACATGGGAGGTCAAACATGATCAATTCTAAAGCAGACTCTACATTGTGGCTAACTTTGGTGGCACTTACAGTGGTCACTGAATCCAGACTTCAAAAAAATACATTAATATTATATGTTAGAATTTTCTAAAGGGAAAAGAAATGTATGTAAGGATCCACCTTTGAGGAGGATGAATATTATCATTCTCCTTAAAGAACTTTACAAAAGTTTCTAATGACAGTGACCATAAATAGACTTAAAAAGTAGAAGACATTTTTTAAAAGAGAGATTTAAAATACCAGGCATTAAAATAATTAAAATACCTCGATGCAGATGTGATGCATTCCTCCAGCCTTGTTTTTCTGCAGAAAACCTGCAATTGGACTGTCACGTCCCAATGGATGAAGCAGTTCCATCTTGGTATTTCCCAGGTTGACAAAAACAACAGATACTCCATGTTCAGGAAGAGGGACCGCTTCACTTACCTGGGCCCCCAGAATATTCTTATAAAATGCTGCAGCCTTTTCCAAATCTGGCACTGCTATGGCTACATGGTTGAGTCGACCCAGGTTCCACACAGAACCTGTCACTTGATCCAAGGGCTGTGATGTGGAAGAAGCTCTTACTGTTGGAATGGGAGCTTGAAGTCTGGAAAAAAGCCCTGAAAAATTGAACAGCCATTGATATCCTTCTTTTGAGAATTAACGCACTTCTAAATTGAATTTTAAAAACTAAACAAATAATGCATGCAAAAATTCATTATTTATATATCTGTTCTTTTTAATTATTGAAATGAAACCAGGAGATAAATGGAAAAACTTACATCAGAATTACTCTGCTCTGCCCATTCAAATAACTGACTGGAATAAAAAAGCTAATTCTGAGCTGCAGTTAGATTTAAAACACAGGATAACATTTTTTCATAACAATTCATATTTACTGGTAACACTTAAATAGTGGCATATTAAGCATTACTTGCTATTCTCTGCATTTCACAATGAAACAACATATATTTAATAAGAGCAAGCAATTTCTCTACCTGTACCCAATTTTTTGTCTTATATTTTGTAATAAGTTCATTAAAGGTATAAATATACATTAAAAGAGTACATACAGTACTCTTTAATGCTCTGTTGCCCAGGCCGGAGTGCTGGAGTGCAACAGTGCGATCTCAGCTCACTGCAACCTCTGCCTCCTGGGTTCAAGTGATTCACTGGCCTCAGCCTCCCAAGTAGCTGGGATTACAGGTGCCTGTCACCATACCCAGCTAATTTGTGTGTGTGTGTATGTGTGTGTATATATATAAATATATATATATATATATATATATTTTTTTTTTTTTTTGAGACGGAGTCTCACTATTTCGCCCAGAATGGAGTGAAGTGGCGCGATCTGGGCTCACTGCAACCTCCGCCCCCCAGGTTCAAGCGATTCTCCTGCCTCAGCCTCCCGAGTAGCTGGAATTACAGGCACCTGCCACATGCCCGGCTAATGTTGTATTTTTAGTAGAGATGGGGTTTCGCCTCATTGGCCAGGCTGGTCTCGAACTCCTGACCTCAGGTGATCCACCCACCTCGGCCTCCCAAAGTGATAGGATTAGAGATGTGAGCCACTGTGCCCACCCTAATTTTTGCATTTTTAGTAGAGATGGGGTTTCACCATGTTGGTCAGGCTGGTCTCAAACTCCTGACCTCAGGTGATCCACCCACCTCGGTCTCCCAAAGTGCTGGGATTATAGGTGTAAGCCACCATTCCAGTCAGTTTTTAGCATTTTTAAAATTCACTGTCGCTGTGTCCTCATCAGATAGTTTCTTGATCTCCACAGATAACTCTGCATTCCATTCATTTAGCAAACAGTCATTGCATGTCATTAACAACAAGAATGGCCTGAATTTACTGTGCACCTACTGTCTGGCACTGTATTTATTTTTTTACACCAACTATCTAATATTCACAACAAACCAAGTTAGAAACTTAGTAAGTTTCATTGTTATCATGAAATCCAAGTGGATTACAACCGAGTACACATATACATAAATGTACAATTGAAACTAAATTGCAAAAAAAGAATACCTTCCACCTCAGCCTCCTGAGTAGCTGGAACCATAGGCATGAGCCACCATGCCTGGCTAATTTTTGTACGTTTTGTAGAGATGGGGTTTCACCATGTTGCCCAGGCTGCCCATGTTGCTCCTGGGCTCAAGCGATCCTCCGACCTTGGCTTCCCAAAGTGCTGGGACTACAGATGTGAGTCACAGCACTAGGCCAGTGAAAATGTTTTGAAATAGACAAATGTGATAGTTGCACTAACCCAGTGAATGTAATAATTACTGTTAAACTGTACTTTATTATTTATTTATTTTGAGACGAACTCTTGCTCTTTCACCCAGGCTGGAGTGCAATAGTGTGATCTCGGCTCACTGCAACCTCCACCTTCCGGGTTCAAGCGATTCTCCTGCCTCAGTCTCCTGAATAATTGGTATTACAGGCGCATGCCACCGCACCCGGCTAATTTTTGTATTTTTAGTAGAGACAGGGTTTCACCATGTTGGCCAGGCTGGTCTCGAACTCCTGACCTCGTGATCCGCCCACCTCGGCCTCCCAAAGTGCCGGGATCACAGGCATGAGCTACTGTGCCCAGCCTAAACTGTACATTTTTAAAGGGTTTTGTTATGTACATTTTACCAAAAAAAAAAAAAAAAAAAAAAAAGATCCAACAATAAAAATCCAAAGGTGAAATTGTGTAGACCAAGCAAACTGGGTAGAGAACACTGAATAAAGGAGTTAAAAAGAGACAGAGCTTTATATTTAATAAAAATGTGTTCCTGAAAAGTTTGTTGTGAATTGAACTCTTAATTATTATATTTCTCCTTTGACTTGTAGAAACTTTTTTCCAGCTTGAGGTATGATGACTAATAGAAACGGTGTATCTTTAAGGTATACAATGTGATGTTTTAATAAATGCATAAATTATGAAAATGATTACCAACACTGAAGCTACCTTTTTAAAGCTATTTTTATTTCAGGTTGCCCTCCAACTAGCAGGAATTCACAGCTCTTTAGTTTTAGATTTCTCTGCCTCCCATTTCAGAATAGTGCAGCAGAATTGCATTATTTTGAATTCTGCAATGTTTAATTTGTGATTATTCCAATAAAGGTTGCTTTGCATGAATATACTACAGTGTAAAACCATGTGCAAATAAATGCATAAGATATTTAAAAACAGAAGTGTTAATAAAAAACGCATGTAAAGATGAATACAGATTAAAGAAACTATTTTCACATGTCAGGAAGCTGGTATACAAGTAAAAGATCAAAATCGGATGTGTATGTTAACTCTCATTCCAATCTTCCTTTCAATATCAATTCTCGTTAATCACTTTTAGTGTCCTGACTTAAAAACAACATTGCATTTCTTTCAGTTCAGATTTTGCATTTATTTCAGATCACACTTTTTAGACACTGTCCCTGAATACATAAAGGTTTAGCTGCAAGGATCTATACTCAAATGCATTAAGAGTACTTACTATTTAAAGACATTAGATGTTAAATTTGTATAAAAAGTACTATAAAAGTGAATAATCACTTGTAATAGGTTTTTTAACAGCTTTATCTCTTAATAGTTTTTAAACAGACTTAAAATTTATATACCATAAAGTTCACCCATTTGAAGTGTACAATTCATTTCTTTGCATCTTTGCAAAGTTGTGCGACCTTCACATAATCTAATTTTAGAACACGTAATAAGTTTGTTTGTTTTTTTGAAACGAGTCTGGCTCTGTAGCCCAGGCTGGAGTGCAATGGCGCAATCTTGGCTCAGTGCAACCTCTGCTTCCCAGGTTCAAGCAATTCTCCTGCCTCAGCCTCCGGAGTAGCCGGGATTACAGGAGCGCGCCACCACGCCCGGTTAATTTTTGTATTTTTAGTAGAGATGGGTTTTGCCATGTTGGCCAGGCTGGTCTTGAACTCCTGACCTCAGGTGATCCACCTTCCTCAGCCTCCCAAAGTGCTGGGATTACAGGCGTGAGTCACCGCGCCTGGCCGAACATAAGTCTGAATTTTCACTGAATATCTGGTTTGAGGAAACATACGTATTTAGAAAGTCATTCATTAGAAGTGCTTTCAAGTTAGTCTGGTAAGTTTTCTCTTAAACATTTGACCAGTTAATTTCACAGCACCATATATATATCTTCAACTTGTTTCAAACTATGATCAATTTTTTTTATTCATTACAGTAAGTAAACAGATTACATTTCTGTTAGCCCATTTACAGACGATTAATGAAAGTAAACCTATGCAGTCATGTAAGTTGGTCATTCTTGTCTCCCACCTAACAGGTTCAATTTCCATTTTCAGAACTTTTCTACGTGTTCACTCTGATTTTTCTGTGCTTTTGTTTTTCGGCGAAGTTTTATGTTCCTTAAAAGAGGGGCCATAACATAGAATTACCATGTAATCCAGCAATTCCACTTATGAGTATACACACCCCCAAAGAAGCGGGAATTCAGAAGTATTTGTACACCCACGTTCATAGCTGTATTACAATAGCCAAAAGGTGGGGATAACCCAAATGTCTATCAAGAGACGAATGGATAAACAAAATGTGGTATACACACACAATGGAATATTATTCAGTCTTAAAAAGCAATTTTTTTTTTTTTTCTGAGACGGAGTTTCGCTTTGGTTGCCCAGGCTGGAGTGCAGTGGCGCGATCTTGGCTCACGCCAACCTCCGCCTCCCGGGTTCAAGCGATTATCCTGCCTCAGCCTCCCGAGTACCCGGGATAACAGGCGTGTGCTACCACGCCCGGCTAATTTTTGTATTTTTAGTAGAGACGGGCTCACGCCTGTAATCCCAGCACTTTGGGAAGACGAGGTGGGCAGATCACCTGAGGCCAGGAGTTCCAAACCAGCCTGGCCAACATGGTGAAATCTCGTCTCCACTAAAAATGCAAAAAATTAGCCGGGCGTGGTGCCGGGTGCCTGTAATCCCAGCTACTCG
The DNA here is from genome assembly GCF_000001405.40 of Homo sapiens. Classification (NCBI taxonomy): domain Eukaryota; kingdom Metazoa; phylum Chordata; class Mammalia; order Primates; family Hominidae; genus Homo; species Homo sapiens. The sequence goes on from NC_000002.12 coordinate 71,128,884, forward strand.
GGAGGCTGAGGCGGAAGAATGGCTTGAACCTGGGAGGCAGAGGTTGCAGTGAGCTAACGCCACTGCACTCCAGCCTGGGCGACAGAGTGAGACTCTGTCTCAAAAAAAAAAAAAAAGGTAAATTTTACTTTATGTATATTCAACCACACACACACACACACAAGTGGAGACATTAAGCTTCAAGTATCTTAATAGGACAAATCAAAGGCAATCTTTGGAATACACTGTCTTCATTTTTCCTTTATGCCAAGATGTGTATGTAAGTACAAAACAAACATGCACCTTTATCTGTATTGAGTTCTTGCAGTATGTATATGACCTGTTGGAAGTCATACTTTTTCCCAAACTGTCAATCATTAAAGTGTGCAGTTCTAAAAATAGACATAAAAATGCCTTTTCCCAAATATTCATTTATTTATAGTTTTACGTTCCTATCTTGTGTATCACCTAAGAGGAAGGTATGCCTTACGGTTAAGAATGTGGGCTCTGGTGCTAGAAGGATTTATCACGAATGTCCCGGAGTAACTCTGGGGCATTACCACTTGGCACCTTCTTCCTAATAGGGAATCTCAGATTAAGGGAAATACTTGCCCTCTCATAAAAGGAGGAAGAGAAAAAAAAAAAGGATAAAAAGAGGAGAAAGTGAGTCAGAAAACGTGACAATTATTACAGTTATTTCTGTCATAACTGATTCTATGTACATATTTTAAAAAAAATGAAGGGGGAGAGAACTCAAGAAAGTTTCCAAATCCACATGCTTTTATCTGTGTACGCGATAAATATATTAGTGCACGTGGAAAAACCACTCCTTTTGTATTCTTTACACCACTGACCTTTGAGTGTTCCCAACAGAAAGCTGGTCACGCTTGGAGTTCGGCCGACTAGTAGTTGTTGTTTTTACGGAACGTGCTCTCCTTTCTGGTTTCTCCCCAGTCTCTTTATTGGTGCGCGGTAAAATAACTTACCGATCCGCTTCTATTTACTTCTGTCCCTGCCCTGCCTGACCTGCCGGGCAAGTTCCCTCGACTCTCCCGCCCACATACTGGAAGGTGCAGAGCCCAAGGCGCACAGCTCTCGGATGGAAATGGGACTCATGCACAAGGCAATCCCCGCTACTAAGCGGTGGCGCTTCTGGAAGGCACCCTCTGCCTAAGTGACAGCAGCTGCTGTGGAACGCGCCCCCGGGGGAGGACATTAGATCAAGGTGCTTTGGCCACGCCGAGGCCTCCTCCGCCCCCGACCGCCGTTCCCACGCTCCCTGTCCCATGGCGAAGGTCGCCGGTGCCCGGTATTCACCTACGGCATTCGCGGCTGCAGCCTTCAGCACCCGCGCCATTTTGGAAAGCAACCCGCCACGTCAAGACTAGCCACGGAGGTTGAGAGACGCGCGGCAGAGGGCGGGGCGGGAGGCAGAGGGGGCGGGGACAGAAAGGTCAGGGGCGTGGCGAAGGTCGCTGCTTTCCTGCTACAACGGGCCTACTTTAGCTAAAACAGAAACGTAAGGCCAGGACGGGTCACCCTTTGTGGGCCCCTGAAAAATACAAAACGAAGTTTGGAGAGAGTTGAAAGGCGTTTGGGCTGACCATGGAGATTTTTGTTTCCCACCCTCCTGCGAAAGCGCTCGCGCTGCCATTGGCTCTGGCTGAGGGCGAGTCCGGAACCTGTGCGCCGCGGAACTTTCGGCTCTGAAATCCAAGTTGCGCTGGGCGCATCTTTGCCGCGCGGTTTCCGGGCGGCTCCCTTCCCTTGCATGCTGCATTGTGTCGGGAGTTGCTGACAGCCATGGCGCCGCAGGTCTGGCGTCGACGGACCCTGGAGCGGTGTCTGACGGAAGTCGGCAAAGCCACGGGTCGGCCCGAGTGCTTCCTCACGTAAGTGCGCAGATCCCGGGCTCGGGGTGCGACCGGGGTCTCACGTGGACGCGGGTTGCAGGCCTCCGGCAAATTGTGGAGCTGGGGGAAGGTAAGGGGAAACGTAAAATCGCTTTTCCCCAAATTTCAGAGTTTATGCTTTCCTAGGCTATCAAAATTTTAAAAACTGTTAAAATTTGTATAGATGGATCTCTCAGTTGAGTGTTACTGAAATCACTCTAACCTCAATTGTTAACACCTAGAAGCTTCCCTTGGGCTTCTTACGCCCCCATCCCTCTACACACAGACTGTTGGTTTCTCCTTCCTCCTATGTGCTCTCAAAGCACTTAGCGCTTAGCATACTTTATTGAAAGTACGAACTTGTCACTTGTCTGTCCACCCCCCATGACTAAGCTTCTTCAGAAATAGAACTTCCATGTCTCTTCCCAACACAAGCGTTTTATATGTATTTTGTTGAAGAATTTAAAATGTGATCTATGAAATTATTACTCATTTATGTTTCAAACCCCAACCTTTCCCTGAGTTCCCAGCTCACAGCAACTACAGACTGAGCTTAGTTTGAATTCCGTAGCACACAACTGGGATATCCACACTGTACAACTTTTAACGATTTTTAAAATTTTGGTACTGTCAAGCATCTCAAATTCACTGCGTCCAAAATAGAGCTGTTGTGTCTGTTTAATAGAATTGTTGTTTCTACCCACCTATACTCTGCCATCCCCTGAAGTCCTTTTCCCATGCTACACCTGTCAAGCGCGTCTGTGTGAAGAGACCACTAAAACAGGCTTTGTGTGAGCCACAAGGCTGTTTATTCACTTGGGTGCAAGTGGGCTGAGTCCGAAAAGAGAGTCAACTAATGGTGATGGGGAAGGGGTTGCTTTATAGGAGTTGGGTAGGTAATGGAAAATTACAGTAAAAGGTGGTTATCTATTAGCAGAGGAGGACGGGGTCACAAGGTACATGGTGGGGAGATCATAAGACTTATTGTCCAGAAGAAGAATGTCACAAGGTCGATTGATCAGTTAAGGTAGGGCAGGGACAAGTCACAATGGAGGAATGTTGTAATGTTGATTAATCAATTAAGGCAGGAACTGGCTGTTTTATTTCTTTTGTGGTTTTTCGGCTGCCCCAGACTTCTTGGCTCCTGCAGGCCATCTGGACATATATGTGCAGGTCACAGGGGTTACAATGGCTGAGCTTCAGCTCAGAGGCCTGACACCACCACCCAAGCCTTCCCTATCTCAGTAAATGGCACTTCTGTCTTTTCAGGTACTCAAACATAAAACTAGGCTGCTACTTTAATGTCTTCATTTTTCTCTATTCTATATCTAATTCTTTAGCAATCCTGTCAGTTCTACCTCCAAACTATACTCAGCATATTCACTGCTCTAACTCCAGTCTAAATCACCATTATCCTTTCGCTGGAATGCTGCATCAACCTTCTAATCACTGTACTTTCCTCCTCCTCCCTCGTCCCTTTCTCCTTCCTTCGTGTAAATCATCATTTCATCCCTCTGCTTAAAATGTTTTCTCTTTACACTTTAAATGACAAATTCTTACTCCTGAACCATGCATAATTTGGCTCCCATCAGTCTCTCCAGCTTCACCCTCTGCCTCCTTCACACTCTAGCCATGGTCACCTGTTTGTTTCCTCAAGCTCACCTCTAGAGGATTTGCATCTTAGAGGATTTCTTCTGCCTGGAATACATGTTTCCCAACCTTTATAAGACTATCTCCTTATCTGTAGGTTTCCTCTCAGATGTGACATCTAAGAGAGGTTTTCCTTGACCACTGTAGCCAAAGCAAATGTTGATCATTGAATGAATAAGTGAACAAATGAATGGAGTGGTATATAATGTAGCAGAATTGATAATTTAAGGTTAATTCACTATATATCTCCAAGCAAATAGATTTATAATGGTTTTCCTGCCTAAAATCTATACAGCCGATTCACAGATACTTGGTTGACAGGTTTTATATATCAGTGTAGCTCATCAGCTTATATGTTGTTGGGGGCCAGAATCTATACTTATACTTCATTCAAATTTTATTTTACAAAAGAGTTGGGTTTTTTTTATTTTTATTAAGAGTGCTGTGAAATTATTACCTGTAATTCTAAATCTCACTTAATTCCTCCCAATAGGATTCAAGAGGGATTGGCATCAAAGTTCACTTCTTTAACAAAAGTGCTTTATGACTTTAATAAAATATTAGAGAATGGTAGGATCCATGGAAGCCCCTTGCAAAAACTTGTGATAGAAAATTTTGATGATGAGCAGATTTGGCAACAACTGGAATTGCAAAATGAACCAATTTTACAATACTTTCAGAATGCAGTTAGTGAAACAATTAATGATGAAGATATCAGTCTTCTCCCAGAGAGTGAAGAACAGGAACGTGAAGAGGATGGTTCAGAGATAGAGGCTGATGACAAGGAGGACCTAGAAGATTTAGAGGAGGAGGAAGTGTCCGACATGGGTAATGATGATCCTGAAATGGGTGAGAGAGCTGAAAACTCAAGCAAATCTGATCTGAGGAAAAGCCCCGTTTTCAGTGATGAGGATTCTGACCTTGACTTTGATATCAGCAAATTGGAACAGCAGAGCAAGGTGCAAAACAAAGGACAGGGAAAACCAAGAGAAAAGTCCATAGTAGATGATAAATTCTTCAAACTCTCTGAAATGGAGGCCTATTTAGAAAACATAGAAAAAGAAGAGGAACGAAAAGATGATAATGATGAGGAGGAGGAAGATATTGATTTTTTTGAAGATATTGATTCTGATGAAGATGAAGGGGGACTGTTTGGAAGTAAAAAACTTAAGGTAAAGTTTTGAGAGAAGAGAGAGCACTTTCCTCCTCAAATTAGCTTTTCTTCTGTTTTTCTAGGAGAGATTTAATTGTAGTTAGAAGATTTAGTGATAAGAAATATTGTGCTCTATCTTATCAGTTATAAATGAATCTGTACTTCCATTCAATTTATGTTCCAGTTGGTCTTATAATTTTGTGGTAGTGTTATTAGTTGCCATTTTCACCTAATAATTATTTAGTTATTAGTTTGGTTATTAGTTATTAGCTTGTAGTGTTATTAAGTCAGAAAGTAATATATACATACAATATACATGCAAATCTATATGCATGTGTTAATATATTTTTCTATCCCTAATTAATAGTTTTTAATATCTTTTTATTTTAGTCAGGTAAAAGTTCCAGAAATCTGAAATACAAAGATTTTTTTGATCCAGTTGAAAGTGATGAAGACATAACAAATGTTCATGATGATGAGCTGGATTCAAACAAAGAAGATGATGAAATTGCTGAAGAAGAAGCAGAAGAACTAAGTATTTCGGAAACGTGAGTATTTTGAACCATCCTTTACATTGTAAGCTGGAATTGCCCAATCATGTGTGTGTACTCGTAGTTATCAAATGTGTTTGTCTTAGCAAGTTCTATTCTCTAATATCAGATATTCTCAAGATAGCCAGAGGAAAGTCTCTGACTGTAAAGGGACATTAGAGATCACTTAATGAAGAAAAATATCTCTGGTAGTAGCAATCAAACCTTCCTTACCAGGAACTTTGATTTGGTTTTGTGTCAATAAAATCCTGTTATTTTTGTGAGATAAGAGATTTGTATTATAGATTGATGAATAATTTATTTTCTATATGTTGGACACTTTTTTTTCTGTTTCTTACATAGCGTTTTACCTAAATAATACCTTTTGTTCCTTAATAACTGAATGATTTTGGAAGTTCTGAGTATTTGGTTGCATTAGGTATATAAAATAAGAACTTTATTAAGGGAAAATTTGTTTCCTTTTGTTTTTCTAATGGAAAGTAGTATATTTCTTTTTATAAGAGTTTTGGTATTGTAGGGATGAAGATGATGACCTTCAAGAAAATGAAGACAATAAACAACATAAAGAAAGCTTGAAAAGAGTGACCTTTGCTTTACCAGATGATGCGGAAACTGAAGATACAGGTGTTTTAAATGTAAAGAAAAATTCTGATGAAGTTAAATCCTCCTTTGAAAAAAGACAGGAAAAGGTAATTAGTAATTTAAGGAATTTTTAATATACTTGATATTAACCATCCTTTGAAAACTATTAACCATCCTTTGAAAACAAATATCTTGGCCAGGTGCAGTGGCTCACGCCTGTAATCCTAACACTTTGGTAGTCCAAAGCAAGAGGATCGCTTGAGCTCAGGAGTTCAGAACCAGCCTAGGCAACATAGTGAGACCTTGTCTCTACCAAAAATACAAAAATTAGCTGGGCATGGTGATGTGTGCCTGTAGTCCAGCTACTCTGGTGTCTGAGGTGGGAGGATCACTTGAGCCTAGGAGGTTGATGCTGCGGTGAGCTAAGATTGCATCACTGCTCTCTAGCCTGGGCGGCAAGCAAGACCTTGTCTTAAAACAAAAAACCAAAAATCTTGCCATATGGAAAGCATCTGATTTGCAAAATCAGTGCCTGCATTTCAGTTTGGGGCCTGTGAGTAAAATAGTTGCTTCTGCTGGGCGTGGTGGCTCATGCCTGTAATCCCAGCACTTTTCGGGGCTGAGGCAGGTGGATCACTTCAGGTCAGGAGTTCGAGACCAGCCTGGCTAACATGGTAAAACCCCATCTCTACTAAAAAAAAAAAAAAGTAGCCAGGTGTGGTGGCGGGCACCTGTAATCCCAGCTAATCGGGAGGCTGAGGCAGGAGAATCCCTTGAACCCAGGAGGCGGAGGTTGCAGTGAGCCGAGATGGTGTCACTGGACTCCAGCCTGGGCGACAGAGTGTGACTCTGTCTCAAAAATAAAAAAATTTTTAAAGATAATTGTTTTTTTCTCTGTCCCTAATATCTTTATATGTATAGCATGTCTCTCCTGATAAAGCTGTCCTGTGAGCATCTTAACTGTTTCCACTGTTTTGGAGGATACCACATATGTCTTTTCTTTTTCTTTTTCTTTTTTTTTTTTTTTTTGAGACAGAGTTTCACTCTTGTCACCCAGGCTGGAGTGCAGTGGCGTGATCTTAGCTCACTGCAACCTCCACCTCCCAGGTTCAATCAATTTTCCTGCCTCAGCCTCCTGAGTAGTTGGGATTACAGATGCCCGCCACCACGCCCAACTAATTTTTTTGTATTTTTAGTAGAGACGGGGTTTCACCATGTTGGCCAGGCTGGTCTGAAGCTCCTGACCTCAGGTGATCCACCCACCTTGGCCTCCCAAAGTGCTGGGATTACAGGCGTGAGCCACTGCGCCCAGCGGATACCACCTATGTCTTTAAGGTGCTCCACAGATTTTTGTGAGTGCCAAATAGCCAGAATTTTAATTTATACCATCACAAACATATCTTTCAAAGTTGGTAAAAATTGTTTCTTTGTGTCATGATTTCAGACAAGTGAAATTTCATTAAATTTTTGTAGATGTAGTCTGGCTCTAATAATTTGGCTCTATCATTTATTTACCTTAAAATTTTTATCACAATAAAAATGAGAATAGGGCCAGGCACAGTGGCTCACACCTGCACTTTGGGAGGCTGAGGAGGGAGGATTGTTTGGAGCCCAGGAATTCGAGACCAACCTGGGCAACAGGGCAAAAGCCCGTCTCCACTAAAGATTAAAAAAGTTAGCTGGGAATGGTAGTGTGTGCCTATAGTCTTTGCTACTCGAGAGGCTGATGGGGGAGGATCTCTTGAGTCCAGGAGTTCAAGGCTGCAGTGAGCTATGATTGCACCACAGCACTCTAGCCTGGGCAACAGAGCTAGAGACTGTCTGAAAAAATTAAAAAAAAAAAGAGAACAGGCAGAGAATGAAAGATACCAAGAATATCAAAAGAATTGTTTTTAAAATCTAAGAATCTGAATTAAATCCATGGTTGTCAGATTGTCCCCAGAAGATAGAGAAATTCTAAGGGAAAAAAAGCACCATTATAAAATATCAATGAGTTAGTATCCTTCCACCCCACTCCTCCCGCCCTTCCCCAACAAATAAAGAAAGAAAGGTTTGGTTTTATTGTGAAATTATATCAGACCTTCAAGTTAAGTTTCAATAAATCAAAAATAATTTATTTCAATTTCCACATATAAAGAATAAAGTAGAACTTTCAACCTTTTTTTTTTTTTTTTTGAAACTGTTAGGTCATGAAAACCCAAACCTGACAGAGGTAGCATTAAAACACACACACACACACACACACACACACACACACACACACACACACAGAGCACAGTCTCATTCATGAACAGTGATGCAAAAATCCTACAGCACAGTGGAAAAATGATGCCACACAACTGCATGAACCTTATTCTCTTGAATCAGTATTAGAAAATCTAGTATGATTCCTGACTGCAAGACATTAAGGAGAAAAAACATATAGTCACCTCCATATATGTCAGAAAGACATTTGATAAAATTCAATATTCATTTCTAATTTTTTTTTTCACTCCTAGCGGAATATAAATACATTTAAGCCAAAAACTGCCATCATGCATGATGCATGCATCATTCTAGAAACATCCCTTTAAGATCAGGAATAAGACAAGATGTCCAGTATTACAATTACCACTGTTGATTAACATTCTTTTAGACGCATAGGCCAGTGTAACTACAAAAGATAAAGATAAGAGATGAGGAAAACTGCCAGGTGCGGTGGCTCATGCCTGTAATCCCAACACTTTGGGAGACCAAGGCAGGAGGATTGCTTGAGCTCAGGAGTTCGAGACCAGCCTGGGCAACATGGTAAGACCTCGTCTCTACAAAAAATACAAAAATTAGTCAGGCGTGGTTGCACGCGCCTGTGGTCCCAGTTATTTGGGAGTCCAAGGTAAGAGGATTGCTTGAGCCTAGGAGGTGGAGGTTGCAGTGAGCTGAGATCACGCAACTGCTCTCCAGCCTAGGCAACTGAGCGAGACTGTCTCAAAAAAAAAAAAAAAAAAAAAAGATTAGGAATACTGCAGATGTATTTATATTCCACTAAGAGTGAAAAATGAAAGTGTTGGTATTTGGAGAGGAAACCGAATGGATAAACTGAATTGATATTAGGAAAATAAGAGAATTCTGTAAGGTAGCTGAAAAGGCTGGCATTTTATACACTGAAGTCATCATTGTTGTCTTTTAAAAGTTAGAGATAATGGCCAGGCATGGTGGCTCACGCCTGTAATCCCAGCACTTGGTGAAACCCCGTCTCTACTAAAAAATACAAAAATTAGCCGGGCGTGGTGGCACACGCCTGTAATTCCAGCTACTCGGGAGGCTGAGGCAGGAGAATTGCTCAGGAGACGGAGGTTGCAGTGAGCTGAGATCACACCACTGCACTCCAGCCTAGGCGACAGAGCGAGACTCTGCTTCAAAAAAATTTTAAAAAAAGAAGTTAGAGTAAGAATTTGAGTTTGGAGTCAAAAGGGTCAGACTCCATCAGATACTAATATTCTAATCAAAGAATTACTTGACTTGCGAATAGATAGATCACTTGAATAGAATAGAGCCCAGAAACAAACTCAAAAGCTTCTGGGGGCGTTTAGTATATTATAAACATGGCATTTTAAATTAATCAGGAAAAGAAATTGTTTGCAGCTCACCCCACCATAGGCAGCAGAAATAGGAAGTCATCGACAGAATAAAAAGATGGCAAGAACAGAATCGTAGAACAGTACGTTTCTTGCTTTCCCACTTTTTAAATTATTTTTTGCTTTTACACAAATATAAGATTTTATTTTCTAAATGTATACTAGTTATTTTATCTCTTTCTTAGATGAATGAAAAAATTGCATCTTTAGAAAAAGAGTTGTTAGAAAAAAAGCCGTGGCAGCTTCAGGGGGAAGTGACAGCACAGAAGAGGCCAGAGAACAGCCTCCTGGAGGAGACCCTACACTTTGACCATGCTGTCCGGATGGGTATGGTGCCCTCTTCTGTAGTTTTCATGTCTGTGCTTTTTCCATGGTTCCATTTCATACAAAGATTTGGGGTGGTGTTTCTTTTCCCTCAACTTTTTATTTTAAAAACTTGTAAACACATGGCTTGGCATGGTAGCTCACACCTGTAATCCCGGCACTTTGGGAGGCCGAGGCAGACGGATCACCTGAGGTCAGGAGTTTGAGACCAGCCTGGCCAACATGGTGAAACCCCGTCTCTACTAAAAATACAAAAATCAGCCAGATACGGTGGCAGATTTCAGAATCCCATCTACTCGGAAGGCTGAGGCAGGAGAATTGCTTGAACCCAGAAAGGGGAGGTTGCAGTGAGCCAAGGTTGTGCCAGTGTGCTCCAGCGTGGGCAGCCTGGGCAACAGAGCGACACTCTGTCAAAAAAGAAAAAATCAACTTATAAACACAGAAGAGTTGAAAAAATACTACAGTGAACACCTATATGCTATTCAATTGGATTCACCAGTTACCATTTTGTTATATTTGCTTTCTCTCCCTAGCATATGTAAGATTGTATATGTGCCCTTTTTTTAAGTAAGTTGCCAATCTCATGGCACTTCACTTTTAAGTACTTTTGCAGATATCGTCTAAGAACTAGGACATTCTCCTATGTAATCACAGTACCATTAATCCACCCAAAAAATTTAACAATACGCTAATGATACCTAATGTATAGTTTGTAATCAGCTTTCTTGTAGTAATCTGTTTTGAAGGCTTGCATCCTGTCATGGTCCACTGATTAAATTTTGAACTTCAACCTGAAACTGTGGTCATCTCATTGACTTCTTTCTTGTACCCATTACATCAAAATGAGTTTTCATTTTATTTCAATGGAAGAGAGAATGGAAAAGAGGGGAAGAGTCCCTGGGTACCTTGGGTAAAGTATTAGCACTTACTACCATATGTATCCTAGTTTTGTGGTTTTCAAACTTCAGGGAGCATCACAAGGCTTGTTAAAGCACAGATAGCTGTCCCTCTTCCCCACTTTCTGATTCAGGAAGTATGGGGGTGGCCCAGGAATTTGCATTTCTAACAAGTTCCCACGTGTTGCTGATGCTGTGGGTCCAAGGACTGCACTGAATCAATGGTCTAGTGGATATCTACCTAATGAATAAACGTTGTATATCCTTTAGCACCTGTGATTACAGAGGAAACCACCCTTCAACTGGAAGATATCATTAAACAGAGGATAAGAGATCAGGTCAGTAAGAATTAAATTTAACTTAATCAAAATGTCACCAAGATTTTTAGAAATAATGTGAGAGTACTTTGAGAGTAGGACTATTGCTTTTTATTTTCACTTAGTGTTCACAAACCTTAAATCTAGGCTACCTAGTCAGCTTTTGTTGTGTGAGGTACTGCTCTTCAGTAGTATCCAGGAAAGACGAGTATTGTGCCTGAGAGGAGCAAGAAGCCATTATCCTTTCTCGTGAGTCTTGCTGACCTTTTGGGCGGTGCTCAGTGAAGCTGGTGGCTGACCTGTGATGGTTGCACCCAGAACCCTTGGCTTAGGCACAGTATCTGGTGTGGTAAATTATTCAGTATATATGTCCTAGTCTTTTTTCTGTTACTTATAACAGAATATCTGAAGCTGGGTGACTTAAAAGGAATACAGTTATGGAGGCTGAGAAGTCCAAGGTCGAGGGGCCTTCTTACCAGTGGGGATTCCGCAGAGTCCCAAGGTGGTGCAGGGCATCACATGGTGAAAGGGCTGAGCATGCTAAGATGCTGGCTCAGGTGTCTCTTGCTCTTCTTAAGAGCCACCATTCCCCCACTGATGATAACCCATTAATCCATAAATGCAACTGCCATTCATGAGGGCAAAACCCTGGTGATCCAGTCACGTCCTAGAAGGCCCCACATCTGAGTGTTGCCACATCAGGGATTAAGTTTCCACATGAGTTTTGGAGGGGACATTCAAACCCTAGCATTGTGGTAGTTCTACAATTTTAAAACCATTTCTCAATGGTGTATTTTTTTCAAATGTTAAAAACCTAGTGGTTTTTGTTGAAGAATTGATCTGATTTTGTAAACTTAGAATAAAACTTAGATATATGGCATGTACAGTAAGAGATGGCCTTATAACATGTGTATAATGTTTGCCTACACTTGTGGGTCTAAAATAGAAAGGGTTTAAAGGGTGAGTATCATGTGCAGAACATCTTAAAATTTGAAATGAAACATGATAAACTAACTCAAGGCTTGACTTTTAAACAAACTGTGATGGGGAAATGTGGAATTAAAGTTGGTAACCAGGTAGGAAGACTCATTTAAAACAGAAAAAGATATTTGAGTAATGGTTTCTTTGCTTTCCTAATGTTTATTCTTTGTGACTTGAATAGTTATTTCAGGAGTTGAAAATTTTCTTTTTGCTATAATTTGCTTACTCTGTAATAAGTAATAATAAATATTTATTATAACAATGATATAATTTACTATTAATATATTAATGATAATTTATTAATATATTGATAATATTTATTATAATAATATTCCAGAGGAAGATTCTTAAGTGAACCTAGAAATAAATTGTAGGTTTTGTTATGTTCTACCTGCACTTTATGTTTCAGGCTTGGGATGATGTAGTACGTAAAGAAAAACCTAAAGAGGATGCATATGAATATAAAAAGCGTTTAACCTTAGACCATGAGAAGAGTAAATTGAGCCTTGCTGAAATTTATGAACAGGAGTACATCAAACTCAACCAGGTGAGGAAGCCTGTAAGGCCAAGCCATTATTATTAAAGAAATAGAAGTAGAGAACTAGGCTTTTTGTGACTGTTGAAATCGTGAAACAGAAATCTTGAGCTCTTTGGCTACCTCATGTAAGTATGAGACAGAGCATGCTAGGAATAGAAGGGTTCTAATATTCCCGCTGGATGTGAGGGGTTGAGGGGGGTTGCTTTGCAATTAGACTTTGGTCACCTGATACTTTTACAACTCATTAACTTTCTAGCAATTATGGTGGTGCTACAACTTTAAAAGCATTTCTCATTGATATTTTGAAGTAACTGATATATTTTACATGATTATGAATTCATTCTGATTTTTAGGTCTGTTTTTTCTTTCACTTAACTAAAATCTCTGGGCTGGGTATGGTGGCTCACATCTGTAATCCCAGCACTTTGGGAGGCTGAGGCGGGCGGATTGCTTGAGGTCAGGAGTTTTAGACCTGCCTGGCCAACATAGTGAAACCCCATCTCTACTAAAAATACGAAAAAATTAGACGGGCGTGGTGGCATGTGCCTGTAATCCTAGTTACTTGGGAGGCCGAGGCAGGGGAATTGCTTGAACCAGGGAAGTGGAGGTTGCAGTGAGCCCAGATCGCGCCACTGCTCTCCAGCCTGGGCGACAGAGTGAGACTCCATCTCAAAAAAAGAAAGAAAGAAAGGAAGAAATCGCTGGTTAAATAATAGGACAAGGTCCTATTCCTAGGAATATTATATGCTGATATAATAATCGAATTATTCCTTCACATTTGATTTATTGGGAATGTGGGTACTTAGGGATCAGATGGCATTTTTCTTCTGCAAAAGCCATTTACGATTCCCACCAGATTTTGTTAATGAATGCCCCTCAGTTAGCAACAGCAAATTGCCCTGATGCCACTGTGAAACTGAAGAACTGAAAAGATTTGAATTAAAATTCTTCCTGGCTGCCTTGCAATCCAAGGTGGTAGCTGAAGGAGGATGTGTACAGTTTCATTTGAATCTTTGAGGAGATTGGGTAGATACAGAAGGTATTTGATGACCACGAGAATTAAAAATTAGATAGGTAATGCAATAGCTTATGCCAGCTCTAAATGTTAGTTTCATTTCTCTCTTAGAAGTCAACAGCCAGTTCAGAAGTTTTTGAGGATGGACTTGGAGTTCTAGTAGCTAGGCTAGTTCTAGAAGTGAAATGATGGTAAACAGCACATGTAGGACCCTTTACTCACATTTGTGTATGTAATGTGGCTCAGAAAAATGCTGTGTAGCCAATATATAGCTACATATTTGATTTTACAGATATTGTTACCTAGAATGAGGTGAAAGGACATGTTTAGGATTTTTTAAAGTGTGAGGTACGTTAAAATAGTAAGCAGTAGTAGCGTGATGCCTGACTATGGCTGGAAGGTGGGTGCTGATGATGGACATTGGAAACAGACCTGAATGCATCTCTGTCATCAGGATCAGGAGGCAAAGAGCCTATCGTTTCCTAGTTCTGGTGGGTTTCTTTTTTTCATGTCTTAATAACAAACAAACAAAAAGCCCTCTTAGGCATTTAGAATAAGCATTTGGGGCCAAAGGGGACAGAGAGAGAAGCATGAAATTTTCTTTTTCTCTTCAGTAGAATTAAAATTGCTGTCAGTTTTTTCAATGTGATTTGTGAGAATAAATCTTTAACACATTACATGTAAATAAAAGAACAAAAAAGTCCCTACCATCCAAATGGGTATTTGGATAATTTTATGAAGTCTATATTAACACTTTACTTCTTTTTTTTCTTTTTTTTTTTTTTGAGACGGAGTCTTGCTCGGTTGCCAGGCTGGAGTGCAGTGGCGTGATCTAAGCTCACTGCAACGTCTGCCTCCCGGGTCCAAGCAATTCCCCTGCCTCAGCCTCCTGAGTAACAGGCACATGCCACCAAGCCCGTCTAATTTTTTGTATTTTAGTAGAGACAGGGTTTCATTATGTTAGCCAGGATGGTCTCGATCTCCTGACCTCGTGATCCTCCCGCCTCGGCCTCCCAAAGTGCTGGGATTACAAGCATGAGCCACCGCGCCCAGCCAGCCACCATGCTGGGCCATTTTTTTTCTTTTTAATTGATGTGAGATTTATATAACATAAAATGAACCACTTAGTGAACAAATTGGGAGCATTTAGGACAGTGTTATGTAACTACTAGCTCTCTCTAGTTCTAAAACATTTTTATCAGCCCACAATAAAGCCCCATACGCATTAAGCAGTTGCTACCCTTTCCTCACTTGCCCCAGCCCCAACAAACCCCAGTCTGCATTCTATCTCTGTGGATTGGCCTATTTTGAGTATTTGATATAAATGGAACCATACCATATGTGGCCTTCCATTTCTGACCTCTTTCAGTTAGTGTTGTGTTTTCAAGACTGGCATTTGTCAGTGCTTCATTTCTTTTTTATGGTTACACGGTATTCCGTTGTGTGTATTTACCACAGTTTATCTGCTTATCCACTGGTGGACATTCAGGCTGTTTCCACCTTTTGACTGTTAATAGTGCCATGTACATGTATTTGTTTGAGTATCTATTTTTAATCCTCCTGGTTGTACACCTAGGAGTGGCATTGCTGGGTCAGATGGTAATTCTCTGTGTAGCTTTTTGAAGACCTGCCAAGCTTGTTGCCACTGTGGCCGCATCATTTTACATTCCTACCTATCAACAATGCACAAGGGTTCCAGTTTCTCCATCCTTGCCAACACTTGTTATCACTTGCTATTTTCCTTTTAAAAACAACTGTAGCCATCTTAGGAATAGCTTAGTTTTTGACAGAAGTAAATACCAAGGTAATTAAATTTTTAAGTTCTGAGTATTAGAGGTAATGGTTACTGTAGCTCCTAAAATGCACATCACATCTCTGGTAGGTGCTGGAACCCTCATGGTACTGCTGCTTTTAATTTTGCTTTTGGAATGTTTCTTTGTAGCTGAAGCTTTAGTGATGAGAAGTTAGAAATACTCTCATTGACCTTTAGTGTTTTGTCCTGTGATATATATCAAGTCGCTTAGTTTGACATTGTTGAACTTATTTCCTAAGCAAAAAACAGCAGAAGAAGAAAATCCAGAACATGTAGAAATTCAGAAGATGATGGATTCCCTCTTCTTAAAATTGGATGCCCTCTCAAACTTCCACTTTATCCCTAAACCGGTAAGTGTGTT
Organism: Homo sapiens; assembly: GCF_000001405.40. NCBI lineage: Eukaryota > Metazoa > Chordata > Mammalia > Primates > Hominidae > Homo > Homo sapiens. The sequence goes on from NC_000002.12 coordinate 71,144,550, forward strand.
AACAGTTCAGTGTGTAGCTAGAGCAGGGTGACCTTCATAGCTTTGATCCTTTGTGAGACTAGCTCTTTATTTTGTTTCAGGATACAAACTTGTAGTTTGCTGTAAATTCCAGGCAGGGTCTCCATGAGGAAAGCTCACTTCTGGTCCCATGACAGTTCTGGCTCTACCCAGATCTTCAGTGAGCCCCTGCCAGCTGGGGCTGGGCATGGTCAGGCATCATGCTAGTACTGCCTCTTACTGTTTTAACTTACCTCACACTTTAAAAGATCCTCAGCCGTAGCCACAGGGACTCCTCCTTTCCCTACCCTCTCAGTCTTCTGTTGCATTTTCATTGTATAATGGGTTTGGAGATGTATGGATATCTATACCAGCATTTATGGAGTATCTGCTATGTGTCATATTAGGTTCTTTACATACACTAACACTTAATGCACACAACACTGAGGCAGGTACTATAGTTTCCATTTCACAGGGGAGAAAACCAAGGTTTAGGAGGTGGGAGAGTGAGAACTAACTCTGGGCCCAGCTGTCTCCGCATGATGTTCCTTCACCAGGCCCAGCCCTCTCAAATGCTCCTCCCCTGTCTGTCTGTCACCCAGACTTGGCTCTACCTGTCTATTCCTTGGAGCCTCATCTCCTGCTTACCAGCTTCTGTGAACCCATAAAACATGCTTGTACCATCCTTTGGTACTTGTTCACCTGTTGCCCTTTGGTGCCTGTGTTGTTGTCTGAAATGGAATGTCATGAATTAAAGACTAGTCTAGAAGTCAGAACCTGAGCTGAGTTCTGCTCCTAACTAGCTTTATGATGCAGGCAATCGCTTTACGTTTCATTTGTACCGAAGAGCTAATCTCCAAGATCCTTTATTATTAGTTGATGGCTAGGTGATTCCCATGCAAATATTTTATCTTCTCAGACAGTAAGCTTTTTTAACCTGGTTGTTTTTTTTTGTTTGTTTGGTTTTTTTTTTGGTATATATGTATGCTTTTAATCCAGTTGTAATTACATGCAAGTAAGTTCTTGATGGCAGGAACCATCTTTAGATTCCCAAAGTCCCTGCTATGGGCTGTGTAAAATAAACAGGTGAAGAGATGAGTGGAATTTCTCAACTCCTCTTGTCCAGCAGGTCTTACTGAGATGAAGGACGTGGGCCTTTCTGGGCCTTACCTGTGTGATCTGGCTCTTCCCACCCCTTTGGTCTCCCTTGGCTTGCTACCCCCACCCCCACTGATCTTCTGATTCCTTGAGCAGGCCAAGTCCCTTGCGCTTTCTCACTGTGCTCTTCCCCTGGCCCAGTAGGCTGCACTTCCTTTTTGGCATGGCTGGCTCCTTATTGCCCAGGCTAGACGCCTTTCCCTCCTTGCAGATGTTCCTTGGCTCCTTACCTAGGGTAGACTCCCCTTCCCACCTTGCTGCATGTCTCACCACTTGGCTCCTTTTCCTCATAGCTGCATTGCACATTTGCAGTCATTCGCTAGTTGTTCATTGCTCTCTACTTGTCTTCAGGCAGCACGAAATGCATCTACTGTTCCACTCTGTTCCTCGCACTAGCTAGGATCTAACACACGGAAGCCTTTAGACATTCCTTGGAATACTGGGAAGTGAAGGAGAAGTGAATGTATATGTGTCTATGTGCCCAAATGAAAAGCCTTTCTTTTTTCCCTTAAGAAATGTAGAATTGCTAGTGTAGGTTCCCCTTGATATTACTTTTTTCATGTTCAGGTTGGTATTTCACACCATCTCTGTAGACTCCATTTACTAATCACAGCCATTATTTTTTGTGGCTTTTTTTTTTTTTTTTTTTGAGACAGAATCTCACTGTGTTGCCCAGGCTGGAGTGCAGTGGCATGATCTTGGCTCACTGCAACCTCTGCCTCCCAAGTTTAAGCGATTCTCCTGCCTCGGCCTCCCGAGTAGCTGGGACTACAGGCATGCACCACCACGGCTGGCTAATTTTTTTGTATTTTTAGTAGAGACGGGGTTTCACCATGTTAGCCAGGCTGGTCTCAAACTCCTGACCTCAAATGATCTGCCCACCTTGGCCTCCCAAAGTGCTGGGATTACAGGCGTGAGTTACCGTGCCCAGCATTTTGTGGCTTTTTGGACTGTCTTCTTTTTCTCCATATTTCTCTTTAAACACTAGAATGGAACACAGTGTTTTTAATAACAGTTGAACAGTGGTCCAGTGGAAGAAATGATTTCTTTCACACTCTCATTTTTCTCTCACTTAGAATCCAGGATCCTATTGTGTTTATGGCTTGTTTTTGTTCTTTGTGAAGTTTCCTTGAGCAAATAACTCCATGGACAGGATGGTGATAAGGAAGAAAGAATGCTAATGTAACTGCAATATATAGTCACCATTTTAGTTGCAGGATCAGTATGAAACCTGTTTTAATTACTGGATTTCTTGGGTAGTTCTTTCAAAAAAAGACAAAAATCTGAAGCAGATGGTCCTTCAATTAACATTGCATTCTTTCCCCCTTTTTGTAATTGATAGCTTTGATTTATTTTGATACTGTTTGAGTTTTTCAGTATTATTTCATATTTGTTTATAGAGATGTTTTCAGTAGTTGAAAGATGAGGAAATTTATCAGTAGTCTATTTTTGACTCTTGTTCCCGTAAGCATCTTTCCTTGCATCTTTTTCCATATACTTCTTAGAGCTAGCTTTTTTTTCTGTAAGCAAAGTCAAGATAATATTAATAGAGATCAGTAAATCTTACCAAACAGCATTAATGGTTGTTTGAGAATGTCCACATGCATGGTAGATAGGAATAGTTGAGGAAGAGATGGAAGAACTGATGTTTGAAGATGGCAGAAATGTTATGTAAAAATGTAGAAAACGCCGGGTGTGGTGGCTCATGCCTGTAATCCCAGCACTTTGGGAGGCCGAGGCGGGCAGATCACGAGGTCAGGAGATCCAGATCATCCTGGCTAACACGGTGAAACCCCATCTCTACTAAAAATACAAAAAATTAGCCAGGTGTGATGGCAGGCGCCTGTAGTCCCAGCTACTCGGGAGGCTGAGGCAGGAGAATGGCATGAACCCTTAAGAGGGAGCTTGCAGTGAGCCGAGATAGCGCCAGTGCACTCCAGCCTGGGCAACAGAGCAAGGCTCTGTCTCAAAAGAAAAAAAAAAAGAAAAAGAAATACATGCTGTTGGAATGGTTTTGAGACAGAAAACCCTAAAATACCCAGGTCTCTGGGATCCTGAAGCAGTGCTGCCCCTCAGCACTGCCGTCATGCCAGTCCACTTAGGACTTTGGCTGTCACCATATCTAACATTTTAAATAGTCTCCATTAGGTTTGCTGACTTTCAAGCAAGTGAAAAAAAGATAATCTCCATAAAGTATTTTATATATTATACTTTAAGTTAATAGGTTCACAGTTCACACATTTTGTGTTAGAGTCCCTTCTGGCTTCCCATTGAATGTATTATCTCTTTTCTAGCCTGTACCAGAGATTAAAGTTGTGTCAAATCTGCCAGCCATAACCATGGAGGAAGTAGCCCCAGTGAGTGTTAGTGATGCAGCTCTCCTGGCCCCAGAGGAGATCAAGGTAAGAAGCCAATGTTGAAACCTTAAATGTCTGTTACAAGTTAGTTGATCATAGCCAGACTCCATTTATTTGACGTCATTTGCCTTGCACTTGTAGTTCTTATTCCAATGTATCTCAGCAGTTTCTAAGTATAAGCAAACTAGTAATGTTATAATATTCAAATACCAGTCTCCTATATTCTGGCTTTATTATGAGGTACAGGTTTGAGAGTTACTGTAAGAGCAGTTTTAAAATAGCTAGTATCAATATCTTATTATAATCCAATCTGAATACTAGCAGTGATGTTAAGTTGAAAACAAATGGCTTGCATTGCATATATACTAGCAATAGTTTAGTGTCAGCATTTCCCCCTTATTTTATTCATGTAATGCTAATTAGTAATGGAATCTGAATCTAGAATCGAGCATTTGGTTATCAGAAGAGGCTAGATATATCAAATGCAGCAATCCCTGCCATGTGAACATTGAAGCTTATGCCTTACACAGTAATAATGGTTTCTGCCAGGTGCTCATCTTCCTGGCTGGCTTAGCAGCAGGGCCTTCTTTTTCCCTCCTCACTTGATTTGCTACACCTACACTCACCCCTTCTGTCTGAGCCTCTGCCACCTCAGTGCAGGTGACAGCCCTGGCAGGATAGGCTGGCAGCTGAGGAGAAAAGAGATAGAATTGATCCTCACTAGAGAGATGTTTCCCTTCCCTTCCTCTGTTCCTTGGTCTCTGCCCTCTGGCCTCAGTCCAGTTGCTGTCATTAGCAGCTCAGAGCTGAGGCTGCCTCTGGCATGTCCCTGAAGCCCATTGGAATCTAAATGCTGTGGAGGGCTGGCTCCTCTTGTGCTGTTAGGTTGAGAACCCAACTCTCCATGTTGCCTTCTTGTGAATTAGTTTGGGAACTGAACCGTCACTATAAGAGTCTGTGCCTGTCAAAGAATGCATTTCAGGTTTTAAAGAGCTGAGTTACCAACGCTCATTGGAATGCAGGTGGGGATTGCTCTGCATCTTTGTGCATTTGGCCACAGATGCACAGCCTGCTTGCTGGCTACCCTGCAGTTTCTTCCATTCCAGTTTCCTAGTTGTTAAACTTGATGAATGAATATGTTGGTGGTTATTTTTTTAATAGGAGAAAAATAAAGCTGGAGATATAAAAACAGCTGCTGAAAAAACAGCTACAGACAAGAAACGAGAGCGAAGGAAAAAGAAATATCAAAAGCGTATGAAAATAAAAGAGAAGGAGAAGCGGAGAAAACTGCTTGAAAAGAGCAGTGTAGATCAAGCAGGGAAATACAGCAAAACAGTAGCTTCGGAGAAGTTAAAACAGCTGACCAAAACTGGCAAAGCTTCCTTCATAAAGGTAAGGACAAGGGAAAGAAAACTGCTCAAGGGGACCTTTGTGGGGGAAGTGGATAGCAAGTGCTGGGTGACTGGAATGTCTGAGCCAGCTGACAGCCCACCTGCGGGATAGAGATGCATGATGCTGACTGGCTGGAATCGCAACCTTTAATGTTCTAGAATTTTTCATGTAGGGTCCTCACAATAACCTGGGTCCTGGCAGCAGCTTGTCTTCCACTCCTTTCTCTCTTAGATTATAAGAACATTGTAGCAGTGCAGAATACCTCTATGCTAACTGATTCAGTTTTCTGTAATTCTAGTCCTTTTTCATATTTATGGTTGCATACATTGTTGTAATGGTGATGTACTATTTTTGGCTTTTTTCACTTATAAGTACATTTTACAGCATAAGCATGTGGTGTTTTTAATTGCAGGATGAAGGTAAAGACAAGGCCTTAAAGTCCTCTCAAGCATTCTTTTCTAAATTACAAGATCAAGTAAAAATGCAAATCAATGATGCAAAGAAAACAGAAAAGAAAAAGAAGAAAAGACAGGATATTTCTGTTCATAAATTAAAGCTGTAATATATTTTGAATATAATGTAAATATTAATGTGTAAGCTTATATTGTGTCATTGTTCTGTTTTATAATAAAATTCTTGAGAACCTTCCTTTGCATCGATGACAGATATTTGAGGGTTCCATAGTGTGAAAAGACAAACCCCTAACCATTTGCAAAGCCCTTCCGGTTTTCACTGGTATGAAGCAGGACCTGGCTCCTCCCCAGGCCCTTCCTGTTCAGGCACTGCCTGAGCTGATCCTGCTGTGCTCTTGCCGTGGCCCAGGCCTGTGTGAAGGCCAGGCCAGCTTGTCCACATGGGCTGGTGAGCAAGCACTGGCCTGCAGGCTGTGAAGAGGACAGAGCCAGCCAACCCCCTCACAAGCAGCTGTCTACAGCAGAGGTCCTCACTCTTTGGGCTCTTGATTTCCTTCTCCCATTGCCCTGTCATTTCATAAAACAGTAGCATTTTCATGCCTGTGCCTTCCTTCCCCTTTGGGAAATGATCTCATGTCATCTGAACAAAGGTTTAATGTAGGCTGTAGAGCACTATCCACAATCAGCTGCAGAGGACAGGTATGATGGAGAAGTGAATCTAGAAGCAACAGAAGCTCCATACAGCCAGTAATGTAAACTGCAGTCTGCAGAGTGTTCTGTGACCACCAGGTGCTCATTGTTTCAACCTCCCCATCCAGGGAAAAATGCCTTTTGTCTGATAGGCTCTCATACTGATTTGATGGAAATGCAGTAAGCCTTAGTCCAGATGGGTAGAGAATGTGGACTAAGATTCCACCAAAGCAACAGGTGAAGCCCTTCTGGTTTTTTTGTCTACAAGGGGTCAATCAGTGGTCCAGAAGAGCCTGTGGAAGTTTGCACTCTGCATTCCTGTTACTGCAGAAGCTGGCTGCAGCAGGGTAGAGCTAGGCTGGGGGCTACATTAAGCACTGGCTTTTGTCCATCTGTGCTGCTATAACAAAATACCTGGGACTGGGTCATTTATAAACAATAGAAACATTTCCTACGGTTCTGGAGGCTGAGAGGTCTGAGATGAAGGTGCTGGCAAGTTGAGTGGTAAGAGCTGCTCTGCTTCAAGGTGGTGCCTTATGTCCTCACTTGGCAGAAGGTGGAAGGACAAAAAGCCATCAAACTCACTCCTTCAGTCCTTTTATAAGGATGCTGATCCCATCCATGAGGGCTCTGCCTTCAAGACTTAATCATTTAAAGGTCCTACCTTTTAATATCTCATTGGCCATTAAGTTTCTACACAGGAATTTTGAAGGACACATTCAGATCATAGCATAGCATTCCACCCTTGGCTTCTCAAGTGTACGTTCTTAAATGAACACATTAATTCCATCCCAATAGCTCCCAAAATCTTAACTTGTTCCGGCATCAACTTTAAATTCTAAGTCCAAAGTCTGTAAACATGGGTAAGACCAACTCAAGGTATGATTCATCCTGAGCCAAATTTCCCTCCAGCTGTCAAATCAAACAAGTTACGTGCTTCCAAAATACAACGGTGGAATAGGCATAGGATAGATATTCCCATTTAAAGGGGAGAAATAGGAAGAAGTAGCTTAGTCCTAAGTAAGTCCAAAACACACCAGGTAAACAACATTAAGTCTTGAGGCTTGAGGATAGTCTTTGACTTTATGTCTCACCTTCCAGTCACACTGGGGTGAGGGTTGGGTCCCCAAGGCTCCAGGCAGCTCCACCCCCATAGCTTTACTGGGTGCAGCCCATGCCCTGGCTCTCACTGGTTGGAGTCCTGTGCATGCAGCTCTCCCAGCCTGGCATTGCACACTGGTGGCTGTATAGGTCCAGGGTCTCAGGGGCAGCCCTGCCCCAGTGGCTGTGCTGGGCATTGCCTGGGAAGGTGTTCTCTGTGGTGGCCCTGCCCCACAGCATTTCTCTGCCTGCATTTGATGCCCCTCAGTCCTTGACATATATCACTCACTTGGTTTTCTGGCTGCCAAGTCTCTTCCTCCTACTGCGCTAGCTCAGTCTCCTTTGCAGGCTCCTTCTTACTGCCCTGCCTTTTGTTAATGAAATGCTCAGTCTTTTGACCTCTTAGTTCTCTATCTACAGTCAATCCTTGGTCCCATGTATTAATACCATTTAAACCCCAACAACTCCCAAATTTGTATTTCCAGTCTGACCTGACTTGATTACATCAGTTCAAGGGTTTTCATCCTCAAGAACGTCTAAGTGGTATCTCACATTTACATGTCCGAAACTGAACTCTTACTCTTTCTGCTCCATCCTGCCAGTTGCTAGGCTAAAGTCCTCAGAGTTTCCCTTGACTCTTCTCTTGTACATTACCACCTTTACCATGAGCAAATCCTGCTAGCTCAGTCTTCTAAATATATTCAGAATATAACGATTTCTTATCAATGGCAATGCCAACATCCCGACCCAAAATGTCACCATCATCTCCCCTTGGATTACTGCATCAGCCTTCTGTTTTCCTCACTCCCTCTCTTGCTTCCATCCTTGTGTACCCCATGATCTATTCTTAATGCAACAGGGAAAGGGGTCCTTTCAGAGCTTATGCTCAAAATCTTTGTCTCCCCTCCTCCCATCTCAGTCAAAGTCGATGCTCAAATCCATGCAATGACCTGCAGGGTCCTACATCAGGTGCTGGCAAACAGTAGCTGGATGGCAAGTTAGCCAGCTGTTTCTGTAAATAAAGTTTCATTGGAACACAACCACACTCATATGTTACGTATTGTCTGTGGCTGCTTTCACACTACAATAGCAGTGTTGCCTAGTTATGATGGAGGCCACGTGACCCCCAAAGCCTCAAATATTTACTATCTGGCCCTTCACAGAACAAATTTGCTAACACTTGCCCTCCATGATCTGGCTCTTTGCTGCCTCCCTTGCTTTGTTTCTGCTCTAGTCTTCTGGCCTCCTTGGTTTTCTTAGAGCCTGCTAGGCAATCTTCCACCTCAGGGCTTTTTTTTTTTTGGGGGGACAGAGCCTCACTCTGTCGCCAGGCTAGAGTACAGTGGCACGATCTCGGCTCACTACAACCTCCGCCTCCTGGGTTCAAGCGATTCTCCTGCCTCAGCCTCCTGAATAGCTGGGACTACAGGCGCGTGCCACCACACCCAGCTATTTTTTTGCATTTTTAGTAGAGGCAGGGTTTCACCATGTTGGCCAGGATGGTCTCGAGCTCTTGATCTCGTGATCCTCCCGCCTCGGCCTCCAAAAATACTGAGATTACAGGCGTGTGCCACCGCGCCTGACCCATCTGTCTTTTAAAAAATGTTTTTAATTTGAGGTATAATTTATATTCAGTGAAATGCACAGATGTGAAGTGCACATTTTGATCAGTTTTAACAAACGCATTACCCATGTAACCTACTTCCTTTCAAGATATAGAGCATTTCTGTCATCCAGAAAGTTCTCCTGTGCTTTAATCCTGTCCAGCACTCCCCCAGCAGCTGCTGAACATGCCTGAGGACATTGGTACAGGACTCTGGCCTCCCCAAAAGAGCTGCTTGGACAAGTCTGCTTGGCTTACCCTAAATCCCTGCCTGCACTCTAAAAATTTCCATCTTTAAACTGGTTGTACCTATAACCCTCCCTCATCAAATAAATAAACCCTGAAAAATAGGAGAATACCCCTTCCTGGCCCCGCAGCCCAGCACCTAATATTTACTATATACCCAAGCTTTTAGAAGTACGACTTGCACAGGTGGGGGCTGGCAGCTGCATCCCATCCTCCTCCTGGTAGCCTCTATCAGCCTACAGGGCTCTCAGAGCAGATCTGGCCAGGCAGCCTGAGCCTGGAAGTGCAGCGCAGCCTCCTGCTCGTTCACCCTCACTAGGGTGGCAGCTGCGGCAGCAGCTGGGCTCACCCGTTAAGCAAGAAGGTGAGGATGGGAGCGGGATGACCATTGGCTGGACAGTGACACTCAGACCCCAGCCTGGGCAAGCCTGTCTGAAAGCCCCCTTCCTTTCGGTCCAACTGTGGAGGGAGGGGGCAGAGCGTACGGGGTTCTACTGCCCTCCTCATCCTTTAGACGTCCTTCCTCCTAGGAGAGGGAGCTGCTCATTAATTGGCCAAAGCCTTCTTGAAGGCTGTAAATTTGACAGGCTTGGTGTGTGGGGGCCAACCATGCTAAAGAGAGCATCTGGTGTGTCAGAAGGCAGCCACCTCACCAGGGGAGGGTCAGCCCCCTTGGTGATCTCCTTCCCCTGCTGGACACAGCTTCCTGCACTCTCCCCATGTGAATGCTCCCCTCAGAGCTGCTTCCAAGGGTGGGGTTCTAACCCTGTGAGTGGGGACATTGTGTTCATTTACAATGGGCCATGGTTTCATCTGAAATCTCCAACTCAGAGGCAGTAGAGAGGAGAAGAGAAATTCCCTGCACCTCCTCCCTCCTCAGCACCCCCACCTCTGCACGCGTCCACATATGGAGAGCCTGACAATGGCCCCTGGGAGTGCCTCCATCTGCGCCTCCTTTCCATGCCTGCAGCAGCCACGCGCACTGTCCAGACCCTCACCCGCCTGGCTCAGTAGGCGCTGCACTGCCTCTGGTCCTGCCCCTACACCTGGGCCTCTGTACCCGTCAATTCCCCCAGTCTGGTTCTTATTTCCCCCAACAAGTAGGCAGCATGTAAGGTCATCTGTTGAGCAGGGTTGAGGGAGATAATAAGGTGGGGCTGTGAGGATGAGGAGAAGCTTATGGTCGTGCTGGAGACTCAGCTGAGCAGCCCCATTGGCTGCCTACCCAGTGGTCATCCCGCTCCCACCCTTATTTCTTCTTTGTAGACAAAACCTTGACTTCATTAAATGTTGGACACCTATGAACTTCATGGACTCTTCTGCAGCCTCCCTGCCATGTAATGGTAAATCTAAGTCAACCCTAGTAATTTCATTCCTCTGGCCAATGATCGCTTGGGGTGTGGCCATGAGCTGCCTCTTCGCCTGAGCCTGAGCCACAGCTACCCTCTGCACCTACCATGCTGACACGCTAGGCCAGGGAGAGCTCCATCTCAATGGAGATGAGCTGTGAGGGCCTCTGCTGGTGGCTGGGCAGATCAGGTAGTTGTAACGGGTTTTGTTCAGAAGGGAAGGTCGTCCATCAGCTTCTCCTCAGCATTGGCCATGCGGCAGTCCCTTGGGAAAACACACAGACCTGCTGGGCCCTTGTGCAACTGACCCCCATGGCAGCTGACAGGCACAAAGGGGAGAGTCGAGATGGCCAGGGACCACAGGTGCCCCAAGGGCTGGCTGAAGCAGTTCATGAAGGTGCTGGCAGGCCTGTCTCTCCTTGGGGACTTCAAGTGACATTCAAGAGAGAGCTCAGCTATCTCCTCCCATGCCATACCTCTTCCTCCTCCTCTTCCCTCGAGCAATAAATGGCATCCCACACTCTAGACATCTGGTACAAAACGGGGTGTCTCTTCCTGATCCCTCCCTTGGTTCATCCAAGTAACCACCAAGTCCTGTCTGTTCCCCCATCTCCACCGCTACAGCCATGTCCCTACCTCCCCAGTCCTGCCGTCCTTCTGGTCTCTCCACCCTCACTCTTCCCCTGTCATCCATGTACAATACAGTGCCAGACTGGTCTTTCTACAGCAAAATGGACTAAGGCCCTTCCCTACCCACAACTCTCGGAGCTGGAGGTGGAGTTAAAACTCACATGTTTTGGCTTGGCATTCAGAGCTCGTTCCCTCTTGGCACTGGCTTATCCAGAGCGCTCATAGTTTGGGTTTGGTGCAGAACTGGGTATGAGGTAGTGCTTTCCCTGAGAAGAAACAGGGCTGAGATGGGGGCATTTTCTGGGTTCAGAGTTAGACCTATGGAGTGCAAGGTTCCTCTGAGACACCAAATGAAGTGGTCCAGCTGGCAGCTGGCTCCTGGTCTGGAGCTTCAAGGAGAGGTCTCAGCTCAGAGCCACATTCAAAACCCAGCTTAAATGCAGCCTTCTGCAGGGAGCCCCTGGAGCTTCCACAGCCTCAGATCTGCCCCCTGCACACCCCAGATCTTTTGCCAAGTGGCGTTCGGGTCTTCATGTCATCTCTCTCCCATGTCTGGGAGTAAAGGTGAGGTGCGGGAAGTTGAGCTTTTGTACTGTGGTGTCTTCAGGGAGACTGTGTTAGGTAGAGGGGAGGCGGCTTGGAAAGAGGGAGACTCAGAGGAGAGTCAAGGACATCTGAGCAGGTGAGCCTGGGAGCAGGAAAAGGGATGAGAGTGAGCAGAGGAAACTACTGGGGCAGGAGAGCAGGTGGAAGGATCAGGGAATGAGGGGGGCTGGAGAGGTGGGGGTGGGGATCCTGGTGAGGGGCTGCCTGCCTCCCGCAAGGGCCAGTTCACCTGGTTGCCCCAAACCCCTCCCTCTGAGGGTGGGGCCAGAGGGCCCAGAGCATTGATCAACCCAATTGAGCAGGCCTGAGGTGGACTTGGGTGGGAGCTGGGCTGGACTCCTGGCCCTGGGGAGCAGCTGCCACCCTGCCTATTCCATCCACTTTCCAACTCGCTGCCTATTGGAGCAGATGCAATATTGGGTGCCTTGTGAAAGATGCTCCTAGTGCACTTGCTGCCTGCTGACCCTCCCCCCAAGACTGCTCCGAGCTCTCCAGAGGGGGGTCCTGTGGAGGCTTGGCCTAGATTCTGAGCCCTGCCTCTCATACCTGGGACCCCTCCCCCAGAGGCAGCTGCTTGAGTACCCTGGAAGCCAGTCTGTAGCCTCAGGCTAGAGCTGGGTCCCTCCCACAGCCTTTCTTTAGCTCATCTATTTGGACTGACTGCTCATTTCATAGAAAGGGGTGTGTCTTGCCCCAGCCCATCTGGCATATATAAGGCAGCTGTGGTGTCAGAATCCGCAGCTCCCATCCCCCAGCTCTGCAATACTAGAGGAGGCTGGATTCCACATCTCTGAAGTCCCACCGGACTGGTGCGATGGGGCTCACGAGTCCAGGGCTGCTCTGCAGGCTGTGGGGCTCACCTCCAGCTCGGAGCCCACCTGGTGTGCTCAAGTTGCTCACCTTTGGGCCTGTCCTGCCTCTCAGGCATTCAGCTGACCCCGAGGGACTCTCCCTCATCTTGACCACCAGTTACGGGCTCTAAGTTAGAGGTTCCCAGAACCTTAGACCATTTGGCCAAACCCTCCATTTCTCAGCTGGGGAAACTGAAACCAAAGAGGAGAAGCAACTTTCTCAAGGACCCCCAGCAAGTCAGAGGCAGAACTGGGTCTAGCAGCCTCCTCCCGACAGAGGGCCTCCCTGACCCCTGAGCCTTTACTGCCTCGTTAACTTCCCTATAAGGAGACTGCTCTGCCGAGGCTGGAAATGGAAATGCTCTCCGTGGCGGTGTGTGCCCGTGACTGCGCCCGTGTTTGTACTTGTGAGTGTGTATGGGGGTGGGGGTGAGGGATGGGAATAAACAGCAGGGATGCTGGGGGCTGGAATGCACTCTGCCTCACTCCAAAAAGGGGCGTGGGGGAGCCCAGCGCAGCACATGATTAGACTTTCCAATCTGCTGAATGCCTGTGAGGCCAGCTGGGCTCAGAAGACAAGGGACAGGCCTTTCTCCACAGATGGCAGGGGTGGCCCAGGACGGGTGAAAGCTTCTGCAGCAGCATTGGGGGTCACACCCCAGTCCATGGGCTGACAGTTAAGCAGAGAAGCCGCCACTAGGGGTCAGTCATGATCCAGCGATTCTGATGAGCGGGGCGGGGTACCACCAGCCTCTATCCAGGGTCTTGTCTTCCAGACCTCCTTGGGAAAAACTACTCCCTGGCAGAAAAGGGCTAATAATTTGAGAGGAAGCTTTCATGCACGTCCTTGTGAAGAGACCACCAAACAGGCTTTGTGTGAGCAACATGGCTGTTTATTTCACCTGGGTGCAGGTGGGCTGAGTCCGAAAAGAGAGTCAGTGAAGGGAGATGGATTATCATTAGTTCTTATAGGTTTTGGGATAGGCAGTGAAGTTAAGAGCAATGTTTTGCGGGCAGGGGTGGATCTCACAAAGTACATTCTCAAGGGTGAGGAGAATTACAGAGAACCTTCTTAAGGGTGGGGGAGATTACAAAGTACATTGATCAGTTAGGGTGGGGCAGGAACAAATCACAATGGTGGAATGTCATCAGTTAAGGCTATTTTTACTTCTTTTGTGGATCTTCAGTTACTTCAGGCCATCTGGTTGTATATGTGCAAGTCACAGGGGATGCGATGGCTTGGCTTGGGCTCAGAGGCCTGACATTCCTGCCTTCTTATATTAATAAGAAAAATAAAACAAAATAGTGTTGAAGTGTTAGGGCGGTGAAAATTTTTGGGGGGTGGTATGGAGAGAGAATGGGTGATGTTTCTCAGGGCTGCTTCAAGCGGGATTAGGGGTGGCGTGGGAGCCTAGAGTGGGAGAGATTAAGCTGAAGGGAGATCTTGTGGTAAGGGGTGATATTGTGGGGATGTTAGAAGAAACATTTGTCATATAGAATTATTGGTGATGGCCTGGATACGGTTTTGGATGAATTCAGAAACTAAATGGAATAAGAGAAGGAGAAAAACAGGTATAAAAGGTCTAAGAATTGGGAGGACCTAGGACATCTGATTAGAGAGTGCCTAAGGAGATTCAGCATAGTCCTGCCAGCAAAGATTATTTATTTACTTCCAGAGTTTAGAGTGGCAGTTTGGGGATAGCACCAGGAGATATCAGCTGTGATGGCTTGGAGAAACAGTGTAAACCAGCAGTGTAAACAAGAGCAGGGCATGTATGAGTAGTTGAGAACGGTGAATAGGAGTATGACTAGAGAGAAGATAGTAGGGATGACAAGTTTTTTGGGGTCACAGTCTAAGTTGGTCTGGTGTCGAATGAGACTGGGGCCTAATAAAAAGGAGCGTCTATACAGGAGCTCAAATGGGCTGCACCTTGTAGCATTCTGAGGACAGGTCTGACTTCTGAGAAGGGAAAGTGGTAAAAGTATTATCCAGTCCTTTTTAAGTTGGTGGCTGAGCTTGGTGAGGTGTGTTTTTAAAAGACCTTTAGTCTGTTCTACTTTTCTTGAAGACTGAGGACCGTAAGGGATATAAAGGTTTCACTGAGTACTAAGAGCCTGAAAAACTGCTTGGCTGATTTGACTAATAAAGGCTGGTCTTTTATCAGACTGTATAGAGGTGGGAAGGCTAAACTGAGGAATTATGTCTGACAGAAGAGAAGAAATGACTGCGGTGGCCTTCTCAGACCCTGTAGGACAGGTCTTTACTTATTCAGTGAAAGTGTCTAGTTAGACTAAGAGGTATTTTAGTTTCCTGATTCAGGGCATGTTGAGTAAAGCTAATTTGCCAGTCCTGGGTGGGGGCAAATCTTCAAGCTTGATGTGTAGGGAAGGGAGGGGGCCTGAATAATCCCTGAGGAGTAGTAGAATAGCAGATGGAACACTGAGAAGTTATTTCCTTGAGGATAGATTTCCACGATGGAAAGGAAATGAGAGGTTCTAAGAGGCGGGCTAGTGGCTTGTACTATAGCATAGCCTGCCTTTGCTGGTGTGTGGCGATTAGGCCTGGTGGAACTGCCATCAATAAATCAAGCGTGATCAGGGTGAGGAACAGAAAAGAAGGAAATATGGGGAAATCGGGTGAATATCAGGTGGATCAGAGAGATACAGTCATGGGGGTCAGGTGTGGTATCAGGAATAATGTGGGAGGCCAGATTGAAGTCCGGGCCAGGAACAATGGTAATTGTGGGACTTAACAAAGAGTGAGTACAGCTGAAGGAGCCAGGGAGCAGAAAGTATATGCATCAGGTATGAGGAAGAAAGTAGATTTCAGAAGTTATGAGAAATGCAGAGAGTGAGTTGAGCACAGTTCGTGATTTTTAGGGCCTCTAAAAGTATTAAAGCAGTGGCAGCCGCTGCACGGAGACATGATGGCTAGGCTAAAACAGTAAGGTCAAGTTGTTTGGACAGAAAGGCTACAGGGTGTGGTCCTGGCTCTTGTGTAAGAATTCTGACCACACTAACCATGCCTAGGAAGAAAAGGAGTTGTTGTTTTGTAAGGGATTGAGGTTTGGGAGATTAATCGGACATGATCAGAAGGGAGAGCACATGTGTTTTTATGAAGAATTATGCCGAGGTAGGTAATGGATGGGGAAAAAATTTGAGCTTTGGAGGGGAATACCCGCTATCCTTTGGAGAATAAATGCTGAAGGAGCAGAAGTGTGTCTTGTTGAGAAGATTCAAAGGAGGGGCTACAAAGAAGAAGGTCATCAATATACTGAATAAGGTGAGAAGCGGAGGGGTGGAAAGAAACTAAATCATGAGACAGAGCTTGGCTGAAGTAATGAGGGCTGTCCCTGAAACCTTGCGGCAGTACAGCCCAGGTAAGCTGCTGGGACTGATGGGTGTCAGGGTTAGTCCAAGTGAAAGCAAAGAGAGGCTGGGATGAAGGGTGCAAAGGAATAGTAAAGAAAGCATGCCCTCTCCCTCTCCCTCTCCCTCTCCCTCTCCCTCTCCCTCTCCCCCTCCCCCTCCCCTCTTTCCACGGTCTCCCTCTGATGCAGAGCCGAAGCTGGACTGTACTGCTGCCATCTCGGCTCACTGCAACCTCCCTGCCTGATTCTCCTGCCTCAGCCTGCTGAGTGCCTGCAATTGCAGGCGCGCGCCGCCACGCCTGACTGGTTTTCGTATTTTTTGGGTGGAGACGGGGTTTCGTTGTGTTGGCCGGGCTGGTCTCCAGCTCCTGACCGCGAGTGATCCGCCAGCCTCGGCCTCCCGAGGTGCCGGGATTGCAGACGGAGTCTCCTTCACTCAGTGCTCAATGGTGCCCAGGCTGGAGTGCAGTGGCATGATCTCGGCTCGCTACAACATCCACCTCCCAGCAGCCTGCCTTGGCCTCCCAAAGTGCCGAGATTGCAGCCTCTGCCCGGCCGCCACCCCGTCTGGGAAGTGAGGAGCATCTCTGCCTGGCCGCCCATCGTCTGGGATGTGAGGAGCCCCTCTGCCTGGCTGCCCAGTCTGGAAAGTGAGGAGCGTCTCTGCCAGGCCGCCATCCCATCTAGGAAGTGAGGAGCGTCTCTGCCCGGCCACCCATCATCTGAGATGTGGGGAGCGCCTCTGCCCTGTCGCCCCGTCCGGGATGTGAGGAGCGTCTCTGCCCGGCCGCCCCGTCTGAGAAGTGAGGAGACCCTCTGCCTGGCAACCGCCCTGTCTGAGAAGTGAGGAGCCCCTCCGCCCAGCAGCCGCCCCGTCTGAGAAGTGAGGAGCCCCTCCGCCCGGCAGCCACCCCGTCTGGGAAGTGAGGAGCGTCTCCGCCCGGCAGCCACCCCGTCCAGGAGGGAGGTGGGGGGGTCAGCCCCCCGCCCGGCCAGCCGCCCCGTCCGGGAGGGAGGTGGGGGGATCAGCCCCCCGCCCGGCCAGCCGCCCCCTCCGGGAGGTGAGGGGCGCCTCTGCCCGGCCACCCCTACTGGGAAGTGAGCCCCTCTGCCTGGCCAGCCGCCCCGTCCGGGAGGGAGATGGGGGGGTCAGCCCCCCGCCCGGCCAGTCGCCCCGTCCGGGAGGTGAGGGGTGCCTCTGCCCGGCCGCCCCTACTGGGAAGTGAGGAGCCCCTCTGCCCGGCCACCACCCCGTCTGGGAGGTGTACCCAACAGCTCATTGAGAACGGGCCGGGATGACAATGGCGGTTTTGTGGAATAGAAAGGGGGGAAAGGTGGGGAAAAGATTGAGAAATCGGATGGTTGCTGTGTCTGTGTAGAAAGAGGTAGACATGGGAGACTTTTCATTTTGTTCTGTACTAAGAAAAATTCTTCTGCCTTGGGATCCTGTTGATCGGTGACCTTACCCCCAACCCTGTGCTCTCTGAAACATGTGCTATGTCCACTCAGGGTTAAATGGATTAAGGGCGGTGCAAGATGTGCTTTGTTAAACAGACGCTTGAAGGCAGCATGCTCGTTAAGAGTCATCACCACTCCCTAATCTCAAGTACCCAGGGACACAAACACTGCGGAAGGCCGCAGGGTCCTCTGCCTAGGAAAACCAGAGACCTTTGTTCACTTGTTTATCTGCTGACCTTCCCTCCACTATTGTCCTGTGGCCCTGCCAAATCCCCCTCTGCGAGAAACACCCAAGAATGATCAATAAAAAAAAAAAAATAAATAAATAAATAAATCATATCAAAGTAAAAAGTTTCCAAAAAAAATAAAAAGTTTCAAAAAAAAAGAAAGCATGTTTGAGATCTAGAACAGAATAATGGGTAGTAGAGGGAGGTATTGAGGATAGGAGAGTATATGGGTTTGGCACCACGGGGTGGATAGGCAAAACAATTTGGTTGATAAGGCGCAGATCCTGAACTAATCTGTAAGACTTGTTCTGTTTTTGGACAGGTAAAATTGGGGAATTGTAAGGAGAGTTTATAGGTTTTAGAAGCCTATGCTGTAGCAGGCGAGTGATAACAGGCTTTAATCCTTTTAAAGTGTGCTGTGGGATGGGATATTGGCATTGAGTGGGGTAAGGGTGATTAGGTTTTAAAGAGATGGTAAGGGGTGCATGATCGGTCACCAAGGAGGGAGTAGGGGTATCTTATAGTTGTGGGTTAAGGTCGGGGAATACAAGAGGAGGACGCAAAGAAGGCTTTGGATTGGGAAGAAAGGTGGCAATGAGATGTAGCTGTAATCCCGGAATAGTCAGGGAAGCAGATAATTTAGTTAAAGTGTCTCGGCCTAATAAGGGAACTGGGCAGGTGGGGATAACTAAAAGGAGTGCTTAAAAGAGTATTGTCTCAGCTGGCACCAGAGTTGGGGAGTTTTAAGAGGTTTAGAAGCCTGGCCGTCAATACCCACAACAGTTATGGAAGCAAGGGAAACAGGCCCTTGAAAAGAAGGTAATGTGGAGTGGGTAGCTTCCATATTGATTAAGAAGGGGATGGACTTACCTTCCACTGTGAGTTACTGGAAGCTCGGCACCTGTGATGGTCTAGGGGGCTTCCGAGGTGATTGGGCAGCGTCAGTCTTCAGCCGCTAAGCCGAGAAGATCTGGGAAGGAGTCAGAGAGCCTTGGGCCAGAGTTCCAGGGGCTGTGGGAGTGGCTGCCAGGTGAGTTGAACAGTCCAATTTTCAGTGGGGTCCTGCACAGATGGGACGCGGCTTAGGAGGAATCCCAGGCTGCGGGCATTCCTTGGCCCAGTGGCCAGATTTCCGGCATGTGTAGCAAGCTCCTGGGGGAGGAGGTTCTGGAGGAACGCCTGGCTGCTGCAGTTCAGGCATTTGGAAGTTCTTGTGTGCTGGAGATGTGGCTGGGGTTTGTCTCACAGTGGAGGCAAGGAATTGCAACTTTTTTCTATTATTGTACACCTTGAAGGCGAGGTTAATTAAATCCTGTTGTGGGGTTTGAGGGCCGGAATTTAATTTTTGGAGTTTATTTAATGTCGGGAGCAGATTGGGTAATAAAATGTATATTGAGAATAAGACGGCCTTTTGACCTTTTAGGGTCTAGGGCTGTAAAGCGTCTCAGGGTTGCTGCTGAATGAGCCATGAACTGGGCTGGGTTTTTTATGTTTGATGAAAAAGAGCCTAAACACTATCTGATTTGGGATAAAGAAAAAGGAGCATTAACCTTGACTATGGCTTTAGCTCCAGCCACCTTTTTAAGAGTAAATTGCTGGGCAGGTGGGGGAGGGCTAGTCACGGAACGAAACTGTAAACCAGACTGGGTGTGAGGAGGGGAGGTGATAAAAGGATTATAGGGTGGAGGAGCGGAGGCTGAGGAAGAATTGGGACCTAGCTCGGCCTGGCGAGGAGGGGAGAGGTCAGAAGAGTCTGTAGAAAAGGAAGATTAGAAAGACTCAGCGACGCTTGGGGTTGGGACTGAGGGGACAGGCAGGAGGGAAAGAAGGAAGATTTGGGATGAGTTGCATTGGAACAGAGACTAGAGAGGGACTGATGTGTAAAAGAATGCCTGGACTTCAGGCACCTCAGACCGTTTGCCTATTTTACGAGAAGAATTATTTAGATCTTGCAGGATGGAAAAATTCAAAGTGCAGTTTTCTGGCTATTTGGGACTACTGTCGAGTTTGTATTGGGGTCAAGCGGCATTGCAGAAGAAAATAAGGCATTTAGGTTTTAGGTCAGGTGAAAGTTGAAGAGGTTTTAAGTTCTTAAGAACACAGGCTAAGGGAGAAGAAAGAGGAATGGAAGGTGGAAGCTTACCCATCGTGAAGGAGGCAAGCCCAGAGAAAAGAGTAGAGACACGGAGAAGGGGTGGGGGTTTCTTGCCCTCCAGAAAAGCAGAGAAGGGGTTGGGGTGCAGAGATACGAGGTCAGGGTGCAGAAATAAGGGATCGGGGTGCAGAGATACGAGGTTGGGGTACTTGCCTCTCCCCCAGAAAAGCAGAGAAGGGATAGAGACACAGAGAGAAGGGGTTGGAGTACTTGCCCCTCCCCCAGAAAAGTGGGACTTGCCGCTGAGGGTGAAGGAGAAGGAGTTGAGGGGTTCTTGCCCCTGCCCCAGAAAATCAGAGAAGGGGTAGAGACAAGGAGAGAAGGGGTTGGGGTACTTGCCTCTTCCCCAGAAAAGCGGGACTTGCCACTAAGGGTGAAGGAGAAGGGGTTGAGGGGTTCTTTCCCCTGCCCCAGAAAATCAGAGAAGGGGTATAGACATGGAGAGAAGGGGTTGGGGTACTTGCCCCTTCCCCAGAAAAGCAGAGAAGGGGTAGAGACAAGGAGAGAAGGGGTTGGGGTACTTGCCCCTTCCCCAGAAAAGCAGGACTTGCCACTAAGGGTGAAGGAGAAGGGATTGAGGGGTACTTGCCCCTCCCCCAGAAAAGCAGAGAAGGGGTAGAGACACGGAGAGAAGGAAATATGGGGAAATGGGGTGAATATCAGGTGGATCAGAGAGATACAGTCATGGGGGTCAGGTGTGGTATCAGGAATAATGTGGGAGGCCAGATTGAAGTCCGGGCCAGGAACAATAGTAATTGTGGGACTTAACAAAGAGTGAGTACAGCTGAAGGAGCCGGGGAGCAGAAAGTATATGCGTCAGGTATGAGGAAGAAAATAGATTTTGGAAGTTATGAGAAATGTAGAGAGTGAGTTGAGCATAGTTTGTGATTTTTAGGGCCTCTAAAAGTATTAAAGCAGTGGCAGCCACTGCATGCAGACATGAGGGTTAGGCTAAAACAGTAAGGTCAAGTTGTTTGGACAGAAAGGCTACAGGGTGCGGTCCTGGTCCGAGTCACGGCACCAAATTTCATGTGCGTCCTTGTGAAGAGACCACCAAACAGGCTTTGTGTGAGCAACATAGCTGTTTATTTCACCTGGGTGCAGGTGGGCTGAGTCCGAAAAGAGAGTCAGTGAAGGGAGATGGATTATCATTAGTTCTTATAGGTTTTGGGTTAGGCGGTGAAGTTAAGAGCAATGTTTTGCGGGCAGGGGTGGATCTCACAAAGTACATTCTCAAGGGTGAGGAGAATTACAGAGAACCTTCTTAAGGGTGGGGGAGATTACAAAGTACATTGATCAGTTAGGGTGGGGCAGGAACAAATCACAATGGTGGAATGTCATCAGTTAAGGCTATTTTTACTTCTTTTGTGGATCTTCAGTTACTTCAGGCCATCTGGGTGTATATGTGCAAGTCACAGGGGATGCGATGGCTTGGCTTGGGCTCAGAGGCCTGACAGAAGCCATAGCTGGAATTCTAAACGGTGTGAGTGTGTGTCCCATTTGAAAAAGCACATCCAACCTAAACATTTATATGAAAAAATGGAAAGATATACCCATTGTTTTGGAATACAAACTACAGAAAGTAACAGTTAACAGAATCTTAGTGGAAAGATAAGATTCCACATCTGGAAAGGCAGAGTGATTTTCAACTGGGTTGTGTGTCCTTAACTGAGGAAGGGAAGATGAAATTTATGTTTATTAAAAGGCAGCTATGAATTTACCTTTTATAAAGAGCTTACAATATACTATTAGTGCTTCTTCAATCATGTGTCTGAATCACCCGGATGCCTGTGTAAATGCAAATTCCCAGAGATTCTGATCCTGTGAGCCTAGGATGGGGCCCAGAAATCTCTATGGGGTGGTGCAGGCTGCCCCAGGACCACACCTAAGAAACACTGCAACTAGCCCACACACACATCCAAGTCCCCAGATATGTAGGCAGGCATATTATCTCCGTAAAACAGATGGGGAAACTGAGGTCCAGAATGGGGAAATCACCCAGCAAGTAGTAGCAGAGACATGATACACCCACTGCCTGCAGACACCATCCCTGATGACAGCTTCACCTCCCTACAGGAACCTTGCCTACCCCCACCCCTATGTCCTGCCACCCCTATGGTGGGTCTCTGTCCAAGGAAGATGTAGCCCTGGTCCTCCAGGCTGACTGGGGCTCAGAGGAAAAGCCTGGCCCAGACTGTAGGAGCTAGAAGGGCCCTTGCAATTCAGGTGGGGAAACTGAGGCCCAAAGAAGGCAGTCTTCACATTTGAACTCTGCCTGGAGAAGGGCTGGGTCTCCTTCCTGAGTGGTAGGTTTGACTTCATCAGCCTGGCCCTCAGTCAAGGTGACTGTCCAGGCCCACCACACCTCGAGGTGGGTGACCAGAGGCATCAGTGCCATAAAATGCATTTCTTGGGAGATCCACCCTGAAAGCGCAAAACATTCCAGGGCTGGTGATTTGGGCAAGCCCCCTTCCCTCTAGGCCCAGTTTCCCCATTTCTGCAATAGCTGTGTTGGAGGAGACTTCTCTCTGAGACTGAGCCGCAGATTTGTTCCCAGGTGCCTACGCCGCACAGGTTGCCGGCTCCTCTGTCCCCACTCTTCAAGAAAGTCACCTCTTAGGTGAGGAAGGAGTCTCGGCCCTGTTGGGAGTGGGAGTTGGTTCACCCCCAGTCTCCCAGACCACTGGGGATGACCTGGGCTGCCTGCAAAGATGGTGTCATCCATGGCTGCTCCCCAGCCTGCAGACACCCACCATGGAGGGTGACACTGGCTCTCCCAGTGGCTCTGAGAAGAGGCAGCCCCCACTCCAAACCTTGCAGAGCCACCCACGCCTTCCCTCACCCGAAAGAGGCTTTTAGGAAAATGAATCATCTCAAGTTCATACCCATGGGGGTTGCTGAAAGACAGGACAGTGCGGGGTGAGCTGGCACAAAGGAGTGCTGCTCTCTGCAGACTTTGCAGGGAGGTCACTTAGGAAAAGGGAGTGGAATCTGGGAGAGTGAATAGCTTAGGGTTAAAGGGAGGGGATGGGGCTGGAGTGGGCTGGCCTGTGCTCCCCCTTGGGCCTTCCAGCCTGGTCTCAGGTGATTCAAGGGAGCAAGCACATCCCTCTCCCAGCCAGAGAGTTCTTGCCACGTTTTGGAATCAGTGCCATTCCCTTGGGCGTTGGGGGGCAGCCCCCACCTCTGGACCTAGCTGGAACTGCTGCCTTAATTCTGGATCCAAAAGGGCCTCTGGCAGCTTCTCCATCTCCCTCTCAGTCCAGCCCCCTATCTCCTTCCCCATGTGGACCCCAACAGGCAAATCTGACAACTGGAGGAAGAAGGCAGGAAGGGTAGGGTCTGAGGGGATGACAATTTTAAAAAGGCAGCTCTGCCACCTTCTTTCCAGGACTCTCAGTCTTGCTTTCATATTGCCCCTTGGACATCATTTTGCTATAATCTAACATGTTGACTTATGGTCTTTAAAAACAATAACATTGTTGATGTGGAGCAGACTTCCCCTTTGGGATGGTTTGGAGAAGTTAGGTTTGAGGGCATCCTCTCTTCTGCAAACTGCAGCAGTAATAGGTGAGATATATAAAGTAAATAAAGGTCAGGTGCAGTGGCTCATGCCTGTAATCCCAGCACTTTGTGAGGCCAAGGCAGGAGGATCACTTGAAGTCAGGAGTTCAAGACCAGCCTGGCCAACATAGTGAAACTCCATCTCTACTAAAAAAAAAATACAAAAATTACCTGGGCATGGTGGTGGGTGCCTGTAATCCAAGCTATTCAGGAGGCTGAGGCAGGAAAATCTCTTGAACCTGGGAGGTGGAGGTTACAGTGAGCCAAGATCGTGCCACTGCACTCCAGCCTAGGCGACAGAGTGAGGCTCCATCTTAAAAAAAAAAAACGAAGGAAATAATTTTAAATTGGAAAGAAAAATTCCTGTACTTGCAGACCATATAATTGCCTATGATGAAAATCCAGAAGAATATACAGATAAATTATTAAGACTAGTAAGAGAGTTAGCAAGGTTGTTGAATTCAAGATCAACTTAAAAAAAGATTAGCATTCCTATACATCAGTAATAACAAATTAAGAAAATGTAATAGAAAAAGAGATTCTATTCACAATAGCAACAAAATCCTGAGAATATATCTAGCAAAATATACACAAGACCTTTCATGAAGAGTATTGCTATAGCCTGAATGTGTCTCCCAAAATTCATGTGTTAAAACTTAATTGCCAAGGTGATAGTATGAAGAAGTGGGGCCTTTAAAAAGTGATTAAGTCATAAGGGCAAGCCCTCATGCATGAGATTAGTGCCTTATAAAAGGGCTTAGGGATGGTGGTAAATCTGCCTTCTGCCACATGAGACCATAGCATTGTCTGCTCCAGAGGAACCAGCATTCAAGGTACCATCTTGGAAGCAGAGACCAGGCCCTCACTAGACACTGTACCTGCTGGAGCGTTGATCTTGTTCTTCCCAACTTCCAGAACTGAGAAAATAAACTTCAGTTGTTTGTAAATTACCTAGTCTCAGGTGTTTTGTCATAGCACTACAAAGGGACTAAGACAAATATAAAAACTACCCAGGGACTTAAAGGAAGAACTGACTAAATTGAAATATATACTGTATATATTATGAATAGTAGGACTCAATGTTATAAACATATTACTTCTCACTGAATTAATCTATAAATTCAAGCAATTCCCACACAAATCCCAATAGAAGTTTTTGTGGAATTTGACAGGCTGATCCTAAAATTCATGTAGTCATTGAGGGGCCAAGAATAGTGTAGCAGACACCATTGGTGCCCTCCCCATAGCCCTCAGCATTGCCAGCCACATACATGCCTTCAAGAGCACACTCAATGTATTCATCATTCCTTTTCATTTCCTGTATTTCCTGATGTTTTGACAGCTGGAGCCTTGCTGATCCTGGAGAGAATGCTCCTCCCAGGGCTAGCCAGTTCCTAGAGATAGTAAAGGACTCACCTGCAAGTGCACCTCCCATATGCAAACCAGCCAATCCAAAGCCCGTAGACCCAACCACTTCCTTCATCGGGCTCTTACACTGGGCCACTGTCCCTCTGCCCTCATCATCCCAGGGCCATGAGCCAGACAACTGGGGAGAGCCCTAGGCCCCAGAGCGGAATGAAATTATTCAAACTATTAATAGCTAATCCTGTGCCTGCTTACCTTGCCTTTCCCTTGGATGCCACAAATAAAGCTCTTGCCCATGTTTTCCCCTCACTCCTTTGACTTCTTGACCAACCCTGGTGCCTCCCTATGTATCCCTGCATAGCATGCCGTGGCTCTTGTTTCTAGGAAACTTTGAGTATAAAAAAACTCTTTCCTTCAGGACAGTCATGTCCATGTCTGTGTGTCTTACCATATCTGATTAAAATAAATGTTCAGTGCATTTTAAAACAGCCATGAGGAATGAGAGTTGGTGGATAAATATTGCAGCTTCCCCACCCCTCAGTTGGAATAACTTTGAAGGGCCCAGTGAGATTGAACCCCAGTTACCCTTTGTGGCAACCTGCTCGTTAATGCACTGTCTGTTAGCTTTCTTCCCTTACCTATTTCACTTCCCACCCTCTTACCTGGGCTTCCTGGAATCACCTTCTAAAAAAATGCTTGCACCCAAATCCTTGACTCAGGCTCTGCTTCTAGTGGAACACAAGTGAATATATATATATATATATTTTTTTTTTTTTTTTTTTTTTTTTGAGATGGAGGCTCACTCTGTCGCCCAGGCTGGAGTGCAGTGGTGCGATCTCGGCTCGCTGCAAGCTCCGCCTCCCAGGTTCATGCCATTCTCCTGCCTCAGCCTCCCGAGTAGCTGGGACTACATGTGCCCGCCACCATGCCCAGCTAATTTTTTGTATTTTTAGTAGAGATGGGGTTTCACCGTGTTAGCCAGGATGGTCTCGATCTCCTGACCTCTTGATCCGCCCACCTTGGCCTCTCAAAGTGCTAGGATTACAGGTGAGAGCCACCATGCCCAGCCACAAGTG
The DNA here is from genome assembly GCF_000001405.40 of Homo sapiens. NCBI lineage: Eukaryota > Metazoa > Chordata > Mammalia > Primates > Hominidae > Homo > Homo sapiens. The sequence goes on from NC_000002.12 coordinate 71,170,159, forward strand.
AAAATATTTTTAAAGAATGAGAGTAACATAGAGGTCGGTGGGTAATGGAACGTTTAAGATTTGTGTGCATACTATAATGTCATAGGAATTAGGACAGTGATGTGTTGTCAAGGGGATTTACAAATCGACCACTGGAAGAGAACAGGAACCCAGCAAAAGACCCATGACACATGGAAACTTGGAATGAGACAGAAGTTGCATTGTAGATTGTTGGGGAAAGGATGGAATATTCTACAAATGGTGTTGGCACAATTGATTTTCCATATGGAAAGTAAATACAACTAGATCCCTAGTTCACATCATACCAAAAATAAAATCCAGGTTGATTAAAGATCTAGCTGTGAAAAGCAAAACTTTGAAAGCAATTACAAGGAATCGTAGGGGGATATCCTTATGATTGGAGCAGTGTCTTAGTTGGGGCTGCTCTAACAAAATGCCATGGACTGGGTGGCTTCAACAACAAACATTGATTTCTCCAAGTTCTTGAGGCTAGAAGTCCAAGATCAGGGTGCCAGCATGGCTGGTTCCTGGGGAGGGCCCACCTGCTGGTTCACAGAGGGCCATCTTCTTGTATCCTCACACGGCAGAGAGCAAGAAAGACAGGAAGAAACTCTCCTGAATCTCTCCTTATAAAGGTACTGATCCCATCATGCGAGCTCCTCCCTTCTAATTACTTCCCAGGGGCCCCCCCTCCTAACACCATTATATTGGAGGCTAGGATTTCAACATATACATTTTGAGGGGACGCAAACATTCAGTCCATAACATGTAGAAAGTAATTTCTTAAATAAAATACTGAAAGTGGCTGGGTGTTGTGGTTCACGCCTGTAATCCCAGCACTTTGGGAGGCTGAAGCAGGAGGATTGCTTGAGCCCAGGAGTTCCAGAGCAGCCTGGGTGACACAACAAGACCCCATCTCTCTCTTTCTCTCTCTCTCTCTCTATATATATATATATGTGTGTGTGTGTGTGTGTGTGTGTGTGTGTGTGTATATATATGTGCAAAATTAGCTGGGTGTGCTGCTGCATGCCTGTAGTCCTGGCTACTCAAGAGGCTGAGGTGGGAGGATCCCTGGAGGCTGGGTGTTTGAGGCTGCATTGAGCTATAATTGAGCCACTGCACTCCTGCCTGGGCAACAAAGCGAGACTCTGTCTCAAGAAAAAAATATTAAAAGTGTAAGCTCAAAAGAAAAATGGTGATAGATTTGACTTCAGTAAGGTATTTAAACTTCTATTCAATGAAACATACCACAATGATGATTCTGCAAAGGACCTAGAGTGAATAGTAAATCTCTCTTCTATCCCTTCCCCGTCCCAGCCCCAGCTCCCCTCCCAAGAGACAACCAGTGTCTTTTCTGAGCGTGTCTAATTCACACTCAGCATCTAGGTTTACATAGTATTTTAAAATATTTTCATACAAGTATTAGTACACCAGGCATATTGTTCCTGCATCTTGCTGGTATCCTTTTTCTTTCTCAAGACAGGGTCTTGCTCTGTCACCCAGGCTGGAGTGCAGTGGCACAGTCATAGCTCACTGCGGCCTGGACCTCATGGACCCAAGTGATCCTCCCACCTCAGTCTCCCAAGTAGCAGAGACCACGGGTGTGCACCACCATGCCCAGATAATTGTTTTATTTTCGTACAGATATGGTCTCACTATGTTGCCCAGGCTGGTCTCAAACTCCTCAGCTCAAGCCCTCCTCCTACCTGGGCCTCCCAAAGTGCTGGGATTACAGGTGTGAGTCACTGTGCCTGGCCATGGGATTCTTAATAATATGTCTTGGAGATTGTTTCATATCATTATATTTAGAGCTACCTCACTCTTTTAACAACTGCATATAATTCCACTGCATGAATGTATCATAATTTATTTATCCGGTCCTTTTAAGTGGACATTTAGGTTTTTTGTTTTTTTTTTTTATCTTTTTCAGTTATGAACAGTGCTACAGTAAATGTCTTTTTCATATTTTTACGATGAGTTTTTAAAGCCAATGTACTAGAAGATGGAAGGAAGCAGGTTTCTTACCCATTCCATCTCGGACTGCATTTTTAGAGGAAATTGTGCTATCTGGAGAACCATATTTGGCTCAGAGGATCAGGAGTGCTTGGATCCTACCCTGGTCTAACTCTTCCCTCCCCTACAACTAGGCCAATGAGAGATGGAGAAAATAAACAAGGAACATCTCATTCTTAGAGGGGCTGAAAATCTAAGGCCATGCTCTCTGGAGGACACCCCTTCCCATAACCCAGGCTTTCTCTTTGACATTTTGGACTAGATAGACCTCTGTTCTGAGGGCTGTCCTGTGCACTGTAGCATGTTTAGTAGCATCCCTGACCTTGACCCACTAGATACCAGCAGCACCTTCTCCCTAGTTGTGACAATATCTCCTGGCTGAGACCTACTGCTCTAACCCAGCATGGACCTCAGAATCCTACCACCCATAGGCTGGCACAGGGGCAGGAGACTGAGGCCCCAGGAGTGCTTGGCCCAGAATAGGAATGGAAGTGAGATGACCAGGCTTTGCACACCAGGATCAGCCTGTCCTGCCATAGGAGGCTCATGGAGCCAGTGGTACCCCTGAGGGCCCCAAGTGCAGAGCCTTTTCATAGTTGTCCCCCTGCCCATTGGCAGACATGGCCGCGTGGCACCCTGGCATCTATCCAAACATATAGTGACCTCTGCATGAAGGATAGGGTGGGAAGCTGGGGGAGATCTGGAGGCTATATTCATACATGCGCAGCGCAAACCAGTGGAACTGCCTACCACAGGTGGCCTCCGTCAGAATCGGGACAGTAGATGTGAACTCTGCTTTCGTGTCAGGTTCTGAGGACAAAGCTGATAGAGTTGGCATTTTTTCCCCACACTTCTAGATCAGGCCATATTTGAATCCATGATCAGTCTGTATGTCTTTAATTGACTTGAACCAGGGGTGATAGATAATCCACCCCCCATTTCCTTAGATGGTTGGTCTTCACTTTCCCCCTGGTTGGCTCATAGGAATTATGTAATTTTTTTTGTATTCATCTGATTTGTTGATGTGGGACACCAAGAGGGAGGAACTTGGCACTCAAACATTAAGGTGAATGTCACAAATAGAGGCCAGTGGAGGGTGGGAGGCTCCCGGGGAGGCATTGCCCAATGCAGGGCAAAGGTTACAATGTCAGGCTAAGGCTTTCTAATGAAGCTCCTGGTTGTCATGTGGTGGCAGAGGGGAGAGCTGAAATCAGGATTGTGAGGTGTGGCTGAAATGTCTGCTGTAGCTCCAGGTGAGAGAGGCCCAAGACTTAGGATGGCAACAAAATCTCCCAAGATCCAGCAAGCCAAGCAAGCTTCTACTTTCTTGATGTTCCCCCCAACCCGTAAATATCACAGCTTTTGCAAGCCACAGTGGCTCATGCCTATAATCCCAGCACTTTGGGAGGCTGAAGCAGGAGGATTGCTTGAGCCCAGGAGTTTGAGACAAACCTGGGCAACATGGTAAGACCCTGTCTCTACAATAAAAAATACAAAAATTAGCCGGGCATGGTGGCATACACCTATAGTCCCACCTACTCAGGAGGCTGAGGTGGGAGGATCACTTGAGCCCTCAAGGCAGAGGTTGCAGTGAGCTGAGATCGCACCACTACACTCCAGCCTGGGTGGTAGAGGGAGACCCTGTCTCAAACAACAACAGCAACAACAACAACAATAACAACAAAACATAGCACACAGCTTTTGAAAAGAGATGGCGTGACAAAGATCACAGAACAAAGGGTTAACAAAAGAACCGGCTTGGGCTGAATGTGGTGGCCCACGCCTGTAATCCCAGCACTTTGGGAGGCCAAGGTGGGCAGATCACCTGAGGTTAGGAGTTTGAGACCAGCCTGGCCAACATGGTGAAACCCCGTCTCTACTAAAAATACAAAAATTAGCCCAGCGTTGTGGCACACACCTGTAATCCCAGCTACTCTGGAGGCTGAGGCAGGAAAATCGCTTGAACCCAGGAGGCGGAGGTTGCAGTGAGCAGAATCTAGCCACTGCACTCCAGCCTGGGTGACAGAGCAAGACTCAAAAGAGGGCAAAGGAGGTACAGCTTTCAAATATTCAGACTTTTGCAATTGGAAAATTTAACAAAAAAGCCATTTTATTTTTAGCGTGCATATAAAAGTTGTGTGGTTTGTGGTTTTGCTTTTATTTTGAATTTCTTCCTGGGGAGAAGCACCAAAGCATCTTCAGTGCTTAGACCTGGAAAGGTCAACGTCCATCCTGGAGATCCAGTCACAACCACAGGACCACAGAAGGGCAGAGCTGGGAGGGCCTGTGGAGGTCACTCCATCCACCCACCCCACTCCCAGAACCGTACAGGCTGGGCAGTCCAGGCCAATTCAAGCATTCCCTTCTGGTTCTATCAAGAAAGTCTAGGAGGGGAGTGGAGAGCTGCAGAGGGGAAGGAGGGAGGGGATCAGAAGGAGGAGGAGGAGGAGCAGGAGGAGGAAGTAGAGGTGAAAGAGGAGGAGAGTGGTAGACTGACAGAAATTTTTGCTCTTCCTGGCACCCTGCTCCTACCCCTGGACCTAACTGAGCCTTCCCAGGTGCTATGCACTGAATGTCTGTATCCTGCATGATGGGATTAGTGCCCTTATAAGAATAAACATAAGCAAGCATGCCTTCTCTCTCTCTCTGCCATGTGAGGATATAGCAAGGAGGCGTCCTTACGAGAAACCAAGAAAAGAGTCCTCATCCAGTCCCAACCATACTGGCAGCCTGATCGCAGACTTCCCAGCCTCTAGAACTATGAGGAATAAATTACTGTCTAAGCTACCTGGCAATTCATTATAATTTGTTACAGCAGCCTGAGCTGACTAAGGCACCAGGCCACCTAAGTGACTTGACTGCCTGCTCACTCTCTTTGCTGTCCAGACCATGGGGACCCTGGTTCTCTGCCTCTTTCTTGGGTCGCTCCTTCCCTGTGTGCCATCCTTCCTGCAGTCTGCAGCCTGTGCTGCTCCTTAGTCCACTGTTCTTGGCCATCTCTTCCATCTGTGAGCACTCTCTCCTCATTCACTCGGGGATGAGCTCACTCCCTCCTTTGGTACCAATTACAATCTATGGCAGTGGGGCTTGACTTTGGACAGACCCACACACCCCCCTCCAGAGACTCTGAGTGATTGGTCTGGGATGCAGCCTGGCCATAGAGCACTCTGGAAGCTCCTCAGGGCATTCTAATATAGACCACTGGACAGTAAAGTGTTGGTTAGCTCTAACAACCCTGCACATCCCAAAAAAAGGACTGGTCCTTGACCAGCTTTTGAGAGGTGCTTGATCTCTAAGCCTTTGGAATATTCTGCCTTCTAACAATGTTTTTGTAAGCCTGAGGCTTTGGGCCTTGCTGTATCAATTTGATTTCTCTAGGGGCTGAAGCCTGAGTAGCTGGGGTCAATCCCCCAGGAGCTGCATGCCTGCATGACTGACCCCTCAAGAGAAACCCTGAACACTAAGGCTTGGTTGGGCTTCCCTGGTTGACAACACTTAGCATGTGCTGTTACACATTATCGCTGGGAGAATTAACCATTGTCTGTACAACTCCACTGGGAAAGGATAATTGGAAACTAGTGCCTCGTTTCTCCCTTTTCCCTTTCTGGTTTTAACCTGTATCTTTTCACTGTAATGATCCATAACTGTGGGCATAATGGCTTTTCTAAGTCCTTTGGGTCTTTATAGCCAATCACTGAACCTGTGCCTGGTTGGGGATCCTCTACACAACCACAAAGACCAGGAACACTGAGCTGCAATATACACATTGCTGGGCCGCACTCCAGAGATTCTGATTCAGTGTGCCTGGGGAGGGCCTAGGAACCCATGTGTTAATAAGTTCCCTGGGGCCTGTGATAGGCAGGCAGTATTGAGAGACATGGATTAATGTGCTGATGACTTCCAATCAGTCTCAAGCTCTGGTATGTCCACTGAACACGTCCACTCAGATGGCCCACACACCCCTCCACTCCCCCATACCATGCTCTGCTAACATTTCAGTGAATACAGGCTGCATGGCTGCCTGTCCCCTCTCCCTACCCCATAAAGGCCAATCAGTCACCCAGTCCTCCCAACCATCTCCAGAGTCTCATCCCTTCTTCCTTTCCTCTTTGCTTCATCCACTAGTTCCATTTCACTTGGCCACACTGTAGCCAAACTGGAATCTGAGTCTGGTGTTTCCCTTTGGGAAGCTGCTCAGTGGCTCCCTGTGTACATGTGGTTCAAACTCTTGGTGGCATTCAGGGTCTTTCTTGGCCTTTCCAGGCTCCCCTCTCACCACAACACATACTGTCCCTTCCAGCCTTGGGGCATTCCTTGCAGCCTCAGAATAGGAGGCCTCCCTCCATCTGCAATGCCCTTTGCCTCCCTCTGTATATCCTGTCTTAGGCTATTCACCAGCCTGCATTTCAATTGCTCATTTGCCTGCCTGACTCCCTCTCTATGCCAGCACCTGGCAGCCTCATACAAGTCCCTTAATAATTGTATGTTGAATAAATGAATGAATGAATGAGAATCTTGTTCATCTGAGTCCCCAGGGCCCAGCATGGTGCTTGGTACACAGTAGGCTCAAATAAATGAGAGATGAATAAATGGATTTTGCACACCCTCCCAAACCCACCTCCCTTCCTCCTTCTCCCCTTCTTTCTGTCATTCTCCTTTATCACTGAGGACCTTTTTTGGTCATACTCTGATTCTGCTATCCAGGGGCACTTCTGCAGAAAGTCTCAGCTGCCTCCTCATTGTTCCTTTCAACTCCAGGCCCAGCAGATAAGGAACTGAGGGCTTGCAGGGGATCAGTTGAGAAAGACTGCAAATCAGTGACAAATATCTATGTAGAGCTGAACTTCGTTTGAACCTCCCATAAGCCCAGGGAGGGTGGTGATATTCTCCTCAATTTACAGATGAGGAAACTGAGGTTCAGAGAGGTTGAGTGCTTGCACATAGTAGCATGATAGCAGAGATGTGATGGGAGCACAGACCTTCAGCAGCACATCTTTGTGCTCTCCCTTTCAGCCAGACACCAGGGGCCTTGAAGGCCACAAAAGGATTTTGGTCTTTGGGTAGTTCAGTGCTGCATTCCCTTTGCCAGCCTTTTCTTCTTAAATTGCTGCTCCTGCTGCTCAATGATTTCCAGTCCCAGGTGAAAGGAACACAATTTTGTCACTGTGTCAAGGCAGAAACAAGCTCAGCACTGGGAAAGGAAATCAAACTCTTTTTGGAGAAAGTCAGATGGGACGTACCCCTTTTAGGACCACCTGGATGTGCAAGTAGGGAGCCCCCAGACCACCTGCCACAGACCAGCTTCCTCAACAGCAGGGTGTGCCCCCAGGCCCTGCATTTCTCCTTCTCCCCAGAGACCTCCCTCTGCCTGATAAAGCTCCAGCTCTTGGCAGGCACACAAGGCCTTCTCTGATCCCGATGTGACTGTAGGTCAGACACATTCTACATGAACAGAATATCACCCATGGGGCTGAACCCCACATAATACCTTCAGTGTTTGCCAGAGGGACTATGGGGTCTGGGTTGAGCCATTTCCTTGGGAACAGCTTAACTGAGAAATGCAAACTACCTTCCTGGCTGCCCTGGGGAGGAGGAGTCAGGAAGGTAGCACAGGCAGCACATCTCACAGGACTCCAAATTCAAGTCCTGCCACTGCCTCTGTCTGGCGGCCTTCCCTTCTCTTGGTCTCTGTTTCTCTTTCTGCCAAATAAGTGAGTTAGACCAGATCATTTTTAAGAGCCCTTCCTTCTCCAGCATGCACAAGTGAGAACACACCTCTCTTAGACGCTGTTCTATTAATTACACTGGTCAGCACTATCACTTTTCAACCAAAGGCTTTACCTTTGAGTGGCCAGCCCTGGACCTTGCATTGTAAAAACTTGGCACTGACCATTTGGTTTTGAATCATTTCAAAAGGTCAAGTCCATCCCTATCCCTTTAGGACCAGCAGTACCAAATCTTTCTCTCTGGTTTGTAAATACGGCCATTTCTTGCCTCTCTGTGGAACCTCTGCTCTGATCGGACTGGCATCTTCATTGTCCCCAATGCCTTTATGATCCCACTTTTGAGGTCTTTAGGTCCCTCTCCTCTGCCTGTCCAGATCCTCTCTGTCCTTCAAAGACTCCTCATAAAGGCCATCCCTGATGATGGCTTCCAGGAGTAAGTCCTCTCCTCTGATAGCCCGCAGTGTTTAACTGTTTCACTTTATTCATTTATTCATCCCTATACCTACTCAAGTTATTGAGTACCTGTATTAGTCTGTTCTCACACTACTGTGAAGAAATACCTGAAACTGGGTAATATGTAAAGGAAACAGGTTTAATTGGCTCCTGGTTCTGCAGGCTATTCGGGAAGCATGGCTGGGGAGACCTCAGGAAACTTACAATCACGGCGGAAGGGAACAGCCTTAAAGGTTTTCTTCGGCGCTGACCCAGGGCAAAGAGATCCAGGCTCAGAATTTCTTCTCCAGCTTCACCCTGATGAAGCTGAGGCACTCCTCCGCTCTGGGTGGGGCCAGCCTAGGGGCCAGGCACATCGGGCACCTCCTCCCCATGGACTATAGCGCCAATGCCATTGCCTTCTATTCCTACACCTTTTCCTAGGGGGCTGGTCCCGGCTCCACCTACTCCAAGCTCAGTGGACACTGGGTCTGGAAGGAAGGAGTCTTTTGCTTCCTTTCTCCTTTTTACAAAAACAAACATAGAAGAAAATAAACGCACTTTATCCACTCCCCAATTGGACTGCATTATCAAACACAGGCGCTGTGTACATCCTCCGTGCACCTGCCAGCAGATATCCTGGAGGGCTCATGAGTGAATTTAGTCCAAGATTTAAAGCCCCGCCCCCAGGTGCTCGGCCTGTGATCTGCATCCACTCAGCATGCACTTGGGCAGATGATTTGTCTGTGTGCTACCCTTCCCCCCACACTACCATACATATGCACTGTGTGGCTGCCAGTTAATCTGTGACCTGTTTTCTCCTGTCGTGTCAAGTAGGTAACGATCCCTGGTGACCACAGTCACCAGAAACAAGTGTTCGCCATGCAGAACATCACAGAGAGTACCTTAGGCATATCACACCCTCTCCTGAGACTCCATAAGGGCTAGGGTACAATTCTAGACTGGGAGCATCTTTGCCTCACTGGATTTAGTAATTGCAGGTAAGCAGGACATTTTGAAGTTTCTCCTATGAATGAGTTGTTGAAAGGTTATGAGGATGGCTGAGATCCAAGAAAACCAACTAGATACCGCTCACCTCGGTGGCCGACCTATTCCTGGCTACTAGCCTGGCTCTGCTTACAGCGTGACACTATGTGTTGTGTGTCCCTGGGAATGAGGAGCATCAGTGAGGAGCAGACATGATTCCTGTCCTCTGGATACCATAGTTCAGCCAGTGAAGGCAAACCTGAAGCTTCGGTTCCACAGCCTGTGCTGCTTGGTGAAGACTAAGGACAGGAGTCTCGATCCACAATAGCTGCCTCTCCAGGTGTTTTATTAGAGGCATGTGGATCATGTCCTGCACATCAGTTCTCCAACTTACAGACATCAGTTATTCTAGAGTTTGTTTTAAAACAGGGTTTCTGTCTACTCCCCTCCCCTGCCCTAAGGTATCTGATGATAATAGGTTAAGGATGGGATGGGGAATTTTCATTTCTATTATACTAAACAGCTTGAGTAATTTCTGCTGCAGAGGTCCAGTATCTGCACTTGAGGGAGCTCTATGCTACAGCTGGTAAGTTCTGATTAGGCCTTCGAAGACATCTTGAATACTACCTTGTTGCCCAAGTCGGATGATGCTGTTCTTTCACAGTGTAGCATTCACGTAGAACAGAATAGTAACAGCTCTCCTCCCATCAGCTCTAGCCCAGTGCTGCAAGCTGGAGCTTTGAGCAATAAGAACTCCAGCCAGGTCTCTTCTGAAAGAACAGCCAGCCATCTTCACATCCAGCTATGACCAAATCACTGTGGTCTAGCACTCAGCAAGTCTCCAGTCCAGCACCTGGTAAAAAGCTTGCAGAGAGAACAAGGACACAGCAGAGGCATCTTTGCTATATCCCACAGTCTTGAAAAACTGTTAGGTTATTAATGAGTGGTGAGCTTTGGAGATTTTTAAAAATATGCTCTCAGGATGAGGATCAAACAGCATTTTGGTGAATATTTTATTCACCAAATGCTTTAAATATTATGTAAATATTTTATTTGCCAAATGCTTATAAATTGGAGTTTATAACTACTGAGATCTACTTATGTTCTTCAAAGTATGGTCATCACTTTTCCTTAGAATTGTCTAGACTGCAATTCCAATTGGACAGTGGAGGTTTTAGTGGAGGAGCACATCTTGACTTTTTTAGTCCCAGCATACGTGTTAAAAAAATGCTGAAAAAAGGCAGTATTAAAGTGCATAAGGTCAGATGTGTTCCTAGTTCCTGTCACATTTAGGAGATGTGATGAGGTCCCTTACTCCCCAGTTATTAAGCCTCTATTAGACAGGCTGCAGTGCAGAAAATCACAAGTGATTTTTAAAAATTTTATTTTACAGGCCCGGTGCGGTGGCTCATGCCTGTAATCCCAGCACTTTGGGAGGCCAAGGCAGGTGGATCACGAGGTCAGGAGTTTGAGACCAGCCTGGCCAACATGATGAAACCCCATCTCTACTAAAAATACAAAAAATTAGCTGGGCGTGGTGGCAGGCACCTGTAATCCCAACTACTCAGGAGGCCGAGGCAGGAGAATTGCTTGAACCCAGGAGGTAGAGGATGCAGTGAGCCGAGACCACGCCACTGCACTCCAGCCTGGGCAACAGAGTGAGACTCTGTCTCAAAAAAAAAAAAAAAAAATTTTTTTTTATTTTACAGGTAGGGTCTCACTTTTGCTTAGGCTAGAGTGCAGTGGCATGATCACAGCTCACTGCAGCTTTGAATTCCTGAGCTCAAGTGATCCTCCCACCTCAGCCTTCCAAGTAGCTGGGACTATAGGCATGTACCACCACGCCTGGCTAATTCTGTCATTTTTTTGTAGAGACAGGTCTTGCTATGTTGCCCAGGCTGGTCTCGAACTCCTGGCTTCAAGCAATCCTGCTGTCTTGGGCTCCCAAAGTGCTGGGATTATAGGTGTGAGCCACCATGCCCAGCCCATAAGTGATTTTTGCTGAGTTTCTCCCCCTTTAATTTTAAACTTAGTGTCCTTTCCCCAACAAACTATCAGGAGCTATCCATGGGATTTTGTATTACCAAGGCATTAGAGATGTATACATTCATCTCATCTGAGCCTGCAACAGCCCTGTGATGAGACAAGAGAACTTAGAACAAGCATTGGAATGAGGTTAGCACTGCCTTATCTCCCTGTGTGATCTCAGGGATAGTACAGCCTCATCTGTCCCATTCATTCGGCAAATATTTACTGAATGTCTTGTAGGTGTGATGAGTACTCTAGGGATTAAAAATAAGTACACGTTTTTCCCAGTAGTGAAAATTCATGGAACTGCACACAAAATATCTGTACCTTTCTGTAACATCATACTTCAACTAAGTTAATGAAATTTTATCTTTAATGTAATTTTTAAAATGAATACACCATCCACCTCTTCAAGAAAGTTACATTCTAATAAACTCTATATACACAAAACTACATATAACTATACTATTTTAAAAAGCTGTAAATAGGCAAGCTCAGAATACCCCAACCTCCACCCTCTGCTTTTAGGAAGGAGGCAAAGAAATGATAGGGCTCAGCAAAACCCATGGGCCCTAGGCTAGTCCCATATAATTTTTTAACCATATGATAAAGCCCCTCAAGAAATCACTGGGAGATTTGAGCAAGGTTTAAGTTGAAATAATTAGGCATCAGCAAACCATAATCACAACAGCAGGGACGTGGCTGCTGCTCCAAATCTGCCTAACGAAGGCAGCACAATCTTTAATACCTGTGCAGCTTTGTAAATGGAGACAGGATACTCTCTTTTGAAAGCTGAGATTCCCTGTCCAGTCTGGGGGAGGAAAAAATGGGCCTGGTAACCCTCATAGCCCCTGTCCCTAAGAGAATGCTTGACATGTAGCACACTCTCAAACTTGTTCAATAGTTGAAAGGCAGATACGGAATACTTGTTTTCTAGGTAGGTAGTCAGTTTTGCCCAGAAACTGGAAAACAAATGCCTAGTTTCCCTTCTAGCCCAAAGATGTCACTGCCTCTTTGTTCAAAGTTGGACATAACAATTGCCACTACTGGCGACCATGTATTAAGTGCCTATTATGTGCCAGGCAGTATTTTAAAAATCTGTCGTTATAGTTCCAGGGGACAGGTGCTGCACCTTTACAAATAGAGGTTATTTGTAAATAAAGTGCAGGCCAATGGCACAAAGTAGTGAAGGTGGGATTCACTCAGGTCTGTCACTTCCAAGCCCATGTTTTCTACTTTGCAACCCTATTTGAAAGGAAAACTGCAACTAAGATTATGACCCATGAGACAACTTATGTGTGAGACAAAAAGTTTCACACCTCCCCCCACCCCAAACACACACGGTATAACACAGTGACCCAACCTTAGGCAAAAGGGTACCACTGCCAGCAAATGCATTTAACATTTTATTGAGATTCTCAACAGCTGCCATTTGGTTTGTATAGCAAATTTTTTACAAAGTAACTTTTTTCCATTTTTGATATTTTTATGAAAATTATTTTCTTCAGTTTTAAAGCCCTGTCCCTCCCCCAAAGAAGGATTAATAACTACCAAGTAATGATTAGGGGAAAAAAAGCAAAAACAGCTTTATAAACACTTGTGAAACAGGGGTAAGTGTCCGAAGTCAAGACCTTCTGGGCCCAGTGGAGGTGCTGGGCTGCTCCGGGACACCATCACCACTTCACCATCCACAACATCCTCAAGAGCTGAGCAGCCCTGCACAGACCCTGGGGGGCTTCCTGTTCCACAAGCTCCACTCCCTTTTTCCTCTCCATCTTTGCTGTTGGGCCTCCCCTCCAAATCTGCCTAACAAAGGCAGCACGATCTTTAATGCCTGTGCAGCTTTGTAAGTGGAGCCAGGTTACTCTGTTTTGAAAGCTGAGATTCCCTGTCCAGTCTGGGGGAGGAAAAATTATCCAATGTAGCATGGATGGTTTCACTTTCTTGTCCACTCAGACACATGCTCATACTTATTAAATGGATTTATTGGATGCTTCAAAAGTCCTGATGTGTAGTAGCACAAAAGTTCCTTGTAAAAAAAGAAGTTGCAAAATTATAAAAATTTCTGCAGCAGTTCTGGCTCTGGATGACAAAGCTCATTCTGATTAGTAGTTTTTTTGACATGCACAGCAGCTTCCCCTATAAGTCCTACGTTCGGAGGGTTCCGTTTAGACAACAGGAAGTTGGAATCCAAGTTTAAAAGGCTCTCTGCTGACAAAATGTGGTACATCCATCAACAGAATTCTACTCAGCAATAAAAGGAACAAACTACCAAGACGTTATCTGTCATGGACAAACCTCAAAAACATTAGCTAAGTAAAAAAGCCAGACCCAAGGGACCACATATTGTATGATTCCATTGATTTGAACTGTCCAGAAAGGGCAAATTTATAGAGAAAGTAGATTAGTGGTTGCCGGGGGTAAGAACAGGATTAACTGTAAAAGAGCATGAAGGATCTTATTGGGAGGGATAAAAATGTTCTAAAACTGAGTAATAGTTACAGCTACACCACTGAGGGAAGTTACTAAAATCACTGAAATGTACACTTGAAATGGGTGTTTTATGATATGTAACATATGCCTCATTAAAGTTGTTTTAAGAAAAGGATTCCCTGCCTCCCAAACCATCCTTCAAGCATTAAACATTTTTGGAGGCTCATAATCAACAGGACAGAATAACTACTTAGTGATGATTTACAGAGTGAAATATTTTACTGTTTTGTAGTAAGCACATTTTAGTAACTGTACACTAGTACAATGTTTTTAAGATTTTATCTCATTTTTGTCATATTAGCCTAAAATGTTTATTTTTATTTAAAAAGTAGCCAATAGGAAGGTAAGATTGGGGAGAAAGCTCAGTAAATGTCACAAAAGAGACTCCTAGTAACACAATCTGAGGGAGCTTTTTCTTTTGAAATAAAGATGGTGCATCTGTCCCTTTACAGATTTCTCTCCTGTCCCCTGGGACTGGGGAAGGTGAATCTCCTGCCTGACACCTTGTAGAGATTAGTGTATCCAGCTATTCTATTGCCACGATGCCTCTAAAAACCAGACTGACTGGGAACAGCAGTAGGGGGTTGGCCAGTGAGGGCAGGTGACTAAGTGGTGTGCAGGAAACTCGCATGTTTCCCTGGGTTGGCTTCCTGCTCCCCTGTCCCTGTCACCAATAGCAGCTTCATTGTGAGAAGATTAAAACAAAGGAAAAAAACCCAAAAAAACTGTTTCCAAATTGTAACTAACCAAGTCTGTGTAGGAAATTCACAAGGCAGCAGAGCAGAGGCTGCAGAGGTGCTCTGTCTACCGGGAGAACTAATGATCCCTGTGAGCAATGCAGGGTGCAATGAGTCACATGGGGAAATGTGGACAGAGGCAGAAGGACATCAAGGCCCCCACTACACACCAAATTAGAGTCAATCCTCCTGTTCTCCCCACCCACTTCGCAAACTAATGACGTCCGCGTTATCCCAGAGGAGAGTGGCTAGGGACACTCAGTCCTTCCCAATTATGTGGACGTCTCCAAATCTTGGTCAAATCTGTCAGATTTCTAACAGTTTCAATACCTCAATATCACCTAAACTGAGAAAGATTATTAGCCCGTGATGGTGGGACCCTTATTGACGAAGGCCTGCCCCCTCCTCACAGTTGGGTAGATTCCTGGGTTCCTGATGGTTCAGGAGCCTGGGCTGTCATTTGTCTACCTGGGGTTTGCAGCAGCCCTAGTACAAGAAGATTCATTCGTGCTGTTTACTTTGGCAGCCTCTTCACACAACTTTCCTCTCTAACACGTGTTAATTATCAGAGTATTCACCTCACCTCCTTACTTCCCAGCTTCTCCAAAATCAAAGCAATAGTAATAAACAATTTGGAAAATGTTGCTTAGTATTTTAAGCCATGGTTAGCATTATAACCTTAATTAAAGAGACCCCAGGCTGGGGTGGCTCACCACACCCAGCCTATAATCCCAGCACTTTGGGAGGCTGAGATGGGAGAATCACTTGAGCACAACAATTCAAGAGTAGCTTGGGAAATAGAGCAAGATCCAGTCTCTACAAAAAATAAAAATAATAAAAATAATTAGCTGGCCGTGGTGGTGCGTACCTGTTGTCCCAGCTACTCGGGAGGCTAAGATGGGAGGATTGCTTGAGCCTAGGAATTTGATGCTGCAGTGAGCTATGGTCATACCACTGCACTCCAGCCTGGGTGACAGAGTGAGACTATGTCTCAAAAAAAAAGAAAAAAAAAAAAAAAAGAGGGACCCCAGCTGCTGTGACTTTGGAAACTAAAGGTGTTAACAAAGGTCAAGCCTTTCCTTAGGATCGTTTCTGGTTTCACCCTTATGTGATTCCCAAAACTCAACTATTATTGTCAGAAACTGGCCCAAAGACCCAGGGCTGCATTTGCCCAGGCCTAGGCTGTATCCTTGAATTTTCTGCTGCAGTTCAAAGGCCTGGAGAAACTGAAAATGCATTCATTTGGGTTTTTTCCCTTGAAAAGAAAGAGATAAATTATTTTCATCTTGGAATTTTAGAGTTGAATAAATAATCCCAATAATTACAGATCAATCACTAATAAACTAACATTGGGACCAGCCAGATTGGCAACTGTTAGAAATACATGTTCCATTTCTATACAAATTCTCAAACTTCTAGTTGCCAATTTAAAAAAGTTTAAACAAAGTAGTGGCTTAAATTCAACATCAAAATTACCCCTTATAAATACAAGTCTTACCATTAAAGGGTAAAGGTGTCCAGTCTGGCTTGCTGGTTCTTCTTCTGTGAGAAAAGTCACTGACAGCCAGAGGCTCCCAGCCTTTCCCCAGTGAAGGTCCAACAAGACACACATGCATTTTCTGCTAAGAAGGTAGCAAACTCTAACTAGCCTGTGTTGTGAGTGACAATTGTGCCCCTACCTCCCAACATAAATAGATGGCAAAAAGAGTTGGACTACAAGAGGAACCGCCGGAAGCAGAGTCCTATGCATTTAAAAAAGAATCAATTTGCTAGCTGCTTCCTATACCTGGAGTCAGTATGTTCAGTGTCTGAAGAAGACTAGAAATGCCAGCCCTCAGTGTCCATGCTAAACTGGCAGGAAGTTTTCATAGTCCTGAAGACTGACATCCAAAACAGACCAGCACAGCAGAAGGAAAGACAAGCTCCTTTCTCTCTGCAATCCCAACGCATTTCTAACAGCCTTCGGAATTCTGAGCTTGGACAGGCTCACGAGGATGAAGGAGGAAAAGCAGTCCCAGAAGGGAGAGATTTCCTCTATGCACTTGCAATGCCCTTTCCCTTTTAGAGGAAACAACCCAGCTGAAAGCTGAAGCTTGAATAAAGAAGTTTCTTTATTCATAGTCCTCTCTGAAAAAGAGTTAACAGTTTCATTCTCTCAACATAGAGGCTTTGGGAATTAATGTGTCTGTCTGGTAATGCAAGTTCTCTAAGCTACTCTCCTATGACATGTGACCTAACAAGGAAGGCAATTTTTTCAAATGATATAATCCTAAAGACTCAAATAGGAAAAAATGTGTATTTTAAATCTGGCATTAGCTTATCACTGTTCAAAAAGTCAACGAGAGCTCATAAGGAGAATTTCTTCAGCTTTCCATACCCTAGTCCTTTCCTTCCAACCTCTGTCCCACAGCCACATACTGAATTTATACCAACTTTGTTTCAAGTTACATATCTTTTCCCTATTAGGCCTATCACACAGCACAGTAGCAATCAGAAAGAAGCCACTATTATCTTCAGGGCTCTCCAATTCCTCATCCCTGGGAGAATGGCCTGGATGGCTCTCCTGTACCCCACACTGCCATCTACATCTCTATACACGAAGGTAGCTCCTGGCACCCAGTTTAGTTCCTTAGGGGTAGCAACAAAAGACCCCAGCAAGTTAAAGGCAGGAAAGACAAAGAAACACACCCTAAGAGGTCAATCTACAAAACTTGCAAAGCTGGGTATGTGGGAACAGTAAAATGTTTTAATAGCTGAAAAGATCCCAGAAGGTCAGGTACACAGTCACATGGGTCAAGCAGGACTCACTTTCCTAGGCTGATTTTGAGTTCCTTTCCATAATTCTGTAATGTGGGAAGAAATATCCAAACTGTGAACTGAGCTTCTTACTAGTGTCCTGAAAAATATTTCCTTAAAAAAGTGCATAAACTTGTCTGAGGGAATTAAGACACCAGGAAGACCAAGTGTTGATGAGGCTGGAAAAAAAAACTGTCCAAATAAAATTAAGACACAACAGATTCAAGGATGACTTCTGCAGGCTCATGCTAATTGCCAGCACAGCAGGCCTCCCCTATGCCTTTGGTAGCAGTATCTTTTCTTAAAAAGGAGGCTGGGGAATAGACTTCATGAAAGATGAGGTGGCAGATCAACCCTAGTGCTCTTCTACTTATAAATGGTGAGTCTGATGGTGGTGGTGAACACAGGCTTATGAACAGGACAACAGTAACTAAATGACTCAAGTGACAACCACCATCACAGCCCTACCTTCTGATTTACAACTTTCAACAATCATCAAAAGTTACTGTAAACTAAGTACTTTAAGTCTGTGTTTTCTTGAATGGGGTTCAGGACAAACAGGCAAGGGCTTGACAGCACATTGGTTATCCGAGTTCATTGCAGGAGACCCCGGGGGTGGGGCAGCTGAGCCTCAAATTCCAGTTTGCACCACCTGCTCTTTCTGCTTGTCCCTTTTCCCATCCAACTCAATAGATTCCACAAAAAGCTCTCCAGGTGCTCACTGTCCCTGATAAGTATACAGCAGGGTGAGAGGGGCATTTCCTAAATATCCAGTTTTTCTTAGTCAGCTTATTTTGTTTAAATACACACCG
This sequence comes from Homo sapiens, assembly GCF_000001405.40. NCBI lineage: Eukaryota > Metazoa > Chordata > Mammalia > Primates > Hominidae > Homo > Homo sapiens. Next base: position 71,188,183 of record NC_000002.12, read on the forward strand.
CGGAACACTTCTGATGAAGGGGGGAAAATGCAATTTCCTTAACTCGAAAGAGCTATTTAAAAAAACAAAACAGGAAACTCCCCAAACAAAAGTCAGCAGAACAAAATAGAAATACTCAGAGGCTTAGAATAAGACTGAGCATATTAGTTACTCAGAGTCACAGTATTGTGAGACCACCACTCCCCTTCCCGCTGTGCACCCCTCGCCCGCCCCATCCCCCTCTTCAGCTCCACCATTTTGTGCATTACTATCCCCAGATGTGGGGACAGACAAGTCTTCCTCAAAGCTTTCTCGGCTCAGTACTTCTCTCCTGGAATAAACTCCTTGGCATCTGGGTTCAGGTTACTTTTGCTCTGAAATAAGAACCAAGAGATAGTAAATCCTAAGGCAAGCTGCATTTTAAAACTTACCCAGTCCATCATTATCAGTACCTTCCCCTTAGCTTTAGGGAGAGAAAGAAAATTCCTTGTAACTCAGGCTGTTATTGCTAGGTTATCTCAACTGCACCTGACATAGCCCTGAGCAAGCTCATCTTCTCCTTCCTTCTTTGGACTCTTGTTTCCTTCCTGATGCTTTCCAAAATCTCATCAGAGGCCTGTAAGTTCAACTCCAAGAATAATTTTTCAATTCACTGAGTACCTTAACTTGGTGAAAACCAGGGTACTCCATCAGACCAGGCTGGATACCACAATCTCTATTTTTCTTCATCTTTCTGTACTCTCTTTGGTTCTCTACTCTCTTGTGAATATCCAAAACCTTAGCAAACCACAGGGCAAGATTGTTCAGAATATGAGTTGTATGAAAACTATATTGCTCACAGACTTTTTTTTTTTTTTTTTTTTTGAGACAGTCTTGCTCTGTTGCCCAGGCTGGAGTGCAGTGGTGCAATCTTGGCTCACTGCAAACTCCGCCTCCCTCTGCCTCCCAGGTTCAAGCAATTCTCCTGCTTTAGCCTTCCAAGCTGGGACTACAGGCGCGCACCACCATGCCTGGCTAATTTTTGTATTTTTTTAGTAGATATGGGGTTTCCATGTTGGCCAGGCTGGTCTTGAACTCCAGACCTCAGGTGATCCACCCGCCTCAGCCTCCCAAAGTGCTGGGATTACAGGCGTGAGCCACCGTGCCCAGCCTGCTCACAGACTTCTGATGTTACATAAATATGAAAGGCAGGAAATTAATTTATCTGGTTTTCTAATTCTAAGTGGAGAAAATGACCTCTCAGGAGTACATTTCTTCCAAAATGAACAGCTAATTTTTATAACAGAATCATTTAGAAGTATATTAAATACAGATTTGAGGGACAGTAAAAGAGAAGAATAGCAACAAATGATATTTGAGAAGAAACTTCTTCAGTGTTCAAATTGTTATCCTTAATCCCAATTCTACTTTGAAGAGCCCATTAGAAAGTAAAGGTTGGTGGCGTCCAATCTTGGCAAGTAAAAAGCCCGTGATGCTGGCAACAGTAATGTTTTATAGTGCTTTATGAGGAGCAATGCATCTTTAATGCACCCCTTATTAATAATGCCCATAAAACGAGCAAAGAAACAACAGCTCACAGGGCTCCAGACTTGTTGAGGGTTGTAGGGCTGGAAAGAAAGTCTGTCATTCCAAATCCTATATTCTTTTCACTACATAACCTGGGGAACTACATATGGCTCTTACCAAAATATCTTCAGAATCATGACCTTCACTGACTGACAGTCCATTTAACTGCTGTTGCAACTGTCCCATGGCCTGAGGCAGGTCTCGTGAGGGAATAAACCAGTCTTGGTCTTCTTCATCCAGCATCTCTTGGAAGCAGCGGTCCAAGAAGTCTTGCTCCTGCAGTTCCTCCTCCACCTAGCAAGCAAAGGGGAGCAGCTCAGACTTACTGTCACAGCAAGACTTACCCCTTCCAGTTTTTCCTCCACCTCTTTCCTTCAGAAGGTATTACTCTGCAATTAAGAATGATCTTGAGCTGGGTGTGGTGGCTCACAACTGTAATCCCAGCAGTTTGGGAGACTGAGGCAGGAGGATTGCTTGAGGCCAGGAGGTTTGAGACCAGCCTGAGCAACATAGCATGACCCTGCCTCTACAAAAAAAATTTTAAAATTAGCCAGGCCATAGTGGTGTGTGCCTGTAGTCTCAGCTACTTGGGAGACTGAGGCTGGAGGACAACTTGAATGCAGGAGGTCAAGGCTTCATTGAGCCAAGACTGCGCCACTGCACTTCAGTCTGGGCGACAGAATGAGACCCCGATTCTTTAAAAAATAAAAATATATTTAAAAAAAAGATTTTATGATCTTACATGAGGTCCAAGGGATCTAAGGATTCAATGCGCCTAATGACTAGCTAGAGATAGCATAATTTTTATTTTTTCTCAACCAAATTCTATCACTAATAAGACTAAGAAAATAGTTATTCACAGTAACAGAAATTCAAGGTCTCCGCAGATGTTCTACGATCTCTAATAGGTGATACAGATATCATGGAAAATCATTTTAGAGCCTAAAATTCTTTTCTCAGTCTTGTTACAAAGTAACCCTTCTTAAATTTCCCATTTTATAAGAAATATGAAAAAGATACTGCAAGTATATAACTAGTTCATGACCTGGCTAGTGGAGATAAAATCAAAGCCAATGCTCTCAGCTTCTGGCCATTTTTTGGGTAAGGAAACCCTCAAGGGAGAAAAATACTTTCAGAACATTAGGAAGACATAAAGAACACTTTTTGGCATACCAATAGAAAATTACATAATCAATGTAGTATTCTTTCAAAAGATGAAATATATGAATATTCAAACAATTCTGCATTTCTTAAACATTGCCCTAAACTAAAGCAATATATATCTAGGATATTTTACACTGCTTTGCAGACATTGTTAACTCTTAGTATAGAGTGTGGTTCACTCTGCAGATTTCAGTGTCTTTGATAGGCCTCTTGCTTCATGTTTGGCATCCCTTTCCTGCAGGCTGCCTGGTGACAGATTCACAGCTCACTAGCACCACCACCAGAAATGAGGTCAAGCAAAAAATAATTTCCCAAATTGGAATATACAGTTACCTAATTAATTCAGAGGAAAAGTTACTGGTAGTGAGACTTAAGAATAGTATTTGAACACTACAATTAGCCACACGTGAAAACTAGACAGTTATGAAGTGCTTAATAAAATATTCTCATGCCACAAGATGTAACATGACCATTTGAGAGCTGCCCTGACTCTATGAGAGCATAACAGCATGCTAGCTCTTATTAAATTTACCCCTGTTCACTGGCACAACCAATGAAAATGGTTGCTGGGCACAGAGGTGTAACAGAAACATGCTACGTGCAATTCACACAGATCCCGACAGAGCCACATTAGGTGGAAATTGCTGTCTGTCCCCTTTAAACTTGTTTCCTTCTTCCCAGAGCACCAGGCTGTTCAGTTAAAATCACATTTGTCACCTTACATGCTGTATATGGCCAAGTGACTATTCATCACAAAATGTTCCCACAAGGGACATGGACACTTTGGCATCCCTTGGTTAAAAGAAGACCCCTTGCCATGGCCTTTGGTGCTCTCCCTTTCCCAGCTGCTGGACTTCCCAGTTTTCCCTCAGCCACGCAGCTGATATATGCCCTGGGGGTGGCAGAGCAATACCGTGGAAGGGACCAAGTGGGCACCAGATCACTTGTCTATCCAGAATGCTTACCTTGGACTGTTAACCTCACAGATATAAAACAATGCGTTACTGCTGAATCTTTGCTGAAGTAGTCTAGCCAACCCTCACCTCATGTACTTCTCTATTTCAGACTCACATCCTGCCAATCCCGAGTTCCCATTTGAGGCATGCCATGCTGACCTGTCTGCATATAGCTGCTGTTTCCCACAAATCTACACCCAATAACACAGGGCATTAGACCAAAACAACTTCCTTTCATAAAATAAATTTCCTCACCTTTTCCCATTAACACAAATTTTCCATGAAAACACTGCAAAAGGAGAGCAGAAACTAGATTTTTAGGAACTGGACTTAACCACATATGATTAATGAAAAATATTATATATGGGCACACGTTTTATTGCATTTTGCTGTATTTTGCTTCATAGATACTGCATTTTTTTTTTTTTTTTTACAAATTGAAGGTTTGTGGCAACCTTGCATCAAGCAAGCCTATTGGCGCCTTTTTATCAACAGCATGTGCTCAATGTCTGTGTCACATTTTGGTAATTCTCTCAATTTTTCAAACTTTTTCATTATTATTATATCTGTTATAGTGCTCTGTAATCAGTAATCTTTGATGTTACTTTTTTTTTAATTTTAGGTTTGAAGTACACGTGAAGGTTACATAAACACATGTCACAGGGGTTTGTTGTACATATTATCATATCACCAGGTATTAAGCTCAGTACCCAATAGTTACCTATTCTGCTCCTCTCTCTCCTCCCACCCACCCCCGTCAAGTAGACCCCAGTGTCTGTTGTTCCTTGTGTTCATAAATTCTTATCATTTAGCTCCTACTTATAAGTGAGAACATGTAGTGTTTGGTTTCCTGTTCCTGTGTTAGTTTGCTAAGGATGATAGCCTGCAACTCCATCCATGTTCCTGCAAAGGACATAATCTCATTATTTTTTATGGCTGCGTAATATTCCATGGTGTATATGTACCACATTTTCTTTATCCAGTCTGTCACTGATAAATGGGCATTTAGTTGATTCCATGTCTTTGCTATTGTGAACAGTGCTGCAATGAACATTTGTGTACATGTGTCTTTATGGTAGAATGCTTTACATTCCTCTGGGTCTACAACCAGTAATGGGATTGCTGGGTTGAATTGTAGTTTTAGCTCTTTGAGGAATCGCCATACTGCTTTCCACAATGGCTGAAGTAATTTACACTCCTACCAACATTGTATAAGCCTTCCCTTTTCTCCACAACCTCACCAGCACGTGTTTTTTCTTTTTTTTTACTTTTTAGTCATAGCCATTCTGACTGGTGTGAAATTGTATCTCATGGTGGTTTTGACTCGCATTTCTCTAATGATCAGTGATATTGAGCTTTTTTTCATATGCTTGTTGGCCGTATGTATGTCTTCCTTTTGAGAGGTGTCTGTTCATGTCCTTTGCCCACTTTTTAATGGGGTTGTTTTTCTCTTGTAAATTTAAGTTCCTTATAGATGCTTGATATCAGACCTTTGTCATATGCATAGTATGCAAATATTTCCTCCCTTTCTGTAGGTTGTCTGTTTACTCTGTTGATAGTTTCTTTTGCTGTACAGAAGTTCTTAAGTTATTTAGATCTCATTTGTCAATTTTGGCTTTTGTTGCAATTGCTTTTGGTGTCTTCGCCATTAAATCTTTGACCATTCCTATGTCCAGGATGGTATTGCCTAGGTTGTCTTCCAGGGTTTTTATAGTTTTGGGTTTTAGCCAGGTGCAGTGGCTCCGCCTGTAATCCCAGCACTTTAGGAGGCTGAGGCAGGCAGATCATGAGGTTAGTAGACTGAGACCATCCTGGCTAACACGGTGAAACCCCTTCTCTGCTAAATAATACAAAAAATTAGCCGGGTGTGGTGGCAGGCACCTGTAGTCCCAGCTACTCTGGAGGCTGAGGCAGGAGAATGGCGAGAATCCGGGAGGCGGAGCTTGCAGTGAGTACTCCAGCCTGGGCTACAGAGCAAGACTCTGTCCCAAAAAAAAAAAAAGTTTTGGGTTTTACATTTGTCTTTAATCCATCTTGAGTTTATTTTTGTATATGGTGTAAGGAAGGGGTCCAGCTTCAAACTTCTGCATATGGCTAGCCGGTTATCCCAGCACCATTTATTAAACAGGGAGTCTTTTCCCTAGTGCTTGTTTTTGTCAGCTTTGTCAAAGATCAGATGTAGATGTGTGGTCTCATTTCTGGGGTCTCTGTTCTGTTCCACTGGTTTATGTGCCTGCTTTTGTACCAGTACCATGCTATTTTGGTCACTGTAGACTTGCAGTATAGTTTGAAGTCAGGTAACGTGATGCCCTCAGCTTTGTTCTTTTTACTTATGATTGCCTTGGCTATTCGTGCACTTTTTAGGTTCCATATAAATTTTGAAATATTTTTTTCTAGTTTTGTGAAGAATGTCATTGGTAGTTTGATAGGAATAGCATTGAATCTGTAAACTGCTTTGGGCAGTATAGCCATTTTAATGATATTGATTCTTCCTATCCATGAGCATGGGATGTTTTTCCATTTGTTTGCATCTTCTCTGATTTGTTTGAGCAGTGTTTTGAAATTCTCATTGTAGAGATCTTTTACCTCCCTGGTTAGCTGTATTCCTAGGTTGTGTGTGTGTGTGTGTGTGTGTGTGTGTGTGTGGCAACTGTGAATGGGATTGCCTTTCTGATTTGGCTCTCAGTTTGGTGGTTGTTGGTGTATAGGAATGCTAGTGATTTTTGTACATTGATTTTGTATTCTGCAACTTTGCTGAAGTTATTTATCAGCTAAAGGAGCTTTTGGGCTGAGACTACGGAGTTTTCTAGATATAGAATCATGTTGTCTGCAAACAGATATAGTATGACTTCCTCTCTTCCTATTTGGATGCCCTTTATCTTGCCTGATTGCTCCAGCTAGGACTTCCAATACTATGTTGAATGTAAGTGGTGAGAGAGGGCATCCTTGTCTTGTACCGGTTTTCAAGGGGAATGCTTCCAGCTTTGGCTCATTCAGTATAACGTTGGCTGTGGGTTTGTCATAGATGACTCTTATTATTTTGAGGTATATTCCTTCAATACCTAGTTTATTGAGAGTTTTAAACATGAAGCAATGTTGAATTTTATCAAAAGACTTTTCTGCTTCTATTGAGATAATCATGTGGCTTTTATCTTTAATTCTGTTTACATGATGAATCACATTTATTGATGTTTGCATGTTGAACCAACCTGGCATCCCGGGGATGAAGCCTACTTAATCATTGTGGATTAGCTTTTTGATGTGCTGCTGGATTTGGTTTGCAAGTATTTTGTTGAGGATTCAATGTTCATCAAGGATATTTCCCTGAAGTTTTCTTGTTTTGTTGTGTCTCTACTAGGTTTTGGTATCAGGATGATGCTGGCCTTGTAGAATGAGTTGGGGAGAAATCCCTCCTCCTCAATTTTTTAGAATAGTTTCTGTAGGAATGGTACCAGCTCTTCTTTGTATGTCTGGTAGAATTTGGCTGTGAGTCCATCATGTCCTGGGCTTTTTTGGTTGGTAAGCTATTTATTACTGATACAATTTCAGAGCTCATTATTAGTCAGTTCAGGGAATCAATTTCTTCCTAGCTCAGTCTTGGGAGGGTTTATGTGTCCAGGAATTTATCCATTTCTCCTAGGTTTTCTAGTTCATGTGTGTAGTGCTTGTAGTAGTTTTTGATGGTTGTTTTATTTCTGTGGGGTCAGTAGTAACATTCCCTTTGTCATTTCTAATTGTGTTTATTTGGATCTTCTCTATTTTCTTCTTAATTACTGCAGCTACTAGCCTATTTCATTAGTTTTTTTCTTGAGATGAAGTCTCGCTCTGTCACCCAGGCTGGAGTGCAGTGGTGCAATCTCAGCTCCCTGCAACATCTGCCTCCTGGGTTCATGCATTCTCCTGCCTCAGCCTCCCATGCAGCTGGGATTACAGGCACATGCCACCATGCCTGGCTAATTTTTGCATTTTTAGTAGAGATGGGTTTCACCATGTTGGCCAGGCTGGTCTCAAACTCCTGACCTCAAGTGATCTGCCCACCTCAGCCTCCCTAAGTGCTGGGACTATAGGCATGAGCCACCACGCCTGGCCTATTTCATTAACTTTTTTCAAAAAACCAACTCCTGGATTCGCTGATCTCTTAAATGGTTTTTCATGTCTCAGTTTTCTTCAGTTCATCTCTGATTTTTGTTATTTCTCGTCTTCTGCTAGCTTTGGGGTTGATTTGCTCTTGCTTGTCTAATTCTTTCAGTTGTGATGTTAGGTTGTTAATTTGAGATCTTTTATCACTTTGTGAGGTGGGCATTTAGTGCTATGAATTTCCCTCTTAACACTGCCTTAGCTATGTTCCAGAGATTCTGGTATGTTGTATCTTTGTTCTCCTTATTTTCAAATAACTTGATTTCTGCCTCAATTTCATTATTTACCTGAAAGTCATTCAGGAGTATGTTGTCTAATTTCCATGTAATTGTATGGTTTTATTTTCATTGTGTTGACTTCTATTTTTATTGTGCTGTGGTCCAAGAGTGTGTTTGGTATGATTTCGGTTCTTTTACACTTGTTGAGGATTGTTTTATGTCCAATTATGTGGTCAATTTTAAAGTGTGTACCATGTGGCAATGAGATTAATGTACACTCTGTTGTTTTTGGGTGGAGACTTCTGTAAAGGTCTAGCAGACCCATTTGTTCCAATGGTGAATTTAGGTCCTGTATATCTTAGTTAATTTTCTGCTTCAATGATCTAATATTGTCAGTGGAGTATAGAAGTCTCACATTATTAATATTATGTGGCTGTCTATGTCTTTTTGCACCCAGATTCATAAAGAACTTGCTTTATGAATCTGGGTGCTCCTATGTTGTGTGCATATGTATTTAGGAAAGTTAGGTCTTCTTGCTGAATTGAACCCTTTACCATTATGTAATGTCCTTCCCTTGTCTTTTTTTATCTTTGTTGGTTTAAAATCTGTTTTGTCTGAAATTAGGATTGCAACCCCTGCTTTTTTCTGTTTTCCATTTGCTTGGTAGATTTCTCTCCATCCCTTTATTTTGAGCCTATGAGTGTCATTATGTGTGAGATGGGTTTCTTGAAGACAGCATGCTATTGGGTCTTGCTTTTTTACCCAGCTTGCCACTCTGTGCCTTTTAAGTGAGGCATTTAGCTCATTTACATTCAATGTTGGTATTGATATGTGTGGATTTGATCCTGTCATTGTGCTGTTTGCTGGTTATTATGTTGGCCTGTTTGTGTGGTTGTTTTACAGTGACACTGGTCTGTGTGGTTAAGTGGGTTTTTGTATTAGCTGGTAGTGGTCTTTCCTTTCTATATTTAGTGCTCTTTTCAAGGTCTCCTGTAAGGCAAGTTTAGTAGTAATGAAGTCCCTCAACATTTGCTTATCTGAAAAGGATCTTATTTTTCCTTCATTTAAGAAACTTAGTTTGGCTGGATATAAATTCTTGGTTGAAGATTTTTTTACTCTAAGAATGTTAAATATAGTCCCCCAGTCTCTTCTGGCTTATAGGGTTTCAGCCAAGAGGTCTGCTGTTAGCCTGATAGGGATCTCTTTGTAGGTGACCTACCCTTTCTCTCTAGCTGTCTTTAATATTCTTTCATTTTGACCTTGGAAAGTCTGATGATTATGTGTCTTGGGAATGATCTTCTTGTGTGGAATCTTGCAGGAGTTCTCTGTATTTTCTGAATTTGACTGTTGGACTCTCTAACATGGTTGGGGAAGTTTTCATGGATGGTATCCTTGTATTAGTCTGTTTTCACACTGCTGATAAAGACATATCCAAGACTGGGCAATTTAAAAAAGAAGGAGGTTTACTGAACTTATAGTTTCATGTGGCTGGGGAGGCCTCACAATTATGGCAGAAGGTAAAAGGTAAGGAGGAGCAAGTCACATCTTACATGGATGGCGGCAAGCAAAGAGAGAGAGCTTGTGCAGGAAAACTCCCGTTTTTAAAACCATCAAATCTCGTGAGACCAATTCACTATCATGAGAACAGCAAGGAAAGACTCACCCTCATAATTCAGTCATCTCCCACCAGGTCCCTCCCACAACACATGGGAATTATGGGAGCTACAAGATGAGATTTGGGTGGTGACACAGAGCCAAACCATATCAATCCTGAAATATATCTTTCAAGTTATTTACTTTGTTCCCCTCCCTTTCAGGGATGCCAGTGATACATAGATTTGTCCTCTTTACATAATCCCATACTTCTTGGAGGTTTTTGTTCATTCCTTTCTATTCTTCTTGCTTTATTTTTGACTGTCTTATTTAATTTTTTTGAGATGCAGTTTCACACTTGTTGCCCAGGTTAGAGTGCAGTGATGTGATCTCAGCTCACTGCAACCTCCACTTCCCAGATTCAAGAGATTCTCCTGCCTCAGCCTCCCGAGTAGCTGGGATACAGGTGCCTGCCACCAGGCCCAGCTAATTTTTTTTTTTTTTTTTTGAGACAGAGTCTCGCTCTGTCGCCCAGGCTGGAGTGCAGTGGCGCGATCTCGGCTCACTGCAAGCTCCGCCTCCTGGGTTCACACCATTCTCCTGCCTCAGCCTCCCGAGTAGCTGGGACTACAGGCGCCCGCTACCACGCCCGGCTAATTTTTTGTATTTTTAGTAGAGACGGGGTTTCACCGTGTTAGCCAGGATGGTCTCGATCTCCTGACCTCGTGATCCGCCCACCTCGGCCTCCCAAAGTGCTGGGATTACAGGCGTGAGCCACCGCGCCCAGCCGCTAATTTTTGTATTTTTAGTAGAGATGGGGTTTCATCATGTTGGCCAGGCTGGTCTCTGACTCCTGACCTTAGGTGATCCCCGCCTCAGCCTCCCAAAGTCCTGGGATTACAGGTGTGAGCCACCATGCCTGGCCTGTCTTATTTTAGAGAACCAGTCTTCAAGTTCTGAGATTCTTTCCTCAGCTTGGTTTATTCTGCTGTTAATACTTGTGATTGCATTGTGAAATTCTTGTGTTATTCAGCTCTGTCAAACCTGTTAGGTTCTTTTTTTATACTGCCTATTTTGTCTTTCAGCTCCTGTATCACTTTACTATGATTTTTATTTTCCTTGGACTGGGTTTTGCCATCCTCCTGAATCTTGATGATCTTTGTTCCTATTCATATTCTGAACACTGTGGAAATGACAACGAAGGATTTAGAATATTACATAATCAACTTAGTTGATAAAGCAGTAGCAGGGTTTGAGAGAACTGTTTTTTCCCTTCAATTTCCACTTTATCCAGTACTTATATTGCTTTGTGTTTGAAATTTCCTGATATTTTCTATCTTCATTATTTTGTTTTCCTTTTCTGAAGCATTTTAATTCAGATGTTTCTCTTTTAGGTTCTTTACATGTGAACCTGTTTCCCTTATTGTGGAAGTAATCCATTTTCTTTGCATATGAGTTGGGAAATCAGAACTAAGAAAACCAAATTGGAAGGGAAAAAAAGCCCCCTTAATCTCAACACTCACACATAATGAATATTGTTGACATTTCAGAATATATCTACCCTGATTTTTACTTAATAGACACCCAACGGGAAAATGACAGAAGCTTAGAGTAAAAAAAAAAAAAAAATCTAGTTAGAAATGACCCATAAGATTTTACAATTCACTAAGCATTTTCCATCTTTTTCTGTGGCCTGAATAGCCAGTGAGAGTGTATGTTCCAAGTTGCATATAATTACACTTCTCCCTTTTTTTCCCCCTTAACCCAACTGCGTCCTTTTTTTTTTTTTGAGACGGAGTCTTACTCTGTCGCCCAGGCTGGAGTGCAGTGGCGCGATCTCAGCTCACCGCAAGCTCCGCCTCCTGGGTTCACGCCATTCTCCTGCCTCAGCCTCCCAAGTAGCTGGGACTAAAGGCGCCCACCACCTATCTTCTCTCTTAAAAATTCTAGCCAGGCACTGTGACACATGCCTGTAGTCACAGCTAATCAAGAGGCTGTAGTGAGAGGACCACTTGTGCCTAGGGGTTCAAGTCCAGCCTGGGCAACATAGCAAGACCCCATTTCTTAAAAAGTTTTGTATGTGTGTGGGTGTTGGAGGATATAAGCCATTCACAATTATAACTAGTATGTTAGGTCTTACTTCTTCTTTCCTGAGTTACTTTAAAATAAAAGTCCCACTACTTTTCTTGAGACTTAATCCTTTTTCCCCCAAAACTACATTTCAATCTGCTTCTATCAGCCTCACAGTCAATGAAAATCTTTTCAAAAGACCAATGAATGTCACTCCGAGTTTGGGGGGTTGTAAGCTGTTTTCATCTTATTCTATGTTTTGTTAGATATTTTATTAGAAAGTCAGAAGACATTGTATCAGGGTTGCTAGCTAGAAACCAGTTTCTACTCCTTAAGATCCAACTCAAGGTACATGGTATGCAAAACCACTTCTGAATTACCATGAAAACTATGCTAGTAATGGAATGGGGGTTGGCAGTGGTAAAAACTGTACAGCACACCATAGTGTAACAGAGTAATATACAGGTGTTCAGAAAGAACTGACATCAATCATATCCCAGATTCCTAAACCCTCCTGCTCCCAAATGAAGGATAAAGAAGGCTTCTCCGAAATACTTACTCCTATGACCTGAAATCATATAACAGTTTCAAAATTATGTTGCCAGGCCAGGCACGGTGGCTCACGCCTGTAATCCCAGCACTTTGGGAGGCTGAGACAGGCAGATCACTTGAGGCCAGGAGTTTAAGACCAGCCTAGCCAACATGGCGAAACCCCATCTCTACTAAAAATGCAAAAATTTGCCAGGGATGGTGACACATGCCTGTAGTCCCAGCTACTCAGGAGGCTAAGGCAAGACAATGGTTTGAGCCTGGACTGTGGAGGTTGCAGTGAGCCGAGATTGAGCCACTGCACTCCCGCCTGGGTTACAGAGTGAGACTCCACCTCCACAAACAAACAAACAAAAAACAACAAAAAAACCCAAAATTATGTTGCCAAGCTAGTATTACCTGTAAAACATTAGGGTTGGGGGAATTTGAGCAAACAATTGTTTATCTGCTCAGCCCTTCTTAAGGCCTGGTATTTACTGCAATATTGGAAGCTGCCATGCATATATCTGTCATTGCTTACCTAGATCTCCAGAAAAAAAGTTACAATTTTTAAAGCTTCTCAACTGTCTTTCCTCAATCTCTTTGTGTGTGTGGGTGTGTGTGTGTGTGTGTGTGTGTGTGTGTGTGTGTGAATGTGTATGTGTGTTTCTGCAAGCCCCTAGCTTTCCAGCACTTTTCCATGTACCTTGTCTCTGAGTTTGCTAAACTCTTGAATGTAGGAGTGCACAGCTGACCCACAGCTCAGACATCTGGCTTCTAATAGCCCTGGTGCAATCCTGATCACTGGGGTTAAGAGCATGTCAGTGAGTGTTAACAAAGCTAGTGAAAATTGTTTTATGTTTTCAACAACATATATTTCATTCAGAGGCTGGATAAAGGAAGAGTGAAACCATTAGGTCAACAAAAATGCCAAACACGACTGTTCTAAAATCCCATGGAAAACATATTTACCTTCAGTGAGAGTTCTTAATCTTTTTTTTTTTTTTTGAGACAGAGTCTTGCTCTGTAGCCCAGGCTGGAGTGCAGTGGTGCGATTGGCTCACTGCAACCTCCACCTATTGGTTTAAGCAATTCTTGTGCCTCAGCCTCCCAAGTAGCTGGGATTATAGGAGGGTGCCACCATGCCCAGCTAATTTTTGTATTTTTAGTAGAGATGAGGTTTTACCATGTTGGCCAGGCAGGTCTTGAACTCCTGACTTCAAGTGATCTGCCCACCTTGGCCTCCCAAAGTGCTGGGATTACAGGCATGAGCCACAATGCCTGGCCTTAAACTTCTTTTATGTCTTCATTTATTTTCAAAATGAAATGCAGAGTATCACATTTCCTATAAGCAAGTGAAAGCAACAAACTACAAAGTATAGAAAAACAACCTCACTACCATTCTGTTTTTTAGTGCTCCACTGTTCAAGCAATTAATTTCACATTGATCACTACAGAGAGTTATAGAACCACTGGGCTTCCTAGGATTAAAGGCAGAATCAGGGCAGGATAAAGGACCTCAGCTACCATGGTTTGGTACAAGGGTTTTATGTCAATCCTCTAAGATTGATAAGAGTCTTGTTTGATTTAAATTCTGGGAATATTCTAGAATGGTCTACAGTTGCTGAGAGAAATGTCATAAACAAATCTAGCCAGAACAAGGCTGAGGGCAGGGACCCTCTGCAGTAGTTACTGTGTAATGTGAACTACACTTAGAAGGCATATCAGAGTGTGGAGTATATGCAAATCTATTTGGTTAAACATGGGCTCTCACGTGAGGATGTTCAGATATCAACTAATTAGTCTGATATTTGTTTCCTCTTTTAATCAACATGGTAAGAAAAATATAAATATCTTCCTCCAAGGTACTATCACTCTGGTCTGTTACCAGATGAAGATGTTTCTTGGTCATTCCAGATGAGGCCCCCCACCAATGAATTTTTAAGTTATTCTAAAGCTAACTGTATCCATTTCTTTTGTAATAAACTGGCAGTAAAATATTATAGCTGTTGAGTTACATGTATCATCAATCTTCCACTTTTCCAGTTCTTTCTTTACCTGTCTGTTGAAATCCTCTTCATTCTCCATCCACATGTACTCTGCAAATGGGTTTTCCTTTTCATCGTGCCCACTTAACCCCTGGTCCTCTTTGGATTTTACACTCGGTGATGTATTTGCCATATTGGATCCATTCATTATGATGGAACCTAAAGAGAAGCAAAAGAAAAGATAAAATGAATATAAGGATAAAGGAAATGTAGAGACCTAAAACATGCAGATTCTGTCAGAAGCTTCTGAAATTCTAAGTCAAAGATTTTAACTATAGATAAACAGAAACTTAGTCTGTAACTCTTATAAAACCATCCACATCCTGCAGTTATCAACTAGACAGATGTACAATTATTTAAGAGTTAAAAGAAAAGATGTCTATTAACACTTAGGCTCACTTAGTCTTTCTAGGCAGGTGGGACAGGGGTGGGAGGGGTAGGAATCTTCCCATGCCAAATTTCTGTAGGTCCTGGAACCTAGTCAAGATCATTACAGCTTCCTTAACATTGAAACAGTGAAAATGCATTCTTAATGAACATTGTAAGCACCTACTCCTTATTCTAATTCTCAAGCTGTTTTTCTTTAAAATGTATTTTAAAAAATACATGTTTATCATATTGATAAGCAAAAAGGAAAAAACAAAAGCCACCTGTTGTCCAGCCATCCAGAGTTAAGAACAATTAACAATGTTGCGCATATAACCTTCCTGAATTCCCATATGTTTGTGTATACACAAACATACACACACATTTCCCAAGTATCCATTCTCAATAGTAATAGGATCATGTGATACAAGATGCCCCATCATTTGCTTTTTCTCATTCCTATGTTGTTTAATAACATAGCCATACCATCTTTTGGGGGTGTTTCCAATGTTTCTGTTTATAAAGGTTCTCCTTTATAAAGGTCTTCTTTTCTAATTATTTCTTTTTATCTCCTAGAAATAGAGCTGTTACATTGGAGAGTATGTTCTCTTTTCTAAGGCTCTTGGCATTGCCACACTACTATAAGAATTTAAATTCCCACCAGTGGTGTGGAAGTGCCCGTTTCCCAACATTCATGAGTACTATCATTTTCTAAACCATTGCCAATCTCATAAAACTTGCATTTTTTTACATTTCCTTAATTTTTACTGAGGCTGATTATCTTAAGATATGTTTACTGGCCATTTATATTTCTTATTCTGTAATTTTACTGCTAAAGTACTTTGCCCATTTTTCTATTGGGGTATATATCTTTTCCTTATCTTTTGTAAAAACATTTATTATATTTGTTATAATTTTTATTTTTTATAAAATAATTTAAATGAAAGTTTATAACTAAAATAAATATGTTATTCATTATATTTAATTTTTTATGGCAATTTTTGCCGGCCTTAAATTTTTCTAGCTCATATATATGTTTCTGTCTACAGCTTCGTAAAATTGTATGTACATAAAATTGTTTATTTTGGCTTCTAAACCCATTTTGATGTTTTTTGCTATCATTTAGAATACATCTTTTTCTGTTATTCATCTAAATCTTAACAATTCCTCAAAAATCATTCCAGTCTTCATTCACTACTTTCCTTCGCTATTTATTCACTGCTTCCCTTCTGTACTTAGTACAGCATTAACACTACTTAATTGTTGTTTGATATGCATAATTTTTCTCCTTCCAATTAGATTCTCAATTCCTGACAAGCAAGATTGAGTTTTATAGATTTTGTAACTCACCACAATATTATGAGTTCCATAAATACCTGAGGCTTAATTGTATTTAGGCAACTTTCCCTCTCTAACTCATCTCTCTTCAACCTTGACTCCATCTCTACCCCGACTCCCACCTTCCTTGGGGCTTCTTTAAGTTTCTATAACAAATTATTTCCCAGGGGTTGTTTCCATCTTGGCAACACTTGTGAATAAGTTATTTTCTGTTTCTGGATACAGTAAAATATTCTTTCTTAGTTCTCTTTAAAGGTTTTTTGTTTTTATTTTTTGTTTGTTTTGTTTTGCAATTTCCTAACCTGTTATGGATATTAGAAATGTAATATTCTAAAAAGACAAGGTAAAATTGTGAAGAGCAAAGAATAGATGGAAAAACAACTCAGTAGTACATAGTTCTAAAAGAATTCATTTAAAATAGAACCCATTTAAATCACTGTAGGTTTAAATAAGGCTACTAATATGAAATATATCTGCTTAACATATTTTAAATAGAAACAAAAGAAATCAATGTCTATTCCAAATACAGATCCATAATAATAATTTCATAAGCTATAGAGGGAAAGAAACCAGTTCTTTATTTTTACCACTTCCATCTGTAGCATAACAGTGATAGAAGCAAGTCTGTTCTAAATGCCAGGGCAACTGTATTTGCCCTGTAAGTAAGAGCACAGAGACTCTTAAAGGTCCTGAACCTTGCTGGGTAGCAAGATATACTGTACTATTATTTCCAAAGATTTGGCAGTTGTTTGCAACTAGCACACTGATTTCTCACCACCAATATGGAAAATCACTATAGAGAATCAGAAATCAGAGTTCAGTTTTTTTAAAAAAAATCTTCCTGTGCCCAAAAAGTAAGTCCTGAGTGTACATGATTGTAAGGCAAAAGAGAAAGGGAAGGCAAAGGAAGAAAGAAAGAAAAAAAAAACCCTTCTAATTCAAGAGCAAGGTGGAACACAGATAGCAAATTCCAGGATGTGCTTATTCATGAGAAAGGGAGTGGGGAATTACCATAAAATCTACAAAAACTGTTAATGAACTTAACGCAAATACTTCACAGAAGTTAAAAACACTGATATGGTATTGTCAATACTAGGCAAGTGATTCTCTTACAATATTATACAGTGTTGATTTGTATTTTGTACTATTCAACCTGTGTTTTCCACACAATTAGAAAGTTTGGTGTTTCCAAACAGCAGCATTCCAACAACTTAATTTTTATACTGTTTAAAAATTAATAAAGCACTTTCATACCCACACTTTAAGGCACATAGTTCAAGAACAACATTGTTTTGTGGGCCTACTGGGTGTGAGTGAACTGGTGCTTAATGTGCCCTGGCTTTACTAGCTAGGTGGCAATAGGGAGATTTTTGTTGGAGACTGGTAACTCCTAGGGAAGGCATTTGGATGTTTCCAACTTGGGGAAGACACAAGGGAAGACAGGATCATCACCCTTAACTTCCCTGAAGTTCCTGCTCCCAGTTTCATGTAACATTCTCTGTTTCCAGCTCTTCCCCAGCTCACGGTCCATGCTTGATCACTGTGTTTCTCTAGTCATTCCATTTCACCATTTCACATTCATTATTTCACTTGATCCTCATCCACACCAAGGATGAAAGTCTAGTGTAGTGAGGACAAAGAAAATATGCCCAAAGCTTCCAGAGATGGGAGGAATGCTTGGTTACATAAATCGGGTTAAGAGGCTGAATGGCTGCCATGTTGTGAGTTACATTACAGAGAGGCTCATGGGAGAGGAAATGAACCATCATGTAAGTGAGCTTAGAAGTGCATTTTCCTCCCAGTCAAGCCTTCAGATGAGATAGCAGCCCCAGATGACAGATTGACTGCAACTTTGTAAGAGTCTCAAGCACAGGCACCCTGCTAAGCTACTCCCAGATTCCTGATGCACAGAAATTATGAAATAATAAATATTAGTTGTTTTAACCTGCTAATCTTTGGGGAAAGTTGTCACCTAACAATAGCTTATACAGGTATTCAATAAACACTGGCAATTAACTCTGCCACACAAACCACTATGTCACAACATCTTTTTATCTATCAAGAAGACAAATGTGCAATTTGAAATAGGTCACTGCTTGAGAAGCAGTTCTTTAAGAATTAGACCTCAACAGTAGATAAAGGAGTTTGTGTCTGGTCTGTGACTATATTGCATCTTGAAACCTAAGAACAATTTGAAACTTATTTCCCCTTCACCCCACTTTCCCTCTTATACACATGTCAAACATGCTGAAAATAAGAAATAACAGTTGTCACTTTGGCTGAAAATGGGAAAGCTCACAACCCTGTTAATAGTCAATACAGGGGTGCTAAGGCCTGCCAAGCATTTGAGTTGGCACTATCATGGTCAAGGGTCAAGACATATTTGTGTCTAAAATATGTGGCTTGAAATAGGGACTTATGTTCCAAGTTAGAAAGAACTCCAGGACTTTTAATGTATCTAGGATATTTCAAGGATACATGCTTCATCAGTTTAACACTTTAAACACCCACAACTTTCAGATCCAACATGCTTATGCCAAAAACTAGCTATTCTTTGAACTTAAATAATATTTTTCAGAAGTTACATACCTGCAATGTGCCTATGATAACAGTTTGCTAAGATTACTTAGGACTTTTGACTGAATTACCTGGAAAAAGTCTACTGAACAACTGAAATAAAAACTACTCCCTCCTATTTTGTTTCCTACAGTTTCATTACTTCCTTCAGTCTGGTTAATACCATTTTAAAAAGTAAATATGGTGGATGACAGCTTTAAATTTTATTTCAAATATTCTGCCACATGATTCGGGTTTTGCTTTCTCTCAGCTACATCTTAACAACTAAGATCATTAAATCTATTCACTCATTAATATCTGAGTGCCTACTGACCCTCTGTGCTGAGGCACTGGGCTTGACTCTTGCTTTGATAGGGTACACAGCCCTTGCCCTGGTGATATTTACATTCTCTCAGGAGAGAGACAAGAAAATAGTTAAAAATAATGATCCATGCTATAAAAGGGACTATTAGAAAACAACAGGGGGCCCAATCTAGTCCAGGAGAGAGGGGGATGGTTCAGAAAGGTTTCCCTGAGCAAGAAACATTTTCATTGATACCTAAAGAATGTAAGCTTACTAGCAATAGGGAGGAGAGAGAAAATGACGTACAATGAATCAAAGGCAGGAGGGAATTTTCGGGAACTACAAGAAGGTAGGTACGTATATAGCCAGAGAATGACAAGGAAGAGAGATGAGGTTGGAGAGGCAGGTGGGGCCAGATCAGATCATTCAGGACCTTAAGAGACCACA
The DNA here is from genome assembly GCF_000001405.40 of Homo sapiens. Taxonomy (NCBI): domain Eukaryota; kingdom Metazoa; phylum Chordata; class Mammalia; order Primates; family Hominidae; genus Homo; species Homo sapiens. Next base: position 71,207,453 of record NC_000002.12, read on the forward strand.
TGAAGGATTTTGGATTTCATCCTAAATAATAGAAGCCATTATAAGGAGTTCTGAAACTCCTTATAATGCACCGTAGCATGATTCGACATATTTTGAGATCACTCAGGCTGCCATGTGGAAAATGGATTGCAGAGACTGAGAGTTAATAATGAGAGACTGGTAAGGCAGCTATTGCTCCAATCCAGATGAAAAAAGGGTAGCTGCTTGAACTAAGATGATGGCAGTAAGAAGAAAGGAGGTAGACTCTAAAACTATTTTAGGAGGTTTTTGGTGATGAACTAGATGTGGGGAGTCAGAGTGAGGGAAATATCAAGGATAATTTTGGCACAAGCAACTGGGTGGATTGGTAATGTCATTCACTGAGCTAAGGAACTCTGTGGGAAGGGCAAACTTTTCTTGGGTGGTGATAGGGGCGTGGGGGTAAAAAAGGTGATGAGTTCTATTTTGGACATGTTAAATTTGCAATGCTTCTGAAACACTGAAATGGTGATGTTAAGTAGGTTGGCTGTATGCACCAAGAATAGGAGAAGTCTGCCTAAATATAGGAAGTTGGAGTAGTCGTTTATATAAATGGTAACTGAAGTCATAGGAATAGAAGATACTGCCTATGGAGAAAATGCAAAGTGAGATGAGAAGAGGGCCCATGACCCAGCACTGATGTGTGTGAATATTTTGAAAAGTCAGGTAGAAGCCGGGCACTGTGGCTCACACCTGTAATCCCAACACTTTGGGAGGCCGAGGGAGGTGGATCACTTGAGGTCAGGAGTTCGAGACCAGCCTGGCCAACATGGTGAAACCCCATCCCTACTAAAAATACAAAAATTAGCTGAATGTGGTGGTACATGCCAGTAATCCCAGCTACTCGGAGGCTGAGGCAGGAAAATCACTTGGACCTGGGAGATGGAGGTTGTAGTGAGCTGAGATCGCGCCATCGCACTCCAGACTGGGTGATGGAGCGAGACTCCATTTCACCCCCCCAAAAAAAAAAGTCAAGTAGAGGAGGAAGGCAACATGAAAAGGAAACTGAGAAGAACCCAGAGAGTTGAGAAGACAATCAGAAGAGTGTGACATCACAGAAATCAAGAAAATACCGAACCCAGTGTTCTGTATTTTCTTGATTTGGATTAAATGGTAGCCCCCCCAAAAATATGTCCATGTCCTAATCCATGGAATCTGTGAAGGCTACCTTATTTGGAAAAAAGGGTGTTTGTATATATAATTAAGGACCTTAAGATAAGGAGATCATCCTGAATTATTCAGATGGGCCCTCAATTCAATGATAGGTATATAAGAGAAAAGCAGAGGGAGATTTAACACACACACAGAAGAGGAGGAGGCAATGTGACCATGGAGGCAGAGATTGGAGTGGTGTGGCCACAAATCAAGGAATGCCTGCAGCCATCAGAATTTGGAAGAGGCAAAGAACAAATTCTCCCCTAGAGCCTCCAGAAGGAAAGTGGCCCTCCTGATGCCTTGACTTTGGACTTCTGGCCTCCAGAACTATGAGACAATAAATGTTGTTTTAAGATACCAGTTTGTGGTAATTTGTCACAGCAGCCACAGGGAATGAATCCAATTCCAGTAAAGTAGGAATACAGAAGGCTGCTGAAAGGTCAAGTAGGAAGAAGACTGAGAAGTGTCCACAGAATTCAGGACCATGGAGTCTCTGATGACCTTAATGAGAGCGGTTTCCACGGAAAAAATGAGAATGAAAGCCAAATGGAGGTAGGCTGAATCGTAGGTGATACCAAGTATGAGATAACTCAGAGTCCAGCTGCCAAGGGAAGAGGCAGGAACAGACAGAAACTGGAGGGGTATGAAGTCCACGGAAATGACATCTTTAAAGATTAGAAACTCTAATTCACATTTAAATGTTCATAGAAAGGGTCTAGTGGAGAGGGACAGGTTATACATACAGGAGGGAGAAAGTATAGTTGATAGTGTAGGTCCTGGGAAGGCAGAAGGGAATATTTATTTTCGAATAGCTAATACATTCCCACCATTCAAAATCCAAATGCCTGGGATGCTTAATTAGTAAAAGATGGTTGCATGGTGAACACGAAATCAGAGCAGTAGGAAAAGCATCAGGAGAAAGATTTTATCCATTACAAAGCCACATGAAACATCCTTACTCCATGGTAGGAAATTTCACTTCCCTGGTAGCAGGAATGCTTATACCCCCCAAGTGTAAGTTGGCCTGCCCAGACAGCTCCTGGATTAATGCATCAAACTCCAACTTTCTAACTTTCTAACTTTTTGTTTATTCTTTCAGTTTTTCACAGGGTCACACACATACACAAACACAAATAAACATTTTAAAGCTACATAAGCAATACAATAAATAATTTTATAAAGCCTTTTAAAATCACATAGAACTTTTTTTTTTTTTAAGATGGAGTCTCACTCTGTCGCCCCAGGCTGGAGTACAGTGGCGCGATCTCAGCTCACTGCAACCTCCACCTCCTGGGTTCAAGCGATTCTCCTGCCTCAGCCTCCTGAGTAGCTGGGACTACAGGTACGTGCCACTATGCCCAGCTAATTTTTTGTATTTTTAGTAGAGACAGGGTTTCACTGTGTTAGCCAGGATGGTCTCAATCTCCTGACCTCGTGATCTGCCCGCCTCAGCCTCCCAAAGTGCTGGGAATTACAGGCATGAGCCACCACTCCCAGCCAGAACATATTTTTATATACCATGTCATACTTTGCACTAAAATAATTTCTCTCCTTGTTTTACAAGATTTTCTTTTACTAAGTAAATAAACCCATCAGATTTTCTCCATTATTTGGTGAAGGATCAAAGGAAAAAAAGAGAAAGGGGGAGTAGTTCAGCTTTAGGTGGGGTGAGGAGACGTACGACATGTATATGAAAATTTTTTAAAAGGTTCCAGGTAAATTTCAAATTAGAATGATTTTGTCCCATGTACTTCCATTTCATTTATTTCCAGAGCAGCTGCATGGACATTAACAGAAAACAAATAAGTAGTCATTCTGCTAAGTTTTCCTATATTGACCTCAATGCACAAATGTTCCATTGGCTATCTTCCATTTGATGCAAGAACAGTGCTTGCAAATATAACGTCAGTGAGCTTAAGCAAACAGAAAATGGAACTTACCTGCAATTATAAGTTAACAAGAAGCTTTCAAAAACATATTAGTTGACAAGGAAGTCAGGAAAAAGAGGAAAATCACTTATGTGGTCCCTATATTTGTAAAATATATCAAAACAAAGGTAAATTACAAATAGAGGCATTTTCTAAATTAAACTCAAGGCTGCCAAATGAGAAAGACAATATAAATACAATACAACCTCTTTTTTATTAATGTTTAAAACTTGTCCTATACTGACCTATAAGTTTGCCCCACTGAGGAAATGGAATCTGAAAACTGGGATACAGATACTCTGGGAAGAATAATAAAACTGAACTTAATTACAGCAACAGTCTAGTCCCTGGACCAGACCCAAGAAAACAAAACAGAAGCATACTGAAATAGGATTAAGAATGCATTTAGCTGGCCAGGCGCAGTGGCTCATGCCTATAGTCCCAGCACTTTGGGAGGCCGAGGTGGGTGAATCACCTGAGGTCAGGAGTTCTAGACCAGCCTGGCCAACATGGTGAAACCCCGTCTCTACTAAAAATACAAAAATTAGCTGGGCGTGGTGGCAGGCGCCTGTAATCCCAGCTATTCGGGGAGGTAGGGGGTGAAGCGAGGCAGGATAATCGCTTGAACCCGGGAGGCAGAGGTTGCAGTGAGCCGAGATTGCACCATCACACTCCAGCCTAGGGGACAAAAGCAAGACTTGTCTCAAAAAAAAAAAAAGACTGCATTTAGCAAGTGGCAAGAAGGTCTATTCTAATTGAGCGGTTTTCAGTCTTAGGAGTATATAGAATCACCTGGAAGTTTTTCCACATCCATACTTTGCAGATATTCTGATTTGTTAGGCCTGAGCCAAGGCCCAATTTTTGTATTTCTGCTTGTTAATTTGCCATAGGTAATTCCGATATATAGAAAGACTAAAGACTTAAGAACAATTCCTCGAATATAGTGACAACCTCTACCTGGAATAGTCCAAATCCTAATTACCCTAATTCCTACACCAACAGTTCCCAAACTAGTGTTCTACAAACTACAGTCTTGTGAATGCTCTTTGAAAAAAAAAAAAAAAAATGGCCATGTGTAAATTCATTGTCCTGAGAAGTCCTGTTTAATTTACCAAGCATTTCCCAAATTTATGTATTAATTTGTTACCTTTATTACATATATTACATTTTTAACCTAGTAACTATTAACAATCCCAAACTTTTAGAAACAATGCCCCAAGGATGTTCTGTGATATTACTATCATTCTACTGGAAACGTACAGAACAGTCATAAAATGTACTCCACAAGGCATTTAAAGGCAGTTTCAAAGGTAGAATCAAAAGACTTGCCAAAAGTCAGTGGCAAGATCTCTAGACTCAGACCCACCTTTGAGTCCTCAAGTTCCAACTCCTTGCCCCAAAGCCAATCAATTGTCCTCCCAGAATAACATCAAATAGCAATTAGCATATGGTCCTTGACTTCTCCAGATCAGCTCCAAAAAGATATAGACTATTAATGGGGGAAATATTGTGAAGTCTTTAACAGACAACGTTAATCAAAAACATTCCTATGGGTAAATTATTATATATAAAAAACCTTTCTCACCAACAAGTGTCTCCATACATTTCAGACTGATGTGATGACAATTTGTTTTTTAAATGCATAATTATATCAAATAAATGCCACTATAAAAGCCTGAATACAATCTCCGAGCCTAAGGTCTTCCCCATCTTCACCTCCATCTCACATTTGATTGTATGTATATTTGAGAGAGCATCACTCATTACTTGTTTTGGGACTAGTCTATAACCTTGGAAGTTTCTTGAGGGCAAGAATCAAGTCCTTTACAGCTTCTAGCATGCCTCTGTGCACCCACCAGGTCCTTAATAAATAATCTGTTAACTGCCATTTTTAGAACGCTGTATTCTAAATCTCATTTCCTCAGCAGGAAGCCCATGCCCTTAGGGGTTAGGATCTGTAAGTGAGCACTCTTCGTTGAGTATGAACAGTTATTCCCCACAGTCAGTGACAGCACTACTCTGGAATCTGTTTTTGACAAATCAAGTTACTCAAGAGGGATTAAAAAACACTTACTTATATTTTTTTTAGAGATGGGATCCATGTTGCCCAGACTGGTCTTGAACTCCTGGACTCAAGTGATTCTCCTGCCTCAGCCTCCCAAAGTGCTGAGATAACAGGCATGAGCCACTATGCCCAGCCTATTTTTTAATTTTTATAGAGACAGGGTCTCACTCTGTAGACCAGGCTGGAGCTCAGTGGTGCAATCATAGCTTACTGCAGCACTGAACTCCCGGGCTGAGGCAATCCTCCTGCCTCAGCCTCCCAGGTAGCTAAGACTACAGGTGTACACCACCAGGCATGGCTAAATTTTTTTTTTTTTTAGAGAAGGGGTCTTGCTTGTTGCCCAGGCTGGTCTCAAACTCCTGGCTTCAAGCAATCCTCCTGCCTCCGCCTCCCAAAGTGCCAGATTACAGATGTGAGCCACTGTGCCTGGCCTGGGGAGCAGTGGGGAAAAACACTTCTAATCTAGAAAATTTTGTGTTCTTGTTTACTATTTTAGCATTAATAACACCAAATGACTATAACATTCTCTTTACGAGCTGTATAATAAGAATAAAAGCTTGCCACAGTGGAATTATCTAAACTAGAAGAAATTCATACAGTGAATCCCAACAAAAATCACAAAAAGGGATCACATGTTCATTTTCTTTGACATATTTCTGGAAATAAAGGTTTGCCACAACAAAGTGGGGAGAGGGGAGCCAAGCAGCATAATACATCTGTAATGAGGTAGAGAAAACAGTATCCACTAGAAATCTTTTCAGGAAGGGTGCCATTTTGGGTTGGAAAAGCTCTTTGAAAGTTAATCTGGGGGAGAAAGAGGGTCCTTGAGGGACGAGGGTAAGGTCAGAACATTTCTTGGGAGAAAGGGGAACATTAATCTGGCTAATGAGGGCACAGTGCTAGACAGAGTGAAGAAGAAAAAGTCGAGTCGTACATTCAGAGTATGAAAGGCCTCACACTGTGTAAAATGGACTACAACTTAAGACTTCCAATTTTCAGTAAGACTATTAGGCCCATATAAAATTCAGGAGTCTGTGGATTTTTTGGTGTGGAAACCACTCAAGAGGCAGATTTTATGTCTAAATTGCAACGGTGAGACTTAAGTATGAATTGGGAATTATGTCCCAATTTATGAATTGGGAAAGCATTTAAGACAAGTTTCTCCAGGCCTTTAAAGGAATGAGAACCCCACTGGACAATTAAGTTACATAGAAAAAACAACTATCGTAATCTATCCAAATACAAGGGGGAAAGGACAGCAACAAAATAATAGCTCTTCTAAGTACTTCGGTAACAGTCTCTCTTTTAATCTTCATAACAATCCCACAAGGCAGGGACTGTTAGTCTCCCAGTTGTTTTCATACAAATACTCCACCTTTCATTTATTTATTAAAAAAAATTTTTTTAGAGACAGGTCTCACTATGATGTCCAGACTGGACTTGAACTTCTAGGCTCAAGTGATCCTCCCACCTCATCCTCTCAAGTGGCTAGGATTACAGGTATGAGCCATCAGAGATTTATTCAACACCTTGCCTAAAGTATAACCTAGTAGTACTAGAATTAGTGCTTAAGCTTAGGTCTTTCTGGTCCCAAAGCCCATGCTCTTAACCACTTCCATGTAGTGACTACCCCATACTCACACTTCCCACTTTAGGTCCAGAAAGGCTATAATAGAAAACTCTGATTTGATCTCAAATATTAAAAATGGGGTTCGGAGAACCATGCTGAAGAAAAATGCTATTCAACAAAAGTACTGAGGTCTTTGGAAGGAAAACACAAACCAATCACAGCACATGGTGGTTTATTTAAATCAAAATAAATTACATTCCCTACCATGAACATATGAAGCTCCATTTAATTTGAAGCTTGCTAATACTTTTAGGATGAGAAACCAAACCTCCAAATAGGTCTACAATCCATTATGTACAATTCTAATATCCAAACAGCTCTAAAAACCAAGAATTTTTCATATGTTTTATGTCAAAACTTGCAGGACAGTAAAATTTGGCCTGAACTGATATGAAGCTATATACAGCCTTTATCTACCCACTTAGTGTGAATACTCCTGTTTTGCTCAGAAATATTAATGTATCGGGTGACTAAGGATGCTGCATCAGACACACTGAGGCATTCGTAACAGAGAAAGCATCTTCCTAAACCTGAAAAATTCTGAATTCTGAGAGTTGTCTAGTTCCAAGGGCTTTGGACCCTCTATGAACCTGTATTCCAAATAATTTAAAAAACAGTTTCCAAGGATGATTAGATCAGAGACACTCAGTATTTAGGATTTCATAAACCAGGAGATTTTAAAAAATATTGAGGACAATATAGGATTCCAAATTAAAAAACATACAAAGATGGTAAAAACATCCTTATCAACATCATTCTATAAAAGGATATTTTAGCACCAAAAAAACAAAAGAAGGTCTTAATTCAATGCAAAAGACAATTCTTTAAACTGAATGAATTTAATGTTACAAAAAATACTATGTGGTCCTTATACTTCTTATTTCACAATAAGCTGGTGAAAATTCACCTGGGACTGGCACTGATCTGATCTGAGGCATACAGTCCAGGAGCCTATATAAAATTACCTGGGAAAGTTATTAAAAAATGCAGACACAACCAAGATCGTGCCACCGTACTCCAGCCTAGGTGACAGAGCGAGACTTCGTCTCAAAAAAAAAAAGAAAAAATGCAGACTCCCCCCAGCCTCCCAAAAAGGTCCATCCTAGGAGATCACAATTCAGATGGTCTAAAGGTGAGGCGCAAAATCTGTGTCGTTTTCTAGAAAACAGTCTGGGTTGTTTTTGATGTGCAGCCAGGCTTCAGAGCCACCAGTTTAATCTGTGGGTTCTAGTTCTACCCTTCTTCACTCAAACTCTTCTCTGAGGGGTAAGGGGAGAAAAACAGGAATGTTTCCAAGTAAGGAATCTGCCTAACCCACTGTTTGTAATACTAGTTATTCCTTCAAACAGTCTAGGCTGAACCAGCTGGTCAACTGAGACTATTAGCCGTGGAACGATAGAAATTAGAGTTGACAAGCAAGAAAAACTTGTTAAAGCAAAACTCCTCTATGAAAAGGTGTGGCTTCCACAGTTTCTTTTCTCTTCAACGCAAAGATTCTACATATGATGCCTAAGTTCAGCACAGATATCTTTGTCTGTGCTGACAATAATAACAATAAATAAAACTTTAAAAAATATATTTGTGTGTACTTTATATATCTGTGTATCTATGTGTGTGTGTATCTATGTGTTCCTTTGAAGCTGTCTTCATTATCCAGCTTCTATGCCAGGTCTTTGATTTTGGCCTTGATTTTTCATCTTCAAATGGAGTACAAGAATTACCAGTATTACCTCAGTTGAGGTACAAATCCTATAAAAATGGAAAACCCATAGCATGCTTGATGATTAATGAAGGAGACTATATTATCCAACATTCCAATAAGATAAAATAATCATAGTGATTTTTCTTTTTTGGAAAAAGTTTCTCTTATTCTCCTACATTACTGTTTAAAATAATCTCAAGATACATGTCTAATATCTTTAAAAACACACAAAGGTTTCGATTTAATAAGCACTCAAAGCTCTTTACCAGTTTTAAAAAATACAAGGCCCTTCTAAAGGCTAAATGCTAAGTGATGGGGGAGAGAAGAAGGACATAAATAACTCTTACTTTCATGGGGTTAATCACTAAATCCTATTTGCCTAGAATCTCCTGGCCTCTCTAAGCCTTGCAAATGAAATGGAGTTTCTCACTAGATACTTGGCTATGACTTCCAATCATAAAAAACCAAGAATTGTGTTATGTCACTGTGTATTGCTTGTAACCTGAACTCCACACTAGGCTGGGATCAAGGGTTGAATCTGTCATGATTTGCTCCATAACCTGTATGTTTCTCATCCCAGACCAAAGAGCTTTCTTCTAGAGTTCTACAATTTTTAGTATACAAGAATGGTTCTCAAAAATGTAGTCTCTGGACCAGCAGCATCAGAATCACCTGAGAACTTGTTATAAATGCGAATTCTCAGGCCCCACCCTAGACCTGATGAATCAGAAACTCTGGAATAGGGCCCAGCAATCTGTGTTGCAATAAGCCCTCCAGGTGTTCAAGAACCTCTGGCATATAGCACTTAGAAAAATGTGTTTCTTTCTGTAGGCCCAAAGCCAGGGATACTGTATGTTCTATCTTGATATGAAATAATGACATCCAATTAAAAGACATATATCTCCTTTCTACTCTCACCCTCCATCCAATGTATTTTATTTTTATGAGTTAAATAAGAACAAATGGCAATCAGAGACTTAGTCTAAAAAGTATATTTACAGGTGTCAGTTCTCATCCAGACTGCTCTGATACAAAACCATTTACATCCTCTTACATCTAAAGTTTTAGAAAAGGATCTTCACAATGTAAGTCTCAGGCACACTAGGAGTTCTATAATAAAATACCAAGTAGCTCTGAATGTCCAAACTTACTAAGAGAAGAAAAGTGGAATTATTGGCTATATATATATATTTTAATTTTTTTGAGACGGAGTCTCACTGTCGTCTAGGCTGGAGTGCAGTGGCATGATCTTGGCTCACTGCAACCTCCGCCTCCCAGGTTCAAGTGATTCTCCTGCCTCAGCCTCCCGAGTAGCTGGGATTACAGGAGTCCACCACCACGGCCCAGCTAATTTTTCTATTTTTAGTAGAGACAAGGTTTCACCATTTCACCATGTTGGTCAGGCTGGTCTCAAACTCCTGACCTCAGGTGATCCACCCACCTGGGCCTCCCACAGTGCTGGGGTTACAGGTGTGAGCCACCAAGCCCAGCCTATATTTTTGGATTGCATTCTACAGGAAATTAAACTTTTGAATTTTTTCACCTTCATACTTCCAAGTTAATAGAATTAAACCAGAATACTCCATTCTTTCAAAGCCTCTACCCAGGCAAAGTTTTACTGTATTGCTTCTTGCTTTCAATGGACATGAGGCAGAGTCCTGGTAGGCACATTGTGTTACCTGCAAAGATGCAGAACTAAACAGTTCCATCTGTTCAATATTAAAAACAAAAGTCCTCAAACCTCAGATGGTGAGGGTAATACCTCAGTACTAGCAATAAAGCCTCAAATATGAAAAGATACCAAGAACACCACTAGCAAACAAAAGTAAGCTCTCGGCTGGGAGCAGAAGCTCATGCCTACAATCCCAGCACTTTGGCAAGCCAAGGGGGGAGATTACTTGAAGTCGGGAATTCAGGACCAGCCTGGGCAGCATAGCGAATTCTTATCTCTACAAAAAATTTTTCAAATCTGCTGGGCGTGGTGGTATATACCTGTAGTCCTAGCTACCTGGGAGGCTGAGGCGGGAAAATCACTTGAGCCCACGAGTTTGAGGCTGCAGGAGCTATGATCATGCCACTGCACTCCAGCCTGGGTGACAGACCAAGACCTAGATAATTACATTCTGCCCTACTCCTGTTTACACTAAAATCACTAAGTTAAAATGCTTTCATTCAGCCCAATAAAAATAAAGTGAAATGTGACTTTGGAGCTTGGCTAGCAAAAAAAGAAAGAAAAAATAAAGCAAAATGACAAATTACTTACTGGGAGACAGTTTTGGTAACCTCAATGACAGATAAAAGGTTTGTATCCCTAGCCTATAAAGAAATCTTTAAAATTACTCAGAAAAAGAAAAATGATAAAAAAGATAAAATTATTTTATAATTTTATAAAATTACTCAGAAAAAAACAAATAATGGAGAAATAAGGCACTTCCCACAAGAATAAAAATGGCCAATAAGCATATTAAAAAGACTCAAAAGCACTAGAAATTAAAGAAAATGTAATTAAAACAATGAGATTTTCTGCTTAAAGACGAGCAAAGATGACAAATGGAAGGGCGAAACTGGAACTCTGTCACTGTTGGTGGGAGTATACACTGAACCCATTTTCCTGCAGGATAATTTGAAAATTTCTATTAAAAACCCTAAAACTGTTTTTTTGTTATTTTCCTCCAGAAATTCTACTTCTATGAATTCCGTCCAAAAATGCTTGCTCAAGTCCATTAAAATGTATATATAAGGAAATTCACCTCTGGAGTGGCAATGATTCACTTAATATATAGCCAGCTATTAAAAATGATGATGCCAGGATATATTTACTGCCACAGAAACATGCCCAAAATATAATGTGACAAAAGACTATATTTTATGATTCTACTTTTAAAAATGTTTATATGCATAAAAAAGTATAAAAAGCAGCAAACCAGAATGTTTTGAGTGGCAGAATTAAAGGTTTTTCTTTTTTTTTCTTTTTTTTTTTTTTGAGATGGAGTCTCACTCTGTCACCTAGGCTGGAGTGCAATGGCGCGATCTTGGCTCACTGCAAGCTCCGCCTCCTGGGTTCACACCATTCTCCTGCCTCAGCCTCCCGAGTAGCTGGGACTACAGGTGCCCGCCACCACGCCTAGCTAATTTTTTTTTTTTTTTTTTTTTGTATTTTTAGTAGAGACGGGGTTTCACGGTGTTAGCCAGGATGGTCTCAATCTCCTGACCTTGTGATCCACCCACCTTGGCCTCCCAAAGTGCTGGGATTACAGGCGTGAGCCACCGCGCCCAGCCTAAGGGTTTTTCTTTATATTTTGTTAAATTATTGTAAAAAGAATGTGATTTCCTTTATAATCAGGGATAAGTGTTATTTTCATTTATTTTTACATTTCTTTTCTTTTTCTTATTTTTCTCATGTATGTACCCCATGTAGGCTAGAGAGCTTGACTCCTTGCCTCTTGAGGTGAATCAGCCCATTTTCGGGATGTGCACTACACAAAGCTGCCCCATATTCCTTTTATTTTACAAGTTCTGGAAACATTTTTGTTTTAAATTGTTTTACTCTTCTCATTTTTTAAAATATATGAAATTGAGGAAAAGACAAAGGAAAGGCTGATTCCCCACCTTCCTGGGGCTACTCTTCCAATTTTTGCTGCTATTGCTATGTATTAATATTCTCTGGGTACTAAAAAGATGGGCAGCCCCATAGAACCTTTTTTCTTATCTCGTTCTCATAATCCCACTTCATTCCTTCATTCACTTATTTTTAAAAGGGTAATGTGCGCAAATACATAGTTCAAAAATATTTAAAATATAACTATCTATAAATGTATGTGGCAAAATCCCATTCATAGTCCTATTCTCCCTCCACAGCCAAACACTTTTAATTGGTTTCTTATTATCATTTCAGAAGTTATCTCTGCAAACACACGTATATTCTTACTCTACTCTTCTCTCTCAACACAAAAAGTAGCATACCATATACACTATGCCATCCATATACCATTCCTTGTTCCTTTTTTAAAAACACACACAATATCTAGTTCTTCCACATGAGTACATAGGTCTTTCTCATTCTTCTTTACAACTACACAGTATTCCATCATTTGGATGTACCATAGTTTACTTAACCAGTTCCCTGATGGCAGGCACTGAAGTCATCCCTATCATACTAGCACAAACAATGATGCCAAGCATAACCACCTACACACACCAAATTCATTTCCGAAGGTGCCTCTCATGAGGCCTCTATTTAAATTACTGCAAGCCCACATGGTCACTAGGCTGAAATATTAGCCCCTTTTTCAGTTTTCATTATGTACAGCAGCACGTAACAAAAGATTCCCTTGGACAAAGCAAATGTACTCTTTGGGGATTTATTTCATAAAAATAAAGGGATAAACAGAACAGCTAGGATGAACCATTTCTATTTAACCATGCATATGTATGTATACAATACATGTATATGCATAGAAAGTATACAATAAACCCATCAAAGCACTAACCACTGTCTCAGTATGGTGGATCTGTGGAGTGCTTTGTAGTCCCCTGCTCCTTGCCAATCAATTATTTCTAATTTCACAACAGTGAATATGTACTATTTCTGCAATATAAAATGTTTAAAAATGTTAACTCAAATTAAGGTGGATAAATTCCTTCAGTCTGTCCTATATTTGTATAGTGCTCCAGAGTGCTCAAATATCACTTCGTTTTTAAAAAATATTTGTTTATTTTTTCAAATATAGAGACAGGGTCTTGCTCTGTTGACCAGGCTGGTCTTGAACTCCTGGATTCTCCCACCTCTGCCTCCCAAAGTGCTGGTATTACAGGCGTGAGCCATCATCACACCCGGCCAGCTTCATTTGAGAAATCTTTCCCCAGCACTCCATATATTACTAATTATTCCTTTCTTCTTGTTTAGATAGCATTTTTGTTATACCTCTATTACCTCACTTGTCACATGATAATCAGCTGCTCACCCATCTGTCTCCCTTGATTGCTCATGAGCTCCTTGAGAAGAAGTCTCATTTTCAGGACCTTGAACAGTGTGCAACACATGTATGCTTCACAGGCAGAGAAGAAGTAAATGATTTCACTACAGTGTAATCATTCCCAGAATTCAATTACCTGTATTTCTAAATTGTTCTAGACACTCTGCCAACAACCTGAGAATGTTATACTCTTTCCCTAAAACTTCCATCCATTACTGAGTATCTATGGTCATAGCTAACTCAATTGTGACATGCCCTCTGGCCAAGCCCATTCATAGTTTTTCCTCTAGATGATTTTTAATTTTTGTTTTTATTTGTTCTTTGTATTTTTAATACAAACAGCACATAAGTAAACTTCACCATCTCTATATCTCTGTGCCTTTGCACCTGCTAGTCTCGGTTTGGAATGATGTCTGAAGGTTTTATTCACCTGGAAAGCATTCCTACTCACCCTTAAAGATATCAGCTTAAATAATACCTTCTCTGGGAAGCCTTTCTATCCTCCCATTCTCTCAGGAAGAGTTCAGAATTTCTACAGTTGAAACTGTAGACCCTGCCCTCACAGAGCTCACGGTCTAGTATGAAAAACAGCCATATGAACAAATAACCACACTATAATACTAAATGCAATACCAAAAGGGAGATGTATTGAATATTTGACATGTGTCAATTACCTTGTTAGATTCTTTATTAATAATTATCTATGATTATATTAGGTAAGTATTTGAATTGGACAAAAGGCCATGAAACTCTAGAACTGTTATACTCTCAATCGTCTTCTAAAGAAACTCTCCAAAGGGTTCTTTTAAAATATGCTATAGTCATACTGAGAGGTGAGGACAGCTGGATTTCCTGGGTCGAGTGGGGACTTGGGGAACTTTCCTCTTACAAGAGGATTGTAAAATGCACCAGTCAGCGCTCTGCAAAATGCGCCAATCAGCGCTCTGTAAAATGCACCAATCAGCAGGACCCTAAAAGTAGCCAATCGCAGGGAGGATTGAAAAAAGGGCACTCTTGATAGCCCAGAAACGGAACATGGGAGGGGACAAATAAGGGAATAAAAGCTGGCCACCTGAGCCCACAGCAGCAACCTGCTGGGGTCCCCTTCCAGGCTGTGGAAGCTTTGTTCTTTCACTCTTCACAATATACCTTGCTACCGCTCACTCTTTGGGTCCGTACCATCTTTAAGAGCTGTAACACTCACCACGAAGGTCTGGGGCTCCATTCTTGAAGTCAGTGAGACCGTGAACCCACAGGCAGGAACCAACTCCAGACACAATACAACTATTGTGTGACTGTGGCATACACAAAAAAGCATATCTGTAGCATATCTGTGTGACTGGTAATGCATAAAACCAACCTTACTTCTGTGGCCACAAGTGACTGGACCAGGGCTCAGTGCTTCAGCTGAGGACGGCATATAGGCTGAACTTCAGGGAGATCAATCACCAAGGACATGATGGCACAGCTCAAAATTCTCTCTAGTAGGGGCCTTCTGTTTTTAGAAGGTGACAGACTAATCCAATCAGATATTCTCTCTTGGAAAATACAAATGTTGAGTGAACAAAGCAAAAGAGGGCAGGTCTTCAGAGCTCAAATACTAAATACTGCTAAATTAATGTTCTGTGAAGTTTTGAAAGTACTAGGGCCAAGAGACAATATGGCTGCTTAGATGACTTTCCATCCAAGTTTACATTCAGCCCTCATCACCAAAGCTGATATGTGTGTGCCTCTTTCTTGCAACCCACCAGGGACTAACACATCATATACCACTTTTGGAATTAGGAAACAGGCTCAGAAGTCCAAGAGCTTGACCAAAGGAACTCAGTTGGTAGGTAGCAGAACCAGAATTCAAAGACCCAGGTCAGCATGATTCTTCTATAATATCCTGCCACTTACATGGGCAAGTGGCCTCAAAATCAACAAAAGACAAGTAGAGGTTGACATGTGACAATGGAGAGAGGCTCAAAAGGAAGTTTGTACACAAAAATACAAAAGGAAATGTTCTGGAAGTATGTCTGGGGATGTGAAGTAGGAGCAGGCACACCAGGTTTACCTTGGTCAAGTGAATCTATAATTCCAACCTGGGCCTTTCCCCAGAGCTCCTGACTTAGCTCTTATCTGTCTTTCTTAGGCAAATATAAAATCCACAGGGCAGGACCTTAATCTCCAGCTTGTTCACCACAGATTAAAGCAGAGTTTGAGGCTGGATGCAGAGGCTCACGCCTGTAATCCCAGCACTCGGGGAGGCCAAGATGGGTGGATTCCCTGAGGTCAGAATATCGAGACCAGCCTGGCCAACATGGTGAAACCCTGTTTCTACTAAAAATACAAAAATTCGTTGGGTGTGGTGGTGTGAGCCTATAATCCCAGCTACTTGGAGTCTGAGGCAGGAGGATTGCTTGACCCAGGATGCAGAGGTTGCAGTGAGCTGAAATCGTGCCATTGCACTCCAGCCTGGGTGACAAGAGCGAAACTCCATCTCAAAAACAAACAAACAAACAAAAACACAGACTTTTTTTTTTTTTTTGAAATGGAGTCTCACTCTGTCACCCAGGCTGGAGTGCAGTGGCACGATTCGGCTCACTGCAACCTCCACCTCTTGGGTTCAATAAATTCTCTGCCTCAGCCTCCTGAATAGCTGGGACTACAGGCTCCTGCCACCATGCCTGGCTAATTTTTTTGTATTTTTAGTAGAGACAGGGTTCCACCATCCTGGACAGGTTGGTATTGAACTCCTGACCTCGTGATCCACCTGCCTCAGCCTCCCAAAGTGCTGGGATTACAGGCATGAACCACCACGCTCAGCCGAGTCTGACTTATGGTAAGTGCTTAATATATGATAAATGAACAAACTGAATGAATGAATATATGATAACTGAATAAATTTATGAATAAATGTACAAACTATCAAATAAGCTAAAGAAATAGTCCACATTGTTGGGGAAAGGGGTTACCATGAAACAGACCCTAGCAGTCACTTACAAATACAGTTCATCTTCATTATTTGTGGATCCCATATTTGCAAATTTGCTTACTTGCTAAAATGTCTTTGTAATCCCCAAATACTTGTGGAGCTTTCAAGGTGACTTATGGATATACACATAGTAGTGAAAAATATGTCACTCCTTGCCCAAGTCCCAAGGTGACCCTCAGCCTTGTCTCAGCCCTCATACAAAGATGACCAGAGGACAGAGACAGCAGAGGGCAGTGCAGCGTAGTGCAAGAAGCTCTGGCTCTGGGGCCATCTGGACGAGTCTGAATCTTAACTCTGGCACCTGTTAGTAGAGAGGCCTCAGGCAAATCGCTTAACACTTCTGTACTTCCTTTATTTTTTGTAAGTAAGGAAAATTCAATCTACCAGGATGAGTTGTTTTTAGGAATTAATTTTGTAATCTGTGTGAGATATGTATATATGTATATATTTTCCCTGGGAACAAGGGTTGAATATTTGATAATTCAGTGTTCTTGGCAACTTTATAGAATATAACTACTGCAAATAATGAGAATTGACTATAATTATTTATAAAGAAATAACAGAGAAGTAGGCAAAACATTTGGATGAGGCAGAGGCAGGCTTCAAGATTTTGAAGAAACAGAATTTCACCAAGCACATAAGGTGTGGAAAAGGCTTGCAAGGAGAGAGAATGGTGCATACAGAGAGAGGTCCAGATGGTGGAAAAAAACAGGTAGGTTCAGGAAATGGCACTTCAGGAAGTCTAGAGCAGTAGGAGATGAGATCAGAACACAGTGCCATCGTGCTTCTCTGCACCCTGTATATACCTTCTACTGCAGAACCTCACTCTCTGCATTTAATTATTGGTTTCTAGTTCTCTCTTCCATTAAACTGTGAGCTCCTCAAGGTCTCTAAGAAGAAATCATAGCTAGAGTCCTCTAAATTTGCAAACAAGTTATTATTAAACACAAATACTCCCAAAAAAGACTGCACAAAAATAACTTTGGTTTTCAGCTGCAGTCACAGCAATTCACAACTGTTACAGATTTGCAATTTGTCCAGGATTTTTCTCTGATGACTGCTGTAACTCTGTCATAAACTCTTTTCCTTGTTTTAGACACCCAGACATTTGTTGGAACAGTTTTAAGATCTTACTCTTTTTAGTGTAATTGATTGATTGGTTGATTGACTGAGATGGGGTCTCACTATGTTGCCCAGGCTTGTCTTAAACTCCTAGGTTCAAGCAATCCTCCTGCCTCAGCCTCCTAAGTGGCTGGGATTACAGGCACACACCACTGTGCTAGGCTCTAGTGTGATTTATTAACAAGGCTTAAACATATGGTCCATTAGACAAGGCTGCCACCTCAGAGTAAAGATTTCTTTTAATTCACTATAATAGACTTTTTTCTTTATATACAAGATACAATTTTACCACAGTAAAATACAAGGAAGCATACTGATACATACATTACAAACAGGATAAAGAAAGCAATATAATTTTTTCCACAAAAGCTTGCAAAATCCTGGCCAAAACACAGTGAACATGATGTTAAACTCATAGCTTACATTTCTCCACTGAAAGCTAGGAAAAACAATTCCAATTTTTGAAAAGTCAGGAAACTAAGCACTGTGAGAATTTACAAGATTTTGTAAACCTGTATATTCTCCCCACCCCGATATACAAGTAGCCAGAGGAGCCTATCAGTCTTACCCCAACACTTCAATCTCCTCCAACCTTCAAAATAAAACCCTCACTGTCCAATATCTGAATTTATATTTTCAAACGTCTAAAATCTTAATCAAAGCTAAGAGCAGTGCATTAGCTTTTCCCCATAAAATTGTTGGCATAATTTTACTTAGGCACAGCATAGTTTGTACTGTTATCAAAAAACATATGGCTAGAACCGACATTACTAGAAACCAAACGAATATACTATGAAGGTGAAAAGGGAACAGGGAATGTTGTTTTTGGACAGATTCAATGCTGTTATTATCCCTTCATAGGTTGGGTGTGATCGAATCACACTGTGCTGTACAACTAAGTATGTTCTATATTTTATGACAAAGTAGGGTAGCCAGGCCCTTACACTACAAACTCCCAGAAACCCCAGTTAAGCTGTTTAAAGTATAATCCAATTCAATTTACTGAAAATAATAGTAACAAAATTTAAATCCCTTGCTTCTAGTTAGCCCTTTTCAACTGCATTTTCAGCAATTACCACCAAAAGAACTGCATTAGGACAAAGATTCTAGAGCGGGTATAATGGTCAAATGCCATTTGAAGGCAAAAACAGTCTACCAGGAACAAAACATTAAAGTTCCCAACCTTGCCAAACTCCCTGTTCTGCGTATTCTGCCTCTCTCAGTTCACCTTCCAGCTGCCTGGAAGAGGCAAGTGGAAAATGTTAGTTTTCTGGAGAGATGAGAATGGAATTTAGGGGTTGGTAGGGGGTGATGGGCTCACTCACGGACCGCAAGGCACAAGAGAAGTGGCGAACGTCTCCCAGGCAAATGAGGCATGAAGAATGAGGGCTGGAGTCAAGGGGGAGATGGAGCAAGTATAAAAAGGCAGAGGACGCGCAGGGGCCGCGAATAGGGGAAGGGCACGACGCGCAATCCCTCCCGCTCCAGCCCGGGGAGAGGGGCGGGGGATGCCGCGCGGGTCAATTTGCCTAGCATTGTTGCACCTGGGTAGAAATGGGACTCAGGCCAAGAATTCGGTTCGAGTGTTAGGAGGACGCTGAGGGGAGTCAGGAACTTGGGTGGGAGTCGGGGGGAAACAGAGCACCTGTGCGGGGGGGAAAGGGACGAAAACCCCCTATTGCTCCCGAGGGGCAGGGGCTGACCCCAGCGGACGCCCCTTTTCGCCGATGGCCGCGACGTGGGACCCCGCGCGCTTTCCCTCCCTACAGGAGCTCGGGCAGGCGCGTGCCGCCCTTCACAGCCCCGACGGCGGCAGAAAGGGAGGCGCAGGGCGCCCCCAGAGCCGGGAGAACGGCGTTTCCCTCGAGTCCTTTCCCCAGCAGCCCGGGCACCCGAGCCCACCTGGGCTAACCAGAAGCCCCTCCTTCAGATCGTACTCTGCCACTCCTCCGAGAGCTTAAGCCGTTGCCGTAGAGGTCGCCGTCGCCACAACAGTCTCGGCCTTTAGTACCAAAACGTGAAGCACAGCACCCGAGAAGCGCCACTACCACTTGCCAGGTTATCTCTTACTGCACACTGCCTCCTCGCCCCGCCCCCGAACCCAAGCCATTGGTTGCCGGGCACCGCCCCATTCGTCTATTGGGCCAAAGAAGATGCCGTTCGGTCACCTAGAATGGCATATGTGGTTTTTATTGGTCTAAATGTGAAGCAGTGCCCGCCCACTCCCTCAGAAGTTTCAGCTTCTGATTGGTTTTAATGTCTGTCTTTTCTCTTCCTTCATTTTTTTTTTCCTGTGGTGGAACACCTCCTTGAGGGAGATGCCGGCTCTGATTGGCTGAAAGGACGCTACGCTAGCCTGGGATAGGCATTGGGCCAAGGATGCGCCCGGCCCACTCGTGGGGGAGGAGACCAAGGCGCCGCACTCTGGGTTTGTTTACACAGGCTCTTGCTCCCGCTTCGTCTATTGGCTGAGCTGGAAGCCACTGCCACCGAGTTTTGCCTGTCAGCCTAGCAAGGAGGAGGGTGGGGGTGGGCCTCAGTAGGATTTCCCTCAGCTGTCAATTACCAAAGGAGGAGCTTTGATTCAGGCTGCTTTGGACCTGGTGCTATTCTCTGTAGGGAAAATTAAGGAATTGGGCTCCTTGGGAGGCTGGAAGGAAGCAAAGGGACGCTGGAAGGAAGCAGACGGATGCTTCCACGTTTCTAGAAACAAACCTAACTTCTTGAGTGCTTTAAAAAAATAAAACTTGGCCGGGCGCGGTGGCTCACGCCTGTAATCCCACCACTCTGGGAGGCCGAGACGGGCGGATCACAAGGTCAGGAGTTCTAGACCAGCCTCGCCAGTATGGTGAAACCCCGTCTCTACTAAAAATGCAAAAATTAGCTGGGCGTGGTGGCGGGCTCCTGTAGTCCCAGCTACTCGGGAGGCTGAGGCAGGAGAATCACTTGAACCCGGGAGGCAGAGGTTGCAGTGAGCCAAGATCGCACCACTGCACTCCAATCTGGGCAATAGAGTGAGGTTGCGACTCAAAAAAAAATACATCAATAAATACAAATTAAAATAAAACTTTATTGCCTCCCTTGGATTTAGAATGTCCAATCTGCTTGCAAAGGACTTCGAATTGTATTCCACAGGAAGTAGGGATTTCTTTGTGGAGCTCTTACTTTATACATTTTTCTCTCCCCCCCACCTCTCAAGCTGACTGTATACATGACACAAAGTTAGGGAATTGCAGAATGAATGGAAAAAATATAAAAATGAAAAAGATAAACTCAAATAACAATTATAAATATTAGCTGTATACTTTGATATGGTTTGGCTCTGTGTCCCCACCCAAATCTCATTTTGAATTATAATTCCCAATGTTGGGGGAGGGACTTGGTGGGAGGCGATTGGATCATGGGGGCAGATTTCCCCCTTGCTGTTCTCGTGATAGTGAGTGAGTTCTCACAAGGTCTGATGGTAAAAAAAGTGTGTGTCCTTCCCCCTTAGCTCTCTCTCCCTCTTGCTACCATGTGAAAACGTGCTTGCTTCCCCTTTGCCCTGATTGTAAGTTTCCTGAGGCCTCACCAGCCATGCCTCCTGTACAGCCTGAGGAACGGTGAGTCAATTAAACCTCTTTTCTTTATAAATTACTCAGTCTCAGGTAGTTCTTTATAGCAATGTGAGAATGGACTAATACATACTTCATATTAAATGATATAAGTAAATAAATAAATTCATTCAACAAGTATTATTTAGCATCTACTATGAATGTTCTAGGCTCTGATCATGGAACTGGGTATATGATATGAATAAGACAGTGAAGATGCACCCATGGTGTTTATACTGTAGTGAAGGAGACTGACAACAGAAAAGTAACCAATAAATAATAAAATGGTATGTTGTGAATAAATGCTACAAAGGAAAATAAAGCAGAGTCATGGGATGGTTGGGGAAATGGCTATTTTAAGTAGGATGGTTAGTTTAAGAGCTGTTTGAGGAAACAGCACTGAACAGAGATGTGAATAATGTGAAGAAGTGAAGAGTGGGAAGGGGCTAATAAGCAGAGCCACTACAGTGCACAACTCCAGGATCACTATTCACATTGCTCCATGTATTTTGAAGTTGTGTATTAGGTGTACATCCATTTAGGGCTGCCAACTCTGGTTTAAAGCTTTATTTGATTACATAATTTAAATGACGCCTGCAAGAAACATGTGTCTTTTAGAAAAAAAAAAATCTCTCTCTAGGATAGCATCCCCATACCCTCCACTGCTTCTTTCCCTGAATTGGCCTTCCGGTGTATGATGAGAGAAAGTTTACACAATCTCATAGGTTTGAAAAACAGGCTCTTCTGGTCCACGTGGTGTCCTTGAGCAGTCAGAAATACTCCTTGAGGATGAACCTTTATTACCAGGATAGCAATGGGATGTAAGGAAGGGTTGATGAACTTCTCTCGTCTCACTTCCTACCACTGGTGCCATCTATTATAAATTCATGGCTGGCTATTACCAGTGATAAAGAGAAAAGTCTTAAAAGCAGGCAGAAAAAAAATATGGCCATTTTAAGTAGAATGGTTAGTTTAAGAGCTGTTTGAGGAAAGACCATTGAACAGAGATGTGAAGAAGTGAAGAGCAGGAAGGGGCTGGGAAACATACAGAGGGGAAAAAATAGATAAGAATTACAGCAAATTTCTTATCAGAAACTATGGAAGCCAAAAGACAATGAAGGAATGAGGTAGCAATGTGGGTATCTGGTGGTGGTGGGCAGGGACAGATATGAGACAAAAACCAGTCATAAAGTTGTAGGAGATGATGTCAATGAGAGGGAGGGAGGCAAGAGAAGCCCATCACCCTTCCCCACATCCTATTGCTATTAGGGCAATAAATCTTCAACCTTGAAGATTACATCATTTCATTTTTTAAAATTTAATTGTGGTAAAATATATATAAAATTTACCATCTTAACTATTTTAAGTGTACAGTTCAGTTACAGTAAGTACATTCACATTTTTGTGCAATCATCACCACAATCCACCTGCAGAACATTTTCATCATTCCTAACAAAAATTCTGTACCCATTAAACACTAACTCCCCATTCTCCCCTTACCCCAGCCCCTGGAAATCACCATTCTGTTTTCTGTATCTGTGAATTTGACTGCTCTAGGTATCACGTGTAAGTGAAATTATGTAATATTTGTCCTTCTGTGTTTGGCTTTATGTCTCCCACGTTTAAGTATCAGAATTTCTTTTCTTTTTAAGGCTGAGTAGCATCATTATAGGTATATGTCCTATTTTGTTTATCAATTCATCCATTGATGGACATTTGGGTTGTTTCTATCTTTTGCCTATTGTGAATAATGTTGGTATGCAAATATCTGTTCAAGGGCCTGCTTTCAATTATTTTGGGTATATATTCTGAAGTAGAATTGTTAGGCCATATAGTAACTCTATGTTTAATTTTTTGAGGAACCACCGTACTGTTTTCCACAGTGGCTGCACCATTTTGCATTCCCGCCAACAATGTACGAAGTTTCCAATTTCTACACATCCTTGCCAACAGTAGTTTCTTTTCTGTTTTTTTTTTTTTTTTTTTTAAATAATAGCCATCCTAATGAGTGTGAAATGGTACCTTATCCAGGTTTTGGTTTGCATTTTATTTTATTTTTCCCATAACTCAGAATGCAATTTTATTTCATTTATTTTTCAAGACAGGGTCTTGTTCTTTCACCCGAGCTGGAGTTCAGTGGCGTGATCATGGCTCACTACAGCCTCAACTCTTGGGCTCAAGCAATCCTTCCACCTTGGCCTGCCAAGTAGCTGGACTACAGGCACGTGCCACCATGCCCAGCTAATTTTTAAATTTGTTGTAGATATGGGGTCTCACTTTGTTGCCTAGGGTGGTCTTGTGCCTGGACTCAAATGATCCTGCCAACTCAGCCTCCCAAACTGCTGGGATTACAGGCATGAGCTACCACTCCGTTTGGTTTGCCTTTACCTAATGATCAGTTATGTTGAGCATCTTTTTTTGTGCTTATTGGCGACTTGTACTTCTGTTTTGGAGAAATGTCTATTCAAGTCCCTTGCCCATTTTTGAATCAGATTGTTTTCTTTTTGAGTTGTAGGGGTTTAAAGAAATATATTCTGGACATTAATCCCTTATCAGATATATGATTTGCAAATATCCTGTGAGTTGCCCTTTCTCTATATTGATAGTGTCCTTTAATACTTGGGGACTACATTTCTGAATGTGCAAGTATACTATCTGGCACTAGAGAGCTTATTTTTCAAAGCTATAAGATCTCATAAGCCCTCTCTTACCATACTCCTGAAAGCCACCTTAGGGAAAGAAGCACTGCTGGGTATGGAGAGATTATTACAGAGACAGATCACTTTTTCCCAAAAGAGCTAAGCATTTCTTATAAGGTTCATTTTATTTAACCAGACAAAGCTTTAAAGTGGAGTGGATATCTAGTTGGTTTTTGGTCTCCCCTCACAACCTAGAGAGGTTCCTGGAAGAAAATGAGATAAGCTGGGAGATAAAGAAATCAGTGGATACACCAACAGCCAACCAAAAGATTCTTCTAGACATCTTCAGGTACCCCAAGAAGAAAGTGAAAAAGAGAAGAGTCTTTGACTCCTCTCTCAAGAAAGTTGTATTATCCATTCATGCTAGAATCAGGAGGACTTCTGCAACTGAGGATCACTAACCCTGGGCAATTTCCACTTGAACACTTCAAGACTTCTTTCTGGGCACCATCATCCACTCATCTATGACTTAATCAGTCCAAGCACCCAGGCTTATTCTACTAGGCAAATAATCTTTCTATGGGGACATTGACTAACCCACGATAAAATACCTAGAGATACTGGCATTTAGAAGTACCCAAGAAATTTCTGGATCCCACCTTATTCCCTGTGGAGAGACCAACTAGTCAACAAGCCCCATTACACACTGTTATCTTTATAGTACCTCATTCTTTTTTTCTTTCTTTTTTGAGACAGGGTCTCACTCTATTGCCTAGGTGGAAGTAGAGTGACACCATCATAGCTCACTGCAGTCTCAAACTCCTGGGCTCAAGTGATCCTCCCTCCACAGTCTCCCAAGTAATGGGGAATACAGGTGTACATCACCATGTCCTGATAATTTATTATTTTTTTTTTTTGTAGAGATAGGGTTTTGTTATATTGCCCAGGCTGGTCCTAAACTCCTGGCCTCAAGCAATCCTGCCACGTTGGCCTTCCAAAGCCCTGGGATTACAAGTGTGAGCCACTGTGCCCAGCCTAGTGCCTCATTCTTTAATATAAACAGACAGCTAATGATTACCAGAAAATTGAGGAAAGCCTCTAACATAAATGACAAAGATCAAAATAAATATACAGAAAAAAATTAACTCAGTGGTAACAGAAATAATGCAAGAAGCAGAGGAAAATGGAAAAAAAACCCTTAATATTCTTTAAAAATAAGATACTGTATCACCAAAAAAGAATAAAATGCTGCTTTTAAAAAGGAACATTCAGAGAACAAAAAAGCATTCTTGGAAATTAAAAATAAAAACTCTTCAAAATTTAGAGCTTCATTTTGCTCTCACATATCAGCAGCCTGGAAGTAAGAAACTCTGGGGCTTCCATATTCCACACAGCAGGCAGGAGCAAGAAGTAAAGAAGGATATGTCTCTGCCCTCAAGAGACTTCAAGGAAGTCTTCCACTCACCATTTCCATCCAGCTAAATAGAACGTAGTCATCTGGATAAACTTAGCTTGCCAGAGTATCGGGGGAACCAGCCCCCAATATTTCAATGTAGGTTCTTTTCTATTTTCCCTAAGTGTCAGCTGGTCTGAGAAATAAAGAGAAAGAGTACAAAGAGAGAAATTTTACAGCTGGGCTTCCTGGGGCATCATCACATATTGGTAGGACCGTGATGGCAACCCCAAGCCTCAAAACCAGCAAGTTTTTATTAGAGATTTCAGAAGGGGAGGGATGTACGAATAGGGAGTGGGTCACAGAGATCACATGCTTCAAAGGGCAATAAAAGATCACAAGGCAAAAGGGCAGAGCAGGATCACAAGGCAAGGGTGAAATTAGAATTACTGATGAGGGTCCATGTCCCGCTGGGCATGCATTGTCTTGATAAACATCTTAACAGGAAACAGGGTTCGAGAGCAGACAACTGGTCTGACTAGAATTCACTAGGCTGGAATTTACAATCCAATCCTAGTAAGCCTGAAGGCACTGCAGTAGACCGGGGCGTATTTCATCCCTTATCTCAACCACATAAGACAGACACTCCCAGAGCGGTCGTCTATAGGCCTACCCCTGGGAATGCATTCCTTCCCCAGGGTTATCAATTATTAATATTCCTTGCTGGGAAAGAATTCAGCTATATTTCTCCTACTCACACATCTGTCTACAGGCTCCTTGCAAGAAGAAAAATATGGCTCCATTCTGCCCGACCCCTCAGGCAGTCAGACCTTATGGTTATCTTTCCTTGTTCCCTGAAAATCGCTGTTATTCTGTTCTTTTCAGGGTGCCCTGATTTCATATTGTTCAAACACGCATGTTTTATAAACAATTTGTATAGTTAACGCAATCATCACAGGGTCCTGAGGCGACATACATCCTCAGCTTACAAAGGTGATGGGATTAAGAGATTAAAGTAAAGACAGGCATAGGAAATTATAAGAGTATTGATTGGGGAAGTGATAAAGGTCCATGAAATCTTCACAATTTATGTTCAGAGATTGCAGTAAAGACAGGCATAAGAAATTATAAAAGTATTAATTTTGGGAACTAATAAATGTCCATGAAATCTTCACAATTTATGTTCTTCGCGGCTTCAGCAGGTCCCTCCGTTTGGGGTCCCTGACTTCCCGCAACACTGGAGAGACTGGGAAATGAGTTATATGACCAGGTGACTAGTTAAACACGAGTTTTACTATTAAGTGAAAAGAAGAGAATGGATCTAAAGATCACAGAAAAACTGGAAGATAAAGACATGAAATTTTATGTCTCGTAAAGCAAAATAAAAAAGAAAGTTAGATGGAAAATAGGAGAGAAAGTATGATAAATGTTCTAGAAGGAGAGAGTAGTCCCCAAGAGAGGAGGATATAAATTAAATATCAAAACCATGCCTCATAACTGAAATAATCTGAGTCCTTTAATTGAAGGAATTCATCAAGTGTCCAACACTTTGAATAAAAAGGGCCCACACCAGTAATAAGTAACACTTGTTAAGTTTTAACTGTGTGCCAGGTATCACTTTAAGCACTTAACATGTATTAACCCCATTTAATTTTCAAAACAACAGTGTGAGTACTGCTATTATTCCCATTTTACAAATGGATAAACTGAGGCAGATCAGCTAGTAAGTGGTGGTGTTCTGTGTTCCTGTAGAGGAGGAATGCATTCAGATGTCCAACCTGATGACACCACACAAGTACCAAGAAGGCACCAAAAGATGTATCGTGCATATCATGAGATTTTCCATGCTTCAGGCTTCCAAGCAGGTCAACAAATGAGAGAGGCAGGAGGGGTGACTGGTTTTGGGTTTAATTGTGGCTAGCAGGTAGGGCTGGGGTAAGGGTGTTCATTAACAGGTTAGGGCTTGCAAGATTTGAACTTCCCAAGGAGGGTGCACTTTTTTTTTACCGACTTGCCTACATGTAGGGCAAGAGGGTAAGAGGGAGGATGGTGATTAAAAGCTGTCAGCTGGCCGGATTTGGTGTCTCACACCTGTAATCTCAACACTTTGGGAGGCTGAGGTGTGTGAATCACATGAGGTCAGGAGTTCGAGATCAGCCTGGCCAACATGGTGAAACCCCATCTCTACTAAAAATACAAAAATTAGCTGGGTGTGGTGGTGCAGGCCTGTAATCCCAGTTACTCTGGAGGCCGAGGCAGGAGAATTGCTTGAACTCTGGAGGCAGAGGTTGCAGTGAGCCGAGATCGCGCCACTGCACTCCAGCCTAGGTGACAGAGCCAGACTCCATCTCAAATAAATAAAAATAAGTAAATAAATAAAAGCTGTCAGCAGTCAAATATTAAAAATGGAGTCTGACTCTTTATTAAAAGCTGCAATTCAAGTCAAAGCACTTGCAAAGCTGTAGGGATAAGGACAAGATCCTAAAAGTTTTCAGAAAGAAATAGGTCACACACAAACAAGTCAGGAATCAGAAGAAAATCAGACTTTCCACAACTAAAACAGGAAGATAGAAACCAGTGGTGCGATACCTTCAAAATTCAGAAGGATAATGATTTCTAAGCTAGAAATCTATACCCAGCCATACTATCAATTCAGTGTGAGGGTGGAATAAAGATATTTTCAGAAAAGCAAAGTCTCAAGAAATCTAATTCTCAGATACCCTTTATCAGGGGCTACTGGAGGATATGCACTACTGTATTGTATATTTTGTATATTTTCAACTTTCTGTATATAATGATGTTTGACATCTTTAAAAATCTGGCTGGGGGCTGGGCTCAGTAGCTCATGCCTGTCACCCTAGCACTTTGGGAGGCTGAGGCAAATGGATCACTTGAGCCCCGGAGACTGAGACTAGCAACATAGCAAAACCTCATCTCTACAAAAGATACAAAATAGCCGGTGTGGTGGGCAAGCCTGTAGTCCTGGCTACTGGGGGTGGGGGTGGGGTGGGGCTGAGGTTGGAGGATCTCTTGAGCCTGGGGAGGTGGAGGCTGCAGTGAGCTGTGATGGCGCCGCTGCACTCTAGCCTGGAGGACAGAGTAAGGCCCTGTCTCAAAAAAAAAAAAAAAAAAATATGGGGAGAAACTGCCCCTCCTGGGGCCGGTCAATTCTTAGAGATGGCAAAGGGCTCAGCAGGAGCCGTACTTTCTCTGTCTGGCCCACAGACCCCAAGAAGCAATATTCATCTGCTTTAATCATGCCAGAGCCAGGTATCAGGCAACTAGAGACAATCCCTATAGCTTAGAGCCTACCCAAATCATTCGAGTTTGCCATTCCTAAACCCAGCCTTGCCTTTCCCCAGGAAATCCCAATTAAGGTTCTAGCTTAGGCTTTTTCCCTGTTCCTGTCTTGGGCTACCAAGCCAAAACCTGGTGCCTCCCGCTGTGACCCTGTGTGGCATGCAGTGATCCCCTCTCTAAGCCTTGTGAGTATAATAAGCTTTGTTTTCATGAGCCTCTCCTGTGCCTCCTCTTGTGGCTGCACCTGACTGACCATGTCACAAAAACACAAAACCATCATCAAAATTAGAAAGCAAGAAAGAGGAAGACACATAACTAAGGAAAGCAGGAGAGCTAAGAAAAGAGAAGAATGGCGGGTATTTCTCAGCATGACAGTGAATGGGGCAAGACCTGTCCCGCAGGCATAGAGTGCGGGCTGCCTGCAGTGAGATGAGTGCTCCAGCAGTGATGTCTTCCAGAAAAACAGGAACTGATACGTCACCATTTAAAAAAAATTCATGGCCATACTGACAGGTGATTTCACAGCTGGGAATAAGTTAATGATAAATGCACGGAAGACTAAGATGGCATTGTCAGTTCAGGAAAAGATAAAAGAAAAGGCACATAATCATACTACTACTCTTTGTAGCTTAGCTACAAACAATAATAAAAAATACACATGCAGCATTTGGTGTGTGCTAGGCACTGTTCTAAGTGTCTTTCATTTATTAACTCATTTAAACCTCCCAGCAGCTCATTTTACAGATCAGAAATATTTGGCAAAGATGTTAAGTAAAGGTACTTGTCAAATATTACACAGTATATCAGTCTCCTGCTGCTAAAACAAATTACCACAAACTTAATAGCTTAAAACAATACAAATTCATTGTCTTATAGTTCTGGAGGCCGAAAAGAGGTTTCTGTGAGCTAAAATCAGGGTGTTGGCAGGCCTGTATTCCTTCTGGAGCTCTAGGGGGAACCCCTTTCCTAGTCATTTCCATCTTCTAGGGACCACACGCATTCCCTGGCCGGTGGCCTCTTCCTCCATCTTCAAAGCTGGCAGCGTAGTATCTTCTCGCCCTCTGACTCTGCTTCTGTCCTTACAACTCTCTCTGATTCTGATTCCTCTGCCTTCCTCTGACAGGGACTCTTGTGATTAGATTCAGCCCACCTAGCAATCCAGGATAATCTCTCAATCTCAGAATCCTTAATTTAGTCACATCTTCAAAGTCCCTTTTACCATGTAAGTTAACATATTCATAGGTTCTGGGGATCAGGGTCTGGGCATTTTTGAGGGGACAGTATTCAGCCTGTCAAACACAGCTAGGGGTAGAGGCAAGATTCAAACCTAAGTAACTTATTTCCAGAGTTCTTACTCTTAATCACTATGCTCTGGGGCCTTTATGACAATACTCACATAATCATCATCATCTGAATACCAAATATGGCTATAACGAATTTTGGGATATAACCACATTGGGAGGATAGGGAGTAGGCTAGGGAGCTCTCTAATGCTACTCACTACATAGCATTTAGTATTTGCTAGGCAAAGAACAGTGCTTAGCACATACCAAATGCTATGTAGTGAGTGGCATTAGAGAGTTAATTCTTTATATTTCACAGCAGAAAGGCAAATGGATAGACTAGACTAGTCTAAAACTAAAAAAAAAAAAAAAAAAATCCAAGAATAAGTATATAAGCGTTTTTCTTAACATATGAGAAATATATATCTCAAAAGAAGCAGATAAAAGCAGAAAAGCATGCCAGGCGCAGTGGCTCATGCCTATAATCCCAGCACTTTGGGAGGCCGAGGCAGGAGGATCACCTGAGGTCGGGAGTTTGAGACCAGCCTGACCAACATGGAGAAACCCCATGTATTTTGTAAAAATACAAAAAATTAGCCAGGCATGGTGCCACATGCTTGTAATCCCAGCTACTTGGGAGGCTGAGGAAGGAGAATCACTTGAACCCAGGAGGCAGAGGTTGCAGTGAGCTGAGATAGCACCATTGTACTCCAGCCTGGGCAACAAGAGCGAAACTCCGTCTAAAAAAAAAAAAAGCAGAAAAGCATTGCCTCAAGGGTGGCAGGGGGAACTGGTGATTTTTGTTATCAGCCGTGAAAAACCAATTGATTTTACAAACTGTGTGTAGGTATTTCTTTGATTAAACACATTTCATTAGAAAACCCCAAGGTGTGAATATGGGACTCTGTTTAAGGAGCTTCTGTTTGCAGTGTCCTCCCTGCCAGTCTTCACTGTCATGTTTCCCAGTTCCCTGACCTTCTTTCAGGATCCTGTTTCTTGTCTTTGGCTCTTTGCATGATAGCTGGGTTTGGCTGACTTACCTCAGCCTTAGCACCCTCCCTTGGACACAGCTTTGGTATTTGTCCTCCAACTGGAAGTCCTGGGACTCTGGGTGTCTAAACTTCTGCTGTCAGAAGCAGGGCTAAACAAGGACTTACCTGGCTTTGGTGAGTTCCAGGCATGGCTTGTGGACAAAGCACCTCTTTCCCATGTTTATGTGGTCCAAGCCAGAAGGCAAATATCAGAATCAAAGGCAAAATTATAGTTCATACACTGGGGAGTTAATCTTAGGGGCAACACAGAGAACAGGAGCAAGGTCGTAGAGGCAACGTGAGATGAGTGAACAGCAGTAAAGGAATGGAAGTGCCTTCTGAGAACAAGGAGTGGCAGAGGGGACTGAGGCACTGGGTTGGTCCTTGAGAGGGGGTGACAGCAAATGGGCCATCCGAAGGTTTGGGTCCTGGACCTGTCATTCCAAATCCTCCAATAGTTTTTCTAGATTCATGATAGATGGCACTTTTCGGTCCCTTTTGAAGTTAGGCATGGATATGTGATTTTCTTTGGCCAGTAAAATGTAGGAGAAGCATATGTGCTTTGGACAGATTTTTTGGGTTTTTTTTTTTTTTTTGAGACTGAGTTTCGCTCTGTTGCCCAGGCTGGTGTGCAGTGGTGCAATCTCTGCTCACTGCAACCTGTGCCTCCCAGGTTCAAGCGATTCTCCTGCCTCAGCCTCCAGAGTAGCTAGGATTACAGGCGCCTGCAACCACATCTGGCTAATTTTTTTATTTTTAGTAGAGACGGGGTTTTGCCATGTTGGCCAGGGTGGTCTCCAACTCCTGACCTCAAGTGATCCACCCACCTTGGCCTCCCAAAGTGCTGGGATTACAGGCGTGAGTCACCATGCCCAGCCTGGACAGGTATTTTAAAAGCCAGTAGATCATATTCTACATCTTCTTCATATCACAGTGATCAAGTAGCAGATGTTGAGATGGAGCCTCCATCAGCCTGGGTCTCTTGAGTAACTACAGTGAGAGAGGCCCCTGCTGAATCACAATGAACATAGAGAAAGAGTGACAAACTTTTGCTGTATTAAGTCTCTGAGACTTTAGGATTGTTTGTCATCACAGCCTGACCTAACCCATGATGCCTGATACAGGTCCTGAAGTACCAGTCACTGTTCTGAAGGCAGTGACTTTGCCTTAAGAACTCAATGAGCAAGGCAAGGGTTTTGGCTTAAGAACTCAATGGGTCAAGTCCAGAAAACCAAGTTCACTCAGAGAATCCAAAGGACAGGAACAGTGCCTCAAATGATGGCAAAGTCAAGAGCCAAGAGCTGAGAAGAGCTGGACTAGCATGAGAACAGGTTAGAAGCAAAACCCAGAGAATGCTTGTTAATTCCTAGGGAAGGAAGTGAATTAAAGTGAGTGATACCTGTCTTTATTATTTTCTCAGCTCTGATCCACAGGGCGGTCTGGGAGGTTTGAAGGCTCAAGGTCAAGTGGACATGAGGGTGGTGGAAGCATCAGTACTATGCAGTTTGTGGAGCTTCAGGTTGGTAGTACAGGGAGATGTAGAAATACAGTGCAGGTGCTCTGATTAGAGAGAAGGAGCAAAGTGTTGAAAACAAACCCTGCGATGATGAGGAGCTCTGTAGAGGCACACAGATGCTGATGATAGGTTCCCTTTGAGCCACTGAATAAGGTGCTCCATTTGGTCATCACTGTGTGTAGTGGGCAGTATTCAGCTGGACAAGGTTGCAGACTTCTAAGCTGGGAGATGAACTGAAAGTGAGGTCAGAGGTCAAATGACTGAGTCCTCTGTAAAGGAAGATCTGATTAATAGACTGTCTCCAGTGGTGCAGATTGAGGCTAATATGAAAAATGTCCTTGTTAGAAAGTTGGGTCAGGAACATTCAAGGCAGCACTGAGTGTTGGACAGGACACATTAATTCCTTACATGTCTCAGGTGTTCCTTCAGTGTGCAGATGTCATGTAGCAGTAAGGTGTAGGATGCCATTTTTGATTGTGGCCTTTGGAGACCATATTCAGGGCTAGGTATAACTAGTCAGGAAGCATGGTGGCAGAGCATCAACCTGAACACATGCCCCCTGAGCTTTAGGGAAACAGTGTCTACCTGGAAGTTTTGACTGCCTAGAGTATATGATATTGGAAACTCAGAATAGTAAAAAGAGGCAGCCTGCCTTGTATCAACAGAACTGCCCTGTATGTGGCAGCTGCTATAGGCTATGATGAGATGTATGAGATGTATGTCCTACCCTCAGATGCTGAGACCTCAGGAAACAGTGGCTAAAAGCTAAAATTTCCATTCCCTGGGATAATATTTTGTCTCCACTGGGCTCAGCTTCCATGCAAAATGGGAACAGGTTTGCAGTTAACAGATCTGATGTCCTTCTGAGATGCACGTACGCCTATAACTTTGCTGTAAGCTAAGAGTCTAGAGACTATAAAATGCCATACTGGCTCAGACAAGGTCAAAGCAGGGACAAACAAACCCTACAGCCTCTGGATTATAGAGCTGCTTCCTGGGACCTAACAAATCAGTTTACCTCCTGAATGAGTCAATTAGTGGTGCTGTGAGGGTAGGAAAGGAGCGAATGAGCCGCTAGTAACATCCAATGCCCCCAAATATGGCTATGAGCTACACTGAGGCCTTGGTAGTCCTGGTAGGAGCTCTTTACAAAGGTCACTGGGGGCTGGCTGAGGAATTGGTGTTATGGTTTGTGAGAAGAGTTTCAGTTTCAGAAAAGGGAGTGCAGCTGCTTGGCTAGATCTCAGGCTGGGCACAAATTCAAGTGGACATTTGTACTAGAGAAGGGAGTGATGACAGGGCAGCCCCTCAGCCTCCCTGTAGGTGGTATGCATCCGAAACCTCTGGCATTGATGTGACAGAGGAACTGATGCTCCAGGTCCCAAGCAATGCTGGTGGGTGGCAGGCATGAGTCCTTCAGGAGATGCTCTGGTTATTGGCTTTCGGCTTGGAGAGGTCAAGACCCTCAGACAGTGTGGGCAGCATGTGACTAATAGGAGCTGGCTCTGGACACACAGCCTCCACGAACAGCTGGATTCATGTGGTCTTCTGGGTCACTGTCCTCTCTCCCTGCTTGCCCCCTACCCCAACATTTCAACTTCAGCAATATTGCTTCCTTTCTTCTTCCCAAATGTTTTTTTTTTCTTTTACAGAAAGTGGGTCCAGTCAACCACAAGGCTTTGTTTTGCTGAGTTGAGTATGCAAATACACAAGGACCTGTAGTCCTTCCCCACACAGTGCTTTTTTCTCTAAAGAAACACTGAACAAATACTCTTTAAGCACTGATTTAATGGAACATCAAATCATTGGCTTCCTTGGGTACTTGCATGTACTGATCTGCCCTCTCTATCTGCCCTAAGAAGAGGATTCTAAGCATAATTGGAATGCAGAAAAACTCTTCTTGTATTTGAGGTCTAGAGAACAGCACCAAACAGATAGTTCAATGAAGCAGCAATGTGAAGTTGCCAGGCAGAGACATGGGAGCCAGGAATGGGGCCGTGCAAGAGTAGTCAGCCACAGTGAGGCAGGGCAAGACTGGTGTGGCTGAATCATGACAAATCCTCCATGGTACTTGAAATCCCCTCCACTCTACCCATCATGAACTATCCCCCAATACAGGGCCCCAAGATAGGATGTCCCATCCCCCAAGATAGGGGCCCCAGCAGACCTCAAAGGCATAATCTGGCTGATGTTGGCATTGGTTAAGTCAATTAGGATAGAACAGCTGACAGAAAGACATCCAGAGGGAGAGTCCAACAACTGTTCAAAAGAGAGCCAAGGCTAAGATTGGAGAGGGAAAGTAGTGTCACGTCTGAGAGGTGACAAAAGCAAATAAAGCTAGGTTAGGAGCCAGACGAAAGGAAGGTAAGGAATAAAGGCAAACAACAACAACAACACAAAAGGGAAAGAGGACCTAGCTAGAACTTGTAGAAAGGGTCAAGATAGCCAGGCCGGGCATGGTGGCTCACGCCTGTAATCCCAGCACTTTGGGAGGCTGAAGCGGGCAGATCATGAGTTTGAGACCAGCCTGGCCAATATGGTGAAACCCCATCTCTACTATAAACACAAAAATTAGCCAGGCGTGGTGGCACACGCCTGTAATCCCAGCTACTCTGGAGGCTGAGGCAGAAGAATCGCTTGAACCTGGGAGGCGGAGGTTGCAGTGAGTCGAAGTTACACTACTGCACTCCAGCCTGAGCAATAGAGCAAGACTCTGTCTCAAAAAAAAAAAAGAGGGGGGCAATCTCAAGATGCTTGAGTAGGCTGGCCAAACTTAAATGCACAGGTTAGGAGGGAACATTATATAACTAAGAATACACATGATACTGTGATAGTTATTTAGTGGTAATGACGATATCAATGACCATTTATTTAAATAATAAGCTTTAAAATACTTTTGATACATTTGGAATAGTTGAGAAAATACAAATATGTACTGGAGATGTTAGATAGCATTAGAGAATTATTGGTAATTTTGTTGGTTGTAATGGTGCTATTGCAGTTAATAGGGAGAATATTCTTAATGTTTTCGAGCTCTAAGAAAATATTTAAAGATTAACTCATGACAACTGAAATTCACTTTGAAATGGTTTAGTAATACATACTCATATATATACATATATGTGAAGTAAATATGACAAAAATTTAACTAGTTTTGGATGCAGGTAATAATTCCATGTACTATTCTTTTGTTTTTCCGTTTAAATATTTTTCTTAAAAGCAGTTATAAATAAAAGCTAAAAATTAGTTTTTATCAATAGATCTACCAGAAGCTAAAATACAGCTAGGTATAAAATGATTATGCTAATGAAAAATCAAGACTATGTGGGTGAAAATATGTTATCAATTATCAATGTCGACCAGAAACATTGGGCAAAGGTCTTTATCATAAGGAAACTTTGCAGAGCAAATTTGAGATTAGAGATGGCAATAACATAGTTTGCAAAGTTCTCTAGCGGTTTCTTAGGTCTCTCCTGATTTCAGTAATCTAAATATTCATTTGCAAATACATCTATTTTAAGGGGATTGGGAGTAATAATTTCTTTTTGCAAGTACTTGTATCTGTTATATGATCTTTATCACTTTTGTCTAGCATTTTTAGTTATGTCTTTGTGACTGTCTGATTTATTCCCCAGCAAAGTTACCTTTTCTTCAAGGTTCATTTTTCAGAATTCTTGGTTTCTCTATTCCACATGTACATGCCCGACAAATACTTATTTATTAAATAAATACTTAGTTATTTAAGATTCCATGTCCTAAATACACTTCCAGAACACACAAACCTCACTACCATTATGCAATTTATCTTCTGCAAATCATTATTTTTCTATGGTAGCTTGCATGCTGAAAGCAAAGTGCATCCACATTCCCAATGATCACAAGTGTCCCACTATACTCTGGGAACCAAAATTCCAAGAATACTTCCAGGTTCCAAATTTACCCCTCCTGTAATGGAAAATCTCTCCTGCTGAGGTGGTAGTTTCTGATTGCCCAATATTGTGTTCCCTTTCCAGGGCTGCAGGAGCCCAAACACTCTTTTGAAAACCTCTCTCCCTACTAGAAACACAGGCTGTTCATTTAGCAATTATAGCTGTCAGCACAGCAAGCTGGCAGGAGAGAGAACAGCATCTGTTTCTGGGCAGCGAGCCCTTGGCAGAGCCAGGAGTTGAGGGCCTGGGGAAACAGGTAGGACAGTGGCTCTAATTTGTCACTTCCCCAGCACTTGTGTATTTGCATCTTGTATCCTGAAAAGTGATACATGTATTAATTTCACCTATATGCTGGGGAGGAAAATTAGAAAATATGGGAAGTAGATAAGAACAGGAATGGTCTGTGGGTCTCCAAGGTCTTGTACATAGTGATACTGCCTCATCCATTCATCTCTTCATTCAACACCCACCTACTGACTATCTTTTCTATATCTGCTGCTGAGCTTGGTGCTG
This sequence comes from Homo sapiens, assembly GCF_000001405.40. Lineage (NCBI taxonomy): Eukaryota > Metazoa > Chordata > Mammalia > Primates > Hominidae > Homo > Homo sapiens. The sequence goes on from NC_000002.12 coordinate 71,244,223, forward strand.
TGGACCCACTGGTGAATGTGACATGGTTCTTGTCCTTGAAGGGCACACAGAGAGTGGAAAAAACTAAAGTATAAATGAGAACTACAAAGGGTTTCAGACTGTATGGGGCATGGGGAGCCCATACAAACAGGAATGGAATAAACTGTGGGTCTCCAGTTTCCACCTGCCCTTTTGTTCTTAGGAGCGATATTTCCTAACCATTTGCCATGTGAATTCCTTCCAAGCTGCTGCTTTAAGGTTTTCCATTATCTAACCAGAAGCCTGAAATTCCTCAAATTTTTATGGCACATGCTATTTGTCCATAGCTATTTAGGTGTTATCACCTGAATACATAGTGTAAATCTTGCATCCTGAGATAAGTTCCTAATGATTGTGGTAAGTGTCCTGTACTTTTACATAATAGCTAATTATATAATAGCTAGCAAATATACTTTTTGAATACTTTTGACATTAACTTGCTGTGTGGCCATTTGGCAAGGTCCCTCATCTGTCTTCTAGCTCTCAGATATTCCATCTGAAAAATGAAGAGAATTGTCCTGCCCACCTTATCCTCTCCTTGAGTTGATGACCAAGGGCTCTGAAGAATGAATATATTTTATCTAGACAAGGGTGTCTATTTTTCTAGACAAAATGACAGTTTATATTAATAAACAAATCTAATGAGCCAGGAAAATATTAAAAGGCTGGCAAACCAGAAAAATATTAAAAGGGTGGCAAATGTGTCCAGAAATATCATTATCCAGAGATAACCTGTTTCCTTCCATATAACTCTCTCTTTAAACACCCCCCACCACACACAGCCACAGATGGGACTGTCATATACATAATGTTCTCTAGTCTCCTTTTTTCATTTGAAAAAAATATTGAGCATTTTTTCATGCTAATAAATCACAGCTATCATTTTTCTTTTTTTATTATTATACTTTAAGTTCTGGGGTACATGAGCACAATGTGCAGGTTTGTTACCTAGGTATACATGTGCCATGTTGTTTTGCTGCACCCACTAACTCATCATTTACATTAGGTATTTCTCCTAATGCTATCCCTCCCCCAGCCCCCCACCTCCTGACAGGCCCTGGTGTGTGATGCTCCCTGCCCTGTGTCCATGTGTTCTTCTTGTTCATCTCCCACCTATGAGTGAGAGCATGCAGTGTTTGGTTTTCTGTCCTTGTGATAGTTTGCTTAGAATGATGGTTTCCAGCTTCACCCATGTCCCTGCAAAGGACATGAACTCATCTTTTTTTATGGCTGCATAGTATTCCATGGTGTATATGTGCCACATTTCCTTTTCTTTTTTTTTTTTTTTTTTGAGATGGAGTCTCACTCTGTCACCCAGGCTAGAGTGCAGTGGCGCCATCTCGACTCACTGCAAGCTCCACCTCCTGGGTTCATGCCATTTTCCTGCCTCAGCCTCCAGAGTAGCTGGGACTACAGGTGCCCACCACCATGCCCGGCTAATTTTTTGTATTTTTAGTAGAGACGGGGTTTCACCGTGTTAGCCAGGATGGTCTTGATCTCCTGACCTCGTGATCCGCCCGCCTCAGCCTCCCAAAGTGCTGGGATTACAGGCGTGAGCCACTGTGCCCAGCCATGTGCCACATTTTCTTAATCCAATCTATCATTGATGGACATTTGGGTTGGTTCCAAGTCTTTGCTATCATGAATAGTGCCACAATAAGTGTGCATGTGTCTTTATAGTAGCATAATTTATAATCCTTTGGGTGTATACCGAGTAATGGGATCACTGGGTCAAATGGTATTTCTAGTTCTAGATCCTTGAGGAATTGCCACACTGACTTCCACAATGGTTGAACTTATTTACACTCCTGCCAACAGTGTACAAGCATTCCTATTTCTCCACATCCTCTCCAGCATCTGTTGTTTCTTGACTTTTTAATGATCACCATTCTAAATGGCGTGAGATGGTATCACATTGTGGTTTTGATTTGCATTTCTCTGATGACCAGTGATGATGAGTGTTATTTCATATGTTTGTTGGCTGCATAAATGTCTTTTGAGAAGTGTCTGTTCATATCCTTTGCCCAATTTTTGATGGGGTTGTTTTTTTAATTGTAAATTTGTTTAAGTTCTTTGTAGATTCCAGATGTTAGTCCTTTGTCAGATGGGTAGATTGCAAAGACTTTCTCCCATTCTGTAGGTTGCCTGTTCACTCTGATGATAGTTTCTTTTGCTGTGCAGAAGCTCTTTAGTTTAATTAGATCCCATTTGTCAATTTTGGCTTTTGTTGCCATTGCTTTTGATGTTTTAGTCATGAAGTCTTTGCCCATGCTTATGTCCTGAATGGTATTGCCTAGGTTTTCTTCTAGGGTTTTTATGGTGTTAGGTCTTACCTTTAAGTCTTTAATCCATCTTGAGTTAATTTTTGTATACGGTGTAAGGAAGGGATCCAGTTTCAGCTTTCTACATATGGCTAGCCAGTTTACCCAGCACCATTTATTAAATAGGGAATACTTTCCCCATTGCTTGTTTTTGTCAGGTTTGTCAAAGATCAGATGGTTGTAGATGTGTGGTGTTATTTCTGAGGCCTCTGTTCTGTTCCATTGGTCTATATATCTGTTTTGGTACCAGTACCATGCTGCTTTGGTTACTGTAGCCTTGTAGTATAGTTTAAAATCAGGTAGTGTGATGCCTCCAGCCTTGTTCTTTTTGCTTAGGATTGTCTTGGCTATGTGGGCTCTTTTCTGGTTCCATATGAACTTTAAAGTACTTTTTTCCAATTCTGTGAAGAAAGTGAGTGGTAGCTTGATAGGGATAGCATTGAATGTATAAATTACCTTGGGCAGTATGGCCGTTTTCATGATATTGATTCTTCATATCCATGAGCATGGAATGTTCTTCTATTTCTTTGTGTCCTCTTTTATTTCGTTGAGCAGTGGTTTGTAGTTCTCTTTGAAGAGGTCCTTCACATCCCTTGTAAGTTGGATTCCTAGGTATTTTATTCTCTTTGTAGCAATTGTGAATGAGAGTTCACTCATGATTTGGCTGTCTGTTTGTCTATTATTGGTGTATAGGAATGCTTGTGATTTTTGCACATTAATTTTGTATCCTGAGACTTTGCTGAAGTTGCTTATCAGCTTAAGGAGATATTGGGCTGAGATAATGGGGTTTTCTAAATATACAATCATGTCATTTGCAAACAGAGACAATCTGACTTCCTCTTTTCCTAATTGAATACTCTTTATTTCTTTCTCTTGCCTGATTTCCCTAGCCAGAACTTCCAACACTATGTTGAACAGGAGTGGTGAGAGAGGGTATCCTTGTCTTGTGCCAGTTTTCAAAGGGAATGCTTCCAGTTTTTGCCCATTCAGTATGATATTGGCTGTAGGTTTGTCATAAATAGCTCTTATTATTTTGAGATACATTCCATCAATACCTAGTTTATTGAGTGTTTTTAGTATGAAGGGGTGTTGAATTTTGTCAAAGGCCTTTTCTGCATCTATTGAGATAATCAAGTGGTTTTTGTCATTGGTTCTGTTTATGTGTTGGATTACGTTTATTGATTTGTGTACGTTGAACCAGCCTCACATCCTAGGGATGAAGCCGACTTGATCATGGTGGATAAACTTTTTGATGTGCTACTGGATTTGGTTTGCTAATATTTTCTTGAGGATTTTCGCAACGATGTTCATCAGGGATATCGGCCTAAAATTCTCTTTTTTTGTTGTGTCTCTGCCAGGCTTTGGTATCAGGATGATGCTAGCCTCATAAAATGAGTTAGGGAGGATTCCTTCTTTTTCTATTGATGAAATAGTTTCAGAAGGAATGGTACCAACTCCTCTTTGTACCTCTGGTAGAATTCAGCTGTGAATCCGTCTGGTCCTGGACTTTTTTTTTGCTTGGTAGGCTATTAATTACTGCCTTAATTTCAGAACCTGTTGTTGGTCTATTCAGAGATTCAACTTCTTCCTGGTTTAGTCTTGGGAGGGTGTATGTGTCAAGGAATTTATCCATCTCATTTAGATTTTCTAGTTTATTTGTGTAGAGGTGTTTATAGTATTCTCTGATGGTAGTTTGCATTTCTGTGGGATTGATGGTGATATCCCCTTTATCGTTTTTTATTGCATCTATTTGATTCTTCTTTTATTCTTTATTAGTCTTGCTAGCAGTCTATCAATTTTGTTGATCTTTTCAAAAAACCAGCTCCTGGATTCATTACATTTTTGAAGGGTTTTTTGTGTCTCTATCTCCTTCAGTTCTGATCTGATCTTAGTTATTTCTTGCCTTCTGCTAGCTTTTGAATTTGTTTGCTCTTGCTTCTCTAGTTATTTTAATTGTGATGTTAGGGTGTTGATTTTAGATCTTTCCTGCTTTCTCTTGTGGGCATTTAGTGCTATAAATCTCCCTCTACACATTGCTTTAAATGTGTCCCAGAGATTCTGGTATGTTGTATCTTTGTTCTCATTGGTTTCAAAGAACATCTTTATTTCTGCCTTCATTTCGTTATTTACCCAATAGTCATTCAGGAGCTGGTTGTTCAGTTTCCATGTAGTCTTTCTTAATCCTGAGTTCTAATTTGATTGCACTGTGGTCTGAAAGACAGTTTGTTGTGATTTCTGTTCTTTTACATTTGCTGAGGAGTGCTTTACTTCCAATTATGTGGTCAATTTTAGAATAAGTGCTATGTGGTGCTGAGAAGAATCTGTATTCTGTTGATTTGGGGTGTAGAGTTCTGTAGATGTCTATTAGGTTCTCTTGGTCCAGAGCTGAGTTCAAGTCCTGGATATCCTTGTTAACCTTCTGTGTCATTGATCTGTCTAATATTGACAGTGCGGTGTTAAAGTCTCCCATTATTATTGTGTAGGAATCTAAGTCTCTTTGTAGGTCTCGAAGGGCTTGCTTATGAATCTGGGTACTCCTGTATTGGGTGCATATATATTTAGGATGGTTAGCTCTTCTTGGTGAATTTTACCATTATGTAGTGGCCTTCTTTGTCTCTTTTGATCTTTGTTGGCTTAAAGTCTGTTTTATCAGAGACTAGGATCACAACCACTGCTTTTTTTTGCTTTCCATTTGCTTCGTAGATCTTCTTCCATCCCTTTATTTTGAGACTATGTGTGTCTTTGCACATGAGACGGGTCTCCTGAATACAGCACACCAATGAGTCTTGACTCTTTTTCCAGTTTGCCAGTCTGTGTCTTCTAACTGGGGCATTTAGCCCATTTACATTTAAGGTTAATATTGTTATGTGTGAATTTGATCCTGTCATTATGATATTAGCTGGTTATTTTGCTTGTTAATCGATGTAGTTTCTTCCTAGCATTGATGGTCTTTACAATTTGGCATGTTTTTGCAGTGGCTGGTACTGGCTTTTCCTTTCCATGTTTAGTGCTTCCTTCAGGAGCTCTTGTAAGGCAGGCCTGGTGGTGACAAAATCTCTCAGCATTTGCTTGTCTGTAAAGGATTTTATTTCTCCTTCACTTATGAAGCTTAGTTTGGCTGGATATGAGATTCTGGGTTGAAAATTATTTTCTTTAAGAATGTTGAATATTGGCCCCCACTCTCTTCTGGCTTGTAGGGTTTCTGCCAAGAGATCCTCTGGTAGTCTGATGGGCTTCTCTTTGTGGGTAACCCAACCTTTCTCTCTGGCTGCCCTTAACATTTTTTTCCTTCATTTCAACCTTGGTGAATCTGACAATTATGTGTCTTGGGGTTGCTCTTCTCGAGGAGTATCTTTGTGGTGTTCTCTGTATTTCCTGAATTTGAATGTTGGCCTGCCTTGCTAGGTTGGGGAAGTTCTCCTGGATAATATCCTGAAGAGTGTTTTCTAACTTAGCTCCATTCTCCCCGTCACTTTCTGGTACACCAATCAAACATATATTTGGTCTTTTCACATAGTTCCATATTTCCTGGAGGCTTTGTTCATTTCTTTTCACTCTTTTTTTCTCTAATCTTGTCTTATTGCTTTATTTCATTAATTTGATCTTCAATCACTGATATCCTTTCTTCCACTTGATCAAATCGGCTGTTGAAGCTTTGTGCATGCATCATGAAGTTCTCGTGCCATGGTTTTCAGCTCCATCAGGTCATCTGGGGTCTTCTCTACATTATTTATTCTAGTTAGCCATTCGTCTAACCTTTTTTCAAGGTTTTTAGCTCCCTTGCAATGGGTTCGAACATGCTCCTTTAGCTCAGAGATGTTTGTTATTACTGACCTTCTGAAGCCTACTTCCGACAACTCGTCAAACTCATTCTCCATCCAGTTTTGTTCTCTTGTTGGCAAGGAGGTGCGATCCTTTGGAGGAGAAGAGGTGCTCTGTTTTTTGGAATTTTCACCTTTTCTGCTCTGGTTTCTCCCCATCGTTGTGATTTTTATCTACCTTTGGTCTTTGATGTTGGTGACCTACAGATGGGGTTTTTGTCCTTTTTGTTGATGTTGATGCTATTCCTTTCTGTTTGCTAGTTGTCCTTCTAACAGTCAGACCCCTCAGCTGCAGATCTGTTGGAGTTTGCTGGAGGTCCACTCCAGACCCTGTTTGCCTGGGTATCACCAGCGGAGGCTGCAGAACAGCAAATATTGCTGCCTGATCCTTCCTCTGGAAGCGTCATCCCAGAGGGGCACCCGCCTGTTTGAGGTGTTTGTCAGCCCCTACGGGGAAGTGTTTCCCCGTCTGGCTACACGGGGGTCAGGGACCCACTTGAGGAGGCAGTCTGTCCATTTTTGGAGCTCGAACACCATGCTGAGAGAAACACTGTTCTCTTCAGAGCTGTCAGACAGGGACATTTAAGTCTGCAGAAGTTGTCTGCTGCCTTTTGTTATACTATGCCCTGCCCCCAGAGGTGGAATCTATAGAGGCAGTAGGCCTTGCTGAGGTGTGGTGGGCTCCACCCAGTTTGTGCTTCCTGGCCTCTTTGTTTACAATGTGAGCTACTCAAGCTTCAGCAATGGGGGACGCCCCTGCCCCCCGCCAGGCTGCAGCCTTGCAGGTTGATCTCAGACTGCTGCGCTAGCAGTGAGCAAGCTCCGTGGGTGTGGAACCCGCTGAACCAGGCATGCGAGGGTATCTCCTGGTTTGACGGTTGTTAAGACTGTGGGAAAAGTGCAGTACTTGGTCAGGAGTGTACCGTTTCTCCAGGTACAGTCTGTCACAGCTTCCCTTGGCTTGGAAAGGGAAATCCCCTGACCCCTTGCACTTCCCAGGTGAGGTGATGCCCCCTCAGCTTCAGCTCGCCCTCTGTGGGTTGCACCCACTGTCCAACCAGTCCCATTGAGATGAACCAGGTACCACTGTTGGAAATGCACAAATCACCCGTCCTCTGTGTCATTCTCGCTGGGAGGTGCAGACCAGAGCTCTTCCTTTTCAGCCATCTTGGAAACTATCCCCTATCATTTTTCTTTTCTTTCATTTTAGGTTCAGGGGTACCTGTACATGTTTGTTACATGTAAATTGCATGTCACAGGGGTTTGGTTTACAAATTATTTCAGCACCCAGGTAATAAGCATAACACTGGATAGGTAGTTTTTTGATCCTTACCTTTCTCCCTCTCTCCATCATCAGGTAGGCCTCAGTGTCTGTTATTCCCTTGTGTCCATATGTACTCAGTGTTTAGCTCCCACTTATAAACAAGAACATGTGGTATTTAGTTTTATGTTCCTGTATTCATGTATTTAGGCTAATGGCCTTTAGCTCCATCCATATTGCTACAAAGGACATGATCTTGTTCTTTTGATGGCTGTGTAGTATTCCATGGTATATATGTACCACATTTTCTTTATCCAGTCTACCACTGATGGGCATTTAGGTTGATTCTAAAATCTTTGCTATCGTGAAAAGTGCTGCAATGAACGTACACATGCATGTGTCTTTATGGTAGAGTGATTTATACTCCTTCGGGCATATACTCAATAATAGGATTGCTGGGTTGAATAGTTATGCTTTGAGTTCTTTGAGAAATCGCCAAACTGCTTTCCACAATGGCAGAACTAATTTATATTCCCACCAGCAGTGTATAAGCTTTTTTTTTCTCTGCAACCTTGCCAGCATCTGTTATTTTTTCACTTTTTAATAATAGCTCTTCTCACTGGTGTAAGACGGTATCTCATTGTGGTTTTGGTTTGTATTTCTCTAATGATTAGTGACATTGAACATTTTTTCATGCTTGTTGGCTGTGTGTATGTCTTCTTTTGAAAAGTTAGACTATAATTTTCAATATATGTATAGGATTCTATTGTTGTATGTTTGTCGTAAGTATTTAACTGGTTCCCTATTAATTTTTGTGTTATTCCTGACATAAAATATGAGGATTAATACCCTTGCAAATATATCTTTAGAAATTTGTATTGTTCATTCCATAGGATAATTTATAGAAGTAAAATTGCTGAGTTACCTCCTCCCCAAAATGTAACTATTATATAGAATTTTAAGCTGATTATTCTCTTGTTTTTCTTTATAATTTACCCATCTATATTTATTAATAAATGCCTGCATAGAAGTTTTAAAAATTCTTATGTAGGGCAAACTTACCTGTTCTTCTTTAGGATTTAAGACTTTCGTTTTATGCTTCAAAATGCCCTTCACCTCTATCTATATTCACTGTATTTTCTTTTAATGTCAGTTTCAACTTTTTACATTTAAATGCAAAAATAATCTGGAATTTATCTATTTGATTTAGGAATTGAGGTGGGGGTTCAACTAATCTCCCCCAACAATGCCCAGATGGCTAACCAGTTATCCCAATAGTTAAGTTTGAGATGTCTGTTAGAAATCCAAATGGAACTAGGTAGGTATTACGAGTCTGGATTCTAGGAAAGAGTTCCAGCTGGAGATATGACGATGGGAGTTGAAAGTAAATAGATAGTATTTAAACCAAGGAGCCTGGATGACATCATCAAAAGAGAGAGTATAGGTAAGGAGAGGAGAGGGCCCCCACTGGCCTTCTTGCTGTTCCTCAAACATGTGGAAACCATTCTTGCTTCAGGTGCTTTGCCAACAATGCTCTTTCTCTAGACATTTTCAAGTCTCGCTCACTTCATTGAAGCCTCTCAAATGTCACTTCTTCAGAACAAAGGAACACCCTGACCACACTATTCAAATAGCATCCCTTCCCCTAAGCTTACCAATGACTCTATTCATTAGTCTTTTATTTTTCTTCATAGCACTTCTCATTTCCTAAAATCACACATTCATTTGTCTACTTATTTATTATATACCTTCTTCATGAGGTCAGGGCTTTGCATTTTAAAGAAATATATTATTTTAACCATCTATCCTAGTTTGGGATGTCCCAGGAGAGACCCCAGACAAGAATTTGAGTGTGATTGTTTATATGGGATATTATCCCAGGAAATGCCAGTAAGAGTATGAAGAAGTGAGACAGGAATGAGAAAGCAGTCAATAAAGGACACATTATCAAGCAAGTTACCACTGTGGGTAACTGGAGCTTAATCCTGCATGGGAACTCTGGGCCTCAAAGAATATACTCTGAGGGGTATGATTGCTGAGCTATTAATACACCAACTCATGTTAGTCACTGAATGAGGGTTGTTTCTGGGCGTGTTAATTCTTATGTACTTCTGGCCTGATGAGCCCACTTGCCCATGGGCACACCATATTTGCTGAAGAGAGTTAACAGGCAAAGAGATGCAGATACTGGTAATTAAAAGTGGGATGGTGTGCACTATAATGGTAAGGCCTGTGGGTATATGGGTGGGGACAAAACAACACCTGCTATCTCATTCTATTCCCTGCACCTTGAAGTGTGCCTGGCATATAGTGGATACTCAATAAATACATGAACATTAAATAAAACTTGTTCACATGTTAAGGGAACATAATAGGTGATCTGCTTGCCTGCCTCAACCTCTCAAAGTGCTGGGATTACAGGCATAAGCCACCGCGCCTGGCCTCAGAAATGTATTTTAACCCTTATAACACCACCTGTTTTTTATTTTCCCTGCTTGAAAGCTTATAGGATTATTTTTTATTTATGCTTGCCTAAGTCTGCCTTCAGTAAGCAGTCCTTGAGCTAACTCTTAAAGGAGGTATAGGAGTGTGTAAGTGGAGGAAGTGGCATGTGCTGAAAGGAGCAGCCAGGAGTTTGTGTGACTGGAGCACAGAGGTCAGGGAGAGATGGCAGGTGGGGAGACTGGGCTTGCAGGCAGTTGCGGTATGATTTGTGTGGCAGATTGTATTTTCTACAGATGCCCACAACAACATCTCCACACTTGCTCATCTATAATGTGACCTGATATTCATTTTTTTTTTTTTTTTTTTTTTTTTTAAGGCAGAGTCTCGCTCTGTCATCCAGGCTGGAGTAGAGTGGCGTGATCTCGGCTCACTGCAACGTCCACCTCCCAGGTTCAAGTGATTCTCCTGCCTCAGCCTCCCGAGTAGCTGGGATTACAGGCATGCATCACCATGCCCAGCTAATTTTTGTAGTTTTAATAGAGACGGGGTTTCGCCATGTTGACCAGGCTGGTCTTGAACTCCTGACTCCAAGTGATCCGCCTTCCTCGACCTCCCAAAGTACTGGGATTATAGGCATGTGCCACCGCACCTAGCCCTGATATTCTTTTAATTGAGAGGTAAAGTCCATGTACCCTCCCCTTGCATCTGGACAAATTTGTTTATAAACAACAAAATGTGGCAGAAGTGACACTGAAAATTCAGAGTCTGTTAAATGATGACATAGCTTCCACTTTGTTCTCTGGAGCACTTGCAGCTGGAACTCTGAAATGCTCTACCTCAAAGCCATCAAGCTACAAAGAAACCAAACCAAAAGGAGAGGCTACAAATAGGTGCTGTCGTCAGCAGTCCTGATCTTCTCCACCTGGCCCAGGGACCAGATTTGTGAGCGAATGATCCTTCAGATGATCCTAATCACCATCTGCTGAGATACTTTCAGGTAAGGCCCTAGACATCAAGAAACAGAGACAAACTCTGTCCTCATATCCTTTCCAGATCTCTGACCCCGACGATCCATGAATCTAATAAGATGGTTGCTGTTTTATATCACTAAGCTTAGAGCAGTTTATTACCCAGGCATAATAACTGAACACTAACCATGAGTTGGGCTTCCTCAGGAAATGGGGAATCATTGGTTTCTGGATATGGAGTAACCTAATTAGACATGGGATTCAACAGTAGTATAGTACAAAGCCTCAGGGTTCTACAACTCCCAGGGGCACCAATAATGTAGGAGTCAAGGTAATGATGGTCCCTATATTTGTGCAGACTGGTGACCCTGGTTGCTGTGGATGAACTGTCAAGAGCCAGAACTAGAAGTGAACTACTAATGAGACTAGTATAATAGTCTGGATAGGAGAAGAGGAGGGCCTAAGCTAGGGTAGTAGCCATGAAAATGAAGAAAAGGTAGCTATCAGAAATGTTTCAGAGGTAGATCCAGTAGAACCATGAGACAGGTAGAAGTCTGGAATGACTCCCAAGTGTCTGGCTCATGGAGGATGGTGGTATAATTTCCCAGGTCAGAGATCACAGGAGGAGAGACCAGTTTGAAGAGAGAGACGATAGATTAAGATTTGGATGTGGGCCGGGCACGATGGCTCATGCCTGAAATCCCAGCACTTTGGGAGGCTGAGGCGGGCAGATCACCTGAGGTTGGAAGTTCAAGACCAGCCTGACCAACATGGAGAAACCCTGTCTCTACTAAAAATACAAAATTAGCCGGGCATGGTGGCACATGCCTGTGATCCCAGCTACTCGGGAGGCTGAGGCAGGTGAATTGCTTGAACCCAGGAGGTGGAGGTTGCGGTGAGCCAAGATCACACCATTGCACTCCAGTCTGGGCAGCAAGAGTGAAACTCCATCTCAAAAAAAAAAAAAAAAAAAAAAAAAGGATTTGGATGTCTTGATTCTGAGGTGCCTGAGGATATGTCCAGGCATCATTTGGACATATGACAGATGCCTGGGCTATAAATAATATCTTTGGACCTTAACAGTATATATTTAGTAATTAAGTCTATGGAAGTGAATGCCATGGCAGTTGGAGAAGATACAGAATGAGAAGGGCCTAGAACCAAATAATGGGGAATTAAGATGTTTAAGGGACTGGCCAAAGAAGAAGACCACCATAAAGGATTTTCTGAAATTATCGAATAGGTAGTAAAAGAAACAGAAGCATCTGGTGTCAGAATACCTAAGACAGGAGAGAATATTAATAAAAAAAGAAAGTGGTCAGTAATAACCCATATCTCAAAGAGCAAGGATGGCAAGGACTGATAAGCGGCCATTGAATCTGATAATTATAAGGTCACTGGTGCTTTTGCAAGAGCAGTTTCTGTGGAGTGGTGGGAATAATGAACAACAGGCAATGGACAAGGACTTAGTGCAGAGTGAAGAGAAATATGAGTTCCCTAAACAGGCAGGGAAAAAGAAAGGGGCATTGAAATTGAAAATGGCAAGGAGAGGAGGGAAAAGGGGTGGGCGATCAGGATGACTCAAGCCTTTGTCAATTATACTGCAGGGCTTTGTCTGTGAGAGAGGCAGGGTGGTGCAGTGGGTAAGAGGACAGGCTTTGGAGCCAGGCTGCCTGTATTTGTGTGGAGTTTCACCATTACGTATTAGCTGTGTAAACTTGGGCAAGTTACTTAATGTCTTTGTCCTCAGTTTCCTCATCTGTAAAGGATAATTGTAACCACTTCTCAGGTTTTTGTGAGTGCTTAGAAGCAACCAATAAATGTTAGCTCTCAATGTTATTATTATTATTAATTATCATCATCATCATCATTACTACACAAGTAAACTCTGGCTTCTTCCCTGAATAATATCTACTGCTCTTGTTCTAGGGCAGTGATTTTCAAAGTGTGATCCAGGTCCCTGAAGCTCTCTCAGGGGGTCTGGGAGATCAAAACTATTTTCATAATACAAAGACACAATTTGCCATTTTCACTTACATCCTGTCACAAGTGTATGCTGCAGTTTTCCAGAGGCTACGTGATATTGCAACAGATATTGATATAGAAACAAATATGAAAATCCAGATGTCTTTTATTAAGCCAGACACAAGAGTAATTTTAAAAAATGTCAAAGGTCACTCTTCTCATTTATTTTGGTTGTGGTTTAGAAACTGTATTTTCCATTAAAATGTCTTATTTATGTTAACATGTAATGGGTTTATTTTTGTTAGATGAATGCAAACTAAATATTTAAAAAATGTATCCATTTACATTTCCAATATGGTAAATATTCAAAAGATATCCACAAAACAAAAGCTCTTGGAAGCTATCAATAATTTCTAAGAAAATTATTAGAAAGGGAAACTAACACCTAAAAGTTTTGAGAATCACTGCTCTAGGGACTGAATCAGAATCAGAACAAGAAGTGTTCACTAGTTTGTACTTCTTTCTCTGGTCACACAAGACCACTTGCTTTTCCCTAAGGAAATAATTTATGTTCACAGCTCTGAATCTTTGGTGTGCTATTCCCTCAGTTCACCCTTCTTTGTCAAAACTCTGCATATCCTATAAGACACTTATCTTCTCAGTTTCATTGGCTTACAGTGATGTAGGTCCTCAGCTTACCTTTCCAGAAGCTGCCCCAAATCCAGCATGCTTATGCTCCTTCCCATGGTCTCCTCTTCACCTATCACAAACATAGCGGTAGCTAGCCTCCAAATTGAGCAGAAGTGGGAGAAGAGCCCTCTTCCAAATTCTTTGTCAAACTTTGTCACCTGGGCTCCCAAGCAACATTTCTTTTTCACTGAGTCTCATAAAACTGCTACTTTGGTTTTTGCTCACAAGCCCCTTTCTATCAGTCAGTTTGGTCCTGAGTGAGAAATGCAATATTACCCTGCTCCCTATACCTTCATCTTTCTTGTAGTATTCAGGGGGTCAAGTACTAAAAATATTTTCTTCACAATAGTAGCACTTCTGAACCTTATTTTAAGCTCAGCTGGGATTTCTGTTGTCATTACCATCATCATCATCATTATTCTAATTCTTATATACATTCTGATCCCCACAATAATTCTGTAAGGAATATGTAATCCCATTATGTTAGTTATCTATTGCTGTGTAACAAATTACCCCCAAAACGTAGTGGCTTTAAACATTTATTACCTCAGAGTTTCTGTGGGTTGGGAATCTGGGCTGACTTAGCTGGTTCTGCTTCAGGGACTCACAGGCTATAATCAAGGTGCCGACCGGGGCTGTGGTCATCTCAAGCCTGAGAAAGATTTGCTTCCCAGCCCATTTACATGGTTGTTGGTAGGATTCAGTTGCCCAGTGGCTGTTGGCTAGACACCTCTCTCAGTCCTTCCCACGAGGCTCTCTAAATGACAGCTTGATTCATCAAAGTATATAAGCTAAAAAGGCAATAGAGAAAAATCTAGTAAGAAGGTAGCCAGTCTTTTGTATCCCTATCATGGAAGTGGCATTCCATCACTTTTGCAGAATTCTATTTTTTAGAAGCAAGTCACGAGGTTCAGCTCACATTCAAGGTAAGAGGATTACACAAGGGCATGAATACCAGCATCATTTAGCGCCATCTTGAAAGATAACTGCCACATTCATTTTCCTTGATGGTGAAACTGAAACTCAATGAAGTTGAGTAATATGATGGAGATCATTCAGTTAATAAATGGCAGAGTTGGATTTGAACTTAAGTCTTTCTTACCCCAAAGCATACCTTTAGCATTTCATACATTTTTACATTGTGTTTGTCACTGTGGCAAACAATTTCCCCCATTTAACTGCAGCCTTATTAAGGGTAGGAGGAGCTCGTGCTCCCTATGTTGACAAAAATGTTGGTAAATAGACTGATGAATGAATACGTGAATCAATTAAAATATTAATAGTCCATATATTAGAATTGTACACACAGAAATTACTAAACCAGGGTTCTAACTAAAAAGCCAGGACAGTAAAATAGAGCATGGGTCAAACTAAGAGAAGGGAGAAAACGGGCAACCCAGATAAACTATTGATCCCATGCATTTCTTCACATTTCTTTTTCCTTCTGTGTGAAATATGGCCTTTCTATTTTGGTTGGCAGAGATGAATCCTGTATGTTGCCGGAATCCAAACAGTAGAATGACCAAGAATACTCAAAAGGCATTCTGAATAAAGCTATATCCATGCCCCATCCAAAATGTACTAATTGATTTATTTTAGAGACAGGATATCATTTTGTCTCCCAGGCTGGAGTGCGGTGGCACAATCCTAGCTCACTGCAGCCTCAAACTTTTGGGCTTATGCTATCCTCCCATAGCTAGGACCACAGGTGCAACACCACCATGTCCATCTAATTTTTTATTTTTATTTTTGTAGAGCTGGTATCTCGAACTCCTGGCCTCAAGTGATCCTTCCTTGAGGATCCTCCCTTGAGGCTCCCAAAGCACTGACATCCAAAGCACTAGGCTTACAGGAGTGAGCCACTACACCGGACCAACAAAATGTATTTAAGCTACATATTTATGTGTGTTTAACACAGAAATTCCTAACCTATGTCACCGCGATGCTAGAAAGGAAAGAAAACGGCAGCAGCCAAAATATTTATGCTAGAAGAGATGGAAGGAGCAGAAAGTTTCATGCAAATTTGGTTGTTTGGATTATTCCTTTACCTCATAATAATTGGGTTATTTGTTTATTAATAAAATATTGCCTGTAAAGGTAACATTTTCAATAACTCAGATTTTATTGGTGGGTATTTTTGACATACATTTTGTCCAAGTAGTTCTGTAGTTCCTGCTTTTTATGGGACCTCTAAGATGCTTTCAGATATGATGTTATGCTATGGAAAGGGACTGACTTCTATCATCAGTTTACCAGTCAGTGACAGCTTGCTGAGAAATAGTTGCTGGACCTCTAATTTTCTTTCTTCTGTTGTTCCCTCAGATGTTATTTTCTGGTCAGGACCATGACTCTGAAGAACTGATCAGAAGCAGTAACAGTGTAGCCCCGTATATGAAGGGGAGGAAACTAGCAGTAAAGAATTCCTGGCTGGTGCGGTGGCTCATACCTGTAATCCCAGCACTTTGGGAGGCCAAGGCAGGTGGATCACCTGAGATCGGGAGTTCGAGACCAGCCTGACCAACAAGGAGAAACCTCGTCTCTACTAAAAATACAAAATTAGCCGGGAGTGGTGGTGCATGCCTGTAATCCCAGCTACTCGGGAGGCTGAGGTAGAAGAATCGCTTGAACCTGGAAGGCGGAGTTTGCAGTGAGCCAAGATCGCACCATTGCACTCCAGCCTGAGCAACAAGAGTGAAACTCTGTCTCAAAAACAAACAAACAAACAAACAAACAAACAAAAACAAAACAGAATCCCTGTGATTGTGAGTCTCACTTAGGGCTGGACCGAAAGTATTAGACCATTTACACAGAAATCTATTTTTGTTTTTTTTAGACGGAGTCTTGCTCTGTCGCCCAGACTGGAGTGCAGTGGTGCCATCTCGGCCCACAGAAATCATTTTTAAAAATCCTTTGTGAGGCCGGGCATGGTGGCTCACGCCTGTAATCCCAGCACTTTGAAAGGCTGAGGCTGGTGGATCACCTGAGGTCAGGAGTTCGAGACTAGCCTGGCCAACATGGCCAAACCCCGTCTCTACTAAAAATACAAAAATTAGCCGGGTGTGGTGGCGGGCACCTGTAATCCCAGCTACTCTGGAGGCTGAGGCAGGAGAATGGCTTGAACCCCGGAGGCAGAGGTTGCAGTGAGCTGAGATCGTGCCATGGCACTCCAGCCTGGGAGACAAGAGCAAGACTGTGTCTCAAAAAAAAAAAAAAAAAAAAAAAAAAAAATCCTTTCTGAAAAGTGGGAATGGGATGAACACACTTCTGAAAACATGAAATTTTAACCTATCTATTAAGTAGATCAGTACAACGTAAGAAGCCATCCTAGAGAACAGTCACGTAATAGTGGTCCTACCTTTTGTTGTTTTCCTAAAACATCCCTAGGTATAAGCATCACAGCTAGGTGAGCGATCTCTCCATAGCCTGGCTACCTAGAGACATAAATTTAGTGGCTGAGCCCTAGGCTGTCACTATCAGATTCTTCCACTCTACTTTCTAGTTCTGTTAATTCAGTAAGGAGACTTGCAGAAAATTACCAGTGAAGACTTTAGTCTCTAGAAAATCCTAAACTTATGAAAACATTTAGACACTTCTGCAAGATCCTATAAGTTTGCTGATATTACAGAGTTGAGGAGTCACCACTTGGAAGTTTAGTCTTTAGAGGGGGAGGGTTGAAGGTGACTATCTCTATAGGCTTAAGCATTACAAAAGTGGTAGCTTCATGACAATGGAGCTGTGCATTTAAAATTTTTTTCAATTGTCGAACAGGAATTTTATTTTCTCTGAAGATTTTGCCAAAGTGCCCAGGATGTTACTGTTTATAAGATTAGGTAGGTCATTTGCTGTTGTCAAGTAACATTTGCAATTATTGAGCAAGACTCCTTTAGCCATAAATCTATGCTAACCTGTCCAGGACATTCATTCCACAACTCTTTGCTGACAGTACACAAGTTATCATATAGCTGCATGGGAGTGTGAGGTACAGTTCTATTTTCATCTCACCCTTTGGCTTGCTCTATAACCTTGGGAAATCACTTCTAGGCCCTGTGCCACAGACCTGCCATCTGTAAATTAGGACTGTTTAGTAATCCTCCTCTGGCCAGGTCAATGGAAGTCATGAATTCTGGAGCTGGGCAATTAAGAACTTCTAAACACTCCATGAAAGTGCTATTGACACATTCATTCTTTTGAACTTTATCACATACCAGCCTTCTTGAATATTTGACCATATTTTTGCTCTAGTAACACTTCAACATAAAATGCATTAGAATGATTTTCCTAGCTGGGCATGGTGGCTCATGCCTATAATCCCAGCACTTTGGAAGGCCAAGGCAGGCACATCGCTTGAGCCCAGGAGTTCGAGTCCAGCCTGGGCAACATGGCAAAACCCCATCTCTATAAAAAAATACAAAAATGAGCTGGGCGTGGTGGCATGCACCTATAGTCCCAGCTACTCAGGAGGCCGAGGTGGGAGGATCAAGTGAGCCTGGGAGGTCAAAGCTACAGTGAGCTGTGCACACACCATTGCACTCTAGCCTGGGCAACAGAGTAAGATCCTGTCTCAAAAAAAAAATAATAAAAGGATGATTTCTCTAAATTTGGATGATCTCACCTAAATTCCTTCCAACCTTACTGCTAAGAAAGAGTATAAATTATTACATTTTACATATTCATTTCCATTTCTCCTACCCATCATACAGGTACACTTGAATCATGTCCACTGGATTTCACTGAGACAGGAGCTTAACCAGGATCCATTCATTCTGTTTTAGTTAGTAGTTGGGAATCAATGTTGTTAGAACAAATGGACATTTTTTAACAAAAATTCATACATTTAAGCCTCTCATAAACTTAAAACACCTACATTTACATCATGTTATCTTCTTATCCTTATGTAAGGAAAATGTCAGCCAGACCCTCCCTCCCCTTTGCAATCAAAATAAGGTCATCCGGACATCCAATGTGGGTGTCCATAGCCCTTCAAAGATTAGCATCACTAGTAATTTCTTTTTTTTTTTTTTTTTTGAGACGGGGTTTCTGTCACCCAGGCTGTAGTGCAGTGGTATGATCTCAGCTCACTGCAGCTTCAACCTTGCTGGCTCAATCAATCCTCCCACTTCAGCCTCCCTAGTAGCTAGGACTATAGACATGTGCCTGGCCAACTTTTTTGTAGAGGGCATTTCAACATGTTGCCCAGGCTGGTCTCAAACTCCTGGACTCAAGTGATCCACCCACCTCAGCCTCTCAAAGTGCTGGGATTATAGGCATGAGCTGCTGTGCCTGGCCAATTACCAGTAATTTCTGAGGGGCTTATTTTCTTCTGTCCTTTCTACTCCTGAGCCCCTACTTTTATGAGCACTGTCTTTTCACTGTTCCAACCACCTCAACATGAGCCTTTCCCTCAGTTTCTACAAAACCCCATTCACATAAAGTTTTAGTGAGATTTTAAGATTTGGAAAAATAACTTTAAATTTGTATATTAGACACTCTTGTTCTATAAAAGGTCAATTTTTTTACCCTTTCCCCAGAGATTCCCATTATTCCTTAATTCTATGTACCACCCAGACTTCTCCCCTTGACTTGTCTCTCCCCTCTCCTCCTTGCTTGGCTCATCTCTTCTCACCACTTTATTTTTCTTTCTCTCAGGGGGAAAAATTAATTTCTCTCGGGGTTCAGGCAGGGCAGTTTTTCTTGTGTTGCCAGGGCTTCCGCTCGTACCCATATTTTCAGAGTGTCATTTTATACCCGAAACAGCTTATCAGGGTATTTTCCCAAATAAAGACAGTTTTTTTTTTCTCCCTAAGAAGAATTCTGGTACCATGTCTTACTAATTTCTCTTCATTATATTCAACAATGTAGACTTATTTATGTACAGTCATCACATTTGCAAACTAGTTAGTATTCTACTTTTCTCATTATCTTATACATAATTTCCCATTTATTATTATAATATAGCCCATGTTTGCTACTTTAATACGTATCTTCCCAGTTATTGGGTATTTGAATAGTTTTGACTATAATCCCAAATGTAGATTATGAGCTGAAAATAAACGATTTCATAGATCGTGTGCTTTGCTACAGCACTCTTGAAAAGTTGTTCTAATAAATAATTTTCTCAATTTAACTCCATCAATATTCTCTTTTTTAATTTTCAATTAGCACTGCAGCAAGGCTAATAATTTCCCCAAAATTAACTTTTCTGAGTTTCTTCATGTGTGAACTATTTACACATATGTTTTGTTTTGTTTGTTTGGTTTGTGAGACAGAGTTTTGCTCGTCGCCCAGGCTGGAGTGCAATGGTGTAATCTCGACACACTGCAACCTTTGCCTCCGAGGTTCAAGAGATTCTCCTGCCTCAGTCTCCCAAGTAGCTGGGATTACAGGCATGTGCCACCATGCCCAGCTAATTTTTTGTATCTAGTAGAGACGGGGTTTCACCATGTTGGCCAGGCTGGTCTCGAACTCCTGACCTCAGGTGATCCACCTGCCTCCGCCTCCCAAAGTGCTGGGATTACAGGCATGAGCCACCGTGCCCAGCCTACACATATACTTTGACCCTTGTTCAGTAAAATCTGGGTATTGATTTTAACACCTTTATCAAGATATAATTCAAATACAGTTCCTCCATTGAAAGTGTACAATTCCATGAATTTTAGTATATTCAGAGAGTTGTACAAATATCACCACAATTTTACAACATTTCATTATCCCAAAGATTGCCGGGTCATATGGTAACTCTATGTTTAACTGTTTCAGTAACTACCAGACTATTTTTCAAAGTGGTGGTACCATTTTACAATCCCACCAGTGGTATATAAGGGTCCCAATTTCTCCACATTCTTGCTGTATTAGTTTGCAAGGGCTGCCAAAACAAAATACCACAGACTGGGTGGCTTAAACATCAGAAATGTATTTGCTCACAATTCTGGAAACTAGAAATCCAAGATCAAGGTATGAGAAGGTTTGGTTTCTCCCAGGAGTTCTTTCCTTGGCTTGCAGATGGCTGCCTTCTCATTGTGTCCTCGCATAGCCTTTTCTCTGTGCAAATATCCCTAGTGTCTCTTCCTCCTCTCATGAAGATACCAGTCATTTTGGATTAGGGTCTCACTTTTATGACCTGATTTCACCTTAAGTACTTGTCTAAAGGGCCAATATTCAAATGTAGTCACATTGGGGGTTACAGCTTCAAAACAGGAATCTTAGGGGGATACAATTCAGTCTATACGCTTGCCAACACTAGTTACTATCTATCTTTTTTATTATAGCCATTCTAGTGGCTGTGAAGTAGTATCTCATTATGGTCTTGATTTGCATTTACTTGATGGCTAGTAATGTTGTGCACCTTTCATGTGCTTATTGGCATTTATAGAACTGGCTATTCAAATCCTTTGCCCTGATTTATTTATTTATTTATTTATTTCTTTCTTTCTTTCTTTCTTTCTTTCTTTCTTTCTTTCTTTCTTTCTTTCCTTCCTTCCTTCCTTCCTCTCCCTCCCTTTCTTTTCCTTCCTTCCTTCTTTCCTTCCCTCCTTTCTTCCTTCCCTCCTCCCCTCCTTCCCTTCCTCCCTCCCTCTCTTCCTCTCTTTCTCTCTTTCTCTTTAAGAGAGAATTTTGCTCTATCACCCAGGCTGGAGTGTGGTGGTGCGAACTCTGGCTCACTGCAAATTCTGCCTCCAGGTTCAAGCAATTCTCCTGCCTCAGCCTCTTGTGTAGCTGGGATTACAGGCATGTACCACTACACCTGGCTAATTTTTGTGCATTTAGTAGAGACGGGGTTTCATCATGTTTCACTGTCATTTTTTAAAATTTTATTATTATTATACTTTAAGTTTTAGAGTACATGTGCACAACGTGCAGGCTTGTTACATAGGTATACATGTGCCATGTTGGTGTGCTGCACCCATTAACTCGTCATTTACATTAGGTATATCTCCTAATGCTATCCCTCCCCCCTCCCCCCACCCCACAACAGTCCCCGGTGTGTGATGTTCCCCTTCCTGTGTCCATGTGTTTTCACTGTTCTATTCCCACCTATGAGTGAGAACATGCGGTGTTTGGTTTTTTGTCCTTGTGATAGTTTGCTTAGAATGATGGTTTCCAGCTTCATCCATGTCCCTACAAAGGACATGAACTCATCATTGTTTATGGCTGTATAGTATTCTGTGGTGTATATGTGCCACATTTTCTTAATCCAGTCTATGATTGTTGGACATTTGGGTTGGTTCCAAGTCTTTGCTATTGTGAATAGTGCCACAATAAACATACATGTGCATGTGTCTTTATAGCAGCATAATTTATAATCCTTTGGGTATATACCCAGTAATGGGATGGCTGGGTCAAATGGTATTTCTAGTTCTAGATCCCTGAGGAATCGCCACACTGACTTCCACAATGGTTGAACTAGTTTACAGTCCCACCAACAGTGTAAAAGTGTTCCTATTTCTCCACATCCTCTCCAGCACCTGTCGTTTCCTGACTTTTTAATGATCGCCATTCTAACTGGTGTGAGGTGGTATCTCATTGTGGTTTTGATTTGCATTTCTCTGATGGCCAGTGATGATGAGCATTTTTTCATGCTTTTTGGCTGCATAAATGTCTTCTTTTGAGAAGTGTCTGTTCATATCCTTTGCCCACTTTTTGATGGGGTTGTTTTTTTCTTGTAAATTTGTTTGAGTTCATTGTAGACTCTGGATATTAGCCCTTTGTCAGATGAGTAGGTTGCAAAAATTTTCTCCCATTCTGTAGGTTGCCTGTTCACTCTGATGGTAGTTTCTTTTGCTGTGCAGAAGCTCTTTAGTTTAATTAGATCCCATTTGTCAATTTTGGCTTTTGTTGCCATTGCTTTTGGTATTTTAGACATGAAGTCCTTGCCCATGCCTATGTCCTGAATGGTATTGCCTAGGTTTTCTTCTAGGGTTTTTATGGTTTTAGGTCTAACATGTAAGTCTTTAATCCATCTTGAATTAATTTTTGTATAAGGTGTAAGGAAGGGATCCAGTTTCAGCTTTCTACATATGGCTAGCCAGTTTTCCCAGCACCATTTATTAAATAGGGAATCCTTTCCCCATCACTTGTTTTTGTCAGGTTTGTCAAAGATCAGATAGTTGTAGATACGTGGCATTATTTCTGAGGGCTCTGTTCTGTTCCATTGGTCTGTATCTCTGTTTTGGTACCAGTACCATGCTGCTTTGGTTACTGTAGCCTTGTAGTATAGTTTGAAGTCAGGTAGCGTGATGCCTCCAGCTTTGTTCTTTTGGCTTAGGATTGACTTGGCAATGCAGGCTCTTTTTTGGTTCCATATGAACTTTAAAGTACTTTTTTCCAATTCTGTGAAGAAAGTCATTGGTAGCTTGATGAGGATGGCATTGAATCTATAAATTACCTTGGGCAGTATGGCCATTTTCATGATATTGATTCTTCCTACCCATGAGCATGGAGTGTTCTTCCATTTGTTTGTATCCTTTTTTATTTCATTGAGCAGTGGTTTGTAGTTCTCCTTGAAGAGGTCCTTTGCATCCCTTGTAAGTTGGATTCCTAGGTATTTTATTCTCTTTGAAGCAATTGTGAATGGGATTTCACTCGTGAATTGGCTGTTTGTCTGTTATTGGTGTATAAGAATGCTTGTGATTTTTGCACATTGATTTTGTATCCTGAGACTTTGCTGAAGTTGCTTATCAGCTTAAGGAGATTTTGGGCTGAGACAACAGGGTTTTCTAGATATACAATCATGTCATCTGCAAACAGGGACAATTTGACTTCCTCTTTTCCTAATTGAATGCCCTTTATTTCCTTCTCCTGCCTGATTGCCCTGGCCAGAACTTCCAACACTACGTCGAATAGGAGTGGTGAGAGAGGGCATCCCTGTCTTGTGCCAGTTTTCAAAGGGAATGCTTCCAGTTTTTGTCAATTCAGTATGATATTGGCTGTGGGTTTGTCATAGATAGCTCTCATTATTTTGAGATACGTCCCATCAATACCTAGTTTATTGAGAGTTTTTAGCATGAAGGTTGTTGAATTTTGTCAAAGGCCTTTTCTGCATTTATTGAGATAATCATGTGGTTTTTGTTTCACTGTCTTGAACTCCTGGCTTCAAGTGATCCATCCACCTTAGCCTCCCAAACTGCTGCCACCATGCCCGGCCCTAATTTATTTCTTTGTCATAACAGATATTATTTCTATAATAGATTATTTGCATTATATAGTATATTGGTGTGTGTGTATATATATACACATATATACACATATATATACACATATACATACAGTATATTATATACTATAACCATATAGATATCAAGCAGACTAGATGCTACCATAGGAGAATTTTTTTAAATCTTGGGGATATGATAGCCTTTCTAGGAAAGAGTAAAAGCAACAACAAAAAACCCTAGAAAGTTAGAAAAAGTAATGTGACTATATGAAAATCAAAAATAATTCAGCCAGGCATGGTGGCTCATGCCTGTAATTCCAGCACTTTGGTAGGCCAAGGTGGGCCAATTGCTTGAGTCCAGGAGTTTGAGACCAACCTGGGCAACACTGCAAAACCTTGTCTCTACAAAAGATTAGCCTGGCATGGTGGCACATGCCTGTAGTCCCAGCTACCTGGAAGGCTGAGGAGGGATGATCACCTGAGCCCCTGAGGTTGAGGCTGCAGTGAGCTGTGGCTGCCACTACACTCCAGCCTGG
Source organism: Homo sapiens (assembly GCF_000001405.40). Classification (NCBI taxonomy): domain Eukaryota; kingdom Metazoa; phylum Chordata; class Mammalia; order Primates; family Hominidae; genus Homo; species Homo sapiens. The sequence continues at coordinate 71,268,398 of NC_000002.12, forward strand.
GTGACAGAGTGAGACCCTGTTGCAATAATAATAATAATAATAATAATTCACTGCAAAAATACAGTAAACAAGCCAAAAGACAAAGGGGGTAAAAGATAAGTAATTTATTCATATTGGACTACTTTCATTATTTTATATATATATATATGCATGTATACATATCTATGCACTACAATTTTTAAAAAGACCAACAACTGAATAGAAAATTAAAAATTAAATTTGATAATGTACTGTATAGAGACGTGTTGAAACAGTGGTCCTGACAAATTGTTATGGGAGCCACAACTGACATGAACTATATATGGATATTAATTTGGTAACATATATGGAATGTTTTAAGTCCGTACCTTACAATATAGTCAATACATACATATATACATTTATAATTTTTCTTAACCCATGGAATGTCTTTGAAAGGATATGCAAGAAACTGGTCAACAGTGGTAGTCTAAGAGGAAAGAAAGCTGGGGGCAGGAGGCAGTGGAGGATGAAAACTGTCTTTTCACTGCATATATTTTTGACACAATTGAAAATTTTAACCATGTCATGCATATTATCTAGTCTTCTGTACAAAAAAAAAAGGAAAAGAAAATGACATGTGGATATAAGACTGAAAGATTTGAAAGCTGTTGCAAGATGGCCGATTAGAAGGAGCTGCAGTCCACAGCACTCACTGAAGGGAATGTAAAGGCGCGAGTGAATTCAGCACCTTCAACTTAAATATCCAGGTTCTTGCATTGGGACTAACTAGGCAAATAACTCTACCCACGGAGAATGAAGAAAAGCAGGGGGCAGGGGACGACACCCCATCTGGGAGCTACAGGGAGCCAAGGGAACCCCCATCCCCAGCCAAGGGAAGTAGTGAGTGATTGTGCGACCCTGCCTGGGAAACCACGCTTCTCTCACAGATCTTTGCAACCCCATGGATCAGGAGTTCCCCTCCTGAGCCCATGCCACCTGGGCCTTGGGTCCAAAGCAGAGAGCTGTGTGGAATCTTGGCAGAGCAGCAGCTGAGGCACACACAGAGACTAGGGAGTTTTACATACTCCAGCCCCGGGATCCCTGGCAAGGTGGGAAATCCCTCCCTACATCTCCTTGGGAAGGGGGCTGAATGCAGGAAGCCAATCAGCATCATTCTGTGGGTCCCACTTCCATCGTACCCCACAAGTTAAGACCCACTGGCTTGGAATTCCAGCCAGCCAATGGCAACAGGCTGGAATCTGCCTGAGATGGGTCTGGGTTCCAGAGAGGGAGGGGCGGCCGCCATCTCTGCAGTTCAGTAGCAGACTCAGCTGTTCCAGCCTAATGGCTTTGAAGAATACAAATAGTCCGAACGAGGAAGGGTCCTCCACAACGCAGCACAGCGGCCTTGCTAGATTGTGGTCTGACTGCTTCTTTAATCAGGACTCTGATCCATTCCTCCTCATTGGGCGGGATCTCCCTCCAGGGGCTTCAGACACTCCAGCCAGGGTTCTAAAATAGAACTCTCATCCCTCTTTGGGATGGAGCTCCCATGGGGAGGGGCAGCTGCCATCTCTGTGGTTTGGTTGACTCAGCCGTTCCAGCCTGCTGGCCAAAAGACTACAAATGATCTGGATGAGGAAGGGTCCCCCCAATGCAGTACACTTACTCTACCAAAAAGCAGCCAGACTGCTTCTTTTTTTTTTTTTTTTTTAAATGGAGTCTAGCTCTGTCACCAGGCTGGAGTGCAGTGGCGCAATTTCAGCTCACTGCAACCTCCACCTTCTGGGTTCAAGCGATTCTCCTGCCTCAGCCTCCTGAGTAGCTGGGATTACAGGCATGCACCACCATGCCGGGCTAATTTTTGTATTTTTAGTAGAGACAGGGTTTCACCATATTGGCCAGGATGGTCTCGATCTCCTGACCTCGTGATCCGCCCACCTCAGCCTCCCGAAGTGCTGGGATTACAGGCGTGAGCCACCGTGCCCGGCCCAGACTGCTTCTTTAAGCGGGTCCCTGATCCCGTTCCTCTTGACTGGGTGAGACCTCTCAACAGGGGTCTCCAGCCACCTCTTACAGGTATGTTGGGGCAGGCAACAGGTCAGTACTCCCCTGGGATGGAGCTTCCAGAGGAAGGAGCTGGTTGCCATCTTTGCTGTTTTGTATCCTTCACTGGTGATACTTCCAGGTATGGGAAAAACTGAGGCAACTAGGGTCTCGAGCAGACCCCCAGTAAACCACAGCAGCCCTTTGGTAGAGTGGCCTGGTTATTAAAAGTAAAACAAACAAACAAACAGAAAACAACAACAACATCAACAAAAAAGACTCCACAAAAACCCCATTCAAAGGCCAGCAACCTCAAAGATCGAAGGCAGATAAGCCCACAAAGATGAGAAAGAATCAATGCAAAAACACTGAAAACTCAAAAAGCCAGAATGCCTCTCCTCCAAATGACTACAACACCCTCCAGCAAGGGCACAGAACTGGGCTGAGGCTGAGATAACTGAATTGACAAAAGTAGGCTTCAGAAGGAGGGTAATAATGAACTTTGCTGAGCTAAAGGAGCATGTTGTAACCAATGCAAAGAAACTAAGATCGTGATAAAACAATACAGAAGCTGATAGCCAGAATAGCCAGTTTAGAGAGGATCATAACTGATCTTATGAAGCTGAAAAACACAACATAAGAACTTCACAATGCAACCACAAGTATCAATAGCAGAATAGCATGAAAAGGAATGAACAAAACCTCTGAGAAATATAGGATTATGTAAAGAGACCAAACGTATAAATGATTGGGGTACCTGAAAGAGATGGGGAGAATGGAACCAAGTTAGAAAACCAACTTCAGGATATCAACCAGGAGAACTTCTCCAACCTGGCAAGACAGGCCAACATTCAAATTCAGTAAATGCAGAGAGCCCCAGTAAAATACTCCATGAGACCATCAACCCCAAGATACATAATCATCAGATTCTCCAAGGTTGAAATTAAAGAAAAAATGTTAAGAGCAGCCAGGAGAAAGGCCAGATCATGGCTGGGCGCGGTGGCTCAAGCCTGTAATCCCAGCACTTTGGGAGGCCAAGGCGGGTGGATCACGAGGTCAGGAGATCGAGACCATCCTGGCTAACATGGTGAAACCCTGTCTCTACTAAAAATACAAAAAATTAGCTGGGTGTGGTGGCGGGCACCTGTAGTCCCAGCTACTTGGGAGGCTGAGGCAGGAGAATGGTGTGAACCCAGGAGATGGAGCTTGCAGTGAGCCGAGATTGCACCACTGTATTCTAGCCTGGGCAACAGAGCCAGACTCCATCTCAAAAAAAAAAAGAAAGCCAGATCACTTACAAAGGTGACCAGACTAACAGACTAACAGCTGACCTCTCAGCAGAAACCCTACAAGCCAGAAGAGATTGGGGGCCAATATTCAATATTCTTAAAGAAAAGAATTTCCAACCCAGAATTTCATATCCAACCAAAGTAAGCCTCATAAGTGAAGGAGAAATAAGATCCTTTTTAGACAAGCAAATGCTGAGGGAATTTGTCACCACCAGGCCTACCTTCCAAGAGCTCCTAAAGGAAGCCCTAAATATGGAAAGCAAAAACCATTACGAGCCACTACAAAAACACACTGAAATACACAGACCAGTGACACTATAAAGCAACCAGATAAACAAGGCTGCAAAATAACCAGCTAGCATCGTGATGACAGGATCAAATTCACATGTAACAATACTAATCTTAAATGTAAATGGGCTAAATGGCCCCAATTAAAAGACACAGAATGGCAAGCTGTATAAAGAGCAAGATCCATTGGTATGCTTTCTTCAAGAGATCCATCTCATGTGCAAAGACATACATAGGCTCAAAATAAAGGGATGGAGGAAAATTTACCAAGCAAATAGAAAACAGAAAAAGGCAAGGGTCGCAATCCTAGTTTCTGACTAAACAGACTTTAAACCAGTAAATGTCAAAAAAGACAAAGAAGAGCATTACATAATGGTAAAGGGTTCAATGCAACTAGAAGAGCTGACTATCCTAAATATATATGCACCCAATACAGGAGCACTCAGATTCATAAAGCAAGTTCTTAGAGACGTACAAAGAGACTTAAACTCCATGCGATAGTAATGGGAGACTTTAACACCCCACTGACAATATTAGACAGATCATTGAGAGAGAAAATTAACAAAGGTATTCAGGACCTGAACTCAGCTCTGGATCTAAAGGACCTGATAGATATCTACAAAACTCTCCACCCAAAAACAATAGAATATACATTCTTCTCAGTGCCACATGGCAGTTACTCTAAAATTGATCACACAATTGGAAGTAAAACACTTCTCAGCAAATGCAAGAGAACTGAAGTCATAACAGTCTCTCACACCATAACGCAATCAAATTAGCACTCAAAATTAAGAAATTCACTTCAAACCACACAACTACATGGAAATTGAACACCTGCTCCTGAATGACTCTTGGGTAAATAATAAAATTAGGCAGAAATCAATAAATTTTTTGAAACTAATGAGAACAAAGAGATGATGTACCAGAATCTCTGGGATGCAGCTAAAAGAGTGTTAAGAGGGAAATGTTTAGTGCTAAATGCCCACATCAAAAAGCTAGAAAGATCTCAAGTTAACAACCTAACATCTCAACTAAAAGAACTAGAGAACCAAGAGCAAAGAAACCCCAAAGCTAGCAGAAGACAAGAAATAACCAAGATCAGAGCTGAACTGAAGGAGATAGAGACATAAAAAACCTTCTAAAAAAAAAATCAATAAATCCAGGAGCTGGTTTTTGAAAAAATTAATAACACCACTAGCTAGATTAATAAAGAAGAAAAGAGAGAAGAATCAAATAAACACAATCAGAAAAGATAAGGGGGATATCACTGACCCCACAGAAATACAAACAACCATCAGAGAATACTATAAACACCTCTATGCACATAAACTAGGAGGTCTAGATGAAATGGATAAATTCCTGGACACATACACCCTCCCATGACTGAACCAGGAAGAAATTGAATCCCTGAATAGACCAATAACAAGTTGTGAAATTAAGGCAGTAATAAATAGCCTACGAACCCAAAAAAGCCCAGGACCAGATGGATTCACAGCTGAATTCTCCCAGAGGAACAAAGAAGAGCTGGTACCATTTCTACTGAAACAATTCCAAAAAATTGAAAAGGAGGGACTCCTCCCTAACTCATTCTATGAGGCCAGCATCATCCTGATACCAAAACCTGGCAGAGACACAACAAAAAAGGAAACATTGATGAACATCGATGCAAAAATCCTCAATAAAATACTGGCAAACTGGGCTGGGCATGGTGGCTCATGCCTGTAATCCCAGCACTTTGGGATGCCAAGACAGGCAGGTCACTTGAGGTCAGGAGTTCCAGACCAGCCTGGCCAACATGGCAAAACCCCATCTCCACTAAAAATGCAAAAAATTAGTCATACATGGTGGTGCACGTCTGTCATCCCAGCTACTCAGGAGGATGAAGCAGGAGAATCGCTTGAACCTGGGAGGTGGAGGCTGCAGTGAGCTGAGATTGCATCACTGCACTCCAGCCTCGGTGACAGAGCAAGACTCTTTCTCCAAAACAAAACAAAACAAAACAAAACAAAACAAAACAAAAAAAACTAGCAAACTGAATTCAGCAGCACTTCAAATAGCTTATCCACAACGATCAAGTAGGCTTCATCCCTGGGATGCAAGGTTGGTCCAACATACAAAAAACAATAAATGTGATTCAACACATAAACAGAACTAAAGACGAAAACTACACGCAGAAAGACCTTTGATAAAATTCAACATTCCTTCATGTTAAAAACTCTCAATAAACTAGGTATTGAAGAAACACCTCAAAATAATAAGAGCCATATATGACAAACCCATGGCCAATACCCTACCGAATGGGCAAAAGCTGGAAGCATTCCCTTGAAAAGCAGCACAAGACAAGCTGCCCTCTCTCACCACTCCTATTCAACATAGTTTTGGAAGTTCTGGCCAGGTCAGTTAGGCAAGAGAAAGAAATAAGGAGTATTCAAATAGGAAGAGAGGAAATCAAATTATCTTTGTTTGCAGATGATATGATCCTATATCTAGAAAACCCCATTGTCTCAGCCCCAAAGTTTCTTAAGCTGATAAGCAACTTCAGCAAAGTCTCAGGATACAAAATCAATGTGCAAAAATTGATAGCATTCCTATACACCCATAACAGGCAAGCTGAGAGCCAAATCATAAATGAACTCCCATTCACAATTGCTACAAAAAGAATAAAATACCTAGGAATACAGCTAACAAGGGAAGTGAAGGACCTCTTCAAGGAGAACTGCAAACCAATGCTCAAAGAAATCAGAGAGGACACAAACAAATGGAGAAACATTCCATGCTCATGGATAGGAAGAATCAATATTGTGAAAAAGGCCATACTGCCCTACTCCCATTAAACTACCATTGACATTCTTCACAGAATTAGAAAAACTATTTAACATTCATACAGAACCAAAAGAGCCCAAATAGCCAAGACAATCCTAAGCAAAAAAAAAAAAAAAAAAAAAAAAAAAGCTGGAGGCATCACATTAGCTGACTTCAAACTGTACTACAAGGCTACAGTAACCAAAACAGCATGGTACTGGTACAAGAACAGACACATAGACCAATGGGCCAGAATAAAGAACTCAGAAATAAGATCACACAACACTGTTGGTGGGAATGTAAATTAGTTCAGCCATTGTGGAAGACAGTGTGGCAACTCCTCAAGGATCTAGAACCAGAAATACCATTTGACTCACAATCCCATTACTGGGTATATACCCAAAGGAATATAAGTCATTCTGCTATAAAGACACATGCACACGTATGTTTACTGCAGCATTATTTACAATAGCAAAGACATGGAACCAATCCAAATGCCTATCGATGATAGACCGGATAAAGAAAATGTGGTAACATATACACCATGGAATACTATGCAACCATAAAAAAGAATGAGATCATATCCTTTGCAGGGACATGGATGAAGCTGGAAGTCATCATCCTCAGCAAACTAACACAGGAACAGAAAACCAAGCACTGTATGTTCTCGCTCATAAGTGGGAGTTGAATATTGAGAACACATGGGCACAGGGAGGGGAACAACACACACTGGGATCTGTTGGGGGGGTGGGGGGCAAGGGGAGGGAGAGCATTAGGACAAATACCTAATGCATGCAGGGCTTAAAACCTAGACGATGGGTTGGTAGGTGCAGCAAACCACCATGGCACATGTATATCGATATAACAAACCTGCACGTTCTGCACATGTACTCCTGAACTTAAAAGTTGAAGAAAAAAAGAAAATGAACGTGCATTGTTCTCCATTGCGAATAACGGCCACCAGAATTCCAGGGTAACAAATCTCTTAGTTGTCCTCTGGCCGAAATCTCCTCGTGCCCCACACCCTGCCCCATATCACAACAAGGCTTTTTTTTTTTTTAAGACACCGGGCTGGAGTGAAGTGGTGCGATCATGGCTCATTGCAGCCTCCCGCCTCAGCCTCCTGCCTCAGCCTCCCAAGTTTTTCTCACTTTTTCCCTTGTTCCTTTTTCCGTGTTCCTTAAATCAGAAAATAGTTTCCTGTCACCTGTCTGGACTCCTCCCCGTGTGCCTGCTTTGCCAGGTTTAGGTGAGGTGGACACAGAAATAGCGAAGTTGTCCTCTGGGGTGTGTCCTAATCCAAAACAGGTTCATCCTGGGACCACAGGCAGGCGCCACCCCTACACGTTTTTTGACGTTGGAATGTGCCTTATGTGGGCTCCCCTAATTACCTGTTTTCATATCTGCTCATCCACCGGAATGACTGGGAGATCCTCTAAGTGGAAGCTTTTTCCTATTTCCATGTGTCCCCAAGCACTGTGGCTGGCCCTAAATAGGTGTTCTGTAAACAGCAGGCGAAGAAATTATTAGTCTTAAAAAGGACAGAAAGACTCCCGCAAAAGCAGCAGCGCGTGCCGAACACCTTAGGCCTCACAGACCTTCTATTTGAGGAATGTGCTCCCCCAATCCCAGACCGCTCCTGGTGGGGCGGGCGCGAGCGCAGGACCGCGGAGCCTGCTGCGTTGCTCGGCTGCAGGGGAGGAGCTGGGCCCCGCCCCCGGCTTCCCGCGCTCCGCGTCCATTGGCTGGCCTCGGGGGTGGGCGGGTCCCGCCGCACGGAGTCCTGCGCCTTGAGGCTCAAGCGGCGGCGTGCAAGGCGTGTGAGGCGCGTAGAGAGCCGCGCGCGCCGTCTGCGATGCCCCGGGACGGCGTTCCTGCCGGGAATACCACCCCGGCGGCAGCCCAGGCTGCCGCGCAGAGCCCGGATTCCGCGACTGCCGGGGCACCGCAGGTTTTGGACTCGCTGAAGCGGTGAGCTCTGCCTTTGCCCTATATGCCGCGCTCTCGCCCGTGCTCTGGGGCAGTTGGCAGTGGGTGGGCAGGAAGGGGCGGGCCGGCAGGGCGTCGCACGTTGGCGTCCCCGCGTCGCGGGAATGGGGTTCGGATTCCCCCCGTGAATGTCATTCCCCAGGCTACCGGTCTTTAGCGCTAAGTTGCATGGGCTGGTGTGCCAGTCGGTCAGCGAATAGCGGCAGAACGCCTGGCCGGGCCGGCGTTTTCCGGGACACTCGTTTCGGCCTCGCAGTGGCAGCGCCTCCTGCGAGCCTAGACCGGCTCAGTGGACGCGCCGCGCTGTGCACGCGGGTCTGGGGAGACGGCGGTTCTTGAATGATCCCTCACACTGCAGGGTATCTGGGAGCGGTGGATTGAGGGGGCACAACGTGGCTTCTGTGTCGGTGAAATCGCTTGGACCAGCTCCAGTTCTTTTTAAAGATTACTCTTGTAAAAAAAAAAATACATTGTAGAATTGCATAATATGCTCTATCTCATCCAAAAATAGTTTTTGATGTCAGAGTAGTCATATGAACGCAACATTGACCCCTTTACCCCCCTAAATAATAAATCTTGAGCTTCTTATTGTATGGTAATAGATTTCTTTCATGAGAGAAATTTCTCAGGGAGTTAATCCACTCTCTCTCCCCTACTGCAAGATCCCGCTGCAGTGGTCCTAAAAAAGAAAAAGAAAAAGAAATTTCTCATACTACAGAAGAATAAAGTAGCCACGCTCTGTGTTTTGAATCAATTTTCAAGGATTTTTTTTCCACTTTGCTTAGGCGTTCTTTCACCCACAACTACACCCCCAGGTTCCAGATTTTGGAATGGTGTAAATAACGCCCCCCGGCGCCCATCCACTTAGCGGAAGGAAAGTCAGCCACTAGGCTGCGGGCTCCGGGCTGTCCCCAGCGTGGGAGAGGCTGTCCTGCTGGCCCGGCTGTTTATTGCAGCGATTTGGATGTTCCAAGAGTCACAAGGGACACTGCTCACGTCCCCATCTAGGGGGTCACTTCATAGCAGCATCAGCTCTTTCTTTTCATCCTTCTTGCTTGAGTCTGCCTCCGGTCCTCTGGATGGAGCAGGCTACAACGGACGCTCGGAGTAATGAAGTGAATTGCTCTTTCTTGATACAAATGAATACTAGTGCTGTACTGCCTTCTCCCAATCTTTGTGGCGTTTGTGTGAGCTGCTGAGAGCAGGCAGTGGAGAGAATGATAGACATTTTGCAGAAGCGGAACGCTCTAGTGTTATGTCATCCTTCTTGGCTCTGGTTTCTAGGTCCAAGTTCTGGTGACATTGTTTCAGCTTGCTTTGCCCTTTCCCAGGCCCCTGGGTTAGTTTGAAGGGAAAGGAGTGCCTGTTTCTTACCCCATAAGGACTAGGAAAAGGGATTGCTGGCTTGAGAAAGAGGTGCTGTAAGTTATCCTCTGCGGCCAGAATTCTGAGGATTGGAAGATTATGGATTTTTTAAAAAATGAAGGCATATAGAGGAATGGTAGACTACTGTAATTATTCTTAATAGGATGTTGGGAAATACAAATGCTGACCTATTTTATTCAGTAATTAGGGGAAGCTTAAGTACTTTAAATGCACCCTTTTAAAATTGCCAGTGTTACTGTGAATTGTCTTGTAAAACCAAAAAGCACCCCCAATTTAGCCTTTCTGTAGATCTTTTACATATGCTTAAAGGATTTGGGTCGGGATTCTTAGTGTCTTTGTATTTAATTTTGTGTCTTCGAGGAAGGGGAGCTATGAAATGTAGTACTTCCATACCTTTTGCCTCTGGGGACGTTTTTTGGTGGCAAGGAAAACTTATTTAGTGCTGATTTACGGGAATAGAATGGTTTAAGGAATTTGTTGGAGATTGCTCGTTTAAAAAATGCCTTGGGTTCATTATGATTTGGTAAATTGTACGGTATTGCTATATTTCATCCAAAATAATTTTCCATTTCAGGGTAAACATTTGAATGTACATTGACACTTCTATTTCCTAAATAATAAGTTTTGACCTTTCTTATTTTGTTTTCGGTCATCAGTTTTGAAGGATTATTTTTTCCCAAATTTGCTTAGGTTTGCTTTCATCCACAACCACGTGCCCAGGTTCTAAATTTGGAATGGTGCTAATAGTGTCAAATGTGCAATTCTGGGTAGGTATATGTGGGTGGATGGGATGGCTTATAGGTTGTATTAAAATTTTATTTTTTTTCTCCGTTGAAATGTCAGCCCCACCAGAAACTATTAATATTATGACATTATCTCCTTCAAGAAATGGATGTGATGATAAAATGCTTTAGTAATTTTGAATATTATAATATTATGACCACTAACATTAAATGCTGTGATTTTTAAAAATGGCTTTCAATTAGAAGGTTTTGATAACTTGAGTCTTTCTGTCATCTCTCAGTAATGTGCCATTACTAAAATATTTTTCCCCCCCTCTCTCCAAGGCCTCAACATTTTCCTTACTGCATTCATGTAAGAGCTGTGGTTTTGGTATGAAGGTTAAATCCCCTCACTTCTGACTTACATGTGCAAAAATTTACAGTTTGAGATCTATACCAAGGTTCACTTGGGTAACAGGATTCACAGCTTGAATCAGTAAAGTATCTTGTTTCCCCTGCTTCTGGGCAGGTGGGATCTTTGGAGTATCATTTCTTTATTTTCGTTATTTCCCAAGTTTTTGAAAATATTTTAATTTTGATTAAGATAAAGAAATGACTTAAATTTTTTTAATAAAAATTATTTGGGTAGACGATAATTTCACAGGGTTAAAAATTAAAAAGTTTAAAAAGGTATACAATGTAAAGTCTCTATCTTTTGCCTGTTTCTCGGCTTCTCAATTCTCATTCTGACAAGTTGCATGCTGGGTAATCATTATTATTAGTTTATTACTTCACCTCCCAGGATATTTTATATGTATAAAAGTGAAAACAAGTTTACATTTCCCCTTCTTATATGTATTTGCAGTTTTCTTCCATTGCTTTTTCCACTTGAAAATGTATCTGAGAGATCTTTTCTTACCAATACAGAGAACATCCTCAATGAAAGGTGTTTTTTTTGTTTGTTTGTTTGTTTTTCCCCTGAAAAGTAATTAGCAAAGAAAGAGAATGAAAGAAAAGAGGATGGCCGTGCGGTGGTGGCTAATGCCTGTAATCTCAACACTTTGGGAGGTCTAGGTGGGCGGGTCACCTGAGGTAAGGCGTTCAAGACCAACCTGGCCAACACGGTGAAACCCCGTCTCTACTAAAAATACAAAAATTGGCTGGGCGTGGTAGTGCATGCCTGTAGTCCCAGCTACTCAGCTACTCGGGAGGCTGAGGCAGGAGAATCGTCTGAACCTGAGAGGTGGAGTTTGCAGTGAGCTGAGATCGCGCCAGTGTACTCCAGCCTGGGTGACAGAGTGAGTCTCTGTCTCAAAAAAAAGAGAAAACAGAAAAGATGGACCTTGAAGAGACAAAGAGTTTTCTTTGTGGTTGGGGTATTGGGTACAACACTCTTGCTGTGTGAAAAAGGAATCACTTAGAGTGCTTAAGCATGAGATAAGGGGTTGTAAAACCTTCTAGGCTAAATAATTAAATTATTTTAAAATTTTTACTTTAAAATCAAAGTAATACATGTACATGATTGAACAAATAAAGCAGTTCTTGAAGATTTACCACAAAAATACCAGACACTTGTTAATTTCTTTTTACTCTGTTTCTCTCCTTGAAGGCAAACACTTTGAAGTCCTTTAACTTTTTCTTCTAGTATTTACCTTTGTCTTTCTGAAAAAGTATACTTTATAACCACTTCTTGACTTAAATAGTTTAGGTATTACTTTTTTATAAATTAAGAATTGATAAAGTGAGGATTTAACTCTTTATTCTCTCTTTCTTCTGTATCCTTCTTCCATCCTCCCAATTTAGATTCTGTCATAATTTTTTGTTAAATTAGTAGTTAGGTTTTATATTATTATGACCAGGTAAACATGACTAGCCTTTGAGCCAAATGATAAACTAATTTACCTAATTTTCTTTCATCCCGTGGTTAATTTTTTCCAAATGCTGCAGTGCCATCAAATGGGCCAACAAATGTAAGGATTTACCAATGCCATTTTTTCCTTAAACTTCCTTCCTATAGCTTCCATTCTTCATACTCTAATCTGGTCTGGTTCTAAGTTTGTAACAAACCTAAAGATTAATGTATTTAAAGAGATAACAAAAGAGATTGCACCTACAAAATAAGAACAGGTCGCTATGAAAAGAAACCATAAGACAACAAGAAAGAGCTCTATGAAATTAAAAATATGATAGTCAAAATGAACTCTGAATAGAAGACCTAGAAGATAGAGTTGTCTAGGTTTGCATAGCTATAGTCCTGGGACTTTCCTTCACCTTTCTCCTGATTTGGACCTTCTGTTATCTAGATCATGAATCTGGTTTTCTTCATTTTGCTGAAACAATTAGTCCAGTTACTTTCTAAGAAAAGATAAATGTTCTAAGTCCTTGCATGTCTTAAAAATGTCTTTATTCTACCCTTGCATTTGAATTACAGTTTGGCTGATTTTAAAGTCTAAGTTTTTCCTCAGCATTTTAAAGGTTTAATTCTAGTGTGTCTGCTGTTAGTGTTGCTGTTAAGAAATCTGATATAATTAAGTTTCCTGTTTCTTTTTATATGGGTTGTTTTCCCTTTCTGAAAGCTTTTTAGTATAGTCTCTCTGGTTTTCTGAAAGTTTGTGATTTTGTGTCATATTCACTGGTGTGATTCTTTTTTCATTTCTTGTGCTCTGCACTTGGTGGGCCGTTTTAACCTGAGGACCTCCCCCCGCTTTTTCCCCTAGTTTGATGAAATTTACTTTAATAATTTATTCCTTTCCATTTATTCTGTTCTCTTTTTCTTTAGTTGGATTTTAGACCACCTGGATTGATCCTTTAATTTTCTTATCATCTCTTCTATTTTTCATTTTTTTGTTTTTTTTTCACTTTCTCTGGATGATTTTTTTCAGCTATCTTCCTAACCCTTCTATTCAGTATTTCATTATGATCATCATATTTTTAATTTTGTAGAGCTGTTTGTTCTCTAATTGCTTCTTTTCAAAGCATCCTGCTTTTATGAGTGTCATATATTTTCATATCTTTTTAAAGATATTAATTCCAAGTTTTGTTTTTGGAGTTTTCTTTTGTTTCCTTGATTGTTTCTGCCTTTTGAAGTCTTTCTTCCTCTTTATTTGGCTTTTCAGTTTATTCAGGGAGACGCTTCCAGCCCTGTGCAGCATAGGCTGTAATCCTGGGAGTAGGGACAGGAAAGGGGAATGTGTTGAGAGTCCCCAAGGCCACCCTCAGGTTCAGCGATTTACTAGGAGGACATACAAGACTCAGCATATAGTCATACTCACAGCTATGGCTCATTGCAGTGAAAGGTTACAAAACAAAATTGGCAAAGGGAAAAGGTGCATGGAGTGAAGTCTGGGAGAAACCAGGCACAAGCTCCCTGGTCCTCTCTCAGTGGAGTTCCACAGGATGTGCTGAATGGTTGTGACCACACACGTGAAATGTTGTCTACCAGGGAAGCTCCTTAGACTCAGTGCGCAAGGTTATAACTGGGTGCAGGTTACATAGGCACCCTCTGCCTAGCGTTTACCATAATTCCACACTCCTAGAAGGAAATCAGGTGCTCAGCATAAACCACTATTCTTACATTTTTACACTGTTTAGGTACAGTGAGCCACTCACTGTTAGGGAATGGTGGGAACCTTCCTGAAATCAAAGTTACCAGACAGCAGCCATGGGCTAAGCTTGCAAGTAAGACTTTCAAAGCATAGTAGTCTCAGGCATGTTCTGTGAACTCTTCTGCACAGGAGCATAGGGCCCCACAGTTAATACATAGGCTTTCACTTATCCTTCTTCTGCTTCATGCCTTATTCATGCCCTCTACTGGTAACCTGGAGGTCAAAGACTCTCTCCTGCTATGGAACTGAGATGGTCACTTGGCTGCCACAGGATGGGAGTGAGGCACTGGGAAAGGGTGTATCCAAACATTTTGTATGGGTAAACATGACTAGATGAGCTGTTTTCAAGCTGTGGACTGGGGCTCCTGAGACCCATTTCATAATGATACTAATGTGATATTTGGCTTTTTCTCAGGGTATACAGTGGAGTTTTCCAGAGGTGTGGGACATTGCAATAGACCAAAGGCAGACATGTAAAACAGTGCCACTCTTATCACTGTTTTTTTAAAAAACTAGTTATTTTTCATAAAAATGAGTTTTTTTATCTTTAAATGGACTAGTAATTTTAAATTTCTGTTTTTCTTAAGATGATAAATATTGATAGTTATACCTATATAAACAAAAGCTCTTTGAAGTCTCAGTACTTTTTAAATATGTAGGTCTTTGGACCAACAAAGAGCTTGAGAAGCCTACATCTCCCATTTTTTCTGAGTCTCGCAGTTTTCCCTTTCATAGTTATCTACCTATTCCTTGTTGTGTGTATGTCGTAAAAAGTTTTATTTAACTTAGATATTTTATTTTATTTAACTCATTAATTAAATGAAGGAACCAGTAAGATGTTACAACCAGTTCAAACGGAGAATCTAGGGAACAGTTAGATTTATAGATGAGGAATATTGAAATGACTCACAAATGAAGGTAGCAGTGGCTTCTTACATAGTGGAGAAGGGATGTCGGTTGAACCTCCGCCAGGCAGAATTTACATGCCTAGAGACAAGTGTTATTTTGCTTTGCTATCAGTTTTTTTCAGTAGAAACTAGAAAGGTAAAATCGTTCAACAGCAGTGAAAGGCTAGAATCAGATAAGTTGGAAGAGTGTGATATAAATAAAGCTTAAAAGTTTTCCATTGAAGCACACATTTTCCCCTGCAATGCTCATCTAGAAAAGTGTAGATTTTAATTTGCTTTCCCATGTAAATTTATCTATGCAAAAATTCTGGTTGACAGGGAAATTATATGTATCATTGAAATGAACAAATTTGTATTCTGGGTATGTTTCATTTGCTAGGTTGCTTGCTTGTTTTAAGCAAATTGTTTAGGTTCACATGGCAAATCAGTGATGACTGAAATAGATGATTTTTTTTATATTTTATTTTTTAAAATGTTTGTGGGTACATGGTAGCTGTGTATATTTATGGGGTACATGAGATATTTTGATACAGGCATACAAGAAGTGAAATGAGTACATCATGGAGAATAGCAGTGTCCATTCCCTCAAGCATTTATCCTTTGAGTTACAAACCAATTACATTCAAGTTATTTAAAAATATACAATTAAGTTATTATTGACTATAGTCACCCTATTGTGCTATCAAATCGTAGGTCTTATTCATTATTTTTTATTTTTGCTTTGTACCCATTAAACATTCCCACCTCCCCCCAAAATAGATAAGAATTTAGAAAGCTTCTTACTTTGGTCCCAGACTGGGTTCCCTTCCAATAAACATTGACAGCGACTGGCAATATTTTTGCAATTGACACTGCCCCAAGCTTGGAGAGCATCAAAGTCAGTAAGCCTCAGCCCTATGTTCTCATTGGAGATGTGGCCATGTACATAGTGAAGGATTATACAGCATGATAGGTATAGTACCAGAGGTGGAAATGGTGTGACATAGAATCAGAAAAGAAGAAGCAATGAATTCTGGCTGGGAAGTTAAACATTTCATCAGGGGCTTGGAGGACAACCAGAATTTAACCAGAATGGTTTTCCATTTATACAGATACGGGAACTTCTCATTATTCTTTCAAATAAAAAGCCAGTCTCTTAGATTATGCCTAGATTTAGCCTCCTGGTATTCACACCGTTGTGTAGTCTTCTCCCATGTTGTATGGGGGTTGGTCTGTACACCGATATATACAATGGTAGAAATGGCAGTGTGTGCATTCCAAGGATTGGTCATAAGAGACACTGCTGTTTCCATCATGGTCTCTTGGCTTACTTGCTCTGTCGTGTCATGGGAACACTTAAGCAAACCTCCAAAAAGGCTTTTATGGGGGAGAAGCTGAATTTAATCTGGGCAAATGGACACCCAGCTCGAGAATCTATTTCTGGCTTCCCTGCAGCTGGTTTATTTGTGTGACTTAAGTTCTTGGGAGCAGAAGTAATGTGTGCACCTTCTGGTACTTGCCTTTAAAACAGTTTCTTAATCGTTTTTTCATTATCACTCCCATAAGGAGCCTTTTTCGACTTTTATTCCGTAATTGCTCCCTTGAAATTTTAATGCCACAGATATACTATATACCCGCATATGCCCTGTATGTATGTATCTGTGCTTTATCCATAAAAAGACTAAAATGTTTTTACCTCTGTACCCCCCAGGAACCACCTTTTTTCCCATTGGGGATGATGCTGACCTTGTTGAGAATGCATGCTTTAGACAGACTAGGAATGCTCTCCCTTCATGGGGGCTGGAAGGCACACATGGTGTAGTGTGCCGGCTTCAACCATGTAGACAGGGGGAATCAAACAACAAGACAGAAAGAACTGGGAGGCATAGACAGCATCACAGAACAAAGCTGCTAGCCTATGTCTAGAAAGTTAATTGAGAAAGAAGGGAACTTTGATCTTATTTAAGCCATCTTATTTTGGAACCTTCACTGTAGCAGCTTGGCCTTTATCCTAACAAATGTGCATCCCATTTTCTTTTTTTTAAACAGGAAATTTAATCAAAATAAATTTAATGAGATAAAAATCTATACACTAAATAAAATACTGATGACAGAAATTGAAGTAGACACAAATAAATGGAAACATATTCCATTAGGATAACTAATATTGGCAAAGTACCATATTATCCAAAGTTATCTATAGATACAATGTTATCTGTATCAATATTTCAGTGGTGTTTTTCACAGTAATAGAAAACAATGGTAGAATTTGAGTGTAACCTTAAGCAACTTCAGTAACCTAAGCAATCTTGAGAAAGAACAAAGCTGTTGGCACTATACTTCCCGACTTCAAACTTCATTTAAAGGTTATAGTAATTAAGAAAGCATGGTAAGTGTATAAAAATAGACACAAAAACCAATGGAACAGAACAGGGAGCCCAGAAGTAAACCTATATGCATTGCATTTCTTCAAAACTGCTTCGCTTTAAAAAAGTTTCTCTTCTGTTAGTTTCATGTCACCAAATTCTGTTTACTCAGCAGTATAGAAATGTTATTTACCCTTTTGCCATCTGCAAATGCCTTATCATTACCAGTACTGTGAATTGTATAAATATTAACATCATTGGATCCAAAATTTGGGTATCTCTAAGTGATATTTTATAATCACTTAACCAAAGTGTTACTATGCTTTATCTCACTGCATATGTTGCTAGTTTGCAGTAGAGTAGTAGTCTTATTGGTTTCTTTAGCCGTTGAAGCAGTAGAGTGTCTTTTTTTTTTTTTTTTAAGAGACAGCGTATCACTCTGTTTCCCAGGCTGGAATGCCTTGGTGCAATCATGGCTCACTGCAGCCTCTAACTCCTGGGCTCAAAGCAATCCTCCTACCTCAGCCTCCCAAGTGGCTGGGACTATAGGTTCAGCTAATTTTACTTTATTTTATTATTTATTATTTTTATTTATCTTTGAGATGGAGTCTTGCTCTTTTACCCAGGCTGGAATGCAATGGCGCAATCTCGGCTCACTGCAACCTCTGCCTCCTGTGTTCAAGTGATTCTTCTGCCTCAGCCTCCCAAGTAGCTGGGACTACAGATGCTCACCATCACGCCCAGCTAATTTTTGTATTTTTAGTAGAGACGGGGTTTCACTATGTTGGCCAGGCTGGTCTCGAACTCCTGACCTCAAGTGATCTGCCTGACTCAGCCTACCAAAGTGCTGAGATTACAGGCATGAGCCACCGGGCCCAGCCCTTATTTTATTTTATTTTTTTGGTAGAGACGGGGTCTTGCTTTGTTGCACAGGCTAGTCTCAAACTCCTGGGCTCAAGTGATCCTCCCACCTCGGCCTCCCAGAGTGCTGGGATTACAGGTGATTTATTTTAAATGATATAGTTGCTTAAGCATTTTTGTTCTGTAAGTTTTTTACTTTTCGTAGGGAAGGATGGCATTGCTAATTTCTTCTCAGATAGACAGAATATGTGCCATGTATTTAAGAGTTATGACACAAACCAGCTACAGAAACAGAATTTCTCATCCCAGAATTTTCTTGTTTTTTATTATTATTATTATTATCATTTTTTTCCTTTACAAATTGTAGTTTAGAAAAGTTTAACTCCTGGTTATCTCTGTTTTATTAGAACCAGGACAGTTTGGATGACAAAAAGTTAGAGGGTAGAGGCTATTAAGAAAACAAAAACAAAACCAGAAAAACGCGGACTTTTTAGAAGTAACTGGGTGTTCTGGGCAGTTAACCAAGGTTGGTAGAGGCTGTTAAGACCCAGCTAGGCCACGGACCGTGGCTCACACCTGTAATCCCAGCCCTCTGGGAAGCTGAGGCAGCCTACTGCGGATTGCTTGCACTCAGGAGTTCGAGACCAGCCTGGGTAACATGGCGAAACTCCCATCTCTACAAAAACTGCAAAACCTAACTGGGTGTGGTGGCCCACACCTGTAATCTTAGCTACCTGGGAGGCTGAGGTGGAAGGATCTCTTGAACCTGGGAGATCGAGGCTGCAGTAAGCCATGATTGCACCACTGTACTCCAGCCTGGGTGACAGAGCAAGATCCAGTCCCCTCACCCCCACAAAAAGACCCAGCCAAAGATGGGAGGTCTTTCTTGTGAAAAGATTTTGCTGTTTGCTTCACTAGTTTTCCTAAGAATATAGATGGATGTTAATAGGACTTAAATCTCATGATGGGTGTTGGGGGGACTGGGAGGGAAGATCTTCCAGACTGATGGGCCATGGATCATTTGTTTGGCCCTCATGGTGTTTCATACGTGTTTTGAATCAGCTGCCAACACTTTAAAATAAAGCAGGCACAGACACACACACACACATACATACCACCTCCATTTCCAGTGTGTAAAGGCTTGGAAGCTCTAGGAATGCTGAGACAACATTAGCACATGGCTGCAGTAGGCTGGAGCTAGGGAGCACCTGTCCCTTCTAGACAGGCATGTGCTCCCCACCATTTCCTCATGCCACCTGAGTGTGTAGACCAAGTGCTAGTAGACATTTATCCTTTGTACTTGTGCTACTGTTTTTCCACTGTAGCTTTCAGAAAAAAATATTTTTGGGTCCTTTTTTTCTCCCAAAAGTAGGAAAATAAAAAGGTCTTTTCATTCTTAAGAGGTAAGGGGGCATTTTATGTGTGTATGTGCAAGTAAAGAATATTCCTGTGTTTTAATATGTAAACGAAGATGCCATTTTAAAACCAACAAATTAAGATGCCGCCTAAAAATCAGCTATAAGCCAGGCACAGTGGCTCACTCCTGTAATCCCAGCACTTTGGGAGTCCAGGTCATGTGGATCGCTTAAGTCCAGGAGTTTGAGATAAGCCTGGGCAACATACAGAGACCCTGCCTCTACAAAAAAGTACAAAAAAATTATCTGGGCATGGTGGTGTGTGCCTGTAATCCCAGCTACTGGGGAAGTTGAGGTGGGAGGATGGCTTGAGCCCAGGAGGTCAAGGCTACAGTGGGCTGTGATGGCACCACTGCACTCTAATCTAGGTGACAGAGGGAGACCCTCTCTCAAAAAAAAAAAAAAAATCAGCGATACATAATAAATGACATAACTAGTATATAGAAAAGATAAAATGGTTTGTTTTGTAATGGGAATTGAATAAGGGATATCATTATGATATATAGCTTTTGGTTAAAAAAAAATGTCCTGGGTGTCAATACCTTATATAGATGATAAGTTCCTAGAACAGTGCCTTTTTTTAAAGAGAAGAAATTATGTTTCTCAAACAGAAAGAAACATATATAAATAATGTAAATATCATTGGAACACTGTTTCATAGCATATTGAATATATGGCTGAGAATTTAAAAGGCAAGTTACATTACAAATTTAAATTATTTATGGAGGCTGGGTGCAGTGGTTCATGCATGTAATCTGAGCATTTTGTGGGGCCGTTGTAGGAGGATTCTGAGCCAAAGAGTTTGAGATCAGCCTGGGCAACAAAGTGAAACCCCATCTCTATAAAAAATAAAAAAAATCATTTATGATATTTTCAATTTAAGCTAAGGAAAACATATAGATAATACCACACAGCAATATGTGTGGTGTCTGAAAATTTTAATCAGTTGAAAAACTTTTGTATTTATTGCTCATGGAAGGGTCCATATCAAAGGACTCATTTATATAAAAAAAGTCAAAATTTAACAAAAATGGGTAAAAATTTATCGGCTTGATTACGTATAGAAAATGCTCCTGAAATAGTAAGTAGTAGGGGTTACCATTGGATATCTTAGTGACAAAGTACTGAAAGGAAATAGACATGAATGAATGAATTAATTTTTTTGTTTCAAGACGAAGTCTTGCTCTGTCGCCTAGGCTGGAGTGCAGTGATCTCGACTCATGCAACCTCCGCCTCCCGGGTTCATGTGAGTCTCATGCCTCAGCCTCCCGAGTAGCTGGGATTACAGGTGCCCGCCACCATACCCGGCTAACTTTTATATTTTTAGTAGAGACGGGGTTTCACCATGTTGGTCAGGCTGGTCTTGAATTCCTGACCTCAGGTAATCCTCCCACCTTGGCCTCCCAAAGTGCTGGGATTACAGGTGTGAGCCACCATGCCTGGCCGGAAATAGATGTGAATTTATTCTGTTTAATATACATTGTAGTAGGAATAATTTTAAGCTGAAAGATTAAAAATGCAACCAATATAGTTATTAGTAATTATCACAATGAAGTGGATACTGATACTTGAAATTCAGGTGGTTCAGGACTTTGCAGGTTTAATGATATGTACAACATGCTAGTCTCCTATGTGTAGGTTAGAGCTGAAAATGCTTTTTGAACTGTTAAATCAACCTGTACGTATCATACAAGGGAAAAGTGTTGCCTCAGTTTACCTGTGAAGAATGGCTCCAAGATTTGGCATTTTTGGTTGAAGTTACTGCCCATTTAAATTCTGCAAATATTTATTTATAGGGGCATTCATAAAGAATGCCCCGTTTGTATGATTCAGTTCTCTCATTTCTAGTAGATACATGTTTTTTGGCAAAATGGCTTTTTATGTTAAGGAATAATCTGCGTCACTTTCATGTGCTGAAGTTGGTTTCCAGAAATGAAAATTAGCATCTTACTTCATTCTCAAAATGAATGGAATTTAAGACTGAATTCCAAGGCAACGTCTTTGACTTTATACTTTATAAAAATGAACTAGCATTTCTCAGTTAATAACAATGTGAATGGATAGCTGCAAGTGTATGGAAAACTAAATATTGTAACACTGGAGCAGCAGAATTCTACAAACACCTTTGGAGTAATTACCCTAAATTCAATAATCACTTTGCAAAAAATTTCATCTTTGCTTGAAAAAGTGCCTGTGTTTAAGAGTTGTTTTTTCTTCTCTTAGTTCAAGGATTCAGGGCTGAATTCTGTATTACATATTGCATGCAATTCTAGATATCGGAGCTGACATTGACACCTTGGTATAGGGGAAAAGGTGTCAAGTTTTGGGTTTTAGGTCAGTGGTGTTATGACCTACAAGAAAAATTTAGTAATTAATTGTTTCTGGGGTTTTTGTTTTGTTTTTGAGATAGGATCTCCCTCTGTTGCCCAGGCTGGAATATAGTGGGGTGATGCTGGCTCACTGCAACCTCTGCCTCCCTGTTGAAGCCACCCTCCTACCTCAGCCTCCCGAGTATCTGGGACTACAGGCGTGCACCACCATGCCCAGCTAATTTTTTGTGTTTTTTGTAGAAATGGGGTTTTGCCATGTTGTCCAGGCTGGTCTTGAACTTTTGGGCTCAAGTGATCTGCCCACCTTGACCTTCCAAAGTGCTGGGATTACAGGTGTGAACCACTGTGCCCAGCCTGTGCCTGTTATTTTTTTGGTGTTGTTTGTTTTGTTTTTGTTCTTTGAGATGGGGTTTTGCCATGTTGCCCAGGCTGGTCTCGAACTCCCGAGCTCAGGTGATTTGCCCCCCCTCAGCCTCCCAAAGTAGTGGGACTACAGGTGTGAACCACCATGTCCGGCCTGTGTTCCTGTTGTTTTAATTTGTATTTTTTTCAATTTCAAATTTATAATCTCTGATATCATAACTGCTTGTGTTGTATTACATTACTAAAAATAATGCTTAATTCTATTTCTGGCATTTGAGTTTTTTAAATCTTGATCGCTTCAATTATTTATGTCACTGGCGTGGCTCCTGTAGATATTTGAATTTGTGATTCTTGTCATAGGCAGAAGGTACAACCTGACTATATCCTTGGGCAAGATGCCTATGAAAATATGGTTATCATCTTGTTCTAATTAATTTTACACTGGTACCTCTTTTCCTTACTTAGGCACTAAACATATTTTTGCGGTGGTTTATTTTATGGTGGCAGTTTTAGGATACGAGCATGGAAAATTTATGCTTGCTTATTTCAACACTGTAAATACATACTACTAGACAGCCCAGTATCAGGTAATAAGATTTTTTTTCTCTTCAACCTTCACCCACCCTCTGCAGAATCTTCAGTGAGAATTTCCTGTGAAAGCTTCAGGGCAAACCATTTAAAAAAAATAATACCTATAAGCTTCGATAGGATCCAAGACTCCACCCAGACTCTGTTTTAGACATGTAATTCTGTTTAGACATGAAAAGTTTAGGTGAAGCATCACAGTTTGTGTTGTATTTTGTAATAACTCCTGCGTTTCTGTTGTTGTGTCACTGAAATTCTTTGGTTTTGAAGCAGATGTCTGCAGCCTATGAGAAGCTGCCTTGTGCTCCTTCTCCCTGGCAGTGCTACCCTCGCCCTGGCTCGGATGCAGCTATGGCTCTGCCTTCTCAATTGCTTGCTGTGTGTTGCTGTTTCATAGAACTGTAGACCTTAAAGACTCTCTAGTAAGGCTTTTGGCCACAGGAAAAGTTTTTTTCCTAAAGTTTCCAAACCAGCCCAAGGAAAGAGAAAAAGAGGACAATGGAAAATATTTTTCTGAATCTTAAATAATTTGTGGATACTGAATTATCACTGTTAATATATTCACGTTTCTCCTTGCTCCCATTTGATCCTCTTTGGGGTCGGATCGGTATGGGGGAGTTGTTTCTGAGGACTCTTTGCAGTGGTTCGCTGAGTGTGGACCTTGGGCCAGCAGTTCCCAGCATGACCTGGGAACTTATTGGAAGCGCAGAATCTTGGTCCCCATCCCAGACCTACATAAATCCCAGAAAGAGAAACTCTTGAGGAGTAGAGTGGGTGGTGGCACCCTGTGTTTTAACAGCACTTCAGATGATTCTCATACATGCTGAAATTTGAGAACCACTGTTGTATATAACTTGAATTATACCTATATTGGATTTTTACATGGAAACTTAGGAAAGCTCCCAAACTCCTTCAGCATCTTCCTACTTTCCTCCTATTACTTCAGGGTCTGAGATAAAGTATATACTCTGTGGTGAGCTGTGGACCTTTACCCAACCTGGCTGGGACTTTGTGATAGTTGTACTCAGTTGACTGTCCTCAGTGACAACTAATTGTTGAGGTAATGGGTGAGACAGAGATGCCTTTGGCACTTCTAGGAAATTCAGTTGGCTCTGGCCTCCTAGGAACTACTGATCTGAGGGGAACCTATGCTTTGAGACATGGCCAAAGCAGTTATTCTCGTCTTTTATTTACTTGATGTAAATAATCCACTGGAGAAAAAAAGTAGAGTATGTGCCATTCTGATTTAATTTTTTTTTTTACTGTAGTAAAATATACATAACATTTTCTATTTTAACCATTTTGAAGTGTACAGTTCATTGGCATTAAGTACATTTACATTATTGTGCAACTATCACCACTATCCATCTCCAGAACTTTTTCATTATTTCAAACTGAAACTCTGTATCCATTAAGTGATAACTATCCATTCTACACACCCTCCAGCCTCTAGTAACTACAATTCTTTCTTTATGAATTTGGCTCTTCTGGGTACCTCATACAAGTGGAATCATACAATATTTGTTCTTTTGTGTCTGGCTTATTTCACTTCGCATAGTGTCTTCATGGTTCATCCATATTTTAGCATACATCAGAATTTAATTTTTTAAGGCTGAATATTATTTCAGCGTGTATGTATATATGCCATGTGTCCATTCATTCATCAGTGGACCTTTCGGTTGTTTCCACCTTTTGGCTGCTGTAAGCAATGCTGCATTAGTGCACAAATATCTGTTCAAGTCCCTGCTTTCAGTTTTTTGGGATATATACCCAAAAGTGGAATTACTAGATCTTATGGTAATTCTGTTTACTTTTTTAGGAACTGCCATACTGTTTTCTACAGTGGCTGCACCATTTTACATACCACCAGCAATGCATAAGCGTTCTAGTTTGTCTACATCCTTACCAACACTGTTATTTTCTGTTGCTGGAATTTTTTTTTTTTTTAATAATAGCCATCCTAGTGAGTGTGAAATGATATCTGATTGTGGTTTGGATTTGTATTGTCCTAATGATTAACGATGTTGAGCATCATGTCATGTGCTTATTGGTCATCTGTATTCTTCCTTGGAGAAATTTCTATTCAAGTTCTTTGCCCATTTTAAAAATTGGGTTTTTTTTTTTCTTTTTTCTTTTTTTTTTTAGACGGAATCTCGCTCTGTCGCCAGGCTGGAGTGCAATGGCGCTATCTTGGCTCACTGCAATCACCACCTCCCGGGTTCAAGCGATTCTCCTGCCTCAGCCTCCGAGTAGCTGGGACTACAGGCATGTGCCACCACACCCAGCTAATTTTTGTATTTTTAGTAGAGATGGGGTTTCACCATGTTGGCCAGGATGGTCTCGATTTCCTGACCTCGTGATCTGCCTGCCTCGGCCTCCCAAAGTGCTGGGATTACAGGCGTGAGCCACCGTTTTTGAGTTTTTTACATATTCTGGATATTAATTTCTTATAATATATACTGCTTGCAGGTATTTTCTCCCACTCTGTGGGTTGCATTTTCACTCACCTATACTGTCTTTTGAATACTATCTTTTGATGCACAAAAATTTTTCAATTTTGACAAAGTCTCACTTATGTATTTTTTCTTTTGTTGCCTGTGCTTTTGGGGTCATATCCAAGAAGTCAGTGCCAAATCCAATATCATGAAGCTTTTGCCCTATATTTTCTTCCAAGAGTTTTATAGTTTTCACTTTTGTGTTTAGGTCTTTGACCCATTTTGAATTAGTTTTTGTATATGATATAAGGTAAGGGTCCAATTTCATTCTTTTGCATGTGGATATACACTTTTCCCAACACCGTTTGTTGAAAAGACTGTCCTTTCCCTGGTGAATGATTTTTGCACCTTTGTTGAAAATCATTTGATCATATATGTGAAGGTTTATCTCTGAGCTCTCTGTTCTATTCCACTGATCTGCATGTCTATCTTTATGCCAGTATCACACTGTTTTTGATTACTGTAGCTTTGTAGTTTTTTGTTTTTTGTTTTTTTTTTGAGACAGAGTCTCCCTCTGTCACCCAGGGTGGAGTGCAGTGGCGTGATCTTGGCTCACTGCAAGCTCCGCCTCCTGGGTTCAGGCCATTCTCCTGCCTCAGCCTCCCGAGTAGCTGGGACTACAGGTGCCCGCCACCACGCCCGGCTAATTTTTTGTATTTTTAGTAGAGACGGGGTTTCACCGTGTTAGCCAGGATGGTCTCTATCTCCTGACCTCGTGATCCGCCCGCCTCAGCCTCCCAAAGTGCTGGGATTACAGGCGTGA
Organism: Homo sapiens; assembly: GCF_000001405.40. NCBI lineage: Eukaryota > Metazoa > Chordata > Mammalia > Primates > Hominidae > Homo > Homo sapiens. The sequence continues at coordinate 71,294,551 of NC_000002.12, forward strand.
GCCACCGCGCCCGGCCAGTAAGTTTTGAAATGAGGATGTGTGAATCTTACAACTTTGTTCTTCTTTTTCCAAGATTATTTTGGCTATTCAGGGTCCTTTGGGATTCCATATGAATTTTAGGATGGATTTTTCTATTTATGTAAAAACATTATTGGGATTTTTGAAAGGGATTGCATTGAATCTGTAGATTGCTTTGGGTAGTATTGCCATTGTAATAATATTAACTCTTCCAATTCATGAACATGGGATATGTTTCCTTTTATTTGTGTCTTCCTTTATTTCTTTCAGCAATTTGTAATTTTCATTATACAAGTCTTTTACTTCCTTAAGTTTATTCGCACTAAGTATTTTATTCTTTTTGATGCTATTACAAATGGAATTGTTTTGAATTTCCTTCTCAGATTGTTCATTGCTATTGTATAGAAACCAACTTATTTTTGTGTTTTTCACCCTGCAACTTTACTGGATTTGTTTTTTAGTTCTCGTGGGGTTGTGTGTGTGTGTGTGTGCGTGTGTGTATAATCTTTAGGGTTTTCTACATATAAGACCATGTCATCTGTGAATAGAGATAATTTTACTTCTTTCTTTCCAATTTGGATGTCTTTTATTTCTTTTTTTTTTGCCTGATTACTCTGGCCAGAACTTCTAACGCTACGTTAAATAGAAGTGGCAAAAGTGAGGCCGGGCTTGGTGGCTCACATGTGTAATCCTAGCACTTTGGGAGGACGAGGCAGGCAGATTACATAAGCTCAGGAGTTCTAGACCAGCCTGGCCAACATGGCAAAACCCTGTCTCTACTAAAAATACAAAAATTAGCCAGGCATGATGGTGCACACCAGTAATCCCAGCTACTCTGGAGACTGAGGCATAAGAATCACTTGAACCTGGGAGGGAGAGGTTGCAGTGAGCCAAGATCGTGCTACTGGACTCCAGCGTAAGCAATAGAGTGAGACTACAACTCAAAAAAAAAAAAAAGTGTCTGAAGTGAGTATCGTTGTTTTATTCCTGATCTTAGTGGAAAAGCTTTCTGTTTTTCATAATTGAATATGATGTTAGCTGTGGGTTTTTTGTATCTGGCTTTTATTGTTTTGAGGCAGTTTCCTTCTATTCCTAGTTTGTTGAGTATTTTTATCATGAAAGGATGATGAATTTTAAATACTTTTATTGCATCAATTGAGATAATGTGGTTTTGTCCTTCTAATTCATTGTATGAAGCTAGGAATTACTTTTTTTTTTTTCTTTTTTGAGATGGAGTCTCACCCTGTTGCCCAGGCTGGAGTGCAATGACATGATCTCAGTTCCCTGCAACCTCTGCCTTCTGGGTTCAAGTGATTCTCCTGCCTCAGCTTCCCAAGTAGCTGGGACTACAGGCGTGCACCACCATGCCTGGCTAATTTTTATATTTTTAGTAGAGACGGGGGGTTTCACCATGTTGGCCAGGTTGGTCTCCAATTCCTGACCTCAGGTGATCCACCTGCCTCGGCCTCCCAAAGTGCTGGGATTACAGGCATGAGCCACTGCACCTGGCCTTTTATTCTAAAACTAGATAAAGAATACAAAAAAAAGTACAGACCAATATTCCTCATGAATGTAGATGCAAAAAATTACTAAATTATTGCCAGATTTAAGGCCAGTGTACAAAAATCAATTATTTTCCTATATTGTAGGAATAAGCAAAATAAATTTTGAAAAGGGATACTGTTTTCAAAAGCATCGTAAACATTAAATAATGTAACATAATATAGTCATAATATTAATGCAGAAAACCATACAATGTTATTGGGAGAAGGTAAAGAAGTTCTGAGTAATTAGAAGGATATACCATATTTTGTTGATTAGAAGTCTCAATATTGTAAAGATTTCACTTCTTAACAAATTGATTCACCGAGTCAATGCAGTCCCAACTCAAAATCCAGTAAGTTTTTTTTCTTTTTTTTTGAGAACTTGACAAGTTGATTCTAAAATGTATCTGGAAATGCAAAAGACCTAGAATAGCCCAGACAATCTTGAACAGTGGGAAGGCTAGCCATATTGGATATCAAGACTTAATATGGCCGGTCATGGTGGCCCACACCTGTAATCCCAGCATTTTAGTAGGCCAAGGTGGGAGGATTGCTTCCAGCCTTTTTTTTTTTTTTTACTAAAAAAAAAAAGAGAGAGACAACATGACACTGTAATTATTAAGAAAGTGTAATATTAATGGAAGAATAGAAAAATTGATCAAAAGACTAGAATAGAGAGTGCTGAAGCAGAATCACATATATCTGGACACTTCATGTATGAGCAAATTGACCCTAAAGAGAAGAAGGGAAATAATTAAATTTTTTTCAGTATGTGGCATGGAGACAATCAGATATTATTATTTTTAAAAGGAAGGAAAAAACATACAAAGTAAAAATCAAACCAAAGCTTGACCCAACGTCACACTATTAAAAAAAAAAAAAAAAAAGGCCGGGCACCGTGGCTCATGCCTGTAATCCCAGAACTTTGGGAGGCTGAGGCGGGCAGATCACCTGAAGTTGGGAGTTTGAGACCAGCCTGACCAACATGGAGAAACTCAGTCTCTACAAAAAATACAAAATTAGCTGGGCGTGGTGGTGCATACCTATAATCTGAGCTACTCAGGAGGCTGAGGCAGGATAACAGCTTGAACCCGGGAGGCGGAGGTTGCGGTGAGCCGAGATTGCGCCATTGCACTCTCCAGCCTGGGCAACGGGAGCAAAACTCCGTCTCAAAACAAAAAACAAAACAAAAAAGTTCCAGGTGGGTTGTGGTTTTAAATGTGAGCAGCAAAACAATGAAGTTCCTAGAAGATAATATATGAGAATATCTTCATAACCTTGGTATAAGAAGACTTTTAATAGGATGCAAATAATACTAACTATAAAGAGAAAGAAAAGCTAAATTGGACTACATCAAAATTCTTTCCTCACTGCCTCCCTCCCATCCTTTCTTCCTTCCATTAAGATTTTACCCCTGGCCAGGCATGGTGGCTCACACCTGTAATCCCAGAACTTTGGGAGGCCAAGGCAGGAGGATTGCTTGAGCCCAGGAGTTCAAGACTAGCCTGGACAACGTAGCGAGACTTAGCCTCTATTTTATATTTTTTTTTAAAAAAAATTTCACCCTACTGGGGAATTATTAGAGATCAACAGTAAAAATAAGTCATTGCTTATCAAGAATACTGTGGTAATGTCCTGTCACTGGGGTCCTCACATAAACTGTTGAAAACCTTTAAGCCATTTCCTACCATATAGCCACATAATCTTTTCAAAATATATATCATCACTTTACACTTTGACTTAAAATTCTTTCACTTAAAATTCTTTCACTAAGACTGGTTAAGTAAATTCTAGGATATCTCCCTAAAATGAAATATGCTACAGTCATTAAAAAGAATGAGGTAGATTTCTTTACATGAATGTAGAGCAATCTCAAAGAATTATTAAGTCAAAAAACAAGATACAGAACAATGTGTATTAAAGTGTAGGGAATAGATACAGTAGAATCTCATCATATATTCATTTCAGTTACTCAAAATTAACTAACTCATGTAGGTAAAAGAAAGGAAATTATATATTATTAAACAGGGCAGGGGACTGCATTGGCCTTTTCTCCACTTTGTCTAAGTATGTAGTCTATCTTATTAGTCTGTGAAATAGTGTGTAATTTTAAGGGTTTTACTGACCATTTATAAGGAAGAGTTATACATAATGCAGGAGGCCAGGCACTGGAACGGTAGTGGTTTTCCTAACTATCGTGCAGCACAGCTTGTCTTAAGACAGGGTCTTACACACTGAATGATTTTTGGTATGTCTGGCCCTCAGCCATTAAATGTCAGTAGCTTCTGAGGTATTGGGTCAACCAAAGAACTGCTCTGCAGATCTTCAAACATCAGTGGATGGGATGGGATTTAGGAGCATACCGCCTTAGTGTTCTTAGGCTAAGAACACTAGAGGGGAAAAAAATAGAAGAAATAATATAGGGTCACAGAGAAAACTGAGTGAAGACTGAGAGGAATTCACAGCATGGGATTTGGGATTGGTTGCACAAAACTGTATATGCTACGCCTGAATAAGTAATGTAAGGGTTTTTCATGGATTATTTTGACCATAAGCAAGACAGGAAAATGGGCAACATGGTTGCATGTAAGTTCTATCTGGAATTTAAGTTGGGCTCTCAGTTGCCAACTCCAGGGAGCTGCCAGGAAGTAGATGTGCTTGAAGGACTCCTCAGTTCCCACCTTTACCCTGAAGTGTTCTGGAACCTGCACTTACTATCCCTGTGCCAGCCTGTCCCTCCTCCCTCCCTAAGGAGGGGAAGGGAAACACCCTTAAGAGGGAAAAATCAGCTCTGAGGTGAGGAAATAGGATAGTTACTAATTTGAGAATACTCATTTGGCCAGGCGAGGTAGCTCATGCCTGTAATCCCAGCACTTTGTGGGAGGATCACTTGAGCCCAGGAGTTTGAGACCAGCCTGGGCAATGTAGTGAGACACCTGTCTCTAAATAAGAAAAAAATTAGCCAGGCATGGTGGTGCCTGCCTGTGATCCCAGCTACTTGGGAGGCTGAGGTGGAAGGATCACTTGAGCCCAGGAGGTCCAGGCCACAGTGAGCCATGATTGTGCCATTGCATCCCAGCCTGGGCAACAGAGCGAGACCCTGTCTGGAAAAAAAAAAAAACAACTGATTTGACTTAATGTACTACTGGACTAGACTAAGGAAACTCAAAATAAGTTCAGTACAAGGAAGTGTCTTGACTTAAGTTATAACTGAAAAGTCACACAGACTTCCGCTTAGCAGGGGCTTGGTAGGATAGCTGCTGTCCTTAGAAAGGTTTTGGGCATGGCCAACCTTGGTCTGGTATTTCAGTAATAGACTGGATTGTGCCTCATTTTGGTCACCACACTTAAAAAATAATGTAGATAAATACAGGAGTCCATTGAAGGTGATTAAAATTATTGAAAGCAGGTAAAATAGCCCTAAGATTGGCATTGGTGTTTTTACTGCACCCCAGCCCAGATTCTTCTGAAGTTTTCAGTAGCACTACTACAAAAGACCACAAGGTGGTGACAAAATTCTAAGGTATCTTTTTTTTTTAAGCTAGATTTGGAAGCAATCACACATTCCCTGATGGAAATGAGGAAAAGAAAGCTTAAGAATGTCTATATTTCAAGTTTTATGGAATGATCAGAATACTTTCTCTAGCAGGTTTTTTGCAATACTTGCCCATTGTTTAAACGAAAAGATTTCATTCATGTTAAAGAACAATACTGGTAAATGAGTTAGATATTTGTCTCTTAGGCTTTAGCAGACATCAGCATTGTTTCCGTAGCTTTCTGCTCTCTTTTTCTCTCTTTTCTGTCCTCTGTACCTCTGTCCCCTTTCAAAAGACTCCATCATATGAGGAAGTCAATCTAATATAGTGGTTGAGGGCGTGGATTCCGGAGGCCTGCTGCTGAAGTTCAGATACAGATTACCAGTTATTAACTGTGCGACATACAGCAAATCACTTAGCTCTGTGCCTTGGTTCCTTTTTCTCTAAAATGGAGATGACAATAGTGCCTAGTTCATTGATTATTCTCAGGATTAAATGAATCTATAAGTGTAAGAGCACTTAGAGCAATGCCTGGCACATAAAAATGTTAAAATTATATGGAATTAAAATTTAAATGATTTTCTATTGGTTTATGGAGTTAACTTTTTAAAATTTATTAAGTAGATGAGTGAGCTGCATGAGGATTTTCTCTCTCTCACACACACAACTTCCAAATAAAATTTAGTTGCTTTTGGTTTAGGAGGCACTTAATAGCTTTCCTTTTCCTCTGTCCGTCATGTTTCCCTATTTCTTACCCTTACATTAGTCACTGAAGAGAAAAGGATAGGGATTTTGTTTATTTATATGAAAGATATTTATGTTAAAGTGAGACAAGAAAAAAAAAGTGGGGTTTTTTTTTTTTTTTTTTTTTTGAAACAGGGTCTCGCTCTGTTGCCCAGGCTGGAGTGCAGGCATGATCTCGGCTCACTGCAACCCCCCCTCTCCTGGGTTCAAGCGATTCTCGTGCCTCAGCCTCACAAGTAGCTGGGACAAGAGGCGCATGCCACCATGCCCAGCTAATTTTTGTGTTCTTTTTAGTACAGATGGGGTTTCACCATGTTGCCCAGGCTGGTTTTGAATTCCTGAGTTCAAATGATCTGCCCCCCTCGCCTCCCAGAGTGCTGGGATGCCAGGTGTGAGCCACCACACCTGGCCAAAAACATAGATTTTTTTGCCCTGTATTTTCTATGGGCACAGAAGAAAGACCTTTTCAATAATCAAGAAGATTTTTAAAAGGATATTATGCCTTACATATTTAACTATTTTAGGATCACATTAAAATGATCTGCTAATGAAATTAAAATCTGTACATTTACTTTATTCACTCTTTTTTGTTTTTTTGAGACATTCTCACTCTGTTGTCCAGGCTGGAGTGCAGTACCGCAATCATGGCTCACTGCAATATCTGCATCCCGGGCTCAAGCAGTCCTACTGCCTCAGCCTCCCAGGTAGCTGGACTACAGGTGCATGCCACCACACCTCGCTAATTTTCATGTGTTTTGTAGAAATGGGGTTTCACCATGTTGCCCTGGCTGGTCCCGAACTCCTAGGCTCAGGTGATCTACCTGCCTAGGCCTCCCATAGTGCTGGGATTACAGGCATGAGCCACTGCACTGGGCTTGTACATTCTCTCTTTAGAAAATAAAACTTTTTAAATAAAATACTTCAAATATCCAAAAGAAAATCTGAGATATTTGTAAGATAAAATCATAAAAATAAAATTAACGCCATTTCTTCAACCACTCAATTGAAGAAATAGAACATTAATATAATTTTTGAAGCCCTCTATACCCTTACTCATCCTGTGCCTCTCTTTGAACTTCCCCCAATCTGACTTTTTTATTTCTTATTTTTTCTCTCTCTCTCTCTTTTTTTTTTTTTTTTTTTTTTTTTTTGAGACAGGGTCTTGTTCTGTCACCCAGACTGGGGTACAATGGTGTGATCATGGCTCACTGCAGCTTCCTTGACCTCCTGGGCTCAAGTGACCCTCCTGCCTCAGCCTCCTGAGTAGCTGGGACTAGAGGCGTGTGCCACCATCTCTGGCTAGTTTTTGTGTTTTTTTGGGGAGAAGTAGTTTCACCATGTTGTCCACGCTGGTTTCCAACTCCTGGGCTCAAGTGATCCAACTGCCTTGGCCTCCCAAAGTGCTGGAATTATAGGTGTGATGATTTCTTATTCTCTTACATGAAAAAATATCTTACCACTAATGGGCAAAATCATAAACACGGTATTGCTTAGATTTGCATGTTTGAAGACTTTACGTAAAATGATTCCTATTCTTCTTCTTCTGTAACTTGCTTTTTGTTTTTAGTCAGGAGTATATTCCAGATGTTCATCCATGTAGATACTTACCTAGAGCACATGTATTTTTACTACTCTGTTGTATTCTGTTATGTATATATCATTTATTTTTGTCACTCATCTGTCAATTAAAAATGGTATTAAAATCCAGAATTTAATAATTTTGCTATTAAAAAACCAGTGCTGCTGTGAGCATTTTGTACTGGCTTCTTGGTACACCTGTTCAAGAGTTTTTCTAGGCTACATGCCTGCGAGGGTAATGCTTGAAAATGACAAATGGTTTTCCAGGGTGATCATGATCCATGTACCTTCCTACTAGCCGTATATAAGAATTAATGTTTCTCCATATCCTTACCAATATTTGGTCTTTTGGTTTTTGCTTGGTGTGTGCAAAATGGTCTCTGCTTCAATCACTCTGGCCTGTTTAGTGCTCCTCACAACCTTTGCACTTACTTGTTCCTCTGCCTGGAATGTTCTCTCCCTGATATCTCCGTAGTTTGCTCCTTTACCTCTCTCAGGCCTTCACTTAATTGTGAAGTTCTCTGTGAGGCTTTCCCTGTCCATCCCCTTTAAAATTTGGCATGCTTCTCTCCCACTCCCTTATCTCTTCACTGCTTTATTTCTTTCCGGACCACTTACTGCCACTGCTTTTCCACACTAGAACTTAAGTTCCTTAAGGATAGGGAGTTTTTCATATCTTGTTCACTGTTGTGTTTCTAGAATTTAGAGCAGCACCTTCCCCATAGAAGACTTTAATAAATATTGTTGACTGAATTGAATGAATGTCATTGAGGTTTTACATTTTCTTGATTATTAATGAGGTAGAGCATTAATGAGGTGGCCACTTTTTATTAGCCATTTGTGTTTCCTTTTCTGTGAAATGGCTGCTCAAATATATTGCTTATTTTTCTATTGGGTTGTTTAATACTTTCTTATTGATTGATAGCAGTTCCTTGTAAGTTCAGATTTGTTAATTACTCATGTCATACATATACTTATACTTTGTGCCTTAACTTTAAGCTTTTTTTAAAAAAAAAAAAAAAACTTGGCCAGGCGTGGTGGCTCACGCCTGTAATCCCAGCACTTTGGGAGGCCGAGGTGGGTGGATCATGAGGTCAGGAAATCAAGACCATCCTGGCCAACACGGTGAAACCCTGTCTCTACTAAAAATACAAAAAATTAGCCGGGCGTGGTGGCGGGCGCCTGTAGTCCCAGCTACTTGGGAGGCTGAGGCAGGAGAATGGTGTGAACCCAGGAGGCGGAACTTGCAGTGAGCCTAGATTGCACCACTGCACTCCAGCCTGCGGGACAGAGCGAGACTCTATCTCAAAAAAAAAAAAACAAAAAAAAAAAAACAAAAAAAAAACTTACCTCTTGATAAACAGTTTTAATTCTTTAAACACTTTTTAAAAATTTTTTTAATTTTAATTTTTTTTTAGAGACAGTGTCTCACTCTGTCACCCAGGCTAGAATGCAGTGGTGCAATCATGGCTCACAGCAGCCTTGAACTCCTGGGCTCAAGTGATCCTTCTACCTCAGCCTCCTAAGTGGCTGGGACCACAGGTGCACACCACCATGGCTGGCTAATTTTTTTTTACTTTTTACAGAGACAGGGTCTCCAGTATTGCCCAGGCTGGTATCAAACTCCTGGGCCCAAGCAATCCCCCCACCTCTGCCTCCCAAAGTGCTGGGATTACAGGTGTGAGCCACTGCACCCTACCTGATATGTACTTTTGGATATATGATTACACATATGTGTGTTTTTTCTATTTAAAAATGGGAACATACTACACGTACCTTAAACTCTTTCAGTTATCTAAAAAATTAATTGTCAAATAATATTGTATTATATGGATCTAAAACAATTGTGTAGTTTACCCTCATTTGTTTCTGCAAGCTCATCCTCTTTTTCATGGTCATTAGATATTGCCTATTCTCAACACTTGGCCATCTTCTCTCCTCACTTGGTATTACCTCCGTAGGTAATCTCACCGATGGCTCACAGCTTAAGTTATTAGATACATGCCAGTGACTTCCCAGAGTTACGTCTCTAGCTCATAAACCTCAGAGCCCCAGCCTAGGTATCTAACTGTCTGCTTAGCATTCCTGCTTGCTTATGTCAAAGGTACCTCAAACTCTACATGTCTAAACAAGGCAGAACTAATGAATTTCCCCTCAAACCTAGCAGTCTGCCAGTGTTCCCTTGGCATGATCATCTGTCTCACTGAATAAGGCATAAACAGGAATCACCATTAATACATTATTTGCTCCTAAATCCTGATCATCTCTCCTGTGATGTCTTCTTTGATTTAGCTGGGCAGAAATTTAGGCTTCTGTAACCAAGAAAAGCTACGGATTGTCTGATTCACATCTGTTTAGAGTTTACTGTTTGTGGGCAAGAAATATACCTCTTTGCAAGGCTCTGTGGTCTTTCCTGTTTGCTTTCAGCTGGACCAATTGAACTGAACCTTGTTTTTTTTGCAAGAATTAGATGTAGAAGTAGTGAATTTATGAGTTAGGAAATTTTTTGACTGCAAGTTACAGAAAACCCTAATCCAAACAAATCAATTTATTGCCTTCTATAAAAGGAAGTCCAGAGGTAGAATGGGTTCAAGCTGATAAATATCAACAGTGGCTCAGTTATATCATTATGGACCCAGGTCCATTCCTCTCTTCATTCTGCTGTTCTTAGCAAAGTCAGTGTTTCAAGTTACAGGAGTTTAACCAGCACCTTTGTAACCACAGAATAAGGATGATCACTTCCCACACTTTCCACATAAGGATAGAGGCATCCTCCTGGCATTCCGTATGTATACATTTTTTCAGTTAAATATTCTAATTGGCTCTCTTTAAAAGTTTTATTTTTAATTGATGCATAATAATTGTACATTATGGTTGGGTGCAGTGGCTCACACCTGTAATCCCAGCACTTTGGGAGGCCGAGGTGGGTGGATCACTTGAGGCCAGGAGTTCTAGACCAGCTTGGCCAACATGGCGAAACCCTGTCTCTAGTAAAAATACAAAAATTAGCCGGGCGTGATGTGATGCACGCCTGAAATCCCAGCTGCTCAGGAGGCTGAGACATGAGAATCACTTGACCCTTGGAGATGGAGGTTGCAGTGAGCCGAGATTGGGCCACTGCATTCCAGCCTGGGCAACACAGTGAGACTTTGTCTCAAAAAAAATTTGTACATATTTATGGGATACAATATGATATTTTGATAGTGATCTGATTAGAGTAATTTGTAGAGTAATTTGCAAATCCACACCTTAAAACATTTATCATTTCTTTGTGATGAGGCCATTCAAAATCCTCTTTTCTAGCTATTTTGAAATATACATTATGTTAACTATGGTTACCCTACAGTGTAATAGAACAACAGAACTTATTCTTCCTACCTAACTTTGTATTCACTGACCAACCTCTCCCCATTCTTCCCTTTCCCCACCTCTCCTGCTCCAGTTTCTGTTAATCACTATCCTACTCTCTACTTCTATGAGATCAACTTTTTTTTAGATTGCACATATGAGTGAGAATATGCAGTATTTATCTTTCTGTGTCTGGCTTACTTCACTCAATATAATGTCCTCCAGATTCATCCATGTTGTTGCAAATGACAGCATTTTATTATTTTTGGCCGGGTGTGGTGGCTCACTCCTGTAATCCAGCACTTTGGGAGACTGAGGCGGGCGGATCACCTGAGGTCAAGAGTTCAAGACCAGCCTGGCCAACATGGTGAAACCCCATCTCTACTAAAAATGAAAAAATTAGCTGGGCGTGATGGCGCGTGCCTGTGGTCCCAGCTACTTGGGAAGCTGAGGCAGGAGAATAGCTTGAACCCGGGAAGCGGAGGTTGCAGTGAGCCGAGATTGCACCACTGCACTCCAGCCTGGGTGACAGAGTGAGACTCTGTCTCAAAAAAACAAAAAAAACAAAGAAAGAATTTTATAATTTTTTATGGCTGAGTAGTATTTCATTGTGTATATATATATGTATGCATACAACATTTTCTTTATCCTTTCATCTGTGGATGGATTCTTAGGTTGATTCCATATCTTGGCTATTGTGAATAGTGCTGTAATAAACATGAGAGTGCAGATATCTCTTCAACATGCTGATTTAATTTCCTTGGGTATATATACCCAGCAGTGGTATTAATGGATTAAATATGTGGTAGTTATAGTTATAATTTTTTGAGGAACCTCCATACTGTTCTCAATAAAGGCTATACTAAATTACATTCCCAACAATGTGCAAGGGTTCCCTTTCCTTCACATCCTCAACAATACTCATTATCTTTTGTCTTTGTGATAATGGCTATTCTAACTGGAGTGAGGTGATATCTCATTGTAGTTTTGATTTGCATTTCCCTGATAATTAATGATGTTGAACATTTTAAAATACATCTGCTGGTCATTTGTATGTCTCTTCTTTTGAGAAATATCTATTAAGATCTTTTGCTCATTTTTAAAATTGGCTTGTGTTTTTTTGTTTTTGCTATGGAGTTGTTTGAGTTTCTTATATATTCTGAATATTAACCCCTTGTCAGATGTATAGTTTGCAAATATTTTCTCCCATTCTGTAGGTTGTCTCTTCGCATTCCATATTTAAGGTCTGTCATCGCCACCCCTCCCCGCTTATGTTATCAGTTCATTTGTTAGTCAGGACCCTGGCTTGCAAGTGACAAATACCAAACTCAAATTGGCCTAAGCAAAATGGTAATAGTGTACATGGAACAGAAAAGGCTTTGGAATGTCTGGCTTTGGGCATGGCTGGATCTAAGGGCTCAAGTGATGTGATCCAGGTCTTCCTTTTCTCTCTCACAGGTTTTTTCCATTTTGTAATCTTGAGGGCCAGCATAACAACCTTGGTAGAAAGAGAGCATCTTCTTTGATAACTCCGGCAGAAAAAAATCCCGGAGAGGATTCTAATTGGCAACACTCCTGTTCCTGATTCAATGACTGTGGCCATGGGAATGGAATATTCTGATTGGTCAGGCCTGGGTCATGTGTCTCCTGTGGTCTAAGAAGGCAATCCAGCCACACCTAAACTGCAAGGAAGTGGTTCCTGGCTGGAAAAGGGTTTGGTTATGAGAAGAGGGGATGAACGCTGGGAAGGCAAAAATAGCAGCTGCTCATTATAATGGTATTTTAGCAACTCAAAGGAAGCCAAGTTGGCTAGAGCAGTAATTCTTGTATTGTCATTTCCAGTTCCAGTTCTGAATCAGAAATGGGTGGTAGGGCCAGCAATCTGTGTTTTAATAAGCCCTTCAAGTGATTCTGATGCAGGATAACTTTGGAAACCACTGATAAGGCCGGGCGCGGTGGCTCACGCCTGTAATCCCAGCGCTTTGGGAGGCCAAGGCGGGCGAATCACGATGTCAGGAGATGGAGACCATCCTGGCCAACACGGTGAAACCTTGTCTCTACTAAAAGTACAAAAAATTAGCCTGTCATGGTGGCGGACACCTGTAGTCCCAGCTACTTGGGAGGCTGAGGCGGGAGAATGGTGTGAACCCAGGAGGCAGAGCTTGCAGTGAGCCGAGATCGTGCCACTGCACACCAGCCTGGGCGACAGTGCAAGACTCTGTCTCAAAAAAAAAAAAAAAAAAGAAAACCACTGATCAAAGAGGTGAATATGGAAGTGAGATATGGCAAGCAATTAATTCTGGGTGTAGGAGAGATTACTTAGGGAAGGTGGAATCCAATTTAGACCCTAAAGGAGGAGGTAGAACTCATCTTGTGAAGAAATGTTTATTTCTTACTCTCGAGCTACTTGCTTTTCACTTTCACTGAAGCCTAGCTGATGCCAATTTACCATATTTATTCTGTCTCTTGAGCCACTGTGCCTCAGCTTTTCTTTGTCCCTAGAATTTTTTTTTTTCCTTCCTCGTCACTGATTTAAACCCTAGCCATCCTTGGATGTTCAGGTCACAGCTTCCTCTATTCCAGGAAACCTTACTTGATATGTTCCATTTTTATTAATGTATATCTGCTCTGCATGCCTTCTTTCAACCATTTATTTCAACCATTTCAAACATTTATTGATAGCTTATATACCAGATACTGTAGTAAGTACTGGACTTGCACAAAGGACTTGTGCTATCTAATTTAAAGGATATGTGCATGTTCCTAAAGATGCCATCGGAATGCCCTGTAACAAGGCTTTACCAGTTTACATAGACACCATGGCATATGAGGCTGCTTAGTTCTTCCACATCTTCACCACCACTAGATATTAACAATCTTTCTCATTTTTGCCAACCTGAGGAGTGAACAATATCTTATTGCTGTTTGATAACGAATACATTTGAGGATCTTTTCTCTGTTGGCTATTTGCATTTCTTTTCAGACTTGCTTGTTGATATCCTAAGCCTGTTTTTTTTTTTTTTTTTTTTTGTTTTTTGTTTTTTTAGGTACAGTGAAATTGAATTTTTTCCCTTTTGGGGTACAGTGCCTTGTATTTTAACACATGTATAGATTTGTGTAACCACAACCATTGTCAGGATTAAAAAAAAAATTCCATCACTTCAAAAAACTCCCTCGTGCTAACCCTTTATAATCCCACTCTCCCCCCAACTATAACTTGGCAACTCCTGAGCCGTTCTCCATCACTATAGTTTTACATTTTTGAGAATGTCATATAAATGAAATCATATAGTATATCACTTCTTGAGACTGGACTCTTGGACTCAGCATAATGTCTTCAGATTCAGCCACATTATTGCATGAATCAGTAGTTCATTCTTTTGATTGCTGAGTAGTGTTCCATTGTACCAAAGTTTGTTTATCCATTTGCTCATTGAAGGACATTTGGGTTGTTTCCAGTTTGGGTTTATTATTATTTATTATTTAAATAAATCAGCTATGGACATTTGTGTACAGGCTTTTGTGTGAGCATAAGTTTTTATTTTTCTAGGATACTCAAGAGTTGGCTTATACAGTAAATGCATGTTTAACTTTATAAGAAAGTGCCAAACTATTTTCTAGAGTGACTATACCTTTTTTCTGAGATGGAGTCTCGCTCTCTTGCCCAGGCTAGAGTGCAGTGGCATGATCTCGGCTCACTGCAACCTCCGCCTCCCAGGTTCAAGCAATTCCTCTGCCTCAGCCTCCTGAGTAGTTGGGATTACAGGTGCGTGCCACCATGCCCAGCTAATTTTTGTATTTTTAGTAGAGTTGGGGTTTCACCATGTTGGCCAGGCTGGTCTCAACGTCAGGCAATACACCTACCTCAGCCTCCCAAAGTACTGGGATTACAGGTGTTAAGCCATCACGCCCGCCCAACTATACCATTTTATATTTCCACCAGTAACATGTCAGAGTACCCTATGCTCCATTTTCTTGGGAGCACTTGGTATTGTCATTTTAGCCATTCTAGTAAGTATGTAGTAGTGTATTACCTTGGTTTTAATTTGCATTCCCTAATGGCCAGTAATGCTGTACATCTTTCCATGCTATTATTTGTCATCTTTATGTTCTCTTTAGTGAAGAGTCTGTTCAAGTCCACTGCCCATATTTTAATTGGACGGTTTCTCATTGTTGAGTTTTAAGAATTCTTTTTATATTCTCAATACCAGTCCTTTGTCAGATATGCAATTTACAAATGTTTTCTCCTAGTCTGTTTAGTGTCTTTTAAGAAACAAAAGCTTTTATTTTGATGAAGTCCAATTAATCAATTTTCCTGTTATAGAATATGGTTTTGGTGTCATGTCTAAGAACTCTTCATCTTAGAGAAATCTTCAGGTCATAAAGATTTTCACTGTGTTTTCTTTGTAAATATTTATAGTTTTATGCTTTACATTTAAATTTATAATCGATTTGAGTACTGTTCTTTCATCTTGTATTTTCCACAAGAGATTGTATATAATTAGTGTTATTCTTTAATAATGGGTAGAATTAATTTGTGTAGCCATCGGGGCCTGGAGATTTCTTTCTTGGAAGGTTTTAACTATAAATTCAATTTATTTAGTAGTTATGACTATATATTTTATTTTTATAAAATAGAAATCTCATCTGGAAGGACTATGTATATTATCTATTTAATTTTGCGTTATATTTGGTGGTTTGCAGTTTCTAAAAGTTGGTCCATTTTCACAAAAATTGTTGAATTTATTGGCAAAAAAAATTTTGATAGTATTCCTTTATTTTTCCTTTCAGTATTTATGGGATGTTTGTAGTAATGTCACATTTCATTTTGAATATTGATAATTTGTCTTTTTTTTTTCTGGTCAGTCTGGCTAGAAATTAATCAATTGTATTGATCTCAAAAAACCAACTTTTGTTTTTCATTGATAAGTTCTATCATTTCTTTCTTTTCTTCTATTTATTTATGTGTTGTCTTTATGTATTTAATTATGCATCTATGTATTTATATAAATAATTACATATAAATATACATATATATTAATGTGAAAGATTATTAGGTTATTGATTTGATAACTTCTAATATAAGCACTTAAAACTAAAAATTTCCCTCTAAATTTTTATATGATACATTTTATTAGGTTCAGAATATTTTCTAGACAATGTTACCTTACTGTCTTTGCCATAGTTAACTAAATTAGGGGTAAGTGTCATAGCTAAAAGCTACATTATATTAGCTGGGCAAGTGACTTATGAGTAGACTAGTGTGAGAAGTCTTCTAAAAATGGACAATGAGACCCAAAAAAATTTGGATTTGGAATTTTCAAAAAGAAAAGAAGCAGAAACCAAGATTAGAGGTGAAGCAGAAACCTAGAAAGACCGAGTTACATGTATGGTAGAGTCACCTCAGTAGGGAACGACAGTTGCCTATTTCAGAGGGAATGACAAGATGACTAAGTAAGACAGCAGGATCATGAATGATGAAGAGTTCATTTTCCATTGTTCTGTGAAAACTGTCCTTCCATCAGCTGAGCTGGGCCCTTGTGCTTTTCTCTTTTCTGTGTAACCCTAACATCCACTTTAATTAGTTATGAAAGGAAGCTTTAATATAAAAGCTTTATTGAGATATAATTTACATATACAGTTCATATATTGAAAGTGCACCATTGAATGGTTTTTAGTACATTTTCAGATTAAAAAAACCGAAGGGAGTTTGTCGTTAGTAAACCTCCATAAGAAATGCTACAAGAGGCCCGGTGCAGTAGCTCACTTTGGGAGGCAGAGGCGGGCAGATTACTTGAGGTCAGAAGTTCGAGACCAGCCTGGCCAACATGGCGAAACTCTGTATCTACTGAAAATACAAAAATTAGCTGGACATGGAGGTACACACCTGTAGTCTCAGCTACTTGGGAGGCTGAGGCATGAGAATTGCTTGAACCCAGCAGGTGGAGGTTTGCAGTGAGCCGAGATCGTGCCATTGCATTCCAGCCTAGGCAACAGAGTGAGATTCTATCTCAAAAAAAAAAAAAGAAAGAAATGCTAAAAGTAGTTTTTCAGGGTGATACAGAAGGATAGTAGACAATAATTCAAAACCATATGAAGAAATAAAGAACTAGAATTTACATAGGTAAATATAAAAACCAATGTTGCATGTTTAAATTGTAACTCTTCTTTTTTCCATACAAATAATAAATGCATAAAGCACTAATTGTAAATCTATATTAATGGTCACACAATGTATAGAGATGTAGTTTGTCACAAACATAAAGGGGAGTGGTGCTGTAAAGAAGCAAGAGTTTTTTTGTATTATTGACACTAACTTGGCATAAAGTCTTTTTTGTCTGATATTCATATAGCCTCTTCAGCTTTATATTTTTGCTCTTTGTGTAATATATAGTTTTCCATCCTCTTACTTTCAGCTTGTTTGTGTCTTTGAGTCTAAAATGTGTGTTCTAAGGCTGGGCGTGGTGGCTCATGTTTGTAATGCTAGCACTTTGGGAAGTGCAGGTGGGTGGATTGCTTGAGCTCAGGAGTTTGAGACCAGCCTGGGCAACGTGGCAAAACCCTGTCTCTACAAAAAACATAAAAATTAGATGGGCGTGGTGGCACACACCTGTAGTCCCAGCTATTTGGAAGGCTAAGGTGGGAGGATCGCTCGAGCCTGAGAGGTGGAGGCTACAGTGAACTGAAGATCATGCCACTGCACTCCAGCTTGGGAGACCCTGTCTCAAAAAAAAAAACAGGTGTGCGTTCTGAAGACAACATATATTGGTCATGTGTTTTTACTGGATGGGACAATCACTGTCTTTTGATTGAATTCATTAATTCATATTTAATATTATTAATATAGTTGAGTTTATGTTTGCCATTTCAATTTTCATTTTTTCGTATTCATGACTTTTTCCCTCTATTCCTCCTTTACTGCTTTTTTTGCATTATATGAATATTTTGGGAGTACATCTTAATTCCTTTTATGATTTTTGTATTATATAGATATTTTAAAAATTATTTTCTTAGTTGTTGCTCTAGGGCTTACTTACCATAATAGGCAGTTGACCCTTGAACAACATAGGGGTTGGGGTACTGACACCCTACACAGTTGAAAATTTATGTATAACTTTTGATTTCCCCAAAACTTAACTATAAGTAGCCTATTGTTGATCAGATGCCTTACTGATAACATAAACAGTTGATTAACACATATTTTATATGTTGTATGTATTATATACTGTATTCCTACAGTAAAAAAAACTAGAGAAAATAAAATGTTATTAAGAAAATTATAAGGAAAACATATTTACTGTGCATTAAGTGAAAATGGATCATCATAAAGGTCTCCATCCACATCATCTTCACATTGAATAGGCTGAAGAGGAGGAAGAAGAAAGGTTGGCCTTGCTCTCTCAGGGATGGTGGAGGAGGTGGAACAGGAGTCAAGAGAGGCAGACCAGATACATTTGGTGTAACTTTACAGAAATACATCATAATTTCTGTCTGATGTTTTTGGTTTTTCATCTCTCTAGAAATGTTTCTATATGGTACCAATCCTCCTTTCACCATTTGCTTTAGTTTCAGTGCCCACATTATAAAAGGGTCCATGTTGTAAAAGAAGTCAAAAGCAGTCTTGAATAATCAGAACTCTTCTGCCAAATTGTCTAATGTCAATTTGTTTTCTGGCACTGCTGCTTCTTATTTGTCCTTATTGTCTGGCACTGATTTGGAAGCACTTATCTCCATCAAATCATCATCTTTTAATTCCTCCGATGTGGTATCTATCTTGAAAAGATTATGAATTTCTCCAGTATCCATGTCTTGAAACCCTTTACCCCCCATCTTTTTTGCCATGTCCACAGTATCTTTCATGATTTTGTTGATTGGCTCTGTTGTAAATCCTGTGAGTCATGCACAACATCTGGACATAGTTTTCTCCAGTAGGAATGTAGTTTTTTAGGCTTGATGGCTTTCATGGCCCTTTTTCCCTTTCCTTTCCTCCCCTTCCCCTTCCCTTTCCCCTTCCCTTCCTTTTTCCATCCCGTCCTGTCTGTCCCTGGCCCCGGCGTGGCCCACGCTGGAGTGCAATGGCGCGATCTTCGGCTCACTGCAACCTCCACCTCCCGGGTTCAAGCAATTCTCCTGCCTCAGCCTCCCAAATAGCTGGGAGACTTTTCTTTTTTTCTTTTCTTTTCTCTTTTCTCTTCTCTCTTCTCTCTTCTCTCCTCTCCTCTCCTCTCTTCTCCTTTTCTTTTCTTTTTTCTTTTCTCTTTGTCTTTCTGTCATTCTCTGTTTCTCTTTCTTTCTCTCCTTCTCTTTCTTTTTTCTCTTTCTTTCTTTCTTATTCCCTCCCTCTTCCCCCTTTCTCTCTCTCCCTTTCTCTTTCTTTTCCTACTCTCCCCTTCCCTTCCCTCCCCTCACCTCAAATGTGATAGCATTTTGTGACTTATTCCATAACAACCATGGGCTAAACACAGTGGCTTGCACCTGTAATTCCAGCACTTTGAGAGGCCAGGTGTTCCAAGACCAGCATGGGAAACATAGCAAGACACCGTCTCTATAAAAAAAAATCCTCACAACGATGGTACCTTCAATAGTATTATCCTCCCAGACTTTTATGGTGTCTTCCCTGTCGAAGTTCTCTTCCATAGCTTGGATCTAGAGACTGAATTAATGTTGTGTTTAGGAGCTAGTAGACCATGTCATTGTCTTCAGTGTTGAACTCATAGGGTTCTGGATGGCCAGGGGCATTGTCCAATGTCAAATTAACTGTAAAAGGCAATTCCTTATTGGCAGAGTACTTCCTCACTTCAGGGAGAAAGCATCAGTGCAATCAATTCAGAAAAAGAGTTCTCCTTGTCCAAGCTTTCTTGTTGTACAACCAAAAGACACTTCACTGGTGTTTATCTTTTTCCTTCATGGATCTGGGTTAGCAGCTTTATTAATAAAGGCAGCCCTGATCATAAACCTGACTGCATTTGCACAAAACAGTAAAGTTAGCCTATCCGTTCCTGCCTTAAATCCTGGTGCTTGCTTCTCTTCCTTACTAATAAATGTTTTTTTGTGGCAATTCTTTTTTCCAGAATAGGGGACTTTCATCTGTGTTAAATACCTGTTCAGGTGGATATTCTTTCTCTTCAAGGATTTTCTTAATGATGTCTGGAAACTCAGCTGCTGCCTCTTGGTCAACAGAAGCTGTTTCTCCTGTTACCTTGACATTTTTGTAGCTAAATCTCTTTCTAAATTTGTCAAACCATCTTTGGCTGACATTAAATTCTCCAACTCTAGATCCCTTACCTTCCTTTGCTTTAAGTTGTCTTATGACTTGACTTTTTCTTGAATGATGTTAGAGGCTATAGGTATACCTTTCTTATAGCAGCCCTGAACACTTATAGAATCTGCATGTCTAATATTACATTGAAAGTTGTTTCCAAAAAAAAGCAGGGTTTTTGTGCCTGCTAGCATAGCTGCATTGATGACTTCATGAATTTTCTTTTATTTTTTACGATGGTCCTTACACTGGATTCATTTATCTGGAAATGGTGGGCAGCCTGCAGCTACAGGCCTCAATCTATGGTACATGTCAAGCAATTTGACTTTTTCATGTAATATCATGACTTTGCTTCTTAGGAGCACTTCCAGCATCACAGATGGCTCTTTGTATGGGTCCCATGGTGTTATTCAGGGTTTACAGTATTACACTAAACAGAATGAAAAATACACAAGAAATATGAAATATCAATTTTTATTGCAATTTGCAATTTACTAGAGAGACAACTGGTGTCACATGGCATTTTAAGCTGATATTCACTGCAATAGTAATAGGAAGTGGCTACAAAATTATTACAGTCATATAGTATGTACTACAGTTAATTTTATGCACTTATGAATTAATACTTCCTCTTTACATTTGTTTACATTTCTCTCAACTGCAAATGGATTCATGTATGGTCTGCAAGTGTTTATATGTGTAAGTTTTAATGTTATAATAGATTTTTGTATATTTTATGGTAGTAAATGATTAAATAGACTTATCTACATATATTTTATGCATTCATGACAGAACTTTTTCTTTTTTATTTTTTTTGATATTTCCAGGCTATGCATTTCATCTGTTTTTTCAAATTGTCGCAAACCTCCAAAAATTTTTCCATTATAGTAATTGAAAAAGATTTCTGCATAAATGGATTCATGCAGTTCAGACCCATGTTGTTCAAGGGTCAACTGTACATCTTAATTTTTCAGAATCTACTTCAAATTTATCATAACTTAATTCTAGTAGCCGGGCGTGGTGGCTCACGCCTGTAATTCCCAGCACTTTGGGAGGCCGAGGTGGGCGGATCACGAGGTCAGGAGATCGAGACCATCCTGGCTAACACGGTGAAACCCCGTCTCTACTAAAAGTACAAAAAATTAGCCAGTCGTGGTGGTGGGCGCCTGTAGTCCCAGCTACTTGGGAGGCTGAGGCAGGAGAATGGCGTGAACCCGGGAGGTGGAGCTTGCAGTGAGCCGAGATCGCACCACTGCACTCCAGCCTGGGGCACGGAGCGAGACTCTGTCTCAAAAAAAAAAAAGAAAATTCTGGTGAGATATATGATATATATGTCATAGATATATATAGCGTAGTTTGTGTGTGTGTGTGTGTGTGTGTGTGTGTGTGTATATATATATATATATATCTGGAGAAAGAGAGAGTCTCACTCTGTCACTCAGGCCGGAGTGCAGTGGTGCCATCTCGGCTCACTGCAACCTCGACATCTGGGCTCAAGGGATCCTTTTCTGCCACAGCCTCCTGAGTAGCTGGGACCACAGGTGTGCACCACCACACCTGGCTTTTTTATTATTATTTTTTGTAGAGACGAGGTCTCCCTATGTTGCCTATCCAGTGATATTTTTAAAATGTGACTCTTTTATAGCTCTATTGATTCTACCCCTTTTTTGTGCTATTATTTGTTATACATTGTGGCGGTAAAAAGTACAATAACTTAGGTGAAAACTCACTAGAGGGGTTCAACAATAGATTTAAACTGACAGAGGAATTAATCAGCAGCCTTGGAGTGGAATCTCTGCACTACAAACATATTGGGAGGAAGCCAGTTTGGGTCCCGGTATTTTTGGCCTGCTCCATCTGGTGTAGAGCCTCCACCTTATGAATGTGGTTTGGGCATAAGAAGGGAGCTCCAGACCTCTCTGCTGTGCAAACCTGAAACTTAGCCCCCATAACATGGAGCTGGGGGGGAAGAGATGTACTGGTCACCTGTTTTTCTGGAGAGATACCATATCTCTTTGGAGCTGTAGGAAAGAGGAGTCCCTTCTTCTTCTTTATATCAACTGGAGTAGGGTTTCTGTCACACTAAGTTTGGTGGAGATGGTGAACGAGCAGTTCACTCAACTGTCCCAGACTTTCTTACCAAGAATTAGTAGATTTTCTTCAAAAATGTTTTTTCATCTGATGGCCTTAGAAGAATTACAGAGACTTTACATGGTGGTTTTTAAAAAATAATTTTCATTAGTTGTAGTTGATTCACCGGAAAGCATGTCCATTGAACCCTACATGCTTCCATTCTCAAAGTTGATCTCTTTCTTGAAATGCTTTTTTCTTATTTATTTATTTATTTATTTATATAGGTTATTGGAGAACAGGTGGTATTTGGTTACATGAGTAAGTTCTTTAGTGGTGATTTCTGAGATTTTGGTGCACCCATCACCCGAGCCGTATATACTGCACCCAATTTGTAGTCTTTTATCCCTTACCCCCTTCCCACCCTTTCCCCTTAAATCTCCAAAGTCCACTGTGTCATTCTTATGCCTTTGTGTCTTCGTAGCTTAGCTCCCACTTATGAGTGACAACATACGTTTGGTTTTCCATTCCTGAGTTACTTCACTTAGAATAATAGTCTCCAGTCATCCAGGTTGCTGCAAGTACCATAAATTCATTCCTTTTCATGGCTGAGTAGTATTTCATTGTATATATGTACCACAGTTTATTTATCCATTCGTTGATTGATGGGCATTTGGGTTGGTTCCACATTTTTGCAGTTGCAAATTGTGCTGTTAAACACATGTGTATGCAAGCATCTTTTTTGTGTAACGACTTTTCCTCTGGGTAGATCCCCAGTAGTGGGATTTCTGGATCAAATGGTAGTTCTACTTTCAGTTCTTTAAGGAATCTCCACACTGTTTTCCATAGTAGTTGTACTAGTTTATGTTCCCACCAGCAGTGTAGACGTGTTCCCTGTTCACTGCATCCACACCAACATCTCTATTATGCTTTGATTTTTTGATTATGACCATTCTTGCAGGAGTAAGGTGGTATTGCATTGTGGTTTTGATTTGCATTTCCTTGATCATTAGTGATGTTGAGCATTTTTTCATGTTTGTTGGCCATTTGTATATCTTTTGAGAATTGTCTATTCATTTCTGAAGCCCACTTTTTGATGGGATTGTTTGTTTTTTTCTTGCTAATTTGTTTGAGTTCGTTGTAGATTCTGGATATTAGTCCTTTGTCAGATGTGCCGAGACCAGCTCGGTCGGGGAGACCCTAACCCAGTGGCGCTAGAGGAATTAAAGACACACACACAGAAATATAGAAGTGTGAAGTGGGAAACCTTCAGGGGTCCCACAGCCTTCAGAGCTGAGAGCCCTGAACAGAAATTTACCCACATATTTATTAACAGCAATCCAGTCATTAGCATTGTTTCTATAGATATTAAATTAACTAAAAGTATCCCTTATGGGAAACAAAGGAATGGGCCGAATTAATTGCAGCAGGAACACACCCTTAAGACACAGGTCGCTCATGCTTTTGTTTGTGGCTTAAAAATGCCTTTAAGCAGTTTTCTATCCTAGGTGGGCCAGGTGTTCCTTGCCCTCATTCCCGTAAACCCACAACCTTCCAGCTTGGGTGTTAGGTCCGTTATGGACATGTTACAGTGCTGCACAGATTTTATTTATGGCCAGTTTTGGGGCCAGTTTATGGCCAGATTTTGGGGGGCTTGTTCCTAACAGTCAGATGTATAGATTGTGAAGATTTTATCCCATTCTGTGTGTTGCCTGTTACTCTGCTGACTGTTCCTTTTGCCGTACAAAAGCTCTTTACTTTAATTAAGTCCCAGCTATTTATCTTTGTTTTTATTGCATTTGCTTTTGGGTTCTTGGTCATGGAATTTTTGCCTAAGCCAATGTGTAGAAAGGTTTTTCTGGTGCTATCTTCTAGAATTTTTATATTTTCAGGTCTTAGATTTAAGTCCTTGATCCATCTTGAGGTAATTTTCGTATAAGGTGAGAGATGAGGATCCAGTTTCATTCTCCTACATGTGGCTTGCCAATTATTGCAGAACCATTTGTTGAATAGGGTGTCTTCTCCCGACTTTATGTTTTTGTTTGCTTTGTCGAACATCAGTTGGCTGTATTTGGGTTTATTTCTGGATTCTCTATTCTGTTCCATTGGTCTTCATCCCTATTTTTATACCAGTACCATGCTGTTTTGATGACTATGGCTTATAGTATAGTTTGAAATCAGATAATGTGATGCCTCCAGATTTGTTCTTTTTGCTTAGTCTTGCTTTGGCTATGTGGGCTCCTTTTTGGTTCCATATAAATTTTAGGATTGTTTTTTCTAATTCTGTGAAGAATGATGGTGGTTTTTAAATGGGAATTGCGTTTAATTTGTAGATTGCTTTTGACAGTATGGTCATTTTCACAATATTGATTTTACTCATTCATGAGGATGGGCTATGTTTCCATTTGTTTGTGTCATCTATGATTTCTTTCAGCAGTGTTTTGTAGTTTTCCTTGTAGAGGTCTTTCAAGTCCTTGGTTAGGTATATTCCTGAGGTTTTTTTTTTTTTTTTTTTTTTTTGCAGCTATTGTAAAAGAGGTTGAGTTCTTGATTTGATTCTCAGCTCGGTTGCTGTTGGTGTATAGAAGGGCTACTGATTTGCGTACATTAATTTTGTATCTGGAAACTTTGTTGAAAAACTTTCTTTTATCAGTTCTAGGAGCTTTCTGGAGGAGTCTCTAGGGTTTTCTAGGTAAACAATCATATCATCAGCAAACAGTGACAGTTTGACTTCCTCTTTCCTTATTTGGGTGCCCTTTATTTCTTTCTCCTGTCTGATTGCTCTGGCTAGGACTTCCAGTACTATATTGAAGAGGAGTGGTGAGAGTGGGCATCCTTGTTTTGTTCCAGTTCTTGGAGGGAGTGCTTTCAACTTTTCCCCATTCCGTATTATGTTGGCTGTGGGTTTGTCATAGATGGCTTTTATTACATTGAGATATGTCCCTTGTATGCTGATTTTGCTGAGAGTTTTAATCATGAAAGGATGCTGGATATTGTCGAGTGCTTTTTCTGTATCTATTGAGATGATTATGTGATTTCTGTTTTTGATTCTGTTTATGTGGTATATATCATATTTATTGACTTGCATATGTTAAACCATCCCTGCATTCCTGGTATGAAAGCCACCTGATCATGGTGGATTATCTTTTTGATATGTTGCTGGATTCAGTTAGCTAGTATTTTGTGAAGAATTTTAGCATCTATGTTCATCAGGGATATTGGTCTGTGGTTTTCTTTTTTGGTTATGTCCTTTCCTGGTTTTGGTATTAGGGTGATACTGGCTTCATAGAATGATTTAGGGAGGGTTCCCTCTTTCTCTATCTTGTGGAATAGTGTCAATAGCATTGGTACCAATTCTTCTTTGAATGTCTGTTAGAATGCTGCTGTGAATCCTTCTGGTCCTGGACTTTTTGTTGTTGGTAATTTTTTTTATTACCATTTCAGTCTTGCTGCTTGTTATTGGTCTGTTCAGAGTATCTAATTCTTCCTGATTTAGGCTAGAAAGGTTGTATCTTTCCAGAAATGTATTCATCTCCTCTAGGTTTTCAAGTTTATGCACGTAAAGGTGTTTATAGTAGCCTTGAATGATCTTTTGTGTTTCTGTGGTGTCAGTTGTGATATCTCCCGTTTTCATTTCTAACTGAGCTTATTTGGATTTTCTCTCTTTTTTTTTTTTTTGGTTAATCATGCTAATGGTCTATCAATTTTGTTTATCTTTTCAAAGAACCAGCTTTTTGCTTCATTTATCTTTTGTATTTTTTTGTTTCAATTACATTTAGTTCTGCTCTGATCTTGGTTATTTCCTTTCTTCTGCTGGGTTTGGGTTTGATTTGTTCTTGTTTCTTTAGTTCCTTGAGATGTGACCTTATATTGTCTGTTGGTGCTCTTTCAGACTTTTTGTTGTAGGCATTTAGGGCTATGAACTTTTTTCTTAGCACCACCTTTGCTGTATCCCAGAGGTTTTAATAGGTTGTGTCAGTATTGTTGTTCAGTTCAAAGAATTTTTAAATTTCCATCTTGATTTCATTTTTGACCCAGTGATCATTCAGGAGCAGGTTATTTAATTTCCATGCATTTGCATGATTTTGAAGGTTCTTTTTGGAGTTGATTTCCAGTTTTATTCCACTGTGGTCTGAGAGAGTGCTTGATATAATTTCAATTTTCTTGAATTTATTGAGGCCCATTTTGTGGCTTGTCATATGGTCTATCTTGGAGAATGTTCCATGTGCTGTTTAATAGAATGTGTATTCTGCGGTTGTTGGGTACAATGTTCTGTATATCTGTTAAGTTCATTTGTTCCAGGGTATAGTTTAAATTGTTTCTTTGTTGACTTTATCTTGATGACGTGTCTAATGCTGTCAGTGGAGTACTGAAGTCTCCCACTATTATTGTGTTGCTGTCTATCTCATTTCTTAGGTCTATTAGTAATTGTTTTATAAATTTGGGAGCTCCAGTGTTAGGTGCATATGTTTAGGATTATAATATTTTCCTGTTAGACAAAGCCTTTTATCATTATATAATGTTCCTCTTTGTCTTTTTAAACTGCTGTTGCTTTAAAGTTTGTTTTATCTGATACAAGAATATCTACTCCTGCTTGCTTTTGGTGTGTCTCTTGAAGGCAGCAGATAGTTGGTTGGTAAATTCTTATCTATTCTGCAGTTCTGTATTTTTTAAGTGGAGCATTTAGGCCATTTACATGCAACGTTAGTATCGAGATGTGAGGTACCATTCTGTTCATTAATTGTTTCATTTGTTGTCTGTAGACCTTGGGTTTTTTTGTTTGTTTGTTTTATAGGTCCTGTGAGATTTATGGTATAAAGAGGTTCTGTTTTGATGTGTTTCCAGGATTTGTTTCAAGATTTAGAGCTCCTTTTAGCAGTTCTTGTAGTGCTGGTTTGGTAGTTGTCAATTGTCTCAGCATTTGTTTGTGTGAAAAAGACTTTATCTTTCCTTCACTTATGAAGCTTAGTTTTGCTGGGTACAAAATTCTTGGCTGATAATTTTTTTTTTTTTTTTTTCGAGATGGAGTCTCACTCTGCTGCTCAGGCTGGAATGCAATGCTGTGATGTCAGCTCACTGCAACCTCTGCCTCCCGGGTTCAAGCAATTCTCCTGCATCAGCCTCCTGAGTAGCTGGGATCACAGACATGTGCCACCATGACCAGCTAATTTTTGTATTTTTAGTAGAAACGGGGTTTCACCATGTTGGCCAGGCTGGTCTCAAACTCCTAACCTTGTGATCTGCCCACCTAGGCCTCCCAAAGTGCTGGGATTACAGGCGTGAGCCATCACGCCTGGCCTATTGGCTGATAATTGTTTTGTTTGAGGAGGCTGAAGACAGGGCCCCAATCACTTCTAGGTTGTAGGGTTTCTGCTGAGAAATGTGCTGTTAATCTGATAGGTTTTCCTTTATAGGTTACCTGGTGTTTTTGCCTCACAGTTCTTAAGATTCTTTCCTTTGTCTTAACTTTATATAACCTGATGACAATGTGCCTGGGTGATGATCTTTTTGTGATGAATTTCCCAGGTGTTCTTTGAGTTTCTTGTATTTGGATATCTAGTTCTCTAGCAAGACCAGGGAAGTTTTCCTCAATTATTCCCCTAAATATGTTTTCCAGACTTTTAGATTTCTCTTCTTTTTCAAGAATGCTGATTATTCTTAGGTTTGGTCATTTAACATAATCTCAGACTTCTTGGAGGCTTTGTTCATATTTTCTTGCTCTTTTTTCTTTTTGTTGGATTGGGTCAATTCAAAAACCTTGTCTTCGAGCTCCGAAGTTCTTTCTTCTGCTTGTTCGATTGTGTTGCTGAGACTTACCAGAGCATTTTACATTTCTATAAGTGCGTCCATTGTTTCCTGAAGTTTTAATTGTTTTTTATTTATGCTTCCTATTTCATTGAATATTTCGCCCTTCACTTCTTGTATCATTTAAAAAAATTTCCTTACATTGGCCTTCGCCTTTCTCTGGTGCCTCTCTGATTAGCTTAATAACTAACCTTCTGAATGCTTTTCAGGTAGCTCATGGATTTCTTCTTGGTTTGGTTCCATTGCTGGTGATCTAGTGTAATTTTTGGGAGGTGTTAAAGAACCTTGTTTTATCATATTACCAGAGTTGGTTTTCTGGTTCCTTCTCATTTGGGTAGGGTCTTGTCAGGGAAGGTCTAGGGCTCAAGGCTGTTGTTCAGATTCTTTTGTCCCATGAGTGTTTCCTTGATGTAGTACTCTCCTTTTCCTAGGGATCCCTTTTCCTAGGGATGTGGCTTCCTGAGAGCTGAGCTGTAGTGATTGTTATATCTCTTCTGGATCTAGTCACCCAGCAAGTCTTCCAGGCTCCCTGCTGGTACTGGGGGTTTTCTGCACAGAGTCCTGTGATGTGAACTGTCTGTGGGTCTCTCAGCCATGGATACTGGCACCTGCTCTGGTGGAAGTAGCAGGGTTGAAATGGACTTTGTGAGGGTCCTTAGCTTCGGTTGATTAGTACACTATTTTTGTGCTGGTTGGCCTCCTGCTGGGAGGTGGTGCTTTCAAGAGAGCATCAGCTGTGGTAGTATGGGGAGGAACAGGTGGTGGGAGGGACCCTAAAACTCCCAAGAGTATATGCCCTTTGTCTTTAGTTACCAGGGTAGGTAGGGAATGACAGTTAGATGGGGAAAGGGCTAGGTGTGTCTGAGCTCAGACTCTACTTGGGCAAGTCTTGCAGCATGCTGCTGCTGTGGGGATGGGGGTGAGGTTCCCAGGTCAATGGAGTTATGTTCCTAGGAGGATTATGGCTGCCTCTCCTGTGTCATGCAGGTTGTCAGGGAAGTCGGGGGAAAGGCAGCAGTCACAGGCCTCATCCAGCTCCCTCACAACCCAAAGGGCCAGTCTCACTCCCACTGTGTTCCCGACAACAGCACTGAGTCTGTTTCCAGGCAGTGGGCGAGCAGGCCTGAGAACTTGCCCCAGGCTACCTGCCTCCCAGCTGCAGAAGTAAGTAGGGCTTTCCTTCTTCCCCCGCCTGTGGAGTCTGCACGCTGGATTCATGTCCTAGCCTGTGTTCTGGCCAGAAGACTTCTTGATTGGTTCAATTTGTTACAGAGTTCAGATGGAGGTTTCCTTTTCCCTGTGGCCTTTTCCCCGTGCCTCTGGCAGCCCTCCTCAAGGACCCCTGTGAGGCGAGGCAGAAATGACTTGCTGGGGGACCCAGTGAGCCTATAGGGCTTTTCCTGCTGCTTCCTCTACCCCTGTATTTCATTTGGCTCTCTAAATAGACTCGGCTCCAGGTAAGGTCAGAATCTTCTCCCATAATCCAGACCTTCAGGTTCCCCAGTGGGGGTGTGTGTTTGGGGGCAGATGATCTCCCTTTCCCACTTCCACAGTTTGAGCACTCACAGGATTTGGGGAGGTGTCTCTTGGGTCCTGCAGGAGCAATCCACTTCCTTCAGAGGATCTGTGGATTCTCTTGGCTTTCCTAATGTATTCTTGCAGTCATTCTGGAGCAAAAGTTCATGATGTGAGCCTCTATACGCTGTTCTGTCCCTCCAAGTAGGAGCTGCAGTCTCGTCCTACCTCCTGTCCGCCATGATTTTCCATATCTTGAATTGCTTTTGTAGCTAGTGTGTAGACTGTGTACACAGTGCTATCAGGGTAAGAGGTTCATAAGATGATGATCCTGCAGGTAAAGGATTATTATTTTATGCTTGAGGAAACTAATTATTAATATTGCTTAAGTTGGACTCAAGTCAAAATTGTATTGTTTCTAAATCCCAGCTTGTTTTCCACTGATTGATGTATAATGATTTTGAGTCATGGTTTTAATGAGTTGATTTCATAGTCTTCATATAACAAGTATATTAGTTATGTACTGCTGTATTAAAGATTACCCAAAAACTTAATGGTTTAAAACAACAATATACGTTTTTTATCATCATCTGAGTCAGGAATTCAGAGGTAACTTAGCTAGGCAGTTGTTGCTCAGTGTCTCTCAAGAAATTGCTTTGAGTATATCTACCTAAGCTATAGTCAACTGAAAGCTTAATTGAGGCTGGAGGTTCTGTCTCCAAAGTGGCTCACTGAAATGGCTGGCAATTTTCTTTCTTTTTCTTTTTTTTTTTAAGGGGCAGGGCCTTGCTCTTTCACCCAGACTGGAGTGCAGTGGTGTGATCATTGCTCACTGCAGCCTGGAACTCCTGGGTTCAAGTGATCCTCCTTCCTCAGCCTCCCAAGTAGCTGGGACTACAGATAAGCCACCATGACTGGCTAATTTTTTAAATAATTTTTTTGTAAAGATGGGGTCTTGCTATGTTGCCTAGGCTGGTCTTGAACTCCTAGGCTCAGGCAATCCCTGCACACAGGCTTACCAAAGTACTGGGATTACAATCATGAGCCACTGCACCTGGCACGCCTTATGGGCTTCTGTTTAACAGGCTATTTGGATGTTCTCACAACATGGCAGCTGGCTTTCCTGAGGGTAAGTAATCCAGGAGCTAGGAACTGTCAGGCAGAAGCTCTCCTTTTTATGGTGTAGCCTTGGAAGTCACATAGCATCACTTCCACCACATTATCTTCGTTGAAAACAATTTACTAAGTCTGACTTACATTCAAGGGAAAGGGAATTAGGCTCCACCTCTTGAAGTGAAGTGTATTAAAGAAATTTATGAACATATTTTAAAACTACCTTAACAAGAAGAGACAAACTGATTTCTGTTTGCCATTGCATTATCTTTGATTAAAACTCAGAAAAATAACTGCTTGTTTTCTTGAGTTTCTGAACGTCTCCATATATTATGTCTGGTTGCACCTTATAGTCTCCAAAATTTAAGGATCAGTTAGAATCAAGTTTTCTTGATATTTTTGTCCTTTTTCAGGACAGGAAATGACTCTGGGATTTCTCATACTTCTCATCATGGCCCTTTATCTATCCCAATTCTTAGATTTAGTTTCTAAATACAAAAAGGCCATAGTTGCCCCCAGATCCTATTTATTAGGATACTTGCACTTGAGCTGAAATGGTGATGAGATTCTCTATGTCATTGAGACAGAGCCCCATTTAGGTTAACAAAGTTTGTGATGACTGTTCTGTTTTCTAATCAGGCATTGAGCTGTGACTGTGCCGAGCAGGCAGAAGCTGAGCTCTGGATAGAGCTGCTCAATGCTTGTTGTCTGGCCAATCAGACAACAGAGTGGGTGAGGGAAGAAGGTGGGGAATTGTGGAAGAAGATGATGTGCAGTAGGATAGATTTTTTTTCCTTGTCAAGAATATTGACATTTTTAGATAGGAATGAGGATTTATTGAAATAATCCACATGACTACAAGGCATAAATGCTTGGATATAGTAGACTCTAAGATAAAAAATATTTTTCTGGCCAGGTGCGGTGGCTCACACCTGTAATCCGAGCACTTTGGGAGGCCCAGGTGGGCGGATCACCTGAGGTCAGGAGTTTGAGACCAACCTGGCCAACATGGCAAAACCCTGTCTCTACTAAAAATACAAAAATTAGCCAGGCATGGTGGCTCATGCCTGTAATACCAGCCACTTAGGAGGCTGAGGTACAAGAATTGCTTGAACCTGGGAGGTTGGAGGTTGCAGTGAGCAGAGATTGTGCCACTGTAATCCAGCCTGGGTGACAGAGTGAGACTCTGTCTCCAAAAATAAAAAAGAAATTTTCTTAGGAATGCCATAAATTGGTGAGCATTTTTCAGTTTATAGATTTCCAGACTCACATCTTATGGAAAAGCTAATTTAGTACCCTTTCTTCCTGCATTTTACATGTAAGAAATCTGAAATCCAGTGAAGTTAGTATCAGCGAAGGAGCTAGAAGGATAACTCTTGGGATCTCTAATCCAGTTTTTTATTCAGTGTTATGCATTGTCTTAAATGGCCTGTAAGGCTTTGTGTGGTCTGGTTCCTTGATAGTTCTTCATCTTCATCTCATCCTTCCTCTTCATTCTTCCTCTGAGCTGGCCTTCTTGTTAGTCCTGAAATAAATTTTGCCTCAGGGCTTTGGCACTTGATGTTTCTTCTGGTTTGGAAACTCTTCTTCCAGATATCTACATGTCTTTTCCCTGTCTTCCTTTATATCTCTGCTCAGATGTCACTTTATCTGAGATTTCCCTGACTACTCTATCTAAAGCATTCCCCAGCCCCTGCCTCATCATTTTCCCCCTAACTGCAGTATTTTTTAAAATTTTACATTACCACATTATGTATTTGTTTATTATTTCCTTCACTAAAATGTAAATTCTATGAAGGCAGGTATTTGATAACTGTTATATCTTCTAGTTCTTAGAACAGTGACAGAGAGTAAACATTCAATGTAATGTAAGTCAAATTATGTTACTCCTTTGCTCAAAACCTTCCTGTTTCATTCACAGCAAAAAACCAAAGCCTTCAAAATGGCCTATGTTATGGACAGAATTTTGTCCTCCCCAAATTTATGTGTTGAAGTCCTAACTCCCCACACACCTCAGAATGTGGCTGTATTTGGAGATTGGACTTTTAAAGAGGTGATTATGATTAAATGAGGTCATAAGGGTGGGGCCCTAATCCAATATGATTAGCGTTCTTATAAGAAGAGGAAGATTCATGTGCATAGAGAAAAGACCATGTGAGGACACGGTGGGAAGGCAGCCAACTGCAAGCCAAGGAGAGAGATGTCAAGAGAAACCAAACCTGTTGATACCGTAACTGTGGACTTGAAGCCTCCAGAATGGAGAGAATTAATTTCTGTTGTCTAAGCCACCCAACTTGTGGTGATTTGTTACGGCAGCCCTAGCACACTAATCCAGCAAGTGTTTCCAGCTCCCCTCCACCTCATCTCCCGTGTCCTCTCTTAATTATGCTGTTGTGGCCTCTTTGGCCTTTCTGCTTTCTCAAGTACAGCAAGCTGGCATTCACCTCAGAGCTTTTACATTTTACTTTCACTCTTCCTGGAATACTCTTCCTCCTAGATTCTATACTGCTTATTCACACACTTGTCAGATTTCTGTTCAAATGTTGCCTTCTTAGTGATGCCTTTCTTGACCATCTCATTTCAAATTGCAGCCTCTGTTATGTGTCCTGATCTTGCTTTGTTTTCCTCCATAGCGTTTGTCACCATCTGACATACTATAAATGTACTTGTTAATTGTCTGTCTCCTTGATCAAGGCTGTACGTGCCATGAGGGCAGGAGTGAGTGTTGCCTTTTGGTTTGCTACTCACTCCTTGATGGCTAGAATAGTTCCAGGCACAGAGTGCACCCTCAAGTAATATTTTGTTCTGCGTTCTTTTATGTAAGGGTCAGTCAGGTGCGGCCACAAGAGGAGTTCCAGGAGAAGCTCAGGGAAACAAAGTTTACTATGCTCCCAGGTCCTAAAAGCAGGAGGCACGCTCTGCCATACAGGGCCACATGAGGAAACACCCAAGTCTGTCAGGAGGCAGAAGGGGCAGGAACGAGTGGCAGGAGGAGGAGCCCAGGCCAAGGCCTTTATTGGAGTTTCTCGGGAAAGGGAAGACAGAGCAGGGTAAACAGCTCAGGACTGGCTAGTTTGAAACATTTCCACAGGCTCTAAGTTATAGGAGTGGTCTGTGGTTGCCTGGTACCTGACCCTGGGATGACTAAGGCAGAGGAATATTGCCTCCTGGGGTATACCTGCCAGATAGAGGAGGATGGCTCTGAATTGGTAGTTTGCATATCAAAGTCAAGCTCCTGGCTGAACTTTGCCTTCTCTAAGAATTGGCTAGCCCCAGGAGTGGCAATTTCTCCCCAGCCAGAAAGGTTAATAAGATGTCAAACATCATAATATACAGAAAATAAAAACATAAACAATACATATTTACTGGCTCAGTTAATGAAATGGCCCTGACTCAGAGGTAGACAGATAGATCGTTAAACCAGACTAGAAGAGCCATAAATCCATTTTTATACATGGGAATGAAATAGTTTTTGTTATTTGCTTTTTAAGGGGAAGATATATTTCAATTATGTGAAAAAGGATGGTTTACTTAACAGCTGGAACCTTCATGATTGCCTTTATTCATTTGGAAGAAAATGAAGCTAGATCTACCTCATACCATAAAAATTATGTTAGATTGATTAAACATCTAAATGTAAAAAATAAAATTGTGAGGTTGTAAACAAAAGTGAACAATTATGAACTGTGAAGTTTAGATAACTCAGGAGAATTTTGTGTAATTTCTGGGTGTGTATGCTTCAAGGGAGTGGGATGAAAAGAAGACTCAGAAGTCATAAATGAAAAGATTGATAGATTTGATTTCATGACCATTTAGTTTATAATAGCAAAAGATAGAAACAAAATTTCAGTGAGGAGAAACTAATTGCCACATATTTGACAAATATATAGTGAGAGCTACCTCCTGATAAGAGACAATCACTTCACTAGAAATATGCACAAATAATATGAAAAAGAGTTTTTTTAAATGAAGAAATACACATGGCTCCTGCCAAAGCCTGGGCACGGGAGCCTGGCTGGGAGTTCACCCTCGGCCCCTTTGTGTTGCCAGTTTATTATCACCAGATAAAACAGTTAAATGGAGACTTAAAAAAAAAAAGAAAGAAATACACCTGGCTAGTAGATATGAAAAGATGCTTGACAGTGACACACACACACACACGCACACACACACATACACACCATCAGAGTCATTCATTCTTTCAAGAAATATTTGCTGATTTTCTACTGCGTACCAACTATCATTCTCTGTATTGGAAATAAAGCAGTGAAGAAAACAGACAAATATCCCTGACCTCAGGGAGCTTACATTTCTAGTGGAGGAAGATGGAAAAGAAACAAATAAATAAATTATTGGTATATCAGAAGGTGATAAGTGCTGTGCAAATAAATAAAGCCATATAAGGGGCCCACATAAAGGAAATGAAAGAAATTTCATAAGTTACTTTGCCTAACTCTAGGGAAATGTTTGAAAATCTAGATGAAATGGATGCTTTTCAAGCAAAATATAAATTACCAAATTCATTGTGGAAGAGAGAGAAATTCTTATCCAACTAAATATCATAAAGTATCAAGAGAAAATTAGAGAAGAACAACTCTCAGAAAAAGCACCAAACAAGATATTTCAAAGGTGAATTATTTCAAACTTTAAAGAACAGGTAAGTCCAATGATATTTAAAGTATTTCAGGTTTGAGAAAGAAGTGAGTTTGTAGGGAAATGGTTATTTTCTTTTTTTTTTTTTTTTTTTTTGAGACAGAGTCTGACTCTGTCACCCAGGCTGGAGTGCAGTGGCGTGATCTCGGCTCACTGCAACCTCTGCCTCCTGGGTTCAAGTGATTCTCCTGCCTCAGCCTCCCGAGTAGCTGGGATTACAGGCGTGCACCACCACAGCCAGCTAATTTTTATATTTTTAGTAGAGATTGGGTTTCACCATGTTGGTCAGGCTGGTCTTGAACTCCTAACCTTGTGATTCACCTGCCTCAGCCTCCCAAAGTGCTGGGATTACAGGCATGAGCCACCTTGCCCTGCCTATTTTCTTACATATTTAGTGGAAGTGACACTTTGTAGAAACTTTTTGGGAAGTTTTTCTACAACACCTATTAAAATTAAATGTATGTACACACATATACATTTAATCTAGCATTCCCACTATGATGATTCTAGCCTTTAGAAATTAAAGCATAATTTGGTAAGTCTTTGTATACAGCAGTGTTTGCAGTAGCAAAAAGACTGGAAACAACTTCAGTGTTCAACAACAGGCTGAATAATTGCTGAGGCAGCTATACTATGAATATTATACAATTATTTAAAAAAGGATTATATGGTTTACTTGGAGAAATGTCAGTAATCAGAAAAGCAAATAGCTAATGTGTGAAAAAAGAAAACATTTCCTGTTACATGCAAATAATGTGTTTGTATGAATATAAAGAAATGTATGGAAGGAAACTTATCAAATGTTAACATGGGTTATTTGGTGTTTAGGGGGAGCTTGTTGGCTTTTTCTTTGTTGTTTTTGATTTGTTGTCCCTAGCAGGATTTTTGGTTTGAAATGAAAATCCGATAAGATATCTTTTTAAAACGACTTTTCTTTTTAGTCTTTCAAATGCTTGTTTTAATGTGAATAAAAGAAATGCATTTGCTTGAGTGCTAGGTAAAACCGATGTGTGAGACTCAGGGTGGGTGGTGTGATTTGTGTGGTATGCATACGGCAGGGCTTGTAGCTTTACCAGATTTTGAACAATGACTGGGTTTTCATATTGGTGTAGTACAGCCACCTCGAGAAGATAAAACATTGCATAACACAGTTCTTTAACGTCTGTCATCCCAAGGTTTTCCATGGGTAAAATGGAGATTACAAATATCTACCACACAGATAGGGCTTTTTATTGTGAAATGACAAAAGGATTTTCAGAGTGTTAAAGTTTTAGCTGAATAGCTTTGGTTGAATTCTACTTTACAGTTTTGAGTAGCTATGACACACATCATTGCCATAGGGATCAAAAGGTGCAAGGTGACAGGATAAAAGCAGGCAAAATCTTGACCATACAAAGCATTATATTAACGTGCTAGGCGCGAATATAACCTGTTATAATATAATGTTGTTATTATTATTTGAGATGGAGTCTCACTCTGTTGCCCAGGCTGGAGTGCAGTGGTGCAATCTTCCCTCACTGCAACCTCCGCCTCCCGGGTTCAAGCAATTCACCTGCCTCAGCACCCCCTAGTAGCTGGGACTACAGGCGCGCGCCACCGGCTATTTTTTGTGTTTTTAGTAACGGGGTTTCACCCTGTTGGCCGGGCTGGTCTCGAACTCCTGACCTCAGATGATCCACCCACCTCGGTCTCCCAAAGTGCTGGGATTACAGGCGTGAACCACCGCGCCTGGCCATATAATGTTATTATTGAAGGCACAAATGATCAGGGAAGACTTCATGAAGGAGGTGAGACAATATAGGTCTTAAAAGGATGAGCGGTTTGGAGAGGACAGGCACAGAACCAGCAAAAGAGTGAAGACGGCGCTGGAGTTTTTTTTTTTTTTTGCCGCACGCCTTCGCCGCCACCACGCGGGAGCGCCCCTTCCGGGAGCCCGCTCCGCCCGGCTCTTCTCGGGCTTCGGGCGAGCGCGGTGCCAGCGGTACGCAGGCGCCGGGAGCCTACGAGGGCTCGCAGGAGCTGGGAGGCGCGCATGCGTGCAGCTCTTTGGAGGCGGTAGCGTTTTCGGCGTCGAGACTGGAGGCTGAGTGCTAAACTGTGTGGGGCGCGGATGGGATCCAGCTGTTAGTCGGGTAGGCATAGGTAGGACCGCTGCCCTGTGGGGAGTAGGGGGTTGGAAGGCGGAGGCCGGTATCGTGGGGGTCCTGAGCCCTTCCTGTGAGATCCGGGCCGACTATTGTATCTGTGTCGCAGCGGCTCCGCACAAAATGGCGGCGGGCAGACGGCGGGGGCGGGAGGAGGTTGGGGGACCCCCGGGATGGGAAGGGAAGCTGTGCTGTGCTGCCCTGCTCCGTCGTTTATTCACTTCGCTACCCGGGAGGGCCCGTCCGGGTACTCGTGAAGGACCCTGCCTCGAGAAGAGCTGCCTGACGCCGTTGCACTGGGCCGAGGATCGTGAAGAGCCCTTTGGCGAGGCCGAGGCGGCCCCTTCCCCAGCAGCGCCCGGCCTGCCGAGGCTGCGCTGGGCCTGACAGCCGAGGAAGCGGTGGTGAGGGAATGCCGAGCAGGGAGGAAGCGTTCCCGTCGGGCCCGAAGAGGCGGTGGAGTTTGAGCCGAGCCCTCTGACCAGCGACATTGTGCAAGAAGCGTGGAGAGAAGAGCGTGTTTGTGTTTGGGGTTGGGGAGGGGGTGTCGGGATGAAGGAGGGAATGTTAGGATCCAGCGGCTTTTCCGGGCTGGTGTTCTGTGCTGCGTAGTGCAGGTATGAAACCAAAGAAAATATCACCTCTGTGGGAGACTGAGGACTCATAAATGGTTGTGATACCTAACAGTATTTCCAAATTTCTCAGAGGAATTGTGAAAACAGAACGTTAGTGAATTGTTTTTGTGTGATTCTTAGCTTGGGCCCCGTTCTCTTAAAGGAAGGGGGAATGTATATATCACAGACTGGAATCCTTGAGAACGTTTGAAATAGATCTTTTGTTGTTTGAGGTAATTGTTAATGAGGGATACTTCAGTATTACAAAATCATGGATTGAGCTATAGAGTGAAGGCTACCTGAAGCTAATTTTTCTTAATCTTAAAATTTGTCCTTAGGCGAAGTTTGGGGCCAGGACCAGAAATTGTAGTAGTTTAAAGGAGTCCCGATGAAAAACTTGTCACCAGGATCCAGCGATTTATGTTCAAGTACTTTTTCCAACGAGCTCTGGAATTTTGCACAAAAAATTTTCTGCTTTTTCCCCTCATTTGTTGTAAAGGATTATTTTTTCAGGGATGTTGTGCTTGCTGGTTCAGATTTACAATTAAAAATTGATAACCTGGAGAAAAGGATTGACCAAAAAAAGGTGAATTTAAGGAAGTTTTCGGAGAAAAACAAACATGTAAATGACATTCAAATAGCTTTAAATTTTGTTAATGATTAGACATTTGAGACTTAGTGGACTTATGTTGCTGTCTTTTAAAAAAGTTTGACAGCATTTTATATTTTATTTTGTACTCCATATTCTGTAATATGTACTTCTAAATAATTACAGGGCGTCCCAGCATGTTATACATTAAAATATGCTGGGCCATTCCTTCCTTGGGGATTTATTTGTCTTGGAACCAAGAAAGGGTAAATATAACAGTTGGAAGAAATCACAAAATCTTATTCGTTTTTATTAACTAGTTTTCATAATGTGTTTATGGTCACATATTTATTGTATATTGGTTGTATTTGTTTTGTAATCCTTTTTTGCATTTTGTTTTGGAGGGTGTATACGGCAGGTACTCTAGGTTAAAAAGGTTTAGGTACTGTAGTTTAAAAAAGTCATCACTTTGTACTTGACTATCTTAGGGTTTTTCTTGGGTGCTCTTAAGTAGGTGATCTCCGGAAATTTTGTTTTTATGTAAGTGGAAGAAAATGAGACAAGTAGTTTAGTGGAAAGAGAATAGGCTTTGCAGTCGGAAGATCTGGATTCACATCTCCCTTTTCCTCAGTATGTGTGAGACTTTGGTAAATTATTTTAGTCTTTCTTGAGCTTTTGTTTCCTTATCTCTAAAATGGTGACATTATTACTTCCTGCTTGGGATTTTTGTGAGTGACTGTTAAGTGAGACAGTGTATGGAAAGCTCGTATTCCTTGGCACATACTAGGTGCTTAATGTTAGCTGTTACTTGTATTTCAAAATTGAAGTGCTTAGGCAGCATTGTTTGATAGAAAATTATAATCTGTGGGTATTCTCTTCTAATTAAACGGCTTAAAAGGATTTAGAGTAATAGAATTTTGGAGTTGAAAGGCCCTCTAATCTAACTTTCATTAAAATATTTTGTGCTTCTATAAACTTTTTACATGCCTTTCTTGTAGAACTTATCAATATATATTGTAACCATTTATATGATTGTTACGTTAGTCTTTGTATCTTTCCCAGTGCCTGGTATGTATTAGATGCTCAGATGTTGAGTGAATGAACTCAGCTGGTAGTCACCAGAGCCTGGACTCTAAATCATGCTCTTTCCACTGTACCTTAATGTATACTGATTAAGGTTTGGACTAAATTTGTCCAAATCCTTAATAAAATGCCTTATATACTTAGAAACAGTACTTCCAGTATTGGTACCCAGTAACATAGCTTGGGCTGTTTTGCAAGGAAACAGGCGCTAATGAATGCTGCCATGTAGTGGTTTTAGAGACTCTCCAAATTGAAAGTAATTATGTTTGTGGCTAAAGCTAATAAGCCCTCATGTGTATCCAGCTTATCTACTCTTAATTGCTTTAACTTTGTTTAGTGTTTTGAAATTTGTGATGGAAAATTAAAATGGAAGGAAAATAAGTATATAGAAGATGAGAAGAGAATAATGGAAAGGAAAAAGAGTGAGGAAAAGGTGAGATGTAGAAATAAAACACACAACTGTAATAATGCGGGTGAGGGCCGGGTGCGGTGGCTCATGCCTGTAATCCCAGCACTTTGGGAGGCGAGGTGGGCGGATCAGGTCAGGAGATCTAGACCATCCTGGCTAACACGGTGAATCCCCATCTCTACTAAAAATAGAAAAAAAATTAGCCGGGCGTGGTGGCGGGCGCCTGTAGTCCCAGCGACTCGGGAGGCTGAGGCAGGAGAATGGCGTGAACCCGGGAGGTGGAGGTTGCAGTGAGCCGAGATTGCGCCACTGCACTCCAGCCTGGGCGACAGAGCTAGACTCCGTCTCCAAAAAAAAAAACAAAAAAAACTCCGGTGAGGGTTAAGAATAATAAGGGTTTTGGTTTGAAAAGAAAGTCCAGGGTTTTGGTTTGAAAAGAAAGTCCAGGAAACAGGAGAAATAGCTTTAACGTACATTATGTTTTTTTGCTTTGTTTTTGAGACAGGATCTCACTCTTTCTCTAAGGCCACCATGGTTCCCTGCGGCCTCTACCTCCTGGGTGCAAGCGATGTTCCTGCCTCAGTCTCCTGAGTAGTTGGGACAACAGGCACACGTCCCCACACTTGGCTAATCTTTTTTAAAAAAATTCATAGAGACAAGGTCTTGCTGTATTGCCCAGGCTGGTCTCAAACTCCTGGACTCAAACCATCCTCCCACCTTAACCCGCCTAAATTGCTGGGATTACAGGTGTGAGCTATTGCGCCCAGCCTGTTTTCTTCATGGTTACCCTAAGGAACATATATTTTGGATTATTTTTTAATTCTTTTGAACCAAAATATATTTATTGTTCATTCAAGTTTTAAAAAAAATTTCCTATCTTATTTCCACAGTCGGTTAAACTTTTAGCTAACTTGCCTATTGTCTCTGCTGAGTTAAAGTTGCCAACTTTTGTTTTAAATATTTTTACCAAAAAAAAAGAAACAAAACCATTTTACTATGGAAAATTTTAAACATATACAAAAGTAGAGAGAATGATACTAATTCATTCATGTGCCTGTCCAGTTTCAATTATCTAGCTAATGGTCAGTCTTGTTTCATCTCTACTTGCTTATTTTTAAACAAATGCTTCTATCAGTTCAATATATAGTTCAGAATTTTCTCTAGAGTGTTTAGAAGAAAACATGCATATTACACGTAAAACAACAGTAACTATGAGTAATTAATTTTAATGTCAGATATTCAGACAGATATCAAATTTCCCCAGTTGTAACTCACTACCTCCCACCCCCATGCATATGTGGTAAAGGTTGTTGGAGTCAGGATCCAACTAATGTTCATAATTCATTTATAATTGGTTACGATTGATAACTCTCAAGTCTATAAACTCCCCACCTACCTTTTCTTAGAGTTTACTTGAAGAAAAACTTTGCTTTTTATACATTATTTAGATAATCTTTTGCTTCATCAGCATCTGAATTCATGAATTTTGATGTGACTTTAAAAATGTACTTGATAAGGCCGGGGCACGGTGGCTCACGCCTGTAATCCCAGCACTTTGGGAGGCCGAGGCAGGCGGATCATCTGAGGTCGGGAGCTTAAGACCAGCCTGACCAACATGGAGAAACCCCGTCTCTACTAAAAATACAAAATTAGCTGGGGTGGTGGTGCATGTCTGTAATCCCAGCTACTCGGGAGGCTGAGGTAGGAGAATCGCTTGAAGCCGGGAGGCGGAGGTTGCGGTGAGCCGAGATTTGCGCCCTTGCACTCCAACCAGGGCAACAAGAGTGAAATTCCATCTCCAAAAAAAAAAAAAAAAAAAAAAAAAAAACCAAAAAAACACAAGTGCTTGTTAAACAAATTGCTAGATCTCAATATAGGAAATACTGAAAGAAAGGTGGATGTAAGCAATTAACTCCTATGTCTAATATAATTTTCAAAAATTACTCGTCTTACTAAAAGAAAGAAACACCTATTAAGCATTTTGTTTACTGTTGAGCATTTTTTGAGCACCTGTTGCATGTCAGGATTTACAATTTTAGTTAATCTTCACAGCAGCATTCCCAATGGG
This sequence comes from Homo sapiens, assembly GCF_000001405.40. Classification (NCBI taxonomy): domain Eukaryota; kingdom Metazoa; phylum Chordata; class Mammalia; order Primates; family Hominidae; genus Homo; species Homo sapiens. The sequence goes on from NC_000002.12 coordinate 71,336,641, forward strand.
TACTGTTGTTTCATTTTCACAGGATGAAACAGGCTTGGATTAACCAGCTTGCTCCGGGTAACATTGTTAGCAAGCAGTGGGACCAGAGTTATTTCACAGGATGAAATAGGCTTGGATTAACCAGCTTGCTCAGGGTAACATTGTTAGCAAGCAGCAGGACCAGAGTTAAAACACTGAATGTAGGGTCTAAGTTCTTAAAGACTGTGCTGCACTACCTCTCTAAAGCTGAATTAGTAGTGCTAAATTTTACTTAAGGAGTTAACTAATTTTGCATGAAGTCATTCACTGGCACCCCTCCTAGCAGGGTGGGTATCTTCAGATCAGTGGAAATTTCCCCAAAGATTAGATTATTATGGATTGCATAATAGGCTGACTAACAGTCAATAGTTAGGAAGTGAACATGATGTAGAAAAGAAGGGCCAAATCCAAAAATGTGTTTAAGGCTGATGCTCTTTATTATACTGCAGGTTTTCTGCCTCTTGCCATATTGCCTATAGTTTTTTTTTTTTTTTTGACTTTGTATAAAGTAAGAAGATCACATAGTCCAATGTTGGACATGAAATGTTGTGCCATTAACTATATTTGAATGAATTTAAGTGACAGGTGGTGGGGGAGTTCCCTGTCTCCTGCATATATGGTTTTTTCCCGAAAAGTTTGACATTAAGTTGCATATATTGTGGTCCTTTATCTCTAAATACTTCAGTGTGTATTTCCTAAAAATATTTTCTTTCACAGTCATAGTTACCAACTTCAATGAATTTCACGTTTATAAAATCCTTTTTTATTTTTTTGAGGAAGTGTCTGGCTCTGTCACCTAGGCTGGAGTCCAGTGAGTGATCTCGGCTCACTGCAATCTCTGCCTCCTGGGCTCAAGCGATCCTCCCAAGTGGCTGGGAGTACTGGCTCAGGCGCGCACCACCATGCCTGGCTACGTTTTATATTTTTTGTAGAGATGGGATTTTGCCATGTTGCCCAGGCTGGTCTCGAACTCCTGAGCTCAAGCATTCCACCTGTCTCGGCCTCCCAAAGTAGTAAGATTACGTGCATGAGCCAATGCGCAGCCTATAAAATTATTCAGTCTACTATTTGTATTCTGGTTTTTGTCAATTGACCCAATATTGTTTTTTATAGCAGTTTTTTTTTCCCCCTCCAGTACAGGACTAAACTAAGATCAGATGTTGCATTTAGTTGTTATGTCTTTTTAATCTTCCTTAGTCTGGAACATTTCCATAGTCTGCCTTTATCTTTTGTGAAGTTGACATTTTTGAAGAATACAATCTGCTTTGCTTTTCTCTTTAATAGAGCACTTCTCATTTTGGATTTATCTGATGTTTCCTCTTGATTAGATGTAGATTATATGTCCCTGGGCAGAAAAATCACGTAACTAATGCTATGTCCCCAGGATATCAGATCTGGAGATTTACCATTTCCATTTGCCCTTCATGCATGATACTATGTGTGAGCATATGCTATGGTTAAAGTGCTTGTTTCCCCCCACTCCCCCTGGAATTAATCTCTGGAGAGACGTTTTAAGACCATGCAAATATCCTGCTCATTAGAATTTACCTCTGTAACACCCACTCATGATTCTTACCTGAACCATCCTTTACTATGATGGTTGCAAAATGATTTTCTACTCCAACTGTTATTCTACATTTAGTAGTAGGTACTCAGCACTCTATAAGAGCTTCCCTTCTTCCGCATTGATTAATTTATTGCTATGTATTTATGGACTCTGTTTTTTCCAGTGTTTGATAATTTATTACTCTTCAGTTCTTTCTTGCTTTCTCCTATTTCCTATTTGTATTTCTTGTCTTTCACAATGAAAGCCCTAAGTTCCTAGCACCATCAAAACATTTACTTACTTGCTCAAACTTATGATGTATCTAAAGTAGTTTCAGAATTGCTTCATCCATACCACTACAAAAAATAAAATTACTAAAAAGAGTGAAAATTCGTTATTCTTCTCTTTCCCTTAGCTCCATCAAAACTGAGGTACATAAATCGTTTTTTATTTATTTATTTTCCTGGGGGGCTGTAACACTCGGGGTGTGGCCTCCTGTGAGGTACATAAATTGAATAGTGGTTTATAAGTTCTTGGATTAGTTTTCTTTTTCCCCTTCAATGTATTGTGGTATGCATTTGAAATATGATTGGATTAGTTTGCTTTCAGTGTTAGATATTTTTCTCCATCCCATCCTTACTGATTTTAAAAATATATGTAAATTGTTAACATGTTTCCAAAGGTTAAAACTGTATAGTAAGATGCTCCTTGAAATAACATTACCATATCCCTTCAATCCTTTCTATCCATTACCCCTTATAGATTACCAGCTTCATCGTTTTCTGTATTATTCTTCCTTTGTTTCTTTGTGCTAACCATAAAGAGGTATATGTATGTTTTCCTGTTTTCCTTTTTTGTTTAACACAAAAGATGGCATACTGTATGCTCATCTGCACTTGTAAAGACTTCAAGGCTTAAGGCTTTTAATGCATTTAGTCGGTTTAGGTTTTTTTTTTTTTTTTTTATTGAGACGGAGTCTCACTTGCACCCAGGCTGGAGTGCAGTGGCACCATCTCAGTGCACTGCAGCCTCCACCTCCCAGGTGCAAGTAGATTCTCCTGCCTCAGCCTCCTGAGTGGCTGGGATTACAGGCGCCTGCCAGCACACCCGGCTAATTTTTATATTTTTAGTAGAGACAGGGTTTCACCATGTTGGTCAGGCTGGTCTTGAATTCCTGACCTGGTGATCCGCCCTCCTCAGCCTCCCAAAGTGCTGGGATTACAGGCATGAGCCACCGCGCCCGGCCAGTTTAGGTATATTTAATTGAAGATTTTAGAACCCACTTTAGGTAAATGGAAACATTTTTTGGCCATGTTACTCCATGAAGAAAAGCAAATAACCAAATGGCAGAGAGGGCAAGGATGAGTTAGGCTTCAGAAACAATTGGGACTGGATATTGAATACCTTCATTATTGTCTTTACTTCTTGGTCTTGCTTACCTCTGTTCCAGTGGCTTTTGTTGTTGTTGTTGTTTTATGGTGCAGTTTCTCAGTAAAGCAGTAAATAGGGCTGTTAACAGCATTTGAATTTTAGAAACATCTACCACTTTTCTCATTTCTAGTTTAACAAAAAATCCTAGGGAAGATTTCTTTGTTCCAGCTTGGATAAGGTGTTTCCTCTTGGGCTAACCTGTTACACTTACTAGGAGTGTTTAGAGCAAGGCCACCAGTGCACATCTGCGGGGGAGCATCATTTACAATAAATACAATGTTGTGCTCTAGAGGCCTGTTTACGTATGCAGGTCACATGCTCCTAAGAAATAAAAAGGTATATCTTACAATAGCCCATTTATCAAAAAATCATTTTCCTGAAATTGGTAACAATATTAAATCATTGCTATATGGGATTAATGCCTGGTTCTCATGGAGATCTCTTAACATTGTGCATTAGCAGTTTTCCATTTTTTTTCAAATCTGAAATCATGGTGTTTATCAATCCTTGCAGTTAGTAGTGAAATTTGGTGTTGCCCTTCATGATGCCAAATAACGTTTCTAATTTTCTGCTTATTTTTGCTTTCTGTTTCATTGACTGTTTCTTTGAAGGCACCACATTTTGGCATTTTAACGTGAAACATGGTACTCTCTGTCAACACTTGTGGCACCCTCAGAATTGTTACTTGCATGCCTTTTGTGAGACAAGAGAGGACAAAGACTAATAGTAAAGAAGTTGGCTGAGTGGCTTTATCTGCGTGGTAGGAGAGATCAGCAGATTGAGTACCAGGAAAGCACAGAATGACATGTTAGTTTTTATAGCTGAATAAACAATCAGCCTCTTCTATTAACTACCCATTGTAATAACTGCATTCTTAAGTACCAAAGTGAATTTATATATTCTGAGACAAACAGTGCTCTAACAAAGCAGTATCAAATGAGGTATATGGGTGTATGTCTAGAAAAATAATGTTAGTGGTAGTTTTCCCTTTGTGGGAAGATTATAGAATACTTTTTTTTCTTTCCTGCATGTTATAGGGTGGTTTTTCTTTTTGGGGGGCGGATTTTGAAACTGTATTGCTTTTTTATGATTAGAAATAAAGTTATAAAGTAGATTTACACTTAATGTATCTGGTATATGGAAAGAACACCAATGGGAGATGTTGTAATCTTGTTACTTCCTAGCTGTGTTTTACTTAATGTGTGAACTGGAATTCCTTTCCTCTTAAGGTCATTGTGAAGCTCAGACGAGATAATATTTAAAGTGCTTTGTAAACTTTAAAGTAGTGTAAGTCCAAAAGTATGGTGTTTGATATAAATCTTTTCCTTATAAGTCTGATGGAGCCATTATCTGATGGATTGATTTTTGATGATGGTTTTGGATAAAGTCTGCCCATATCTGTAAAGAAAATTAAGGGCTCCCTTCCTTCTGAAAGACTGCATCAAAATAATAGGCAGTTCTTGGTTGTCTGTGGTATTGGAGATCTCAGAAATACCTCACAGGATCTAATAGCGCTATCTTTTCAATTCATCAAGCCGTTTCATCATGGCTTCCTCAAGAACCCAGTTTCTACTATGTTTCTGAAAGAATTTTTATGGTTGACATTATATTGAATATTTCTTGTTTTACAGTGGTATGTTTTAGTTCTTAAAAGGACATAAATGAGAGTTATTAGTTACTTGTTAAAACAGTTCAAAGGTTCAGCATGTTTTGTCACTATTAAGTATCCAGTTTTTGAAAAATAGTAAATTTAGAAAAATAAAATGTCAACTGAAAAGAGCAAATAGTATACTTCTAATTTTGTACAGTGTTTAATATACCCCACCCCCCCATCATGCGTGCATGAACGTACACTAAAGTAGATGAAACTATACCAGAGTATTAATTTACTCTGGGTGATGGTTTTATTGGTAAGGATTTTGTTTGCAGCTTTATTGTTTCTGTAACAAGCACACATTACTTACATAACTAGGAATAAAACATTTATTTTAAAGGGTTAATGCTACTTAATTGCAGTTTTTTCCCCAACAAGTTAATAGTTAAGAACCCTGATCTCAACTCTTCGTTTTTCCAGGTTATTTATTTCATAAGATGACTATCCATAAATCTTCCGATGAACGAACCTCTTTATGACCAGAGCTCCTGGGGTTAAAGGAGAAAGGTTTTATAATGGCTGTCTTAATTTGTTTGGTGGTTTTCCAGGTATTAATGCCAAATTTGCCTTTGTTTAGTTTCTGTTTCTTATCACACTGTTTTCAGGTTACATCATTATCTTAAAAAGGCAGAGGCTTTATTTTCTTCGTTGTGATATAACCTAATTCTTAGAGGTTTCTTACCAAGATCACTTTGCTTGTTTTGCTTAATTTTATTTTCTAAATTTTACAAATTAATATTTTCCACCAAAAGGTGGAACGAAACAAAGACAGCAAAATATCAAACTGTTTAGTAATAGTTAAAAAAGTCAAGTGGGAAGGAAGGTTGAGGCTGAGGCAGGAGAATCGCTTGAACCCAGGAGGTGGAGGTTTCAGTGAGCTGAGGCTGCGTCACTGCACTCCAGCCTGGGTGACAGTGAGACTCTGTCTCAAAAAAAAAAAAAAAAAAAGTCATACTAATATTTAGGACTTAAACTTTTTATTTTGGAAATCTTCAGAAATGTAAAAAAAGCACAGATAAATTCTTAGGGACTCAGCTTCCACAACCAGTATTTTTACGTGTCTTGCTTCATCAAATTCCCTTCATCTACCACCACCACCGCCCCTTGCCCCACTACACATGTTCACTCTTTCCCTCACCTCCGCCCAGATTATTTTAAAGAAAATCTCAGACACATTATTTTACTCATTAAGCACTTGAGCCTGTAACTTTTGCCTCTTTTTGCCAGTGCATCTGTGAATCTACATAGGTAACTGTAGATTTAAAGTTTATAATAGCCAAAGAAAAGGCATTGGGATGATGATGGTGGTGAGAGGAAAAAGAAAAGTACATACGAGAAGTATTGACAGGAATACACTGAATTTTATAGTTAGAAATGGAGATTTTTGTGCGTGCGTGTGTGTGTGTGTCTTGGCAATTTGGTAAGGGAATTGGTGTAGAGAGAGCAGAGGATTGAAAAAGCCACTAAAAACAGTAGCTGACATATGGCATAAGGGATGTTGGTTCCTAACACTTTTTTTCTGTCTTCATAGCTGACGTCTATCAAATAGTCCTGAGGGTGCGAAGACTAATGTTTTAGCTGAAGCTATTTTTTTTTGTCTTGAATATTATGCCTTTGTCAGAAATATGTAGTTAATAAGTTATAATTTACTTTTTATCATTTCCAGTACAACTGTCTTACAGTATTTTATCCAAAGACTTTAGGATACTCCAAATTTTTGAAAATTTGATAAACATGTTTAGTAAGACATTGTTATTTGAAATCTCATTTGTACTAGTTTCCTCAAAACTGTAGAAGATGCCATCCTACAAAACTCAATTCAAGCATTTCTGTCTTCCAGAAATCCTTTTCTGATACCTCAGCCTTGTTATAATACTGACAAACGTTACTGAAATTTGTTTTTTTTCTGTTAGATTGTTGGCACTTTGGCTATAGGAACGCAACTGTATTTTATTTGGCTTTGAAACTAAAAAGTAGCCTGGTGACTGTCATGTTAGGCTCTCAGAAGATATTTAATACATTGAGTGAATAATTCTGAGCTTACTCCTTTCCACTAAAAACAAAAAGGGGAAAAAGAAGGGTCTGTTAGGATGTATCTCCTCACCCCACCCCACAGTGGCATGCAGGATTTAGATGGAAACTTGTAAGAAGGAAATTTGTGACCTACTGTCATTCCCAATTAAATGTTCCTGCCTGCCAATAAGTAAAACAGAAACAACAAAAATCAGTGTTTAGCAAAATTGAGATGTATGGAAGTGATCGAGTAGAAGGCATTAGGCATGTAGCAGTGTAGGAGAGCCAGTAGCTAAAAATTAAATGGAATAGAAGAGAGATTAGATTGTCTCCTAACCATGTGAATTGAGGCCTTAAAAATGTAGATTCTGACACCCCTAAATAGAATTTCTTAACCTTTTTGGGTCATAGACCTTTTTGACAAGTAGATGACAGACTCTTATAGTTTGAATTTGAATTTTCTGCTTTCTGCTCCCCTCTCCCCACCAAAAAAACTCACGTTTTCCTGTTGTATCACACCATCTCCTGTTAAAATTAACAGCTTGCCGCCAGGCGCGGTGGCTCATGCCTGTAATCCTGGCACTTTGGGAGGCTGAGGCGGGTGGATCACAAGGTCAGGAGATCGAGACCATCCTGGGTAACATGGTGAAACCCCGTCTCTACTAAAAATAAAAATAATCAGCCGGGTGTGGTGGCACGCACCTGTAGTCCCAGCTACTCAGGAGGGCGAGACAGGAGAATTGCTTGAACCTGGGAAGCGGAGGTTGCAGTGAGCCAAGATCACGCCACTGCACTCCAGCTTGGGCGACAGAGCGAGACTCCGTCTCAAAAAAAATAAAAATAAAATAACAGCTTGCCCTCTACTTTTAGTATCCAAATTCTGAAACTCTCTCCAACCCAGAATAATTTTCCTATCTTTTTTGTATGGATTCTGATTCTGGTCATTAAAAGCCTTTACGTAGTAGTGTCCCTTTTTCTGAGGGAGATACGTTCTAAGGACCTGCCAGTGGATGCTGAAAATACAGATGTACTATAGTTTATTTGACCAGTTTCCAGTCTCTCTGCAAGCTTTTATAATTGCAGAAGCATGAAAAGGGAAGTTTTCAAGAGATTTCTAACTATATATTGTATCATTTTGGTTACCCTAATTTCATGAGATACTAGCTCCATCTTAAAAAGTAGAGTGTTAGCTATATGAAGGAGAGATCTGTTCTGGCTGTAATATCTTTGGTCAGTAATTATTTTGTATGAATAAAGGCTGAATTTGAACTTATTCTCTAGATTTATTGCTAAGAAAACTTTCTCAAAATTTCTTGGGAGTACTTAACATTTAAAAAACTGTCTTGAATGGCCTGATACTTAATCTTGTAATTTTATTCCCTTGAATTGATTGAGAAGGACATACATAAAAGTTAAGTGACAAAGTAGAAGTGCTGTTGGTGGGGCACCTAAGTTAAATTTGAAAAAATAAGGCTTCAGAATTATGTAATTGCAAAAGGAAACTATAATACCTTATAAATAGAAAGCTTGAAGTATAAATAACAAGCATCCTTTTAGTTAAAACATTTTATTTGGAGTGGATATGAATGGTAGAAGACAAACTTTGCTAAATGATTAAAAATGTAGCTAACCTTTTTAATTAAAAGTGAAAATTGTGCAAATGAAATATGAGTATACAGTAGTCTCCCCTTATCCATGGCTATACTTTCTGCAGTTAGTTACCTGTAGTCAACCACCATCCAAAAATAGGTGAGTATGGTATGAGAATGACATTTTGAGAGCAACCACATTCATAAAACTTTCATTATGCTATATTTTAATTATTTTTAATTGTTAATCTCTTACTGTAGCTGATTTATAAATTAAATGTTATCACAGGTATGGATATATAGGAAAAAACACAGTATATATAGGATTTAGTACCATCTATGGTTTCAGGCATCCATTGGGGATCTTAGAATGCATCCACCTCAGAGAAGGGGTGACCATTATACTCCTTAAATTTCATTCACAAAGAAAAGGCAACATAATGCTTACTTTTTTTAACCATTGAAGATATGTTATTTGGCATATAGGTCATAGGCAGATATTTTATTTATATGAATTTTTTGAGACAGTGTCTGCTTTGCCACCTAGGCTGGAGTACAGTGGTGGAAACAGCTCAGTGCAGCCTTGACATCCTGAACTCAAGCAGTCCTACCACCTCAGCCTCCTGAGTAGCTAGTTGGAAAAAACCAACATGCTTGGTTTTTTCATTTTTGTAGAGATGAGGTCTCACCATGTTGCCCAGGCTGGCCTCGAACTCCTGGGCTCAAAGCAGTCCTCCTGCCTTGGCCTCCCAAAGTATTGGGATTACAGGTGTGAGCCACCTGTATTTTTTTTTGTAGAGACAGGATTTTGTCATGTTGCCCAGGCTGGTCTTGAACCCCTGGGCTCAGAGCAGTCGGCCTGCCTTGGCCTCCCAAAGTGCTAGGACTACCGGCGTGAGTGAGCTACCTCACCTGGCCTCTCATAGACTTTAATATGCTAATAGACATTGTTCCCCTCTAAAAGGCAAGTATGGTGGCCTTCAAACTTTCTTGGCCAGGCAACATCTTTGTAGAAGACCACTCTTAGAGTACTCTAGTATTCTGGAGAATACAGTTTGTCAGGGGCAGTTGTCTTAACCTTCTATAAATGTGTACTTGAATCATTGTAATGCAATGTTGGGCACATTAGGAAATACACAGTACATTTTTGCCTTTAAGGAATTTTAAATGGAGATTGTTCCAAATGATACTTATTCACAATTCCATTTAGTAATTAGATCACTCTGATTGAAATTTGTTCTTTTGCTGTTTTATTTTGGGGGAGAAACATTATTTGAAAGAGCTTGTGCTTATGAAGTTATAAGAGGAGTCTTCACCAAATGGAATAAGTGGTTCAGAAAGCATTGTAATAACTACATGATAAACTGCTTACATAAGCAATGCGTATCTTTTAGGATTGGGTGAAGACAGTTGTTTTTGGAAGATATTTTATTATGTAGAAGGTAGGCACAATTTCATATGATTCATGATTGTTTAAAAAGACCGTGAGTTTGTTACAAATGAACTTTTTAACAGAATGTAGGTATCATTGTTTGGTAAGCTTGTGTCTGCAGCTTGTATCTGGTGAATCAAAAGCCTGTGTATTTGATGTGTTTTTGTGTTTCATTCTAATTTGAAAATTAACCTGTGCATGTTACTAATGAGTACTTTGGATGTGACCAGATAGTTTAACAAATACTTGAGGATCTTTTGAGTAGGAGTAGGGTTTATATGCCTGGGGGATAAGACTTAGCCATGAACATAAACCTTCAACTGACATTAGGTTGTTGAAAAAGACCATGTGTGTGTGAGTGCAAAAACATAAGATAGTAAGAATCCAAAAATGGTGCAAGCAATAAATAAAGGTTATTGAATGCCGGGCGACGTGGCTCATACCCCAGCACTTTGGGAGGTCAAGGCAAGTGGATCACTTGAGATCAGGAGTTTGAGACCAGCCTGGCCGACATGACGAAACCCCATCTCTACTAAAAATACAAAAAATTAGCCAGGTAGCATGGTGGCACATGCCTGTAATCCCAGCTACTCGGGAGGCTGAGGCAGGAGAATGGCTTGAACCCAAGAGGTGGAGGTTGCAGTGAGCCGAGATTGCGCCATTGGACTCCAGCCTGAGTGACAAAGTGCATCCCTGTCTTTAAAAAAAGAAAAAAAAAAGAAAGATTATTGGAAGACTCACTCTTGGCATTGGTAGTCAAGGGAGGTTGAATGGGGGTGACCTTGAAGGATGAATAAAGTCAGGTGAGCGTCCAGGGCAAGGTTTGTTTTTGATTGGAAGAGATGAAGAGATTTGGGAAGAATAGGAACAAAGGCATAGCAAAAATACCTGTCTGATAAAATTAGAGAGATTGGTTAGATTGGTTGGACCTTAAACAATAAAGCTAAGAAATGAAGGGAATGAGATATTTGTGGATTTTTGAACAGAGGAGTTGTGTGGTGAAAATGTCCTTTTGCAAAGGTTAAATGTGGTGGCAGCATGCAAAATGATTGGAGGGAAGGGTGTTAACCAGATAAAGACCATTTTCCCAGCCAAATTAACAATTACTAACATTATATATAAATAGAGAAAAGTGTATAGTAAAGTAACGGATGAAATTGTGGCTTGAACCAGACAGTGATGGTTAGCAAATAGGATCCATGATGTTGATGTTTATAACAATTGTAGATGCCTCAAGACCTCACATTTTCCACCATGCATTTCAATCACACATAAAAGTGAGGTCCTGATAGCACCAGCATAGTCTATATGCTCATACATTTTTTAATTGTAGAAAAGGCAAGTTGTGTGGCTGCTGACCTTGGTCCTGAATGGTAGCTAAAGTACTGTTTTCTGAGAAGAGTGTTGAAGGGGGTAGTACAGTCTGATGGGCTGGTCAGCAACCAGTTTTAACTAATAAAGTGCCTGGAAACTGTAAGTTACTTTTACTCACATCTGTTAATGGTTAAGAGCACAGATTACTGGACCAGATAACCTTGAATACAAATCTCAGCACAGTCACTTTTCTTTGTAAGTTACTTTACCTGTGTGTGCCTTAGTGTCTTCCTCTGTAAAACTGTACATATCTCAGGACTGTTGTGAGCATCAAATGACCCATTCCATTTAAAGTTCATAGAACGCTGACTGACACGTGGACAGTGCTCTATATAGTTAATCATTATTGTCATCCATATATATTCGTCCATACTGCGTCTATGGATGGAATCCAAGGGAAGGGTTACTGGTTTTGTTATGTATTATGTTCTATGTTATAACGAATTCCATGCCATTGCATACTGTTTTCTTAGACTCTGTAGTCAGGTTATTGGCAACAAATTTTTATCTTACAAGAAACAACTATTTAATAATAGGAACATAAGTGTAGTTTAATTGCCCTATGGGATTTATTAGATGTCAAGGCTGATTCCAAGGAAGATTGTGTTTTACAAAAATGGGTCTTTTAGGCTTACAGTTCTTACTTTCATTATTTGTATATCTGATAACATGCGTATTAAATGTGTGCATTTATAAGTATTTTAATGCCTTCATCTTTTTTTTCCCCAGTATTACAGCGTGAAATAAATTCCCAGTATTTTTCAAGATTATGTAAAAGGAGTTGTAATTACTGCTCAGCACCTAGGACAGCACCCAGTGCAACACAATGTACATGAACTCTGGCTTGAGGTTTGGGGCTTGTGTTCTGCATTCAGGAAAGAAAAGAAGAGAAAGTTTTTGGGAAATTTAAATCTTCGTAAGCCCTTACTCTAAAAGTATATGAAATGCAGAATGGTTTCATGGCTTTATTTCAAAATGTTTTACACTGGCTGTAGAACCCACTTCATGAAGTAGTTTGAGTTAAAATGATCTAATATTTGTGTTTTAACTTTCAGCTTTGTGTTATTCTTGGAAAATTTCGCACCACTTGTGAATTCCTTGAACCTGGGCATTGCAAACCCACTTCTGTTGGGCCCATCTCCTTTGCACTTTGCTCAGATTAAGACTCAGTTGGCGCTTCAGCAGCTGAATGCCGTTGCCTCACATGGTTCAACACCACCTTATACTTTATTAAATCAGGCTTTCTTGAAAATAGCCATGTCGAGACCCAGGTTTAATCCTCGAGGAGACTTTCCACTTCAAAGGCCACGAGCACCTAACCCTTCTGGGATGAGGCCTCCAGGACCATTTATGAGGCCTGGATCTATGGGTCTCCCAAGATTTTACCCAGCAGGGAGAGCACGTGGAATTCCACACAGATTTGCTGGCCATGAATCTTATCAGAACATGGGGCCACAGAGAATGAATGTTCAGGTAACTCAACACAGAACTGATCCAAGATTGACCAAAGAAAAACTGGATTTTCATGAAGCACAACAGAAGAAGGGGAAGCCTCATGGTAGCCGGTGGGATGATGAGCCTCATATATCTGCATCAGTGGCAGTGAAACAGAGTTCTGTAACACAGGTTACAGAGCAGAGTCCCAAAGTACAGAGCCGCTATACAAAAGAGAGTGCCTCAAGTATCTTAGCAAGTTTTGGATTATCTAATGAAGACCTAGAAGAACTTAGTCGCTATCCTGATGAACAACTAACTCCTGAAAATATGCCATTAATTTTGAGGGATATAAGAATGCGAAAAATGGGGCGCCGATTACCTAATTTACCTTCTCAGAGCAGAAATAAAGAAACACTTGGTAGTGAAGCAGTTTCAAGTAATGTGATCGATTATGGGCATGCAAGCAAATATGGCTACACAGAAGATCCACTTGAAGTACGTATTTATGATCCTGAAATTCCAACTGATGAGGTCGAGAATGAATTTCAGTCACAGCAGAACATTTCTGCATCTGTTCCCAATCCAAATGTGATATGTAATTCTATGTTTCCTGTTGAAGACGTATTTCGCCAAATGGACTTCCCCGGTGAGTCCTCCAATAATCGGTCCTTTTTCTCAGTTGAGAGTGGAACCAAGATGTCAGGCTTACACATTTCAGGAGGACAGTCAGTCCTTGAACCCATAAAATCCGTCAACCAATCCATTAACCAAACAGTTAGCCAGACAATGAGTCAATCTCTGATTCCTCCATCTATGAACCAGCAACCTTTTTCGTCGGAATTAATTTCATCTGTAAGCCAGCAAGAGCGGATCCCACATGAACCTGTGATTAATTCATCTAACGTACATGTTGGATCAAGAGGAAGTAAAAAGAATTACCAGTCACAGGCTGACATTCCCATTCGGTCTCCCTTTGGTATTGTGAAAGCATCCTGGCTACCAAAGTTTTCACATGCTGATGCCCAGAAGATGAAGAGACTTCCAACTCCTTCTATGATGAATGATTATTATGCAGCATCTCCAAGAATATTTCCACATTTGTGTTCTCTGTGTAACGTAGAATGTAGTCATTTGAAGGTGAGTGTTTTTAAAAAAAGATCACTGTATAATGATGCTCAGCGCCAGTTTTCTCTAAATTCTGATATGTATGCTGCTTGTTAACTAGGCGTTAAGGAAATGGCAGAAGGTAATTTTAATTGCAACCTCAATACATAGTTGTAATCTTAAGTAGCCCTGGCCTTAGTACTGAATTGAATTTTAGGCTTACTGTATTCCTATGACCGGGCACACCATATTTTAGTAGTGTGTCCATTTATTTTGAACTTTTAGTTATCCCACTTACGCAACATAAAATTTATGTAACATAAGCTGCGTACTTACAAGACAATGTCACATGGAATCACCTTTCTCTAAAAGGATCTGTTAGTATAAAAATACAAAGAGATGGTATAACCCATTTGTAATGCACACATTTAAGAGACAGTATATTATAGCCTTGCACATATACACCTGTCTTGGGATAAAGACAATTAATGTTGATTTAAATATTTCCTGACTTTATGTAGACTAGTGATTTTTAGTATTTTTTGAGAAGAAGCTTTCTAAAATAACTTCATAGCAAAAATAAGTCAAGGTGCAGTAATTATTCTGGGACCAGCTGTGGACTCAGAAAATAGTGTAAAATGATAGAAATTTGTAGAGAAAAATCTTTAAAAAATAAAGATGATTTAGGTAGTTTGATAGTATAGTTAGAAGGAAGTATTTTGCAGAGGCAGTGAAGTGTACTATAATGTAGAACATACTGTTCAGTCGTAATCATTGGTAGATTTGAGCAGGAATTTCCAAGTAAATTTTATTTACTTACGTATGGTTGGCAATCACTGTTTCTTCTATTTACTAATGTGATTTATAGATTTAGATTGTAAAGGGTCAGAAGAGAATATACTAACATGGGAAAAAGCTTTGATTCAAGGCCATGGCCTGGAATTGGTTGTATACTTAGGCTTAAAAATCTGTGTGTTAACGCTCTTGTTCTTTTCTTCCAGTGCTGCCTTTCGATTTTCTTTTCATTATTTACTCACTAGGTTTTCGTCAACATGAATCTGATAATTAGATCTGTTGGTATTTTCTTAAGGTTAACTCCAGCAAAAGAAAGCAGCATTCTACCCCATTTTAGCCAGATGTGCCAAATTCTATTAAAATAATAGTTGCCTTATTCCATCAGAAGGGATAGCAAAGTCCTTACAAGGGAAAGTCTTAGAATAATTCATATCACCTAATTGTAATCTGTAAGTAGCCCTGGCCTAAGTAGTGAATTGAGTGTTTGTCTGTATTCTTGTGACTGGGCATACCACATAATTTTTTTTAATTGATTTTGAACTTTTAATTAATCATAATGAATCCAAGAAAATACATCTTTAAATAAAGAACTTGAAGTTTTGTATTCTGTAGAGTAGAAAAGGTGTACATTTAATTTAGTATGTACTTATGGATACCAGTTTTGTACTTGACTCCAATTAGGTACTGGGGCAGAAATGAGGAACTGTGTAAAATTTTAGATGTTATTAAGCAGTTTATTCAGTCTTATTGGGGAGAAAAATTATGCTCCCAAGACATTTAAAACAATTAGAAGACAACAAGTGGTTTTGTGATTGATTTAACTTGTTTGGATATGCTGTAGGGGACAGAGATTTCTGTCTTGATTTCAGGCATGTATCACTCAGGCCAGCATCATCAATTTACCAATTTAATCATTACCAATTTGCCAATTTAATTATTTTAACTATTGTATTTGTAACAGTATGTGTTTAAAAATAAGTATAAATATGCATCCTGACATCAAAAGACTTTTATAGCCTAGTTAGACTAATGGAATGTCAGTTACTAAATGCACTAAGTCTGTCTTGACTAGAATGATGTGGGAGAGAAGACTTCATGGAGTAGGTTGAAGATGGGTCTTGAATTGAGGCTTTAGATATGCCTGTATAAAGAGGAGGAGGGGGCCGGGCACAGTGGCTCACTGCCTGTAATCCCAGCACTTTGGGAGGCCGAGACAGGTGGATCACCTGAGGTCAGGAGTTCAAGACCACCCTTACTGACATGGTGAAATCCTGTCTCTACTAAAAATACAAGAATTAGCCGGGTGTGGTCATGCGCACCTGTAATTCCAGCTACTCAGGAGGCTGAGGCAGAGAATCGCTTGAACCCAGGAGGCAGAAGGTTGCAGTGAGCCGAGATCGCGCCGCTGCACTCCAGCCTGGGTGACAGAGCGAGACTCCATCTCAAAAAAAATAAAAAAAATAAAAAAAAAAAAAAAGAAGAGGAGGGTTGGCGGCAACAACATACAGAGAGGCAGAGGTCCGGAGAGAAGACTACATTTCATTGTGGTAGGAGGCAGTTGGGAAAGAGTGATGAGCGTATTAGAAATAAGTACGAAAGGCTTTGAAGAGCTAGCCTAGGAGTTTAGACTTGAGGTGAGAGGCATTAGAAAGCTAAATAAGTTTGTTGATAAGTGAAGTGACATGTTGGAAGTATATTTTAGGGAGATCTGACTGAAGTATGCAGGGTAAATAGAAATGAGATGATGTGGAGTAGGACTTCCACTTGGAAGCTTCTTTAATTGTTCAAGTATAAGATGGTAAAAACCTGGGTTAATAGGATAAAAGTAAAAATTTGAGAGGAAAGGAAATCATTTAGTCATCATTAGAGCTCACCTAGATAGATTGCCATTAAAAAACAGACACACCTTTTAACAGCACAACAGAATGGGGCTCATCTAAGTAATGAATTTTTCACTACTAAGTGGCCAAATGATAGGGATTTGTGAAGATGGATTTCGATGGTACACACTGCCTCTCGTTTCTGTGATATATTTTGCAGCCTCGTAAGTGTTCCTGTGTGTGTATATATGACATAAATATGAAGCCAATAAATGTAAATTACCAATTGTAAACTTTTTCCTATTGAGTAAATCTGACAATATGTATATTCCCCACCTTCGAGTCTTTGAAACTATAGCTGTGAAGATGTACTTTGAGAACGTGAAATGTATTTGCTTGTTAAATTGGGGTTCAGATTTTAAAGGAGAAACTTCCCTTGGTTTAGGAGCTGTGTCATAATGACTGAAATAATTCAGTTTGAGAAAGTACCGACAATAAAAAATTGTTGAGAATAGTGAGTGAGCCCTGATACGAGTAGTTATATATTTTCAGTTTCATTCTGAGCCTGCCTAATTCTGTGCAGTCCTTGCAGCATCTCCTGCTAGTAGGTAATTATCACTTTTTCTCTGGGGAGGCAGTGCTGCTTTTGGACTATAATGTGGAAACTATTACTAGAGAGTCTAGAAGTTGGGGTGGGATGGGTGTGTTTACTGAGCTTAAAGCAAGTAATGTCAATTTGTGAAGCAAGCCTAAGAATGTGTGTATGTGTGTTGAACTGAGAAGAGTATATCTTAAATAGGGCAGCCATCATCTTCAGGTGATAGTTGCTGTAAGAATGATATCCTGTATTACTGTATCTTCCTATTTTTTCAAGAAAAGCTGGAAATCTGGACTTGCGGGTAAAAATCTCTGGATTATTAAATGTTGGCAACGTATTCAGATAAAACACTTTATGGTTCAAATAAATCATGCCCAACCCACTGCCTGCACCAGTGTGTCTGTTTGATGTAAACAGTGTCCAATTAATATTAAAAATATGGGTTTTAGTACTACTAGAGACTCTTCTTCTAGCTTTCTATTTGTATTATTAAACAGGATGTACAAACATTTCTTTTTTGTAGTCCACAATCAGTTCCATGGCTTAATGAAATAGTTTAGGATTTGTCATACCTTGTTGCTGAGTTTAAATTGATGCTGAGCATTGCAAATCAGTGTACCTTCTTTCAGATAGTTCTTGCCAAGGCAGAATCCAAAATTATTGTCAACCGTGGTTTTAACTGTGGAAACTTCTAATGACCTAAACTAAAATGTATTTCAAATGGAAACAAATAATAACATTTTCCTTAAGCAAAGTGTTGAAATACGAAGTTATTTAGTAAGTTTTCTGCCTTTCCAAATGCTGGAGGAACAGTAAAACATTGAGTAACATACATATTGCTTTTAACTAATTGTTTCACCTTGGAAACTGTATCTTTGTAAACTGTATTGGCTTTTTTTTTTTTTTAACCAGATGTATCTTCCAGAGTTATTTATGGGTACACATTGTAATTTTAGGACAGATTTATTTGTAAATGAAGTAATGTATAAGAAAGCATTTTGGGCTGGGCATGGTGGCTCACGCCTGTAATCCTAACACTTTTGGGAGGCCGAGGCAGGTGGATCACCTGAGGTCAGGAGTTCGAGACCAGCCTGACAAACATGGTGAAACCCTGTCTCTATTAAAAATACAAAAATTCACCAGGCTTGGTGGCACATGCCTGTTAATTCCAGCTACTAGGGAGGCTGAGGCAGGAGAATCACTTGAACCTAGGAGGTGGAGAGTGCAGTGATCCGAGATCGCCTCATTGCACTCCAGCCTAGGCAGCAAGAGTGAAACTGTCTCAAAAAAAAAAGAAAAGAAAAAAAAAAAAGAAGCATTTCGTTAATTGTAAAGCTCAAAGCTCTATATGTAAGGGATATTGTATCTTTGAAATGTTGTTACTTTTAAATTTTGAAAATAGATTTGATCAGTAGCATTTTTCCCCATGTTTTTCCTAATCTTATTTGCCAGTATAGTGAGTACCTTGTATGGAATGGTACTGGTCTATCAGGTAGCATTTTTATTTTATTTTTATTTTTATTTTTATTTTTTTGGAGACAGAGTCTCGCTCTGTCGCCCAGGCTGGAGTGCAGTGGCGCAATCTCGGCTCACTGCAAGCTCCGCCTCCCGGGTTCACGCCATTCTCCTGCGTCAGCCTCCTGAGTCGCTGGGGCTACAGGTGCCCGCCACAACGCCTGGCTAATTTTTTGTATTTTTAGTAGAGACAGGGTTTCACAGTAGTGTCGATCTCCTGAACTCGTGATCCGCCCTCCTTGGCCTCCCAAAGTGCTGGGATTACAGGCGTGAGCCACTGCGCCCGGCGGCATTTTTTGATTGTTGATGTTGTTAGCGTGAATTTTAGAGGTATTTGTCATTGAAATATTGTATTTTGAAGATGCTGTTTCACAGATACCGTTTTACTTATAGATTTTTTGGTGTTTTCTGGTGTGTTGTTTTTATATTTGCAGTAAGTTTTTTCTGATCCATGCTTTTATTTTCTCCAAGTTTATATATTGATTTCAAAATGAGCATCCACGGGTATGATTTTGAAAATGTTTTCTGTACTAAAATATTTTCAAATGGGATCAGTGAGGTATGGTATTAAGTGCATTTGTTTCAAGGCCTTTAATTTTTGTTTGTGAAAATTTTACTGAGCAGCCAAATGCTATTTATGAGTACGTTTGTTTAATTTTTGAACAAAATATTATTTGTCTTTTTTAAAAGCCTAATTCATTAGTCAACATGAGGAATATTCTAATTTCAACACTTTTCTCCTTTTACAATAGGATTGGATTCAGCATCAAAATACATCTACTCATATTGAGAGCTGTCGACAGTTACGTCAACAGTAAGAATATATTTTTCCTTTATTATAGATAGCATATTTACAAAATAGTTAATGTTCAGATGTGACTGTTAAATACCTTTAGTATAATACTTTGGAGAAAAATATTTTTGGAAAGCTATTGTCTTTTAAAAATATTAGTTTTCTGGAAGTATATTTAATATTTTTCCAAAATGGTAGAATTCAGTATATCCTTTGACACTTTTCTAACTTAATTCCCAGTAGGTAAACTTTTTATGTCATTAGTTCATTCTTTGCTGGCTTACCTTCCCCAGGATCTTTTATCTATATCAGAGCAGGTATCCTTTCTTCTCCTATCTCCACCTCTTCCCATAGGACAAGTAACTGAAAATCAGTGCAAACCAAACACCAGTATTTAATTTTGGACCTAAAGCTCTTCTCTGACTTAGAACCAGTTTTCAGAATATACCTTAAGTAAGGGATGGACAAGCTAGATGTCTTGCTTCCTTAACCTTGGCTCTTCAATTCTTCCCCCTTTTTCTTCTTAAAGACAGGGCACCTGTGAAGTTTTCCCTACTGGCCATAGAGGTGAAAAAGTGTGATTTTAACACTATGTTCCTGTATCTCTTGGAGTAACATCAAATTAAACTCTGTCTTCCCTAGTACCATTAAACAGTTCCTAGCCACTAGACTGAGAGTAACGTGTTATTGGGCAAATGGATTTGAGATTATTATTGAGAATCCTTTTGGTTGTAAGTGGTTAAAGTTGCAGATTAGTTGCTGGCTCATGACTGTAATCTGAGCACTTTGGAAGGCTGAGACAGGTAGGCTTGCTTGAGCTCAGGAGTTCAGCCTGGCCAACACAGCAAGATCTTGTCTCTACCAAAATAAAAATAAAAAAATCAGCCAGGCATGGTAGTACACATCTGTAGTTATAATATTTGGGAGGCTGAGGTGGTAGCATCACTTGAGTGCAGGAGATAGAAGCTTCAGTGAGCCATGATTGTGCCACTGCACTCTAGCCTGGGCGACAGCCTGTTTCAAAAAAAAAAAAAATTTTTTTTTTTTAAGTAAGAATTTGTAAGCTCACTTAACTGGGAAGCTTAAATGAGGTTGGTGGTTCTATTAATAAGTTTCAGGAGCAGCTGTATTGGATGCTCAAATAAAAATTGGTGTCAGAAATACTTCTTTCTTAGCTGTTGTCTTTTGCATTGGCCTTATGAAATCTTGGACACACTTCTTTCACATAGCAAAATGGACCCCACGGTTCTGGATGTAAGTGATCTGTATAGCTGGCATTTCTAGGAGTTTTTTTGTTGTTGTTTTTGTTTTCCTTATCCCACCCCTCACTCTATGACACAGCCTCGGGAGGTTCTGAGAATATATGCCTCTCCCATCTGACCTTTTTCCTTTAAAGCACTTCTTTCTCCATAACTCTGGCAGAAGTCCTTGTTTTGACTCTTTTGGTTCAATTTTGGTTAGTTGTCCATCCCTAAACACATTATAGTGGCTGTGGGAATAGGGTAGTCCATCTCGGTTTGTGTCATATGTCTGCTCCGGGTGTTGAGAGTGAGATAAGTGTCACCTGGATCTTTTGCACTAAGACTGGAAATTGGGGTTACTATCCTATATAGATGCTGTAAAGACAAACATAGGTTATCATGGGGAGATAATTTGTTACCTGAATTAGATACGCCTTACTGCCACTGTAAGGAATACAGTCGAAAATCGAAAATCTCTCCTAAGCAACATTTTCCCAGAGGTACCCAGTGGGATGTCTTAATTCTTATGAAGGTGAATTTTTAGTTGGATGGGGGTGAGTTACTTATTTTAGAGAGTCATTCATGCTAGTAAGAGGATTATAGCTACGTTAATTTACTTGAGCAAACAGCATGTATATATCTATTAAAGCCTTTAGTGTAGGTAAGCCTATTATTTTTTTCATACATGTAGGACCCTGATTTAAAGCATTTGCTTTCCATGCCTGCTACTTTAATGTTCTACTCTATTTTTTAACCATATCCAGTGTATTTTGGTTCTCCACAGAGATGAATAGGGGAGATATATATAAATACAAGCGTACCTCCTTTTATTGCACTTCGATTTATTGTACTTCCCATAATTTGCCTTTTTTACAAATTGAAAGATTGTGGGAACCCTGTGTCAAGTCTACTGGTGCCATTTTTCTTTTTGTTTTTTTCTTTTTGACTTAAACTGGGAGAGAATAAATTTCTATTTAGAGTCCAGAAGTCTGAAATCATGGTGTTAGTTGGGCCACCATTCCCTTCCGAGGCTCTGGGGGAAAATCTGTTCCATGCTTCTCTCCTAGTTTCTAGTGACTGGGGACAATCATTGACATTCCTTGGCTTGTAGCCTATCATTCCTATCTCTGCTACTGTCTTCACACCACCTTCTCTTCCCTTAAACCTCCCTATGCCCTGCTATTAGAAAGACACTGGCTATTGGATCTAGGGCCCATTGGATAATTCAGGATGATTTCATCTCAAGAATTTTAGTTTGATTACATCTGCAAAGATCCTTTTCCAAATCGGGTAACATTCACAAGTTCCAGGGATTGGAACATATATATGTATGTATCTTTTGGGGAGCACCATTCAAGAATCCATTTTAATCAGTTTCCCCTAATACCAAATCGCTCTCTCGTCTGGGCCTTGAGCAGTGCTTTTGCTGCCAAAAGCAATCAAGAGCTGAAGCTGAAAATGAACAGTGTGTGTATTAGCACCTGTATGCTGGTAAGAACTGCAACTGGATATATCCTTCGATCTGGCATCCTCTGGGTCAGTTTCCACTTTTTCCTATTGTGGGGCTTAAGGGTTCTTTCGTTACACAGGTAACTGTGGTTTGAAATTTAAAATAACAGTATGTCTTTCCTAATTCTCCAGGCTGTGTCTCCTAACCAGGCCTCATGATGCCTTCACAGTTTCTTACCTTCTGCACATTTTTCTTCACCTGGCCTCACTCTGATCACAATGGCAGATCCAGGGCCTCCCTCTTCCCTTGTCTCTACTGGGTCAGTCAGGACTCTTTCCTATCGGTGCCATTTTTCTAACAGCATGTGCTCACTTTGTGTCCCTGAGTCACACTCATAGTATTTCAAATTTTTGCATTATTACTATACCTGTTAATGGCAATCTGTGATCAGTGATCTTTGATTTTGACTTGCTGAGGGCTCATGATCAGTATTTTTTAGCAATAAAGTACTTTTTAATTAATACATGTTCATTTTTAAAAACATGCTATTGTACAGTTAATAGACTGGCATAGTCTAAACATAACTTTTATTTGCACTGGGAAACCAAAAAACTTATGTGACTCGCTTAGTGTGATGTTCTAGAACTGAATCTACAGTATCTCTGAGGTATGCCTATGTATCGATATATGACAGGGGATTTACTAGGGGAATTGGCTTACACAATTATGGAGGCGGAGAAGTCCCACAATATGCTGTCTGTGTGTTGAAGACTCTGGGTTTCTGGTAGTGTGGCTCAGTCCAAATTCAAAAGCTTCCAAACCAAGGAAGCTGATAGCATAATTCTCAGTCTGAGGCAAAAGGCCCTATAGCCCCAGGAGCCTGCTGATGCAAGTTGCATAAGACTTGGAGTTCTGATGTCCAAGAACAAGGAGGAGAAGGGCATCCCGCTCTGAGGGAAGGAGGGGTGGAGAGAGGGAATTCCACCTTCTTCCATCTATTTGTACCATCTGGGCTCCCAGCCTATGGCGTGATGCCCGCCCACATTGAGGGCAGATCTTCCTTACTCAGCCCACTGACTCACAGACTAATCTTCACTGGAAACACTCTCACAGACATGCCAAGAAACAATGCCTCACCAACCATCTAAGCATCCCTCAATCTAGTCAAGTTGACACCCAAAATTAACCATCACATTCAGGTTGTATGCACTTGAATAATTGCTTCATAACTTTCTCTCCACTGCAAAATAATTTAATAAATAGATTTGGTTAGGTGCTTGGGATCTGCATTCTTTATTCTTTTAAGCTGTGTTATAGGGATATACCTTCTTTCTACTCATTCCTCCATTGATGTATATTTAGATTTTTCTTTTCTTGTGGCTTATTCTCTCTGGCTTTATTGGCTCTTTCTGGATTATGATACAAGAGTAGTTGAGGAAAGATAACAGTGCATCAGAATTTTAATATTAAAAATAGGTAATTATGCTGTGTTTATTGTGTGCTGGGCATTCTTAGTGCTTTACATAATTGATTTAGTCTTCAAAACCATCTACGAGGTGTTAAGTATAAGGATTATTCCAGACTTTATCAATGAGAGAAGTGAGGCACAGAGACAATTTCCCTACCATCATGCAGCACATAGTTAAATGGAACTAGTTTAGCTCATGGGCCTTTATCATCCCTTCTACTTTTTTATGGCTTAAAAAATTTTCAGAATAAAATATTGAAGAGAAAAAGGAAGAAAAACATTTATGTGTTCTTCATCTATATTCACCATTTGTTAATATTTGCTTTATTATATCTTCATACATTTTTTTCTGAACTATTTGAAAATAAATTGCAGACATTATGGGACATCATTTCTAAATTCAGCATGTATCTCCGAAGTATTAGGATGTTCTGCATAACCACAATACAACACATTTAAGGAAATTAACAATAATTCCACAGTTCCTTCTAATATATAAGCCAAATTCATATTTTCCCATTTCTTTCCAGAATGCCTTTTATAATTCTTCTTGTTTGCCCCATCCATACCCTCAATCCAGTATTCAGTTAAGATTTATGCATTACAGTCTCTTTTAATCTAGAATAGCCTACTCTTTGTTTCGTTTGTTTTTTGTTTTGTTTGTCTTTTTTTTTTGTTTGAGAAGGATGTTTTTGTGGTGTTGATTTTTTCCTTGAAATGTCTGGGAAACTTGTTGAATGTCCCACTTCCTATAGTTTTCTATTTGTTTCCTTAGCATTAAATTCACTGAGAACATTTTTGTTGCAAATGCTTCGTTGGTGATGTGTATTTATTGCATCACATTGGGACAAAGATAATATCAGTTAACTAGGTCCTTGCTCTTAATAGTTAATGTTATACCACCTTTGTTGGGAGCGTTATTGCTTCTGAAGCACATTTTTGACTAGTTGGGCAGTATAGAGGTGTTTCCAAATTCTGCTTGCAGAATGTATACATGCTTTATCTTTCTGCTCTGGGCAGCAGAGATGAGAACATGTGTTACCTAGTGAACAGGTCTGAACTTGGTGAACCTGAACCTAATGAAGATCAACAATATTATTTATTGCTATCTCAGCTCACTGCAACCTCCACCTCCTGGGTTCAAGTGATCCTCCCACCTCAGCCTCCTGAGTAGCTAGGACCACTGGTGAGTGCCACCACGCTCAGCTAATTTTTTGTATTTTTGGTAGAGACAGGGTTGCCAAAGCTGGTCTCAAACTCCTGAGCTCAAGCGATCTGCCTACCTCAGCCTCCCGAAGTGTTGGGATTACAGGCATGAGCCACCATGCTCCACCATTATTACCAGCTCTTGAATATTAGTCTTCAAGCTCTTGTGAACCATAAACTAGAGACCCCCTGGAAATTTAATAACTTTGATGTGTTGTTAATCACCTTCATTTCCAGCATATACATGTGAGAAAGCTAAGGCTTACACATTCTAAGTAACTGGCTTTAAGTTTCTTAGCCATTAAATGACAGCACCTATAGTGAAACCCAGTTTTGTTTGATGATTAAAGATTTGCTTTGAATCACTGTAAGACTAGGAATTTATCCTCCTGGGTGGTACAGAGCAATGAAAGTTTTAAAAAGTGTGGAAATAGATGAAACAAAATTATCCATATATTGGGAATTGTTGACACTAGATGATGGGTATGTTGGATTAAAGTTAACTTTTTTGTCTTCACAGTTTGTCCTCTCATAATTAAAAGATGCTCCAGACAATATATCTATTCTCAAAGTAAGAAGAATGAGGCAGACGCTTTCTCAGATGTCTGTCAGGGGTTTTGTACCTGTATCTCATTGGTTAGAACTTACCACTGGCTGTCTTCTAGAGATAGTGGGAAAGCAAATATTTAGCTTTTTTTTTGCCATTGTAATAAAGGCAAACAAGGGAAAAGGGAATTGAGAATTGCTGTGGGGTTAGCTCATTAACAATGTCTGAGGCAAATAGCAACCAAGACAAACCACTTTAATAAGGTTCGACCTAACGTTATTTTCCTGCTAGGTGATTTGTCAGAAGTTTGCTGCCTCCATTTCCTTACCTGGCTTTCATCTTGCTGCTGAAATTTTATTCTTAAATGTAGTGATTTATTTATTTAATATAATCAGCATGTCCAGATGCCTCTTAGAGTTCAGATTTTCTAGAAGTTGAGAGTGAAGATACAGCCTTTTTCTTAGGCTTCTATGATATTACTGTTTCTCCTACTAGTTTTTCCGTGATTGCTTCTTAATCTTTTATTATTTTTTTTCTTTGCTTTACTCTAAAGTTGTCGATGTGCCTAAGATTCTGTCCTCGGCTCTCTTTTTTCCTATAAACTTCATCTTGTGTTAGTCTCACTCTTAGGGCTATAATTGCGGCTTCTACATGCCTGATTTCTAAATATCTCAGCTCTCATCTTTTCCCCTAATTCCAGATATTCCTTTACACTTATTCTGAAAACATTCCTGTTATCTTCTCTTACAAATGTTCGTTAAGTTCCCATTGTTTTTTTCCTGTGTGTAACCTCATTACCTGATTTTAAGGCTCTTCGTAATTTGTCTCTACCTGAAACAACAGACAGCCTGTCCAAGTTTCCCCCTTTATAATTCCTTTTCATCATGTCTATGCTGTAGCCAGACCACTTCCTGGAACAAAACACCGATGTTTTGCCTCCAATCTTAGTTTACATATTGCCACTGCATGAAATCTAACCTGATCCATTCCTATTAATAGATCTTTGTAAGGGCTACTTGAAAAGCAACCCTTTCTATGAGTTCTCTCCTGATTCCTCTCAGTGGACATATCTTTATGAGGACTACTTGGGGCAAGTTAAGGGGCACCATTCATGTTGTATTCTGTGAGTTGCCATATGGAATATGATAGGAGTGGTGTTCCCTAGAGTTCTGTAAAGTAGATGAACTGTCTTCTCTCTTTTAACCCTTAACCTAAGCTCGTATCTTGTACCTCTTAACACTTCTGTGCATATGCTGGCCGGTTTACTTAAATGAAAGTTTAGGCCTTTAAAGTATGGGGAGTGTGTTTCCCTGATACACCTATTAGCATAATACTTTGATTATTTATTGAATTAAACTCTCAAAATATTTTATTTCCAATAAAAGTTGTGAAAAGTCCTTTTGATATATTACAGGTAAAGATTAATTGAGCCTTACAGTCTGATTTTAGCTGTTAGTTAATATTGTTTATTTTCAAAATAGGTATCCTGATTGGAATCCTGAGATCCTCCCATCGAGAAGGTAATTTTTAAAAATAGTAATATTATTAAAACCTGATTGTCTTTTAAAAGTAAACAGTTAATTTTAAGAAAGTGATTCTTTTGAGTTCTACTTCTGCCATTTAAACAACAGGCAAATGCAAAAACCTCTATGAATCTTTAACTTATTCCAGCTTAAAGGTGACACAGCCCCTCCCCTGATCTACTTTCTTTAGCCTGTTCTGAAAATACTTTATTCTGACATTATTATTTTATGTTTATGACATCTTCTCTTGTAAATGCCTTGAATGCTAGGAGTGATATTATTAAGTTCTGTATCCCCTAGGGGATTCTCCTCAGGTTATGTGTGTACACACACGTACACACACATAGAGAAATCAAAGTCATATTTATAGATGGCATAATCTTTCAGGAAAAAATTATTGAAAACATCTGTTTACGTAAATCATTTCCTAAATTCTTTACATAATTTAATACTTTAAAAACATAATTGGAATAATGTTGGTACAGGAAAAACCAGAGAAATTCATTATCGTATTCTTCTGTAAACTAGAAAACAGACATCCAAGCAATTGGAGGGCTGATAAACTGTTCTGATTGTTTCTTATTTACGTATAAGGCTGAATTACATCATAACAAACAGATTTTTGTTTTAAGTACATATCTTTTATGAGAGTTTGGTATTGTTAACAGTCTGTTTTTAACAAGGTACTTCTGTCATTTATTATCATTTAAATTTACATTAAATTGCTGATCACTTTCTTTTCCGCCCCCCTGCTTGTAGAAATGAGGGCAATAGAAAAGAAAATGAAACTCCACGAAGACGTTCTCATTCCCCCAGTCCTAGGCGTTCTAGAAGATCAAGCTCAAGTCACAGATTCCGTCGGTCTCGAAGCCCAATGCATTACATGTATAGGCCGAGAAGTCGAAGTCCAAGAATTTGCCATCGTTTCATTTCTAGATACAGATCCAGATCCAGATCCCGTTCACCATATCGAATTAGAAATCCATTTAGAGGTAGTCCAAAATGCTTTCGATCAGTTAGCCCTGAGAGGATGTCAAGGAGATCAGTGAGATCATCAGGTACACTGATGGCCATGAAATAGTGAATGTACTTATTTTGACTAAATTTTTAAATGTCTTTCTTTTTGGATTTTGAGAAATGTTCTACTTTATTAAATTTTAGAGTTGATAAATGAAATCTGACCCACATGCCACAGAGTTATTCCCTCTGGTAACTTGGCAAAGAAATGTGTGTGAATGTATGTGTCCATCAACATCATATTTAAAAACCAAGGATGGTAAAAATGTCTTAGTTTGCTTTAATAATTGATTATAGAATTCCATGGATTAATTTAAAATGTTTTTGAGATTATTTTTTTTAACCTGTGACTTAATGTTGATTTTATGACCCTTTCAGAACTAGCTCACACATGCATGCCCACATACACAAACACACACCTTCTTCTACAATGAAAGAAACCATAGTTAATATCTGAGAAGTACTTTGACACTCCCACTGTTTCACTTGACTAGCCTGAAAAATTCAAAAATAGTACTTTGCACAGGTCTTATTGTGTCTAGTATAGTCTAAAATGCTGAATTCAAATGGAGATACCTTTAATTATATAAGGCATTCCTTCTTAAAGTATGGCCCAAGGATCGATTGGGGTCCTCAAGATCTTTTAAGAGTTCTATGAGATCTCTTTTCTAATTACATGCCTCCATGAGGCTGGATTTTCTTTATCCAGAAGCAGATATAAGAATTTAGGTTCTTCTTTTAAGCTCAACATTAAAATGTGTGGAAGAAGGTACTATAGTGCTACACATTTCACTAATTTTGTTTTGGGAATTACAGTTGGTTTTTATAAAAATATTTATGTTAATATGGGAATTTACTTTTTTTGCCATTACTTTCAGTGGCAAAAACTGCAGTTACTTTTGCACCAACCTAACATATGAATTGATAAATATTTTTACAATTTAATTTCTAATATGGTAAATATCAGTAAATATAACACAAATCTTTGTAGTCTTCAATAAGTGTAAAGCAATCTCAAAACCAAAAGTTTGAGGATCACTGGTATAAGGGAATAAAGGAACTTCATGTAAAAGCCTTCTGAGTGCATAAAATCTAGATTTTTGTATTGTCTGTGTGCTCCCTGTTTAGCTTGAGAATAGCACTATGTGATTATGTCATGAGATGGCTCCTACCTTAATTTTTTTCCAATTGAAATTATATTTATATCTTTTTACTAGATAGAAAAAAAGCATTAGAAGATGTAGTACAACGATCTGGGCATGGGACAGAATTTAATAAACAGAAGCATCTTGAAGCTGCTGATAAGGGACATTCACCAGCACAAAAGCCTAAAACTAGCAGTGGAACAAAACCATCAGTTAAACCTACAAGCGCTACAAAGAGTGATTCAAATCTAGGAGGACATTCTATTCGTTGTAAATCAAAGAATCTTGAAGATGACACTTTGTCAGAATGTAAACAGGTGTCTGATAAAGCTGTTTCTCTCCAGCGAAAGGTAATTCTTTAATTAATAATTATTTTTAGAGATAAGGTTTCACTCTGTCATCCTCGCTGGACTGCAGTGGTGCAACAAGCATGGCTCACTGCAGCCTCGATCTCCTGGGCTCAAGTGATCCTCCTGCCTCATCTTCCCAAGTAGCTGGCACCACAGGCGTGTGCCACCATGCCTGGCTAATTTTTTAATTTTTGTAGAGATGGGGTCTTGCCATGTTGCTCAGGCTGGTCTCGAACTACTAGGTTCAGGCAGTCCTTCCACGTCAGCTTCCCTAAGTGCATGAGCCACTATGCCTGGCTTCGTAATTCTTTGTTAGTGCAAATATGCGTACATTTGCTATGACAAACAGAAAACAAAGTTGTTGCCAGGCATGGTGGCTTATGCCTGAATCCCAGCACTTTGGGAGGCCAAGCGGGGTGGATCGCTCGAGCTTAAGAATTTGAGGCCAGCCAGAGCTACGTGGTGGAACTCCCTCTCTACAAAAAATATAAAAATGAGCTGGGGGTAGCGGCGGGTGCCAGTAGTCCCAGCTACTTGGGAGGCCTTGGGAGGCTCAGGTGGAAGGATCACTTGAGCCCGGGAGGCAGAGGTTGCAGTGAGCTGAGGTCACACCACTGCACTCCAGCCTGAACTACAGAAGGAAGACCCTGTCTCAAGAAAAAAAAAAAAATGAAGTTGTCTTAACTTTTTTATTCCGTGTTTCCAATAACTTTGAAATTATGAGTTTTGTTACATGATTTTAGTATGGAATATTTTACTGGTTTTTCTTGTGAGTATAATAAAAGTCCAAGGTTCAAAATCTCGTAGCTTAGGAATTCCAGTGGTTTGGTATTTGATGTGTCAAAAGAACATTTTGATGGTTTGGCATTTTTGGCTAGCTTCACAAGCAGATCACTGTGATGAGTTTTGCTCTCTAATTGGGAAAATGAATAATCACCAGCAGCATTATTGAGCTTTTGTAATCTTTTTTAGTAAGGTATAAGAGTGAGCCTCTCCTGAGAATTGATCATTATTCATCTGTTCTATACTTTTTGTGGTACAGTTCAGAAGTCAAATACTCTGTTGTACAGTGTAAAATTTATACTTTGGTACTGATTTATTAGTGTTATTTTGACTGTAACCTACTGGTTACGATACTAAGGTATTGTTTTATTGTATGTGTTTATTAAATCACTATTAATATATTAAAACATCAAGAGACTATCTTCAGAGAAAATCCTAATAGGCCCAATATCAAATATTTTGTATATTTTAATATTAATAAGTCTTCAAGTATTTAGGTATGGAATGCATTGCTCTCAACAGTATTTAAATACATGAAAGACTTTCAGTAAGTGCTGTTCCCTGCCCCAAAGAACTTACATTTAGAAGGATAAACTTCTGATAATCAACCAGTAATTAACAGAATTTTGAAGAGCATTGGGAAGAAATTTTTGAGTATAGGGAAAATTTTGAAGAGGCTGAGTTAGTCTCATAATATGAAGTTCTTTTCATTTTGTTTCAAGACTTCTAGGTGGTGGCAGTGGAACTTTTTTTTTTTTAAGTTTTCTTATTTAGTAAAAAATAAGAGAAATGGGGGTCTCGCTTTCTCACCCAGGCTGGAGTGTAGTGGCACAGTCATAGCTCACTGCAGCCTCAAGTTCCTGAGCTCAAGTATCCTCCTGCCTCAGGCTCCCAGGTAGAAGACTACAGGTATGCGCCAACACACCCAGCTGGGTGTTTTAATTTTTTTTTTTTTTTTTTTTGAATCAGAGTCTCGCTCTGTCACCCAGGCTGGAGTGCAGTGGCGTGATCTTGGCTCACACAACCTCCGCCTCCCAGGTTCAAGTGATTCTCCTGCCTCCTGCCTTAGCCTCCTGAGCAGCTGGGATTATAGGCGTGTGCCACCACGCCTGGCTAATTTTTTTTATTTTTAGCAGAGACGGGGTTTCACCGTGTTGGTCAGGCTGGTCTCGAACACCTGACCTTGTGATCTATCCACCTTGGTCTCCCAAAGTGCTGGGATTACAGGCGTGAGCCACCAGGCCTGGCCTTTTTTTTTTTTTAAAAATATAGAGTCTTAGTATGTTGCCCATCCTGGTCTTAAACTCCTGGCCTCAAGCGATCTTTCTGCCTTGGCCTCCCAAAGCAGTGGGATACAGGCATGAGCCACCATGCCTGGCTGTAATTTTTAACGTAAGCGGTAAAGTTGATACTACAGTGTATTCAAATGGTATGCATTATATATGAATTTTTAAAAATATTATACCTGTCTAGAGATCATTTCCAATTATTAGAACAGAGGGGGTAAGCAAAGCTGTAATTTCAGCTTTACTTGTTGGTGGGCCATGTAGTTTCATAGAAAAATTCTCTCTAATGGCCTTGGAACATTCCATAGATCTTATTTGCTATAAGATGCTATCAACAGAAAAGAGCACCTGTAAACCATTTCTGGGTTAAAAAATATAAATAACATTTCTTACCACTTTTGCATTTAAAATCTTATTAAAGTGTTAAAATCGTGATTTAAAAATGCGTAAAGGAGGTGGTGAAGGAAAAAGAAAAATGGGTAAAAAATATGGAAAAGACCCTTTAGTGTACTAATATTAGTGGTAGAAGAAATTATATAGGAAATTATTACTGTACATTGTAGCTTAATTTGGTTTATTTTAAATTTTCTTTCACTCCAAAAATAGCTTCGGAAAGAACAGTCATTGCATTATGGTTCGGTTCTTCTTATAACTGAATTACCAGAGGATGGTTGTACTGAAGAAGATGTGAGAAAATTATTTCAACCATTTGGGAAAGTGAATGATGTCCTAATTGTTCCATATAGAAAAGAGGTGAGTCATTTAGTCTGTGGCAAAAATTCATACAAAGTGATTGCTTTAATGATTCTATAAATTGCTGTTGTGTTCCTTAGCTGCTTGTACTGCATATATAATTGTTCTTTGAGAGTTATATAAATGTCTGGATGTGAATAAGCAAGGCCGCAAAATAATGTTTTATATCCTTTAAAATAAGTGTTTGCCCACTTTTTCTGTAAAGGGCCAGCTAAATATTTTTGGTTTTATAAGCCATCTGTAGGATCTCAACTACTGTGCTCTGGCATTCTAGTACAAAAACAGCTATAAGTAATATGTAAATGCGCAAGCATGGCTGTGTCCAAAAAACTATTTACAAAAATAGGTAGTATGCCATAGTTTGCCAGTCATTACTTTAGAACACCAGTTAGATAATACTAAAACAAATTATTTCCTTTGTATGGTTAAGTATTTTCTGTGGGTTATATTCCTATAACTCACATGATAAAGTTAAGAACTGTGAACAGTTCTTCACATAAGCACAACATAAAATAGTTAGTTAAGGCTGGGCGTGTTGGCTTGTGCCTGTAATCGCAGCACTTTGGGAGGCTGAGGCAGGTGGATCGCCTGAGATCAGGAGTTTGAGACCAGCCCGACCAACATGGTGAAACCCCGTGTCTACTAAGAATACAAAAATTAGCCAGACATCTGTAATCCCACCTACGTGGGAGGTTGAGGCAGGAGAATCTCTTGAACCCGGGAGGCAGAGGTTGCAGTGACTAGAGATGGCGCCGCTGCACTCTAGCCTGGGCAACAGAGTAAGGCTCCGTCTCAAAAAAAAAAAAAAAAAAAAGTTTTGTGAGTTAAGGCTGGGTGTGGTGGCTGAAGTCTGTAATCCCAGTACTTTGGGAGGCCAAGGCTGGAGGATCGCTTGAGGCCAGGAGTTCAAGACCAGCCTGGGCAACATAGCAAGACCTCTGTCTTAATTTTTTTAAAAAGTTTGTGAGTCAGGACAGGGAACATAGTGATAGTGTTGTCTTTGTTGCAAGAAGCCTTTAAAAT
Source organism: Homo sapiens (assembly GCF_000001405.40). Lineage (NCBI taxonomy): Eukaryota > Metazoa > Chordata > Mammalia > Primates > Hominidae > Homo > Homo sapiens. The sequence continues at coordinate 71,369,552 of NC_000002.12, forward strand.
GTCAGACCTACCACAAGCTGGACCATATCTTCCCTTCCCTCCTGTTGTTCAGTGAGCCCTGCCTTCTCATTTCCTCTTCTTCCATGAGCCTGCCTGGATTTTTTTTTATCTTGGTAGTGGTATAGAAATTATGTAAGGTTAAATGTCCATTTAATGTGTGAAACATCCTTAATCAAATTATACTTGACCAAAATAAAAACAGGCAAAAGCAACCATGACTTGAGGTAGTTTCATAGTTTGATGTTACAAAAGAAAGGATTAAGCCCATTTTAAAATGCAGGAACTTTTAAAGATAGATTTGTGACTAAAGATGGAATAAATTTCATTTTAGGCTTACCTAGAAATGGAATTTAAAGAGGCAATTACTGCAATTATGAAGTACATTGAAACAACACCTCTTACGATAAAAGGAAAAAGTGTGAAAATATGTGTTCCAGGAAAGAAAAAAGCACAGGTAATCTGGATTTAGGTCTTAAATGTTTTATCACTGTTGTTTTAGTTTAACTTTTTTGTTTAAGTATGGCACACATATAGAAATAGGCATAGAAACATAAATGTTAGCTCAACACATTATATGTGCATTAATTCAAGTATGTTGAAATTAAAACTTCCTCATACATGTATGGTGCTATATACAGTATTAAATAACGACGACTAGGAGAAAATACTTGCCATATATAACACAAAAATAGCAAACATCTGTGAATCTGGTACCTAGGTCACAAAAGAGAACATTTGACAGTATCTGGAAGTCCCTTGCTTGCTTCTTCCCAATTCTTACACCCTCCCTTCTTCTCACAAGTAAACACTAACTTGATTTCTAATGCCATAGTTGAGTTTTGCCTGTTTTCAACTTTACATAAACAAAATCGTATAGTGTACATTCTTTGGGCCTTTACTTCCTTAGAAGTATCAAGTTTTGTAACTTTAATTTTTCTAGATCATTTCTGTGCTTCAGTTCATATGATCGTAGATAATATCTATAGAATTACTTTAAATTACCCTTTAAGGATGAGCTTTCTGTTAAGTAAAAAGCTATATGTATATCTCACCTGTAAGGTTTTCTTTGTGTATGTGTGTGTTTTTTAAAATAGGGTGTTGAGAAAATATTTTTATATCTTAAAAAAAATTATTGTATTTTTAATTTTTGTGGGTACATAGTAGGTATATATATTTATGAGGTACATGAGATGTTTAGATGCAGGCATGCAGTGTGTAATAATCACATTATGGAAAATGGGATATCTGTCCCCTCCAACATTTATTCTTTGTGTATCAAATAATCCAGTTATACTCTTATAATTGTTTAAAAATGTAACATTAAATTATTTTTTACTATAGTCACTCTGTTGCGCTAGCTAATACTGGGTCTTACTCATTCTGTTTTTTTTTGGTACCCATTAATTATCCCCTCCTCTACCCCCTGTTACCCTTCCCAGCCTCATAACCATCCTTCGACTTTCTGTCTCCATGAGTTCAGTTGTTTTAGAGCCCACAAATTGTGGGATTTTTTAGATACCACAAATAAGTGGGAACATGTGATCTTTGTCTTTCTGTGCCTGGCTTATTTCACTTAATATAATGACTTCCAGTTTCATCCATGTTATTTTAAATAACTGAATCTCATTCATTTTTATGGCTGAAGAGTACTCCATTGTGTTATGTACCACATTTTCTTTATCTATTCATGTGTTGATGGACACTTAGTTTGCTTCCAGATCTTAGCTAATGTGAACAGTGCTGCAAGAAACATGGGAGTACAGATACCTCTTCAATATACTGATTTCTTTTCTTTTGGGTATATATACCCAGCAGTGGGATTGCTGGATTGTATGGTTGATCCTATTTTTAGTTTCTTAGGACCCTTCAAAATGTTCTCCATAGTGATCGTACTAATTTACGTTCCCACCAACAATATACTGAGGGTTCCCTTTTCTCCACATCCTGGCCAGCATTTGTTTTTGCCTGTCTTTTGGATAAAAGCCATTTTAACCGGGGTAAGATGGTATCTCATTGTAGTTTTGATTTGCATTTCTGTGATGATCAGTGATGTTGAGTACCTTTTCGTGTGCCTTTTTGCCATTTATGTGTTGTCTTTTGAGAAATGTTTCTTCAGATCTTTTGCCCATTTTTTTTTTATCAGAGTATTAGTTTTTTTTTTTCCTGTAAAGTGGCTTGAGTTCCTTATATATTCTGGTTATTAATCCCTTGTCAGATTTTTTTCCTGTAAAGTGGCTTGAGTTCCTTATATATTCTGGTTATTAATCCCTTGTCAGATGGATAGTTTGCAATTATTTTCTCTCATTTTGTGGGTTGTCTGTTGTTTCCTTTGCTCTGCAGAAGCTTTTTAACTTGAAGTGGTCCCATTTGTTCATTTTTGTACAGCATTTGCCTGTGTTTGTGGGGTATTACTGAAGAAATATTTGCCCAGACTGATGTCCTGGAGAGAGAGTTCCTCCAGTGTTTTCTTGTAGTAGTTTCATAGTTAGAGATCTTAGATAAAAGTCTTTAATCTATTTTTATTTGATTTTTGTATATGGTGAGAGATAGGGTTCAGGTTCATTAATGCATATGGATATCCAGTTTTCCCAGCTGGTACCTCCCTAGGTTACATGCCATCCCAGCCCACTAGCTCTAATCCCAGCCCCAGCCCTAAGAGTTGCCTAGGAGTTGTTGTCCTTGTGTCCTAGACTACCTTTCAGGTTTACCTAGCACCCTGGAGCACTTTAGCCCATGGTAGTGAGACTTGCCAAGAAATTCAGATTCTTATTGCCGGGATGGATGAGTCCTCTTTGGCTAGGTCTGGTCCAAAGGCTCCTTCAGTGCATGGGTGCTGGCTGAGTACAGCATGGCTTTGCTGTCCACTGTGACAGAGCAGCACTGAGTTCAATGTAAAGTCCCCTAGTTACTGCGCTGTCCCTTCCTAAAGTGCACAGACTCTGTCCATGTTGTGGGGCCAGATTAGGGAGGTGTGCTGTCAGGGATTTAAGGCTGTCTCTGCTACCCTCGTCAATGCCTCTTTCAGTGATACAAAGTCAAAACCAGGTAGTATGAATGCTCACTTGATATTTGGTTCTTGTGATGATGCTTTTCTGTGTGCAGATAGTCGTTAAAATTTGGTGTTCCTGCTGGGGATGGGATGAACAGTGTAGGGTTCTATTCTACCATTTTGCTCCACCCAGCTATGTGTTCTAGTAATTTAATTTTTCTACTAGCTGTGGAATGGCTACTTTATAGAGGTTCTATAACACACATTTCTCAATAATTTGATTTGGTAGTCTAACCATGTTAGTGCATTCCTCATTCTTTGTAACTTCTCTATAGTGTTTCTCTGTATGAATATACCACAGATGTATTACCAATTCCTTACTGATTGATATTTAGGTTGTTTCTAGAAACAGAACTTTAGTTAACACCTTGTGTACCTTCACAGGCCATCTTTTGACATTTATGATAGTGGTTTTTTAGGTGATACCTACCCAATGGAATGGTTGGTTTATAGGATGCACAGTAATGGATAATATAAGATTGCTCACTAAATAACTGTTATAATTTACTCCCTGGTAATTTATGAGAGTATTACCAACAACATCTTAATTTCTTCAGCTTTAAAAATTCGTTATATAGAAAATGATATCTAGTTTTAATTTGCATCTTTTTGATTATTCATTAACTTCATCTTTTTATATAATTGTTAGCTATATCTATTAACTGTTTAAGTGAGTTGTCTGTATCTTTTCCTATTTTATTATTGTTGTCTTTTTAAAAATATTCATTTGAAGGTGCATGAATATTGTGCATTCTAGACACTAATTTTGCATTGTATGTAAGAAGTCTTTTCTTACAGTCTGTTGCTTGTGTTATGCATACATATATCAAGTTTGAATTTTTTTTTTTTTTTTTTTTTTTTTTTGGCGGAGCCTCTCTCTGTCGCCCAGGCTGGAGTGCAGTGGCACCATCTCGCCTCACTGCAAGCTCCACCTCCCGGGTTCACGTCATTCTCCTGCCTCAGCCTCCTGAGTACCTGGGACTACAGGTGCTCGCCACTAACAGAGATGGGGTTTCACCATGTTAGCCAGGATGGTCTTGATCTCCTGACCTCGTGATCCGTCCGCCTCGGCCTCTGAAAGTGCTGGGATTACAGGCGTGAGCCACCTCGCCCGGCCAAGTTTGATGTTTTTATGTACTCAAATTTATTGGTATTCTATGGCTTCTGCATTTTTTTCTTTATTATTTTTATGCCTGTGACACAGCCTCAGGAGGTTCTGAGGACATGTTCCCCTCTTTTTGAGACAAGGTCTCACTCTATCACCCAGGCTGGAATGCGGTGGCACAATTTCGGCTCATTGCCACCTCCGCCTCCCAGGCTCAAGTAATCCTCCCACCTCAGCCTCCTGAGTACCTGGGACTACAGGTGCAAGCCACCGCGCATAGCTAAGTTTTAATTTATTTTTTGTAGATATGAGGTTTCACTTTGTTGCCCAAGGTGATCTCACACTCCTGGGCTCAGGTGATTCTCCTGCCTCGGCCTCCCGAAGTGTTGGGATTACAGGCATGAGCCACTGTTTCTGGCCTGCTTTTTTTTCTTTTGTCTTTTTAAGAACTTGCCTGTGCTAGTGCCTAAAAGGTTTTATTCCTTAATCTATTATTTGCAGCATAATATAGGATTGGAATCAGTATTATTTCCAAAATGGGAGCCAGTTAGCCTCAACACTATTTATGCCTAATTTATCCTTGTTGATTTGAAAAGCTTCTTTTATGTGTATAAATTCTGTATACATAGATGTGTTTCATACTCTTCTGTTGTGGCAATACTATGTGGTTTCTGTTACAACAATTACTATAGCTTCCTAATATTTCCCTGTCTTTCTTGTAGAGTTATTTTTCTTTGTTTATTCATTTTGGTTAATGTTTTTCCTCTTTATTTAAATTCATTTTGTTTAATCTTGAACATTTACTCCTGCACATTAGTTTTAGAATCAGTTTAAGTTCTCTTAAAAAAAACTTACTGGAATTTAATTAATACTGTGTTGAATTCGTGATAGTATTTTTACAACACTAAGTCTTTCTATCAAAAAACATAGTTCGTTGGCTGGTGGCTCTTGCCTGTTATCCTAGCATTTTGAGAGGCTGAGGTGGGCAGATAACTTGAGCTCAGGAGTTTGAGACCAGCGTGGGGCAATACGATGAAACCCTGTCTCTACTAAAAATACAAAAATTAGCTGGGTGCGGTGGTGCATGCATGTAGTCCCAGCTACTCAGGAGGAGGCTGAGGCAGGAGGATTGCTTGAGCCCACACGATGGAGAGGTAGCACTGAGCTGAGATAGCACCATGGCACCCCAGCCTGGGCAACAGAGCCAGGCTTTGTCTTAAACAAACAAAGAACATGGTTTGTCCATTTAGATTTCCTTTTATGCCCTTTAGCAAGTTTTATTTTTTTTTCCATAAAGTTCTTGAACATTTTGTGGTGGTTAAATTTATTATTTTACTTATTTTTACATATAGCTATTAGAGAGGATCTTTATTTTTTAGTTCTCATATGTTTTCTAGTTAGTTACTACTAGAGTAACCTATCATCCTAGTTTATACCTGCTACATGCCATCCATTTATTCCCATTGTCCTGGTTTGGATAATAAATTAAATCGTGTGGCCTTAGTTATTAACAATTTTATCATTTAGGATTTCATTCAGTTTCAACTAATAAAACCTCACTAGTGGATTGTTAACAAATAAGAGGTATATTTATCTCATAACAGAAATCTGCATGTAGGTGGTCCAGTGCTCGTGCAACAGCTCCATAATATCTTCAGGAACCTCGCCTTGTCTTCCAGCACTACTGTCTGTAGAATGTATCTTTCATCCTCATTTGTAAGATGGTTTCTGCACCTTCTGGCATCTTTTCTATCTTCGAGACATACAGGAATAAAAATGCAGAGCAAAATGAGTTTTTGTTTTCTTTTCTGGAAAGAGTGAGTTCCCCAGCAGCATTTGCCTGCATTTGATTTACCAGAACTACCAGACACATGGCCATCTAGTTGCAGAGGCAGTTAAGGAGAAACAAGGATTAAATACATAATTTAAGAACTTAAACTTTATCCTGTAGAGAGGTATATGTTATTCAAGGTTTTTGAACCAGGGCATGACATAATAAAACGGAGATTAGAAAGATTCATTTGGAAATGGTTTGGAGAATGAGTTAGGCAAATGATTTTGAAGGCAAAGAAAGCCTAGCAGATTGATTAAAGTGGAGAAGAGCACTGAAGTCCAATTAGAAGACTTGTTTAATCAATATACTCAGCCTTTTGTGATAATGGTAATGGTTTGTGGGTAGATTAGTAACCTTGAAAACAGAAAGGAATAGTGGCTTATACTAGTGACTGTCCAGAAAGACCTAGCTGATCATTAAATTTTTGGAATTGTTGAGAAGGCCAGTTTTCTTTCATTCTAAACAGTTAACATAGTTAAGGAACATAGGTAAGGATACATTTAAGGAAATAGAATGTTTCAAATAGCTTAAAAAATTCTCTTGGCCAACTTTTTGATGAAGTTGGTAAAGTAGCAGTGTAAGTCCAAGAGCCCAGGCATATTTACTGTCATGATTTTCATAGCAATGAATAGGTAAAGAAAATACGAGCACTAGAAGCTAGAAAACATGCCATTTTCATGGCAAATATTAATGTTCTTCAGCTAAATGTTGTTTGGATGATGCTGGAACAAGAAGGCTAACTCATGACACCTCTGTTGTGACAGAGCAACATGCCTAGGGATTGAGTGGAGGGAACTCTGAACAGAATTTGAGTTGTGCCTTCTTCATATTGGAAGTATGTGGACAATTGTTTTTGTTGTTGTTTGTTTGTTTGTTTTGTTTTGTAAATAAGTGTCTGAGGCAGGAAGGGGCAATCTTTTTGGCCTGTTACCACTTCAAGTTTTTCTACCAGTGCAAGCCAAAAATAAGCTGAAAGAACAAACTAGGAAGAAGAAGAGCTGTGCTATAGCTTTCTTGGTCCAAATCTTGATTTTGGCATGGCATGTCAAAACCTAGAAAAAACTTACCCGCCCAACATTTGATATTTCATGTTAGGACTGCCTCTAACTCTAGCTGTGTTTCATGTAACATCTTCTCCATTTTGCTGCTTCTATGAATCTAAATATTACAGAAAAGGTAAAAAAAATCCTATATCCCTATGTTAATATGGATTTGTACAACTCTTGTCAGAAACTAGGTAACTTAGTCTTTAATAATAACCTTGTAACCTAGTCTTTAATAATAATAATTTAATAATAACCTCGACATCCATTCTTAGCAGTGATTCTTAAGTCTTTTTGAGCTACTCCTTGCCCCACCGTTACCAGTAATCCGATGAAAGCAAACATTCTTTTTTTCCCAGGGAAAGGGCCATATTCTCATACTTCGAAAGTTTTCTTTAAAGTATCAGGAGCCCAGTGCAGTGGCTCATGCCTGTAATCCCAGCACTTTGGGAGGCCGAGGCAGGATGATTGCTTGAGCCCAGGAGTTTGAGACTAGCCCAGGCAATATAGTGAGCTCTTATCTCTTCAAAAAATTAAAAAATTGACCTAGTGTGGTGGCACGCACCCAGCTGCTGGGTAGGGTGCGGTGGGAGGATCGCTTGAGCCTGGGAGGCGGAGGTTGGCTGGGTGACGGAGTGAGACCCTATCTCAACAAAAGGGAGCTGGGGGATGATCAGGAGCCCTTGATGTGGAAAAAAGTAGGATCAGATTTCTAATAAAACGCTTTCAGCCATGACATACTACTGCATTTCAACCTTGTGCAAAAAAAACAATTTTTAAAACTTCAATTCAGTGTTTTCAGCAAGATTCATGGGGACATTACAATTAAAACTGGAGCAAGTAGTCAACTAGGAATTGCATGGATATGAAAAATAATGCTGGGCGTTAGTGAATATTTGAGCATTACAGAAAATCTAATGAATTAACAAGGAGATAAAAGCGAAAATACGCAATCAGAATTTGGATGAGAGGTTTTCATTTTAATTCTGAAACTATTTCTTATTAGTTAAGCATCTGTTATGCCTCTGTTGTGTCAGGCATTGTAATATCTACAGAAGATGCAGTGGTGAGCAAGAGAGGTGTGATCCTACTCTTGGTGTGAAAGTTAAAAGAGTGAAAAATGATTAGAGGAAAGGCATGGTAGATATATTTAGAAGACACAATCTGTACATAAGTGGAATTCCAGAAAGAGGACATCATTTAAATTCTGAGGATTTTAAATTTCATGGTTATGGTGGGGCACCTTATAGTGATCTAGGCAGAAAACAGTTTAACTATACAAAGAAATAGTCTAGCCTTAGATTGCAAAGCAACACATTCTTAAGAGTTGGGTGGGAAAAAGATTATGATTCGTTGTAATTGAGTACATTCATTTCAAGTGGAATCCTAAGGTGTGTGTTAAGGCAGTATTTATTCTCAGACATGCATGGACTTAGAAGATATTTCACTAATACATCTTTTTCTAAAACATTAAAATGAAGATCTTAAGAAATGGAGAAGTTATTGTATAAAATGTTGGCGGTGAACAATGAAACCAGTTAAACATAGACTAAAATCTAAATAATCACATTTTTATAAAATAAATTTCAAAAAATATCACTTAAAATTACCAGAAAGATAATTTTCGTGTGAAATGTATAATCAAAAATTGGAATGTAGCCAAGGAGTAAAGGCTAAATGTTTCAACTTATACATCGGAACATAGTAGTTTCAAATTTCTTTTAAAATTGAAAATTACCATTAGTAGAATAGCACTAGAACTAATTTCTTCTAAATAATTGAGTTGAAGGAACATGTGGGATAAAATCCCATATAGTGCAAAAGGAAATGACAAGAGTGCCCAAAAAGAACAGAAAGTATGAAATTGCATGAGAACAGTTATGATGAAATTCAGATCAATTAACAAATACTTGCTGAATGTTTAAGCATGACTTTATGCACTGGGAATAGAATATTGAAGAACACAAAGTCTCTGGTATCACAGAGTTTTAACTTCAAGGGGTAGAGAGAGAAAGACCACAAATAAGTTAAAAATGCATATGTATTATGTTTGTTTTCAACAAGTGCTATGGTAAAAAAAAATTAGGAAAGGGGAATAGAAGTACTCTTGTTGGGGAATGAAGAGCTGTGCAACTTTCAGTAAGTTAGTTGGGGAAGATCTCATTGAAAAGGTGATATATGAGCAAACATTTGAAGAAGATGAGGGAACAAACCACGTCCTGGATTGAGAGCATTCCAGACAGAAGGAATAGCACCTGTCAAACCTATACCTTTGTAGCATCTTAGAGGAGTAGAAAGGATGCTTGGGGATGGAGTGAAGAAGTATAGGAAGGAAGTGTATTGTGGTTTGGGAGTTAGAAGGTAGGTAGAACATACGTTGTAAACTTTTAGAGGCCATTGTTAAGTACTGGCTTTTTTTCCTTGAGTCTAATGAGAGGTTTTGAGTTGTGGAACAGCAGGTTCAGTCTGGGTTTATGTTGTGAATAGAGAGTGAGTGAATGGCAAGGACTGAAGCAGAGACCATTACGAGGCGATTGTAGTAATCAAAGCAAAAGGTAGTAGTAGATTAGACCAGGGTGATAGCAGTTGAACTTTAGACATTTGAGATGTCACAGTGCTATGAGAAACCATGTTTTTGAAAGTTACAGTAGTTCCCGTTTATCTGAGGCTTGGCTTTGCAGTTTCAGTGGTCAGTTGTGGTTTGAAAATATTGAATAGAAAATTCCAGAAATAAACAACATGTTTTAAACTGTGCCCTGTTCTGAGTTAGCATGATGAAATTTCATGCAGTCCAACTCCAGCCCACTGGGGCTGTGAGTCATTGCTTTGTCTAGAGTATCCACATTTTATATGCTACCTGCCCACTAGTCACTTAATAGCTGTCTTGGTTATCAGATTGACCGTCACTGTATTGCAGTGCTTGTGTTTAACCCTCATTTTACTTAATAATGGCCCTAAAGTGCAAGTATGGTGATGCTGGCAATTTGGATATGCCAAAGAGAAGGGGAAAAATGTTTCCTTTAAGTGAAAAGTTGAAAGTTCTGGACTTAATAAGGAGAGAAAAAAATTGTATGCTGAAGTCGCTAAGATCTACAGTACAGTAAGATATTTTGACAGACCGTATTCACGTAAGTTTTATTACACTATATTCTTACAACTTATTTTTTTAATTTAAAATATGGAATGCCTAACGAATATGCGTGTCATCCTTGCGCAGGGGCCATGCTAATTACCGTATCATTCCAATTTTAGTATATGTGCTGCTGAAGGGAGCGTTTTTCTATTTTATTATTGTTGATCTTTTACTATGTCTAATTTATAAATTAAACTTTCATGTATATACAGGAAAAAAAACATAGTATATATAGGGTTCAGCACGAGCACGGTTTCAAGGCATCCACCAGGGGTCTTGGATAAGGAGAAACTGCTGTAGTTAATGATAAGAAAATGCAGATGAGTTGTGAAAGATGAGATGTAAAATTAGGCTGTGTAATCACAAATTGAAAAAAATGTCTTTATAAATAGGAAAAGGTAATAATCATGTGTCCTTTAGAATAGGAAGATTTTAGATTTTTGTTCTATATTTTCTAAATTGCTTTATACTAAATTTCTTTTGTTCAAAATATTTTTCCTACGTAGAACAAAGAGGTGAAGAAAAAGACTTTAGAGTCAAAGAAAGTATCTGCATCTACCTTAAAGTAAGTGACTTTATGATTTCATATGTGAGAATGAAATGTGCATATGACTTAAGAAATTTTAATTTTTAAAACCGCATTTTAAATATATTTTATCACTATAACTATAGTTTAAGAGGGATATCACTCCAGTTGAATTATTTTAAACGTTTTTAGGTTTAAATATTACATTTTTAGGATTTTGTAGAACTTAGAATTCCTAAGTTGCTGCTAAATTTTTTCTCCTTTTAAATAGAAGAGATGCAGATGCTTCAAAAGCTGTTGAAATTGTTACTTCAACTTCTGCTGGTAAGTTGTTACTTTTAATATTCTTTCAAATGAGTGTATCTTGTCAGTTTAGTAGAAACTTAGATGATGATGCTATGAAGACACTATTGTGCTTTAATGAAGGAGACCCAAATTACATTCTTTAATTGGCCCCTGTATTAAGCAGGCGGTTAATATTTAATGCTGTGTAATTACAGAATCACTTCTGGAGTAAATACAACAAATCTGTGAGATAATGTATGTGAAATAGCTATCGTAGTTCCACAGTTAATAGCTGTTTTTTACATGTTTAGGTTAGTTATGCAATATCTCCCTCCATCCCTTCCCGATAAACCCACAAGACACAAAACATAAGAAAGGTATGTTAAGAATGCTTATCTGGTCCTCTTTGATTTTGGAGGTTAATTGAGAGCCAAAAAGCAAGCAAAAAAGACTATCCAGAAATGGATGCTATCATACTCATGTACTAAAAGCTATTTCTTTATACTCAGGAAAATACTTGAAGCCATCATTATGAATCCAGTTAAATAAATTTTGCATACAGTTTTATAATCCGGGTTCTCCTTTTTCTTAGTCCATTTAGGACTAGAAAGGTGGAAAGTTTTGAGACTAGTACTAGTGAGAATAAACAGCTCGATAGTGAAAGACAGGAAAGAAAAGCTAAAATAAGGCAGAGACAAATTTAGGAACTTACATTGCGTTTTGTATGTTCTGTTTGGGGAAGGTAAAAATATAGTGTGTTGGTTTTTCTAACTGGAATGAGGTAAGAATTTAGGCACTAAGTTTTACTAGTGAGGTGAAAATTGGATTGTGGAATATCTCATTTCCCCGTAATGTTTAGTTGTATAGAGTATTGAAGTATTGAAGGTTAGCAGAGATACTATGAATGGCTTCTGGAAGGCAGTACATTTTGATTAAGATTTTAAATTAGGTAACATTATGTGAAGAGATAAAATGTGGAGGCAGAAGATTACTTCATCTGGGGGGCACACAACAACAAAGGTAACAAAGTTCAATTATTCTATTGAAGGCCTTGAAGGGTCATGCTGAGAAGTTTTCAAATTTGACCCCATTAGTAGCATTTTCAGAATGTGTCATGTTAAAGAGTAATTTCTGAAAGAAGTTTTGGGTAAAAAGGTTTGGGGTGTGTGTTATAGCTATTTTTTCTCTTTTGAAAAAATAATTCACAGAACACATTTTATGAAATCCTTCAGGAAAGAAACCTATTTAGCTTTGTTTAGTCCACTGTTTCCTAAGCTTGGCAAAAGTACACTCCATTTTTTCTGGATAAGAGCTAGTAAAAATTGGTACAGACTCTGGGAAATTGCAGTAGAGAATATGGAGCCACTCACTAATTGTTTAGGATTCTTATATAGATTGGATAAATTGGAGAGATGTAAAAATCCCACTGAGAAAAAACAGCTGGGCTTCACTTTGGGATGATGAGGACCTGATGTGAAAAAGGTTAATTTAAGTGATGTGAGGAGGTAAAATTTGCATTTTATTATATGGAATTTTTCAGTAAGTGAGTTTAAAAAATTTTTTAAATAATTATAAAATTTCCAAGTTTCAGTCCTGATAGGTTTTACTAAGAGTGCGATGATATTATTGATTACAATTGGAAAACTCACAGTGGTGCCTTTGAATTTGGGGTTAGGTCCTTAGATTTCAACATTACCAAGTTTCAGCTGTCACGAGTATCTGCTAGAGATATTCTTTAGTCAGCCAATCATATGGCATTGAAAGTGAGATACTTGGGAATTTTTTTAAGTTTAAGGTCTAAATTTTGGAAAGCTAAAATACTTCCTTGCAATATAAATGTAGAAAGAAAAAGGAGCCTATAAACAGGACTGAGAAAGTGACAGGTGAGAAAGGAAGGGTACTTGATAATTTTTTGAGATCCGCTCAGATTGAAGAGTGACAGGAAGAGTTAATTAGAGCAGTTTTAAGGATAAATTTGATTATAAGCACAGGGAGGAAGCAAGAGTGTAATTTGATCATGAATGGAAACATTCGAGCTCTTACCCAGTACTAATTAAAAAGAAAAATAGTAATTACTGAGTAGCTATTATATGCCCATGATAGGGGGCACTTTGTAGAGGCTTAGGATGTATCAGTGGACCAAATAGGCATGGCTGTCCCCAGACAGTTTACATTTTTAACTTGAGGTGACAAATATTAAATATAAAATAAACATTAAATAATATGAGTTTTAGAAAATGAGAAGTTCTGTGACACAAAGCTAAAGCAGAACCAGGGTAAAGGTGATGCAGGATTAGTTTGTTTTAAAGTTAGAATTTAGTGTACAAAATAAGGTAAAAATGACTTATTAAGTAGACAGACCTACTAACATAATCTGTACCAGAAGAGAGAAAACAAAGAAAAGAAGCCTCACATTTGTGGGTATGATATTTATGCTGGACACATGGGCACATAGTATATTTATGTTATTTTGTTTAATCTTTCAAACCGTTCTTTGAGTTGTAGTTAATGTTTGGCTGGGTGCGATGGCTTATGCCTACAATCCCAGCACTTTGGGAGTTTGAGGCGGGTGCATCACCTGAGGTCAGGAGTTCAAGACCAGCCTGGCCAACATGGTGAAACCCCGTCTCTACTAAAATACAAAGATTAGCTGTGTGTGGTGGTAGTAGTCCCAGCTACTCAGGAGGCCGAGGCACGAGAGTCTCTTGAACCTGGGAGGCAGAGGTTGCAGTGAGCCAAGATCGTGCCACTGCACTCCAGCCTGGGTGACAAGAGCGAGACTCCACCTCAAAAAAATATATTGTTCTCATTTTCTAGAAGAGATAGATTCAGAAAGGTTAAATGAGTCAGGGCCACATGGAGGAGTTAGAATTTGAACGCAAAACTTTATGATTCCAAAGCGTTGCATATACTAAATTACCTCCCTCAAGAATGAAAACTTCTTGATTTTCTTGGATCACTACTTTTCTCCAGCCTTTCTAGTTTTCCTAATAATCTTTTCCTCTTCTCATGTCATGCTTTTCTTCCTGGGTGGTTTTTTTTTTTTTTTTTTTTTCTTCTTTTATTGAGATGGAGTTTCACTCTGTTGCCTAGTTTGGAGTACAGTGGCATGATCTTGGCTCACTGCAACCCGTGCCTCCCAGGTTCAAGTGATTCTGCCTCAGCCTCCCGAGTAGCTGGGATTACGGGTATGCGACACTATGCCTGGCTAATTTTTCTTTTTTTTTTTCTTTTTCTTTTTTTTTTTTTTTTTTTAGTAGAGATGGGGTTTCACCTTGTTGGCCAGGCTGGTCTCAAACTCCTAAACTTAAGTGATGCACCCACCTCGGCCTCCCAAAGTGCTGGGATTACAGGTGTGAGCCACCATGCCTGGCCCTCTTCCTGGGTGATTTCTTTCCTGTCAGTCTTTAAGGACATCTCCCTTACGTACATAAACTCTTCTATCCCCTTGAGTATACTCTTCTCATTTTCTTATATTATTTAACAGTTACCACTAATCATCCGGTAGAGTAGTTCTTAACCCTGTCTTCTCTTTTCTTCTGTTCAACATAATTCAGATTTAGATAACATCCTTCCCCTTTTCAGCCAATCAGTGGCGGATCCATATTAGTTTTCCACTGACTCTACTTCAGCTCTCAAATTCTTTATATGTAGCTCCATCATGCCTGTAACTCCTTTTAATTCAGACCTGTCGTCTCACATTTGAACTTTGGAAGATAGCCTCCTGACTGGTATTTTTTATTCCATACTCTGCTTTATTATACACGTTGTTGCCCAGAGGTCTCTTTAAAGCAGATCTGATCATTCTACTTCTAGCAACCAGTGGAATAAAGTCCAAATTCTTTGGCTTTCCATAAATTATTCTTTGCCCTTTGACCCCAGATTATCTTTTGAACCTATTAACAGTCAACTGTGTATTATTTTGTAGTCACTCAGAATAGTTTATTTTCCATGTTACTTCATTCCTTGGTTCTTTATTTATGCTGTCTATTTGCATGGAATTGATGGCTGACTTCATTTAACTTCAGTAAGCACTTAATAGGTCGCAGGCAAGGTACTGAAGATAAAAAGTCAGTTAAGACTTCTTTTGGGGAGAGTTGGAGGACAGATTCTGATTTATCCTGTAAGGCTCATCTCTGATGAAACTTCCTTGATCGAATGATTTTTTTCTCTTGTTATGGCTTTTCTCTTTTTTAGAAATAATATGTCCCCTTTTCTTTTTACCTTTTCAGTTCCCAGCTGAAAATGACATTCTTTTAAATCTAAGTATAAAAGTAATGAATGTTTATTGTGAAAATTTTAAAATATTTCAGAAAATGTTTAAAGAAAGTGATTTACACCATTCAGAGATCACCTCTTGTTTATTTGCTTAAGTCAGTTATTTTCCCAATAAAAGCCCTTTGCTCACCTGTGGGAACTCCCACATGTGAGTTCCACCAAATCTTTCAGAAAGCAATATCGATTTCAGCTATACCATGGCATTCAGGAGAAGGGAAAGCTTCCTGTAAAAGGGGAAATGAGAAAAGGTGGGGGAACAGGCTAATACATCAAATACTGACAAAGACACTACACACCTATCAGAATGGCTAAAATAAAAAATACTGATAGCACCAAATGCTGATGAGTATGTAGAGAAACTCATACATTGTGTGCAAGAGCAATTGTGAAATAGTACAGCCATTCTAGAAAAGAGTATGACAGTTTAACTTAACAAAACTAAACACATGCTTACCATATGACATCACTTACACTCTTGGGCACTCATCCCAGAGAAATGAAAACTTAGCTCATACAAGGGCCTATACACGAGTATTTATGGGTACTTTGTTTATAATTGCCCCAAACTGGAAACAACCCAAATGTTCTTCAGTGGATGAATGGCTATTTTAAAAAGTTTTATATTATAAAATTTCATGTATATCACATTGAAATGAAATTACAGAGAGAGAACAGATTAGTGATAGTCAGGGTTGGTGGGAGGGAGGTGGCTATTGCTATAAATGGGTTTTAGAAGAGATCATTATGAAGGAACCATTCTGTATCTTGGCTGGTGGTAGTCACACTGATCTACACCTATGATAAAATTTCAGAGCTAAGTACACATTACATGTAAAATGAGTGAAATCTGGGTGTTGGTAGATTGTATCAATTGTGTCAGTTTTCTGTCTGTGATACTGTACTACAGTTATGCAAAGTGTTAACCATTGGAGGGAAACTGGGTGAAGGGTATATGGGGTCTCTCCTTTTTTCATACAACTCCATGTGAATTTACAATTATCTCAAAAGTGAAAGTTAAATATTTTTTAATTGCTGACAGCTTTCATAAAACTATAGAATTATATGTAGGAATATTAATGTTAAATTTTAGTGTAAAATTTTAACATATAGTGTCTGCGAGCACTTTGAATAATGGACTATGCACAAGAGAGGGTCGTATTGGAAGTATAAAGATGGTTCAAAATGAGGAAATCTGTTAATTCAATACTACCATATTAAAAAAAGAACATATGATCCTTTCCATAAATACTGAAAGGGATATTAACTTCAACATCCATTTCTAGCATTTAAAAAAGAAATCTTAGCATGGGCATCATAGTGAGACCCAGTCTGTATCAGAAATTAAGAAGTTATCTGGGCATGTTGGCATGTGCCAGCTACTTGCAAGGCTGATCTGGGAGGATTGCTTGAGCCCAGGAGGTCGACGCTTCAGTGAACTGTGATCGTGCTACTGTACCCCAGCCTATGCAACAGAGTGAGACCTTGTCTCAAAAAAAAAAAAAAAAAAAAAAAAGTTTCTTAAATTTATGATATGTATGTGTGTATATATACTTTTATTTATGCACACACATACATATACAAGTACACATATGTTAAAAGCCAGCATATGTTTAATAATGCATTAGATGCATTCCCATTAAGGTTGGGAACTAAACTGAGAATATGCATCAACACCTCTTTCAGTTAAAATAAATATTTTTTAAAACTAATAACCATTAACCAGTACAATGTAATTCAAGAGGCATGGAAATTGGAAAGTAGGATACACCGTTATTTGCAAATATGATAGTACGAAGGAAAACCTAAGAGAATCAATTATACAGTGCTATTTAATTATAATTACCCATCTTAATTCTCTAATATGTCATGTTTAATTGCTTTTTAAAGAAGAGCTCCTTATGTAATCTAATATTAAATAGTCCATTTATAATAATAAAAATGGTAGAAGTTATAAAAAGAAAACTAAAATATTAAAAGGCATAAAATGAGCCTTAAATGAAAAAATGGCATTCTTGGATAGAAAGCTTCACTGTTATAAGATGCCTTTTTTTTCTTTTTTTCTTTTCTTCTTTTTTTTCTGTTGCCCAGGCTGGAGTTCAGTTGTGGAATCTCAGTTCATTGCAGTCTCCACCTCCCAGGTTCAAGTGCTTCTTCCACCTCATCCTCCTGAGTAGCTGGTATTACAGGCCAGAGACACCTCATCCAGCTAAACCTTTTTTTTCTTTATACACTAAGTATAAAGAATAATAGCAATAAAACATTTTAAATTACATAAGCTGATTCTAAGTTTATATATTATAAGAAATTAACATAGAAGAATAGGCAGGACAGTTCTTTAAAGAAAACAATGAAAACAGACTATCCACAATAAATATTAAAATATATTACAAAGTTCGAAGATTTAGAGTAGTTTCATATAGTTACATAGACAAAAAGTAGGACAGAAGAGAGTCCAGAGATATTTCCCAAAACATACAAAACATCAGTAAATTTGTATGATAATATTTCGTTTTAGTTGGAAAAAGATCAATTATTCATTAAATTAGCTACTTTTTTTTTACTTTTGATAAAAGTAAAAGCACTTTGCTTGGTGCGGTGGCTGACGCCTGTAATCCCAGCACTTTCGGAGGCCAAGGTGGCTGGATCACTTGAGGCCAGGAGTTTGAGACCAGCCTGGCCAACATGGTGAAATCCCATCTCTACTAAAAATACAAAAATTAGCTGGGTGTGGTGGTGCTCTCCTGTAGACCCAGGTACTCAGGAGGCTGAGGCAGGAGAATTGCCTGAACCTGGGAGGTGGAGGTTGTAATGAGCTGAGATCATGCCACTCAGCCTGGGCAACAGAGCAAGACTCTCTCAAAAAAAAAAAAGTAAAAGTGCTTATATCAAACTGCAGTTGGATCAAAGATTTACTATGATACATAAGATGATAACAGTATTCTTTAAGTGTGGAGAATATTTTTTGTAAAATTTAGGTTGAGAAGTCCTTCCCAATCAGGAAGACATTTGACTACATAAAATGTATTAATGCATAAGTATTTTGAGTGACTTTAGAAAATTGTTAACCTATGTGTTAATTTTCTTAAGGAACTCTAATAAAAAATAAGAAGCCTCAACCCAAAAGATAAATTGGAAAATAGTATGATTAGGCAGATTATAGAGAAAGAAGTAGAGATGACTTTTAAACATATGAAGACGGATACAACTACACTTATAATTAAAGAAAAAAAAATCCTACCAGTTTCCATTTCACATTGGGAAGGTTGATCATTTCAGTTAACCATGTTAGGTTTTTGTAGGAGATTGGTCAGGGTGGTGGGAAAAGTTATAAGGAGAGACGCAAACCTTCTTGGAAGTCCTGGGAGGTTTTGCAAAGCTTCGGGAGAGAATAAAGGCTGAAGGCAGCTAAATTCTCTTACCCTGAGGCTAAGGGCAAGTAGTAGGTAACAAAGGAGTGTAAAGGAATTTATCTAGATAAGTTTATTTACTTTTGCCGACCTTTGATCATCCGACCTTTGATCATCCGACCTTTGATCATCTGACCTTTGATCATCTGACCTTTGATCATCCGACCTTTGATCATCTGACCTTTGATCATCCGCGTGCAGGACTGCTCCCTACAGGCGGGGGCAACAACTACCCACAGATTGTGTTGGCTCCAGGCCTTTGTCATTAAATCTGTACTAAATAAATACAAGCAGCTCCAGCTTATTGGGGCTGCGTTCTCTCTTCGGCGTCTCTAAGGCCGAGCAGTTTCCTAGCTGCGCTCACGCAAAATACCTGTGTCTGCGTACTTTTTTCATCCGTCGCTCGGCCAGAGTCGGTGGATCAGACTCAGCAGCTGGTGCCCCTCGTGAGGAACACTGCAAGGGATCACGACGGAACCCCCGAAAATGAAGGCGAAGAGACTGTGCAGTCAGTAAGTCATTGGTGCCCACTCGGGATATCCAAGTTCAGGGGAATTCTCAGACTAGAGTTTCATCATGAGACAACAGCTGTCCGCACAACAGAAACAGTATATAAAAGTATTGAAACAACTGCTTAAAGCTAGCAGAGCCTCGGTTTCACAGGCTCAGTTAAGGGTCCTAAGGCAAACTGTTGTTTCCCATAATCCATGGTTCCCAGCAGAAGGCATGCTGGACCTAGAGCTCTGGGAATAAGTGGGGAGAAATCTTAAACAATACCATAAACAAGGGCAACGGGTCCCAGTAACATCTTTAACCTTATGGGCCTTAGTTAGGGCTGCTTTGGCCCTGCTGTACACAGAAGATCCCAAGAAGGGAAGGGAGAAGGAACCATCACCTACCTTACCGCCGCCTCCTCTTCCCTCAGCCCTGCCATTACTGGGTAAAGATACCAAAGAGGAAACAGAGGTTTTCCCTGAGCCCCCTCCCCCAATAAATTGGAAAAAAGACAAGGGATACACTACAGCTGTGGGACCCTGTCTTAGGCAAGTGGCATTAGAAGGGGAGCTCTTAACCTGCCCGGTAATGCAAGATCAGCAAGGTACTCAGGTATATGAACCCATTTCTTTTGACGCTTATAAAGATAAGAAAAAGCATCAGAGCAAACGGAGCTGCTAGTCCATTTATGAAAGGATTAATTGAAGCCATAGCAGACAACTTCTGTTTGGCCCCATGGGACTGGTCAGTGCTAGCTAAAACAACTTTAGAGCCCAGTCAGTACCTCCTCTGGAAGACAGAGTATGATGAGTTGTATGAACAACAAGCCAACCAGAATCAATTGGCCGGGCAAAACATAACAGCTGCTATGCTTCAGGGGAGGGGTTCCTATGCCAGTGTCCAACAACAATTAAGTTTTGTTCCCTAAGCCTATGCACAAGTGTCTTTGTGTGCTATGAGGGCTTGGGACTGAATTCCCGAATTCCGAAAGCGGAAGTTCAACAAGGATCTTTATAAATGTTCGACAAGGGCCTCAGGAGCCATTTTTTGAATTTATCAATCGGTTAACCCAGGCAATTAAGAGACAAATTAGTCATCCCCAGGCCGCTGATAATCTTATTGTTGCAGTTGGCTTATGAAAATGCTAACGTCGACTGCCAACAAGCAATGCAGGCAGTCAGAGGAAAGGCAGTTACGGCCAGGGAACTTACACGAGCACGTCAACTGGTGGGGACTGAAACACACAAAGCCAAAATATTGGCCATGGCAATAAAGTCTCCTGAAGTGAAAAGGGAGAAAACCCCAAATTGTTTTCTGTGTGGAGAGCCAGGTCATAAGAAGAGGCAGTGCCCCACTAGTAGAGACCAAGGTAACTCAGCAAAAGAACCCCCTTCTATATGCCCCCGACGTAGAAAGGGGAAACGTTGGGCAAATCAGTGCAAGTCCAAATTTGATAAAGATGCCAACCACCTAAGTAATCAGGTGGGAAACTTCATGAGGGGCCAGCCCCAGGCCCTGCTCCAAACTTGGGCAATGCCAGCGGCTTTCCTCGGTCAATTGGAAAGCCCACAGTCCACTCTCTCAGAACAGCCACCTCTGGGAGCGCAGGATTGGGCTTACTCTGCCCCAACGAATTAGTGCTAAAAGGAGAAGACCCTAAAAGGATTGCAACAGGGATCTGGGGCCCACTGCCTCCAGAACAGTGGGATTGGTCCTAGGATGATCAAGCCTATCCAGCAAAGGAATTAATGTGCTCACCAGGGTAATTGATAGTGATTATCAAGATTGAGGTATTAGTTATGATGGAGTGTAAAGGTCTGCATATTCTTCCCCCTAAATCTAAAATAGCTCAGTTACTATTCTTACCGTACTGGGTCCCCAATGCCCAGGGAAAGAGGAAGGGAAGTTTTGGAAGCACGGGAGCCGTAGGAGTGTATTGGAACCAGTTAATCACTGATCAGAGACCCATGATTACCTTAAAAATCGGAAATAAGAATTTTACTGGCTTATAGGATACAGGGGTGAATATTTCGATTATTAGTTATCAAAACTGGTCAGAAACTTGGCCTTGGGTCACTCAGAAACAAAAAATTGTCAGCACTGGCTAAGTGCACACAGCCAAGCAGAGCACACACCCCCTAACGTTGTGATTTGGAGGGAAAAAACAGTTAGCAACTCTAAACATGACTGTCCCTGTTAACCTTTGGGGACGGGACCGATTAGCCCAATGGGGGCTGCAAACCCCTTTCTAATAATGGCCACTGTTGTTATTCTTCCCCTACCCCTGACGTGGTTCTCTCAAGATCCAATTTGGGTAGCACAGTGGCCTTTAAAGGGAGGGAAATAACAGTGAGCCCATGAGTTAGTTCAGCAATTAAAAGCCAGCCATATAGAACCATCAAGCAGCCCTTAGAATTTGCCCATTTTCATCATTCCCAAAAGGTCTGGGAAATGGGGACTTGCATGACTTACGGGCTATCAGTGGCAGTTTGCAACCTATGGGGCCCCTTCAACGGGGCTCCCTTCCCCTGTGGCAATTCTTCAAGATAGGCCTATAGTCGATATTGACTTAAAAGACTGCTTTAATACTATTCCCCTTGCAGAACAGGGCAGAGAACAATTTACATTTACCATACTAGCTATCAGTAATGAAAGGGCAGCTTGCCAATTTCATTGGAAAGTACTTCCTCAAGGAATGCTGAACAGTCCTACCATGTGTCAGCATCATGTAAATCAGGCTTTGCTCCCCAGTAGAAAAAAATTTCCTAATTGCAAGATTATTCATTTTGTAGATGATATTTTACTAGCAGACCCAACAGAGCCAATACTTTTGAGTTTATATGCCTCTGTCGTTAAGATGTTAATCATAGCACCTGAAAAAGTACAGATGTCCTCACCTTGGAAATATCTTAGGTACATACTAACTTCCTGGTCAGTAAGACCTCAAAAGGTTAAATTAAATACTAGCAACTTACATACCTTAAATGATTATCAAAAATTACTGGGTGATATTAACTGGCATCCCCCCACCTTGGGCATAACTACTGATAAATTACAGAACCTGTTTTCTATCCTAAAAGGCAGTGCTGCCCTAGACTCACCCAGGTATTTAACCCCCGCAGCAAAAAGGGAAATTGAGGAAATAGACCAAGTTATTTCTCAGAGACAACTAGATAGCATAGATCCACGATATTCAGTTCAGTTGTTTGTTTTTCCTGCTAAACACTCCTCTACAGGATTAATAGGACAGATGGCCACAGGGCTGCGCTTCCTAGAATGTGTTTTTTGCTCACATACTGGGACTAAAACACTATTTGGCTATATCCAGCTAGTTAGTAAAGTCATCTATATGGGCTGCAGACGATGCAATCTGTGGCTGGGTTATGACCCTGAATGTCATAAGAATTTTCTTGAGTAGAAATTCGAAGTAGTCTTGCTCCATCTCTAGATTTTCAATTAGCACTCTTTGATTATGCAGGCCATATAAAATATGCCCTTCCTGCTGGCAGACTATTTCAGTTCTTATCTCATACTCCTCTAGTTTTGCCAACAAAAGTAGTTCACTCCCTCATACCTAAAGCTTTAACGCTTTTTACTGATGGCTCTGGTAAAAATGGAAAAGCGGCTATTTGGTGGAAACCACATAATTCCCTCACTCAATCTGGATTTACTACCGCTCAGGGAGCTGAGGTTGGAGCCCTAGTACTGGCCCTAGAAACCGAATCCGTTCAGCCCATTAACATTGTTAGTGACTCTGTTTGTTTGTTGCAAAACCTTGAGACCGCCCTCATTAAGTCCACTCTCGAGCCTACCCTGTGTACACCTTTTCTTGGACTTCAGCAATTGCTGGGTCAACATACACAGTTTTATCACACATATTCGAGCACACAGCTCACTGCCTTGCCCACTGGCTTATGGCAGTGATCAAGCAGACCTGCAGCTTATGACGTCACTGCTTGACCAAGCCACCCAGTCGCTTCAGTTTTTCCACCAAAATTAGAGAAACTTAACAATAGCAGCTTACCCAAAGACTGGGTAAACAAATTATCCTGCAGTGCCCAGATTGCCAGCTCACAGGCACATCTCTTCCTTGAACAGGTGTTAACCTTAGAGGACTAGAACCTTATCCATTATAGCAACAGATGTTACACACGTCCCTAAATTTGGAATACTAAGATATGTACATGTATCCATTGATACCAGTTCCTACCTAATTAGCGCACATGCTCTTCCTGGAGAGTCCACACGATACATCATTAAACATCTTTTAACTTTTGCGTTTATGGGGTGGCCCACAAAAATTAAAACTGATAATAATCTGGCCTGTGCCAGCTCACATATTCAACAATTTTGTCACACATGGAGCATCCAACATTCCACAGGCATCCCGTATAACTGACAGGCCATAGTAGAACGTGCCCACTCCACCCTTAAAAATATGCTCAGAAAACAAAAAGGGGAAAATGAGTAAGGACCCTGCAACACTACTAGCACAAGTGTTATTTACCCTTAATTTCTAAAATTTAAATGATAAATTTCAATCAACTATAGAAAAGCACCTTGCTAAAACCTCTCAAGACATAAAACCCGCAGTTTTATGGAAAGATGTAAATAGTAACGTATGGTGTAGTCCAAATGAATTGCTAACGTGGGGAAGATGATATGCTTGTGTTCACACCCCCCTCAGGCCCTCTTTGGATTCCAGTACGATGCATCAGACCATACCATGGCGTGGCTAGGACCCAACACAGTACCAGAAGTGAAGGAAATGATCCTGCAGGACCCGCAGCTCCAGACAACACAGCTTCCTCAGACGACACAAGCCCCGGACATTACCTGGGGGATGCTGAAGAAGACAACTTACAAGGCTGAGCAAATCCTGCTCCAGACACAGAAACCATTCACTCCAGATAATTTGTTCCTTGCTCTGCTCTCTGGTGTAAGTTACAACTCACGTAGGATCCTTTTTATGCTCTCGCTTCCCCTGCAACCCGTACCGGCTACACTCTATTGGGCTCATCTGTTAGATCCGCCTTTCTTACGCCCTGTTACCTGGGCAGGCACCCCCTTCCCAGCCTCTAATAACGTTAACTGCTTGGCTAGGAGGGATTGACTTATCCCAGTAGGGTCCGTTATTAATGGCACACATTGGACTAAGGTGCCAGGTAACACTACATATCACTCCATTATCTTCCCACTGTGTGTAAGGTTACTATGTACCTGCCGAAACACAATTATGGCTACAAATGGCAAAGGAATTGCCTTAACATTCTTGTGCCAGTAGCCTCAAACCGGGCAAGGCAATCAGTGCCACTTTCCCCAGCATTCTTCCCTGTGCTAAAGAACAAAGCCAGGAAAGTAATGGATTCCACTTTGGTTGGGAGGTCTGTCACGGGGGACAAGCCCTTAGTCTCCAGTTAGGCAATTTAACATCTTAGACTGGAGCCCCCACGGTCATTTACAGGGCGACCATACTGATGTTTGCATCCATTGTGGTGTCAATCTTAGTTTCATAGCCATGTCCGTTCCCCTGTGATTTGGGCCAAAGGGGGGATGGGATATCCCAGACCCCAAGTAGAGTCCTTGCCACCCCAAGACACTTAATGGCATCTGGGACATCTTAGCACCACCCTTAACACCTGGCATGGGACATAACATAATTCCAGTAACAATTATACTATGACCTTTATGCATAATCACACAGATCAGTGCCTGATTTGCACTACCCATCCATATGTTTTTCTTATGGGAACCAGTATTTCCATTACACCTCAAAACTCCATGTTTGTGACCTGAGTGCAAGGACAGGCTTGCTTCACCTCATGTATCATTAATTACAATATATCTAATTTAAATATTACTAGTATTATGGTATTAAGGAGACAATCTGAGGCATTCCTACCAGTCAGTTTGATACACGATTGGCAAGGTTCCTTTGCTCTTGCCACCTTAGAACATGCCCTGTCCCAGGTCAGACACCAAAGATTCATAGTTAATCTTACAGCCTTTATAGTCTCAGCCATAGTCATCCTAGCAACTGCTAGTTTTGCTGTAGCATCTATTACTGAATCAGTACAAATAGCTGCTTTTGTAGATAACTTGGCCAGAAATGTGTCTAATGAACTTCTCTTACAGCAGGGTACAAATCAAAAGGTTCTTGCACATCTGCAAGCCCTCGAGGCTGCCTTGGAACATGTAGGGGAGTGACAAGATGCGCTGGCATTCTGACAGCAATTAAACTGTGACTGGGAGCATAAGCATATCTGTGTCACCTCTCTACCATGGAACCAATCAATACATAGTTGGGATGAGGTGAAACAACACCTCGGGGTGACCTTACATGATAATTTAACAGCAGACGTAAAGCAACTTAAAACTAAAATTCTAGAATCCCTAAACGCCATAGATCTACATGTCCAACAAACAGTTATATGGAAGGATGTGCAAGAACATCTCTCCTGGATAGACCCTCACTCCTTGATTGGAAAAAAATATTACTAATTATACTCATGTTTGTCTTATGTTATTTACTAATTCTAGGATGCAAAGCCGGAATACGAGCAGTAATCGCTACGCCTGACAAACCTGCTGCTGTGCACATCTGTACTCTTCAATCAACAAAACCTGATGCAAAAAACAAAAGGGGGAGATGTAGGAGATCAGTCAGGGTGGTGGGAAAAGTTATAAGGAGAGACGCAAACCTTCTTGGAAGTCCAGGAGGTTTTGCAAAGCTTCGGGAGAGAATAAAGGCTGAAGGCAGCTAAATTCTCTTACCCTGACGCTAAGGGCAAGAAGTAGGTAACAAAGGAGTGTAAAGGAATTTATCTAGACGAGTTTTATTTACTTTTGCAGACCTTTGATCATCCTATTGCGCGCAGGACTGCTCCCAAGGCGGTGGGGGTGACAATTACCTACAGATTGTGTTGGCTCCAGGCCTTTGTCATTAAATCTGTACTGAATAAATACAAGCGGCTCCAGCTTATCAGGGCTGCATTCTCTCTTTGGTGTCTCTAAGGCCGAACAGTCCCCTAGCCGCACTCATGCAAAATACCTGTGTCTGTGTACTTTTTTCATCCGTCGCTCAGCCTGAGTCTGCAGGTCAGACTTGGCAGGATTTTGACTTGATATATTGTGTGTGTTTGGAAATGGGGAATAATTCCTATGCTTATGTACTGTTGATGGGAATATTAATTGGTTCAGCCTTTCTGAAGGTCAGTCTAATGTTACTTGTTAAAATTTAAATCTGTATGCCTTTTGATACATCAAGTCCATATCTAAGAATTTGCCCCCATAGTAATTCCATGGACATACAAAGATGAGTATAGGGCTGTTTCTTGCAGGGTTCTTTCGAAATTATTGCTAGGTTGACTTTTAACTAAATCCAAGTGATGTTATTTGTAATGTAGTACTTAAATGTTTTTCTTGTTGTTTTAGCCAAAACTGGACAAGCCAAGGCATCTGTAGCCAAAGTAAACAAATCTACAGGTATGTTTTTTTAATTAGGATTCTAGACTATTAGTTAAAACTTTAATGTATTTTAAAATCGTATGGCAGTAGTAGTCTTGGATTTCACATGACATAGTCTGTATTGAATGCATGCTAATCTTTGAGATTTATAATCATCTAGCAATTTTGAGAAATGATATGTACTAGATAATGCTTCTATAGTAATTATTGAAATAATTAACTGGAGAAATTTCTTATGATGAGTATCACATATTTTCCTCTTTCTCTTTTATTGAGGTCTCTCTTCTTCCTTACTTTTATATAATAGTTCAATAAATATGATCCTTTGTAGTTTTTGTGAGCTATAGTGGGATTTTAGGTAATTATTAAGTTTTTTCTCTTTTCCCTGGCATAATCCTTTCCAGTTTTTCTCCCAGTTCTGCTAAATCCTGATTAATTCAGGGTCATCTCTTTAAGTGGATAGAAATCAATGTATTAAATTATCTTTCAAGCCAGGCATGGTGGCTCACGCCTATAATCCCATCACTTTGGGAGACCGAAGAGGGTGGATCACCTGAAGTCAGGAGTTAAGTCCAGCTTGGCCAACGAGGTGAAATTCTGTCTCTACTGAAAATACAAAAAAACTAGCCAGGCACCAGTGATGCACGCCTGTAATCTCAGCTACTGGGAAGGCTGGGGCAGGAGAATCGCTTGAACCCGGGAGGTGGAAGTTGCAGTGAGCTGAGATCTTGCCACTGCACTCCAGCCTAGGGGACAGAGTGAGACTCTGTCTCAAATAAATAAACAAACAAATAATCTTTCATATAATGTTAAAAAGGAAAGGAAACAGCCTGGAACTGGCAAAAATCATTATTAGTGGCAGATCCAGAATTTTCATATAGTAGTTTCATAGAAGCAGTAATTTGAGTGGGTTATGGGTGGCTAGGAAACTTGTCTTGAAGCTGCATTTATTTTGCCAACACTTTGATGTTACTTTGATACCAAGTGTATGGGAGTCATTGGGGATGTGGTAGACTGGGATTAAGCTGATGGCCACCCCTTTACTTGCTGGAAATTAATGCCAGCTATTTTTTATTTTTTCCTTAAGTCCCAGTACCCAGATAGAAGTGATTTGTGATAATAACATAGGGATAGTGAAAGAAATATCTTAAGGGCTCACTGAGGCTCAGTTTACTGCAGTGTGGCAAAAGTCGTGAATGACAAGTTACGTGACAAGCTATAAGGATTTGTATTGCTCTTTTTGAGCAAAGATTATGGACTGTCTTGACTATAAAGGGTGGATTTGTAAACTTTCAGTTGATTTTTTTAGATGTCAATGAATGCTTTTTGTATGATTTTTAAAAGTATGATTGTATTCTCATAACGTTCCTGTTAGGTAATTTTGGCAATCACCACCCTTATGTATAGGGAAATGTGTACACAAATCTGTTCGTGCCCCAAAGCTTCTCAATAAAAATTGGAATTCAATTTAGATCTATTGATTTTTTATCTTGGGCTTTTTCCTCATCCATTCTCGCTAGTTGTTATGAATCCTAATTTCGAAGTTAAATCTTCTGTTGCTCTCTGAATGGTGGAAAGGGTTTGGGCTCTCTGATGATCTTCTGCAACACTTTCATGATCACATCTTTATAAACAGTATCATCTTGGAAAATAGGCCATAGTAATAGATAATGTAGGTACAAATAATGGTCAGAGCAATTTAAATAGTACTGTACAGCTAGGAAACTGTAGGAATGAGTCAAAACAATCTTTATATGACCTGACTATGATATAAGTATTCTTGAATGCTTTCTAATCAATTAGGAGCCGTGGAAGTGTGGGTTGGGAGGATCTAGGTTTAACTGCTTTTGGAACTGCTCAAAGTATGGGATTGTTTTTGTGTCCTTGGAATTAGTAATTTTGCTTCTAGTTGATCCACACATTCAGAAATTTATTTAACTTGCATGAATGCTATTTTAAGTACAGGTTGAGTATCCCTTATCCAAAATGGTTGGGAGCAGAAGTGTTTTAGATTTTGGATTTTTTTTCAGATTTTGGAATATTTGCATATATATAATGAAATATCTGGGGGATGGGAGCCAAGTCTAAACGTGAAATTCATTTATGTTTCATATACACCTTATATACATAGCCTGAAGGCAATTTTATACAGTGTTTTAAATAATTTTGTGCATGAAACAGTTTTTTTTAAGTACTTACATGGGAATTTCCCTCTTGTGGTGTCATGTCAGCAGCACTCGGGGTTTCAGGTTTTGGAACATTTCAGATTTTGGATTTTCAGTTTAGGGATGTTTGACCTATACCCCAGTAGGGAGGTAAATATCTTATTTCAGTGATTTCTTTTTTCTGAAGAAATTATCATCATTGCTAGATTTAGAAAATGGCCTATGTCCCCAAAGATGATAGCATTTTATGTTTTGAATAAAACACAGCCTATTATTCTTACATCTTTTTCTCTGTGAGGTTCTTTGGAGATTGTTGATACTAGTTAAGTAAACCAGTTTTGACTGCATCTTTTGTGATTTAGGGAAATCAGCAAGTTCTGTAAAATCTGTGGTAACGGTAGCTGTTAAAGGTAATAAAGCTTCAATCAAAACAGGTAAGACTATTGGGGAGGAGAGATTTTATTGTTTATTCTTTATTTATGTTTTAAATTCGTATAATAATTTTTAGCATCTAATACTTGAAGAGTTTAGTAGATATTTCCTTGATATTTAAAACCTGACCCATTTTGTTGGAATTTTATCTTTGGCAGATAGGCAGATATATTTTTGTGCATGTAAACAATCACATATATATAAAGCTATATAACTGTACATTTTTGACAGCTTTGTAATCACAGGTTGCTCTGTCGTTTCCCTCCATAAATGGTTTAATCTTTGTTTCCTTCGCTTTTTTTAGAGTTGTCAATTCATATTGCCCTCTCCAGTTTGTACAGTTTCTTAGATGCTTGTTACTTTTAAAAAGGATGTTAGGAGAATTCATTTTTTTTCATAAAGAAATGGAACACTATTTAAAATAAATTTAGCACCTTGCAACTAGAGCAATCTTTTTAGTAGTACCTTTCCTAACAGACTAATTCTAAAGAATCTTTGCAGAAATTACACAGTATTATTTTTGCGTGTGTGTGATTACAATGTTGGTCTGCCACATGAAGGTTAAACATGTGGCTCATTTGACGGCATCACCAAAAAGTTGTATCTTGATTTAAATTTGCTTTTAATCTTACTGGGAAAGAGGTACTGAAAATAAATAGAAATAATGACTATGTGGAAAAGAGCTGCTTTTGTAATAAAGTCAAACTAATTTACTAATACATTAGTGTGAAACATGCTAAATGATTTAACAAGACCTTTAGAATAATGGCTGACTGTACTTTTACAAGCAAAATCTGGTGGAAAGAAGTCTCTAGAAGCCAAAAAGACTGGGAATGTCAAAAACAAAGACTCTAACAAACCTGTGACTATACCAGGTAAGCTTGAAATGTGGTCATTCAGTGCTTTGTTTTCTTTTCTTTTTTTTAACTTTTTAAGTTCAGGGGTACATGTGCAGGTTTCTTACATAGGTAAACGTGTCATGGGGGTTTGTTGTACAGGTTATTTCATCACCCAGATATTAAGCCTAGGACCCATTAGTTATTTTTCCTGATCCTCTCCTTCGTCCCATCCTCCACCTTCCAATAGGCCCCAGTGTGTTGTTTCCCTCTATGGGTCCATTTATTTTCTTTAGATCATCTTTAAGGTATATTTTGAAATTTTGCCTAAAAATTATCAAAGTGGGGATTGCTGTCTTTTGTTTTTCAAAGAGAGATGTTTGGCTTATGTCAGGTCAGCCTAAGGAGACTTGAAATGTCAAACTAGCTTAAGTTCCTGTTTAGATTCATTAGTTTAATTATATTAGTGTTTTACTAGACTATTAAAGCAGACTATTTCATGCAGAAAACTCTGAAATAAAGACCAGTATTGAAGTCAAAGCCACTGAAAACTGTGCTAAAGAAGCTATTTCTGGTAGGTCAATAGAAATTTTATTTTGTTCTTTACTTATTTTAATTACCAATGCCATACCTAAGTGAAATTAAGAGTATTACGATTCATGTCTTTATCTCTTAATCTGAAATTTTGATCTCAGAATGAAATTTAAATGTATTTTTTAAAAGCCAATGTCACTTTTGTAGTCATTTTGTACTAATTCTCTAGACTTGTTGTATTACACGTTTTCATGTAGCTACTGTTTAACCTATTGTGGAATAAAGTAGGATCTTGATAAGTATGTCTGCATTGTTTTTAATTTTATTTTGTATTAAGATGCTGCTTTGGAGGCCACAGAGAATGAACCACTTAACAAGGTCAGTTTTCATGTTTTATTTATTTCTTTAAAGCTCAAGACATTTTAACAAAAGATATTTTTCTTATAAACCCAGGTAAAAAATTCATGGTATTTGGCATGTGAGAAATTCCAGTCATTTGTGACTTTTAAAACATGATTTTTAGAAAGGAAAAGAGAAAAAAATGTGATTTTAGCTCAAAAACCCTGAGGTGCAGAGTAAGTCACAAAAAGTAGGAACAGATCATCAACAAATGTACATGTTTTTTGAAGATTACTTTTCATTTGCCAAAATGGGTTTTGGGTAGACAGTAGTTGGTTAAATTAGAATCAGTAGAATTTTGTGAAGTCTATTTTTTTCTTAGAGGTAAATGGGAGATATGTTAATGGTTAGAATACCAGTTGTTTGCATTTATGGGGAAGCAAGTGGAGTTTGCAGTTTAAAGGACATGAAGTTCACTTAATATATTGTTTTCTTATGTTTATATCTATTATTATTAATACATTACAATCATTAATTTACATTTTACTGGTGCAGGTTTTTAGATCCTTCAGGTGTTGAGCATAAGTTTTTGTCTAGTAGATCCATTCTTCAAGTAGTAACTAAGTAGTAAGTCTTATTTTAGGAAGAGTATTTTATAGCACCAATTTAGTGTAAAGTCACACTAAACTGGTTTATGAAGATTGTAACTTCCTGCCTTTTTTTCCCCCTAGATATCAAAAATTGCCAAGTTGACTATAGCACATCATCTTTAGAAATTTTCCCAGTAAGCATGAAAGGAGTAATTGGCATTGATGAGAGAGTTACCTTGAAGAATAAAATGGATCTGAGAGAAGGGATGGCAGAAAACAAAAGTGCTTAATTGCATTGAGGATTGGGTTGTGGGGTAAAGATTCTCAGGAGCTTTTTTATTATGTATTGCCTAAGTGATTATCTTATTCAGGAAGATAAAAGGATACACACTGATTTGGAGCTTGGGGATATTATCACAAGGCACAGGGATGGCGACAGTATATGAAAGGAAGCAGTTGTAGCCAAAAACAAATGAACTTGTGTTTTAAAACAGTGGGTGACAGCTGCTTGGGTGGCTGAGACACAAGAATCACTTGAACCTGGGAGACAGAGCTTGCAGTGAGCCGAGGTTGTACCACTGCACTCCAGCCTGGGCAACAGAGCAAGACTAAAAAAAAAAAACAGTGGGTGAAAAAGAGTCCAGCAGACCTCGACTAGATGACAGATGGTATAACTACAATTAGTCTGTACTCTTGAAGAGTGTAAATTTGCAAGCTTTTTTGCTTTTCTTTTTAATTTGAGGTTCAGACCAGCCTCTTGAGTTTATCAGACTTTCCTCAGTATTAAATGCAACAATATACTAATATAACATGATACACAGTATAAACTTAAGTAAATATGAAACAAAGAAATTTTAATAACAGGTTTTAAAAATTTGTTTTGAAGGAAACAGAAGAAATGTGTGTGATGCTTGTCTCTAATTTGCCTAATAAAGGATATTCTGTAGAAGAAGTTTATGACTTAGCAAAACCATTTGGTGGTTTAAAGGATATCTTGATTTTATCATCTCATAAAAAGGTAAGAGTTGATTAATAGCTGTTCATATCCTCTGCAAGCATGCATGCTTTGAAAAACATTAAATTTACAAAACTAAAAAGAAAAGGTTTAAAAGCAGTATCTCAAAGTAAACTTTCAAGCTAAGGGATTTTAAAATATAAAACACAGATATCCTGTATTTTAGTATTGTTGTAACGAGACATAGTTTTAATGATGGGGACAAATGGCTTTCTAATATGTCAAAGTTCTACTCAAAATTTTAGTTTAATAGGAAACGTTTTATATCTTCAATATGTTTAATAAATATATCTTTTACTATGTTATGTTAATATGTTTAATAGTAGGAAATGTTTTATATCTTTAATATGTTTAATACATAAGTATATATATGAGAAAGAACTTACACCAGCAGCCTTTATCTATTTTGGCTTTTTAGGAAGCTATATTTATAAGATTCGTAGATCATTCTTCTACTTGTATTTCATACTCTTTCTGCTCTTATCAGTGATACTCAAATGGGAAGTAACCATTTTCAGACTCAGACTAATGATGTCATCAATACTTAAAACAATCTAGGTTTATCTTTATGTTCTAAATTTTCTATAAGCATCTGTTGGCTTTGTATTTTTAAAACAACACATTAAAATGTATGTTAATAATCAACTTGTAGAAAGTATGTTTAATTGAGCGAGATTTCAGGAAATAGTTTAAATCATGGAAATGACACCATTAGAATAGTGGGAAGAAGTGTTCTTACGTTAGAGAGGAGTTGGTAGTCACTAGAGATCTTTGAAAGTAGAATAGGATATATGTTTTGAGGCACTCCGAGCCAATTTGCTTTAGAAAATGGTAGAAGAGAGTGAGTACAGGTGAGTTATGTGTAATTTCACATTATGTTAAAAGTAGATTATTTGAATGATCGCAGAGCTCAGTAAATACACTAAAACCCATTGCATTGTGTACAGTGGTTGAACTTTAAACCTAAGTTATGTGCCCAGTTTTGAGTGGAGTTGAGTAAAATTATTAAAATATTTGGAGACTTAATGAAAATACTTTAAACATTTATGAAATTAAAATTAACATAAAATGAAAATTTAAAAACTAAGAGTATTTGTTTAAAAAAGGGAACAGGATTCACATCTACATTATGCTGTAACATTAAAACTACAATAAATAGATAAACAACCTTAAGAGATAATTCATTTCAAATAGGCTTACAACTGTAAGCAAACATACAGCTTTCTACCTCATTAACTATCAAATATATGGAAGAAGTTTCAACCTCTTTACTTACCAAGGTGTGAAAATTAAAAGCAAAATGTATGGAGCTACAGTTTTACACCTATGAAAATAACAAAATGAAAAATGACTTCACAATTGTTACACGTTTCTTTGGTTTTTTCATGTCTCATATTTCTCATATTTTATCAATTTATTTACTCAAGAAATACTAATATTGATTAGAAATATATCTGCTACATGCCAGATACTGCTCTATGTACTAAGGATACAGTTTGAATAAGATTTTTCTTAATGTCAGTGGCTAGAATGTCTCTTCTTTTTTCTCTCTTTAGTTTGCCTTAGTATAGTAAGTTTATTCATTCTTTATTTCTTGCTTATGGTTGTAATATTCTTAGTCTTTGGGCCTCAATTTTCTGAGGACTGCATTTTTTTATCTTTAAAATATTTACTAAGTTGTTCAATCCACTTGACGTTTGAAGTAGTTTGTTTATACTTGCAAGTCTGTTTTTGAGAAAAAGTAACATAAGATTTTTCTTGTTACCTTAATTTCTGTTTTAAAAGGCATATATAGAAATAAATAGAAAAGCTGCTGAGTCTATGGTAAAATTTTATACCTGCTTCCCAGTATTGATGGATGGAAATCAACTCTCAATAAGTATGGCTCCTGAAAACATGAATATAAAAGATGAGGTAAATCAGACCACCATTTTTACTAGCTCTTACTAAGTTTTTAAATCAGATTTGTTACAGTCTGTTATGTTTTCTAGTTTTCCACTTTGGTTCACATTTTTCTCACAGACACTGAGAAAGCTTCTTCCTGTCCCTCCAACAATCACCCAGTCACCCATCCCACTGTTTGAGAGTTACTTTCATAGTGAGGGAATCCTATTCTTCATGTATGTTGGGATGGAAAAAAGGTTGCATTTTGTCTAAAGACAGGTTTCTCTCTTATCTTTCTGCCATTATCTGTCATCTAAACTAGAATTCTGGAAGTTATCTTTAATTTTTTTTCTCTCATTTCTTAAATTTAGTTCCTTGTAAATCTTGTTTAACTCAGTGAGCTTGTTCCCTCTTCCTCATCCCATATACCATTGCTTTATCTCTTAAAAACTCTTACTGGTCCAGGTATGGTGGCTCACGCTGGTGATCCCAGCACTTTGAGAGGCTGAGGTGGGAGGACTGTGTGAGCCCAGGACTTCAGGACCCAAGACCAGCCTGGGCAACAAAGTGAGACCCCATGCCTACAAAACTTAAAATAATTAGCTGGGCCTGAAGGCGCACACCCGTGGTCCCAGCTCCTCAGGATGCTGAGGTAGGAGGATCCCTTGAGCCTAGGAGTTTGAGGCTGCACTGAGCTGTGATTTTACCACTGAACTTCAGCCTGGGTGACAGAGGGAGACCTAGTCTCTAAAACAAACAGACCTCCTCCTGGACCTTTTGTATATACAAAAGTAATTGTCTTTTGTACATACACGCTACCTTCAGTTTTATAAAACTCCTTTGAGTTCTCAGCTTTTATCTCATGTACACACCCTTCAGTGCCTCTATGTGACCTATAAACATTTACTGTCAACTGCTAAGAAGCATGAGGTAGAAATATTGTATGCATCACATGAGGTAGAAATATTATATCCTTTCTAGAGGCAGGTAGAAATGCATGTAATGTAAAAATACCTTTCATTAAGAATCACTCTAATGTGATGTAATTGGCAAGATTGTTTTATACACACCAGTAGTATCAACAAGAAAAAAAAAGTTTAGGATCCTCAGTCTTATAAAGTCCAAGTTCCTTTGCCGCACACAAAGCCTTCCATTAGTTGTCCTCTGCCTGCTTTGATATCCTTGTTCCCTGATGTTCTTGGCCTCTTCATAATTCAGTAGCATCAAATCTGCATTTATGCTCTGTGCTGTTTTATTTGCCTGCATTTCTGTTCTTTCTCATCTCCTACTTTGCTTAGTTAACTTTTCTTTTGTAATTTGAATTCTCTTCCTGTTGTCTAAATTAAATCTCTATTCCTTCTGTGAATTTGAATGTCTTTTCTAAATGGTACTATCTTATTAGTCTTTTATATTCTTAGGGGAATAAGAAGAATTAAATTGTATGGGTTAGAATGAGGCTTGTTTAGGAGAGAAAGATTTTTGGAAAGAATGTAAATCTTGCTGCTTCTTAATTTTATAAAATACTTTGTAATGCATATTTGTATAGATTGTCATGTTATAAATCTTAACTAAGTAAGTATTTGTATGAGAAAGAGCTTATACCATCAACCTTTATCTATTTTTGCTTTTTAGGAAGCTATATTTATAACCTTGGTAAAAGAAAATGACCCAGAGGTAAGTTTTGCATTTAAATGCTTTTGTATACTTATTTAATTGATGGAAACATTGTTTTACTTGTTTGCCTTTTAGGAATTAAAACCTTAGAACTAATTTTAAGATATTGAGGTGATGGAGATGTCAGATGGGTCTTCTTGGTAACAATAAAAAAATAAAGGTTTCTTGTAGTACTTGATGCGAAAAAATTTTTCAGGTACTGGAGTGCATATTAAGTGGTCTAATAGGTCAATATCTTGTCTGAGGATGTTTTGGGTAAACGTTATGTTGATAGTAGAAAT
This sequence comes from Homo sapiens, assembly GCF_000001405.40. Classification (NCBI taxonomy): domain Eukaryota; kingdom Metazoa; phylum Chordata; class Mammalia; order Primates; family Hominidae; genus Homo; species Homo sapiens. The sequence continues at coordinate 71,405,924 of NC_000002.12, forward strand.
ATTATACTTCCCATTTTAGTACGTCATTTTACTGATTACTCGTACGTAAAATTAAGACCTCACTGTCTTCCCCCATGTAGTCATTTTCTTACTCTTGGGAGAGAACATCATCTGACCTCTGTAATAGTAAGTTAATGTTAATCTGTTTTACCGTTTGTTGCTTCAGCTGTGGTTTTTTCTGTGCTGTCTCTTAAAAAACTACAGGCAAACATAGATACAATTTATGATCGATTTGTACATCTTGATAATTTACCGGAAGATGGACTTCAGTGTGTACTTTGTGTTGGACTTCAGTTTGGAAAAGTGGATCACCATGTATTCATAAGTAATAGAAACAAGGTAACAAGTTCCCTCATAATTTAGCTATTCATTCTGTAAAGAATGTATAATAACCCTGTATTCTGACAATCTGCAACTTCTGATCTGAAGCACCTGTAAATATTACTCAACCACTTCGCAGAATTATTATAAACCAGAATATTTTATTTTGGACTGGGCCGAGAAAGAAGAGATGACCTCTCTTTTTTCAGAACTCCTAGTTTTTAAGGAAAAATAAGACTTACGCAAGGGGGAAAGGTAATATAGTGTAGACAGCATTATCTTACTGGGAAGTTTAGACCTGAGTTCCTTTGGCTCTGATTTTAACTATCTTTGTGGTCTTGGCTAAGTTGGTTTACACTTACTTGTAAAATGAAAGGGGTATTACCCAATATTTCTTTAAGTCCCTTCCAGCTATGAAACACCTGAGTTAGGTCTATTTGTTTGTTTATATGGAAAGAGAGAGATAAAATAATTGCTGGATGCAGTGGCTCACCCCTGTAATCCCAGCACTTTGGGAGGCTGAGGCGAGGGGATTGCTTGAGCCCAGGAGTTTGAGACCAGCCTGGGCAACATAGTGGGATGTCGTCTCTACAAAAAGTTTAAAAATTAGCTGGGCATGGTGACGTGTGCCTCTGGTCCCAGCTGCCTGGGAGGCTGAGGCAGGAGGATGGTTTGAGCCCAGGAGTTGGAGGCTGTAGTGAGCTGTGTTCACGCCACCACACTCCAGCCTGGGTAACATAGCGAGACCCTGTCTCAAAAATAAAGTAATCATTCCTTACTTTCATGATTTGGCCTCTTAACCAAAAATTATTCATTTATTTACATTTGGTATGCCTTCTGTATTTAATATGTATTTCAGCTACATGTTCATTAAAATTAAATTTTTATCAGCCATATATTACCTAGAAAGGCAGGGTTTTACATAAAAGTGGACAATATTCATAAAAAGCACTTAATTAACCAACAACTAGATAATTTCTTTGATATGCTTCTGATAAATAGAGCATAGAATGGAATATGATAAATAGTGTGACATAGAATGGAAGGTGGGGCACAGATGGCACATAGGAATTCTGAACCTTTCTTGTAAACATTTTTAATCCTCTATTTAAAAGAATACCTATCATTCTCTTCAGTTTTGCCTTGGCTTTACAACATTTTAAGGATTGTTTTCTCTTGTTTCCTTTAAATAAGGATTAACCTTACCTTTGTAGTCATATATCTGAAACCTGAAAGAAGAATATATTCCAAACTTTTAAAACAATTAAAAACATTTTTATTGTAGTAAAATACACAAATTTTACCGTTTGTAAGACATAAATTTAACATTTTAATCATGTTTAAGTGTTTGTTCACTGATATTCAGCACCTTCACATTGTGCAACCATCACCACCATCCATTTGTGAACTTTTGTCTCCTCAAACTGAAGTTTTCTATCCTTTTGACAATAACTCGCCATTAATTCAGCCCTTATCAACCATTATTTCTGTTTTTATAAATTTAGTTACCTCATGTATGTGGAATTATATTTGCTTTTTTGTGACTGGCTCATGTCACTTAGTATAATGTCTCTAAGGTTCATCCATGTTGCAGCATGTGTCAGATTTTTCTTCATTTTTAAAGCTGAGTAATAATTCTGTTTTACGCATGTAACACATTTTTATATCCACTCATCCATTGATGGACAGTTGGGTTGCTTCTCCCTTTGTCTGTTGTGAATAATGCTTCTGTGAACATGGGTGTACAAATACATGTTTAAGTATCGGCTTTCATTCCTTTTAGGTGTATACTAAAAAGTGGAATTGTTGGATTATGTGGTTATTCTAATTCCAATTTTTTTAAAGAACTATTCATAACTTTTTAATCTTCTCCAAAGGCAATTCTTCAGTTAGATAGTCCTGAATCTGCTCAGTCAATGTATAGCTTTCTGAAACAAAATCCACAAAATATTGGTGACCATATGTTGACCTGCTCATTATCTCCAAAGATAGACTTACCAGAGGTAAGATTTATCTTTCTTCAGCTTTTGTGATTTTAGAAAATACAGAGAACATAAAGGTCATTCTCAGGTAGTAGTCAAACTGTTTCTGTGTTTAGAGATGATTTTTATAATTTGTGTTGCAATCAGTGTTCCAATTTTCATAGTTTATAAAGCAGTATAAATTTGTCTAAATGAGAATAAAGAAATTTTCAACAATGTAACATATATGCATTTTTGAATACTTACTGTTGACATGTAGGTATCTACATTTTTGTGTATAGTGACTCTTTGTATGTAACATGATTGTCTCCAGAATGCAGCTACTTTGAATCCATTTTGGCTTCCTCTGGGTAGAAAGAAGTTTGTTTTATTCTTCTTTTTGTTTCAGTTACATTTATTATAAACTGTTTTTGTGTTAAGAAATAAGATTTCACAGGTTCTTGGCCTACACAGTAGTACATGTAGGAAAGCTATGGATAGTCCACCTTTGAAAGCATTAAATTCAAACTCAATCTATTTTCTCCTTCTATTCCATTGTATGCTGATATCAGAGGTAAGTAATAGGACCTTATATGTGGTGTCCTTGTGTTGTCAATCTGTTAAAAATCTTGCACTATCTAAAGAAAAAGGCAATTTCATCATCTAAATCTAAATTAGAGTATCTTTAAGTAAATGTATTATGATAGGTACCAGTTTAAGCACAAATGAGTGGCTCATTTCACTTGATAATTTCAGAAAAAAATATATAAAAGTTTTTAGCTATTCCTCAGCAGAACATGCATTTTTAAAAAGTTGTCATTTATATTTTTCAAGCTGTTATTCAGTTGTGTTCAACTAAATTCAAAATTAAACACTGACTGTACAGAAATCCTTATCCCAGAAATATAGTCCCAAATTCTTAGAGTTAAAAGAAAATTAAAGAAGTGAAAATTTACATAAACTTCTGCCTGAATTGGTACTTCACTTCCTAAGTGCTTACCCAGAACCTTATTCGTATAGTTTAAGTTGGATAACACATATGGCTTATTTGTAACAGTTTTTAATTGACTACTATTTAAAATGAGTTAATAATCAACTCTATATTATCTTCTCTTCAACACTTACTGTTTTTGTTAGACTGAAATGTTACTTCTTTGTGTAGTATGTGTGACCTTTATTTCAATATCTATAGTTAGCTTGTATACAAAGCATGTAGCACTCCATTCTAAATACTGAAAACTAGTAGCTGCATTTTTGGTATCATGATTATGAAGATATTTACTGCAGAATTAAGTAATAATGAGAATGGGTTTATAAAGAAGGCAATATGTGTGTCCATAACCTCTACACTCACAGGTGAGTTTCTTATATTCCCAGTCATTTCTCAAAATGGCGCCACATTTTCATTTTCATAAGTAGGTAGATTATGGTTTTCTTGTATGGTTTAGGGTTTGTATCTTGTTGAAAGGGGGAAAAATGACAGTCTTCATGTTACTGTGATCATCTGTGTAACTTAATTACTATTTGTTGAATGGAGTCTCCTTTCAGAGCTATTCTTGTGACTCTTTTCTAAATTTAGGGTCATTTGCTTTGTCGACCAATTATATACACCTTTGGTTTTCTTTCATTGTTTTTCTGAGTCATGTCTGTTTTTTCTTGGATTCTGTCACGTCACAGGTGGTTTTTCTGTTTGCTAGAGTACATTCTCAAGTATTTTTTTTACCCCAGAAAGTATGTGGAGGCAGTACATTTTCTGAAATTCTGCATGTTTGAAACTGACTTTATTTTGCTCTTACGTATTTCATTGATTGATTGTCTAGATGTAAAATTCTGTGCTTAGGCTATTTTTCCTTTGATTGTTTTTAGCATCCAGAATCCAGTATTATTGAGGAGAAGTCTGATTTAGATCAAAACTATTTTGTTCCTCTGAAAGGTTTTAGGATTTATATTATTAATTCTTTAAACTAGTTTGTTTTTCTGTTTGTTTGTTTTAAAGACGAAGTCTTAACTCTGTCACCTGGGCTGGAGTGCCATGGTTCAATCATGGCCCACATGATTTAAACCTTAACTCCTGGGCTTAAGCGATCCTCTCACTTCAGCCTCCAGAGTAGACTATAGGGGCATGCCACCATGCCCGGCTAACTTTATTTTATTTGATTTTTGATTTTTTTTTTGTGTGTGTGTGTGTGTAGATGGGGTCTCATTGTGTTGCCCAGGCTGGTCTCAAACTTCTGGCCTGAAGTGCTCCTCCACCCTGGGCCTTCCAAAGTGTTGGAGTTACAGGTGTGAACCACTGTGCTTGGCCCTAAACTAATATTTATCTAATTCCTTTTCTCTATGCTAACACTATTTTAGGTATTAGAATACCATGATGAACATTGTTTCAATGTCCTAGTTCTCAAGGATTATATTTTAGTGGAGGAGATAGACTATAAACAGATATAAAAGTGGTAAAAAGACTGTGAATAAATAAATTGAGATAAAAAGAGAATGATTAATGTGGGGAATGTGTATCTTAAAGTGGTCAGTGATAGTCCCTCAGCAGAAGAGTTATTTGAGAGACCTGATGGAAGAGAGCAAGCTCTAAGAAAATTTCAAGGGGAGATTTTTAGGCAGAAGAACCAGATCAAAGGCTTTAGGGACATACTTGGTGATTCCAGAATTTCTAAAGAGAGGGTTGGTATTGCTAGTCCAGTGAGTAAGGTTTTTTCTTGGTTTGGGACTCATTTCCTGCATCCTGCTTTTAGAGCAGGAAGTTTTTCTCCCCACCCACCACCTCCCCCCCCCTTTTTTTTTTTTTTTTTTTTGTCGAGATGGAGCCTGGCTCTGTTGTCCAGGCTGGAGTGCAGTGGCGTGACCTCGGCTCACTGCAGCCTCCACCTGCCGAGTTCAAGCAATTCTCCTGCCTCAGCCTTCCGAGTAGCTGGGACTACAGGCACGCCCTACCATGCCCACTAATTTTTTTTGTATTTTTAGTAGAAATGGGGTTTCACCATGCTGGTCAGGCTGGTCTCGAACTCCTGACCTCATGATCTGCCTGCCTCAGCCTTCCAAAGTGCTGGGATTACAGGGATTAGCCACCATGCCTGGCCCCAGGGAAGTTTTTCTATTATTATTTTTTGATTTATTTCCTTCAATTTTTAATATTCTGTTTTTCTGGAAATAATACCAGCACTGATTTCATAGATGCTGTATTCTCTTGAATTTTTCTGAGGATGTTCTTTTGAGTTTTTTATTTTTTTTATTTATTTTTTATTTTTTATTTTTAATTTTTTTTTTTTTATTATACTCTAAGTTTTAGGGTACATGTGCACATTGTGCAGGTTAGTTACATATGTATACATGTGCCATGCTGGTGCGCTGCACCCACTAACGTGTCATCTAGCATTAGGTATATCTCCCAATGCTATCCCTCCCCCCTCCCCTGACCCCACCACAGTCCCCAGAGTGTGATATTCCCCTTCCTGTGTCCATGTGATCTCATTGTTCAATTCCCACCTATGAGTGAGAATATGCGGTGTTTGGTTTTTTGTTCTTGCGATAGTTTACTGAGAATGATGGTTTCCAATTTCATCCATGTCCCTACAAAGGACATGAACTCATCATTTTTTATGGCTGCATAGTATTCCATGGTGTATATGTGCCACATTTTCTTAATCCAGTCTATCATTGTTGGACATTTGGGTTGGTTCCAAGTCTTTGCTATTGTGAATAGTGCCGCAATAAACATACGTGTGCATGTGTCTTTATAGCAGCATGATTTATAGTCCTTTGGGTATATACCCAGTAATGGGATGGCTGGGTCAAATGTTATTTCTAGTTCTAGATCCCTGAGGAATCACCACACTGACTTCCACAATGGTTGAACTAGTTTACAGTCCCACCAACAGTGTAAAAGTGTTCCTATTTCTCCACATCCTCTCCAGCACCGGTTGTTTCCTGACTTTTTAATGATTGCCATTCTAACTGGTGTGAGATGATATCTCATAGTGGTTTTGATTTGCATTTCTCTGATGGCCAGTGATGATGAGCATTTCTTCATGTGTCTTTTGGCTGCATAAATGTCTTCTTTTGAGAAGTGTCTGTTCATGTCCTTCGCCCACTTTTTGATGGGGTTGTTTGTTTTTTTCTTGTAAATTTGTTTGAGTTCATTGTAGATTCTGGATATTAGCCCTTTGTCAGATGAGTAGGTTGCGAAAATTTTCTCCCATGTTGTAGGTTGCCTGTTCACTCTGATGGTAGTTTCTTTTGCTGTGCAGAAGCTCTTTAGTTTAATTAGATCCCATTTGTCAATTTTGGCTTTTGTTGCCATTGCTTTTGGTGTTTTGGACATGAAGTCCTTGCCCACGCCTATGTCCTGAATGGTAATGCCTAGGTTTTCTTCTAGGGTTTTTATGGTTTTAGGTCTAACGTTTAAATCTTTAATCCATTTTGAATTGATTTTTGTATAAGGTGTAAGGAAGGGATCCAGTTTCAGCTTTCTACATATGGCTAGCCAGTTTTCCCAGCACCATTTATTAAATAGGGAATCCTTTCCCCATTGCTTGTTTTTCTCAGGTTTGTCAAAGATCAGATAGTTGTAGATATGCGGCATTATTTCTGAGGGCTCTGTTCTGTTCCATTGATCTATATCTCTGTTTTGGTACCAATACCATGCTGTTTTGGTTACTGTAGCCTTGTAGTATAGTTTGAAGTCAGGTAGTGTGATGCCTCCAGCTTTGTTCTTTTGGCTTAGGATTGCCTTGGCGATGCGGGCTCTTTTTTGGTTCCATATGAACTTTAAAGTAGTTTTTTCCAATTCTGTGAAGAAAGTCATTGGTAGCTTGATGGGGATGGCATTGAATCTGTAAATTACCTTGGGCAGTATGGCCATTTTCACGATATTGATTCTTCCTACCCATGAGCATGGAATGTTCTTCCATTTGTTTGTGTCCTCTTTTATTTCCTTGAGCAGTGGTTTGTAGTTCTCCTTGAAGAGGTCCTTCACATCCCTTGTAAGTTGGATTCCTAGGTATTTTATTCTGTTTGAAGCAATTGTGAATGGGAGTTCACTCATGATTTGGCTCTCTGTTTGTCTGTTGTTGGTGTATAAGAATGCTTGTGATTTTTGTACATTGATTTTGTATCCTGAGACTTTGCTGAAGTTGCTTATCAGCTTAAGGAGATTTTGGGCTGAGACGATGGGGTTTTCTAGATAAACAATCATGTCGTCTGCAAACAGGGACAATTTGACTTCCTCTTTTCCTAATTGAATACCCTTTATTTCCTTCTCCTGCCTGATTGCCCTGGCCAGAACTTCCAACACTATGTTGAATAGGAGCGGTGAGAGAGGGCATCCCTGTCTTGTGCCAGTTTTCAAAGGGAATGCTTCCAGTTTTTGCCCATTCAGTATGATATTGGCTGTGGGTTTGTCATAGATAGCTCTTATTATTTTGAAATACGTCCCATCAATACCTAATTTATTGAGAGTTTTTAGCATGAAGGGTTGTTGAATTTTGTCAAAGGCTTTTTCTGCATCTATTGAGATAATCATGTGGTTTTTGTCTTTGGCTCTGTTTATATGCTGGATTACATTTATTGATTTGAGTATATTGAACCAGCCTTGCATCCCAGGGATGAAGCCCACTTGATCATGGTGGATAAGCTTTTTGATGTGCTGCTGGATTCGGTTTGCCAGTATTTTATTGAGGATTTTTGCATCAATGTTCATCAAGGATATTGGTCTAAAATTCTCTTTTTTGGTTGTGTCTCTGCCCGGCTTTGGTATCAGAATGATGCTGGCCTCATAAAATGAGTTAGGGAGGATTCCCTCTTTTTCTGTTGATTGGAATAGTTTCAGAAGGAATGGTACCAGTTCCTCCTTGTACCTCTGGTAGAATTCGGCTGTGAATCCATCTGGTCCTGGACTCTTTGTTTGGTAAACTATTGATTATTGCCACAATTTCAGAGCCTGTTATTGGTCTATTCAGAGATTCAACTTCTTCCTGGTTTAGTCTTGGGAGAGTGTATGTGTCCAGGAATGTATCCATTTCTTCTAGATTTTCTAGTTTATTTGCGTAGAGGTGTTTGTAGTATTCTCTGATGGTAGTTTGTATTTCTGTGGGATCGGTGGTGATATCCCCTTTATCATTTTTTATTGTGTCTATTTGATTCTTCTCTCTTTTTTTCTTTATTAGTCTTGCTAGCGGTCTATCAATTTTGTTGATCCTTTCAAAAAACCAGCTCCTGGATTCATTGATTTTTTGAAGGGTTTTTTGTGTCTCTATTTCCTTCAGTTCTGCTCTGATTTTAGTTATTTCTTGCCTTCTGCCAGCTTTTGAATGTGTTTGCTCTTGCTTTTCTAGTTCTTTTAATTGTGATGTTAGGGTGTCAATTTTGGATCTTTCCTGCTTTCTCTTGTAGGCGTTTAGTGCTATAAATTTCCCTCTACACACTGCTTTGAATGCGTCCCAGAGATTCTGGTATGTGGTGTCTTTGTTCTCGTTGGTTTCAAAGAACATCTTTATTTGTGCCTTCATTTCGTTATGTACCCAGTAGTCATTCAGGAGCAGGTTGTTCAGTTTCCATGTAGTTGAGCGGTTTTGAGTGAGATTCTTAATCCTGAGTTCTAGTTTGATTGCACTGTGGTCTGAGAGATAGTTTGTTATAATTTCTGTTCTTTTACATTTGCTGAGGAGAGCTTTACTTCCAACTATGTGGTCAATTTTGGAATAGGTGTGCTGTGGTGCTGAAAAAAATGTATATTCTGTTGATTTGGGGTGGAGAGTTCTGTAGATGTCTATTAGGTCTGCTTGGTGCAGAGCTGAGTTCAATTCCTGGGTGTCCTTGTTGACTTTCTGTCTCGTTGATCTGTCTAATGTTGACAGTGGGGTGTTAAAGTCTCCCATTATTAATGTGTGGGAGTCTAAGTCTCTTTGTAGGTCACTGAGGACTTGCTTTATGAATCTGGGTGCTCCTGTATTGGGTGCATAAATATTTAGGATAGTTAGCTCCTCTTGTTGAATTGATCCCTTTACCATTATGTAATGGCCTTCTTTGTCTCTTTTGATCTTTGTTGGTTTAAAGTCTGTTTTATCAGAGACTAGGATTGCAACCCCTGCCTTTTTTTGTTTTCCATTGGCTTGGTAGATCTTCCTCCATCCTTTTATTTTGAGCCTATGTGTGTCTCTGCACGTGAGATGGGTTTCCTGAATACAGCACACTGATGGGTCTTGACTCTTTATCCAACTTGCCAGTCTGTGTCTTTTAATTGCAGAATTTAGTCCATTTATATTTAAAGTTAATATTGTTATGTGTGAATTTGATCCTGTCATTATGATGTTAGCTGGTGATTTTGCTCATTAGTTGATGCAGTTTCTTCCTAGTCTCGATGGTCTTTACATTTTGGCATGATTTTGCAGCGGCTGGTACCGGTTGTTCCTTTCCATGTTTAGCGCTTCCTTCAGGAGCTCTTTTAGGGCAGGCCTGGTGGTGACAAAATCTCTCAGCATTTGCTTGTCTATAAAGTATTTTATTTCTCCTTCACTTATGAAGCTTAGTTTGGCTGGATATGAAATTCTGGGTTGAAAATTCTTTTCTTTAAGAATGTTGAATATTGGCCCCCACTCTCTTCTGGCTTGTAGGGTTTCTGCCGAGAGATCCGCTGTTAGTCTGATGGGCTTTCCTTTGAGGGTAACCCGACCTTTCTCTCTGGCTGCCCTTAACATTTTTTCCTTCATTTCAACTTTGGTGAATCTGACAATTATGTGTCTTGGAGTTGCTCTTCTCGAGGAGTATCTTTGTGGCGTTCTCTGTATTTCCTGAATCTGAACGTTGGCCTGCCTTGCTAGATTGGGGAAGTTCTCCTGGATAATATCCTGCAGAGTGTTTTCCAACTTGGTTCCATTCTCCACATCACTTTCAGGTACACCAATCAGACGTAGATTTGGTCTTTTCACATAGTCCCATATTTCTTGGAGGCTTTGCTCATTTCTTTTTATTCTTTTTTCTCTAAACTTCCCTTCTTGCTTCATTTCATTCATTTCATCTTCCATCGCTGATACCCTTTCTTCCAGTTGATCGCATCGGCTCCTGAGGCTTCTGCATTCTTCACGTAGTTCTCGAGCCTTGGTTTTCAGCTCCATCAGCTCCTTTAAGCACTTCTCTGTATTGGTTATTCTAGTTATACATTCTTCTAAATTTTTTTCAAAGTTTTCAACTTCTTTGCCTTTGGTTTGAATGTCCTCCCGTAGCTCAGAGTAATTTGATCGTCTGAAGCCTTCTTCTCTCAGCTCGTCAAAATCATTCTCCATCCAGCTTTGTTCCGTTGCTGGTGAGGAACTGCGTTCCTTTGGAGGAGGAGAGGCGCTCTGCGTTTTAGAGTTTCCAGTTTTTCTGTTCTGTTTTTTCCCCATCTTTGTGGTTTTATCTACTTTTGGTCTTTGATGATGGTGATGTACAGATGGGTTTTCGGTGTAGATGTCCTTTCTGCTTGTTAGTTTTCCTTCTAACAGACAGGACCCTCAGCTGCAGGTCTGTTGGAATACCCTGCCGTGTGAGGTGTCAGTGTGCCCCTGCTGGGGGGTGCCTCCCAGTTAGGCTGCTCGGGGGTCAGGGGTCAGGGACCCACTTGAGGAGGCAGTCTGCCCGTTCTCAGATCTCCAGCTGCGTGCTGGGAGAACCACTGCTCTCTTCAAAGCTGTCAGACAGGGACACTTAAGTCTGCAGAGGTTACTGTGTCTTTTTGTTTGTCTGTGCCCTGCCCCCAGAGGTGGAGCCTACAGAGGCAGGCAGGCCTCCTTGAGTTGTGGTGGGCTCCACCCAGTTCGAGCTTCCCGGCTGCTTTGTTTACCTAAGCAAGCCTGGGCAATGGCGGGCGCCCCTCCCCCAGCCTCGTTGCCGCCTTGCAGTTTGATCTCAGAGTGCTGTGCTAGCAATCAGCGAGATTCCGTGGGCATAGGACCCTCTGAGCCAGGTGTGGGATATAGTCTCGTGGTGTGCCGTTTCTTAAGCTGGTCTGAAAAGCGCAATATTCGGGTGGGAGTGACCCGATTTTCCAGGTGCGTCCGTCACCCCTTTCTTTGACTCGGAAAGGGAACTCCCTGACCCCTTGCGCTTCCCAGGTGAGGCAATGCCTCGCCCTGCTTCGGCTCGCGCACGGTGCGCGCACACACTGACCTGCGCCCACTGTCTGGCACTCCCTAGTGAGATGAACCCGGTACCTCAGATGGAAATGCAGAAATCACCCGTCTTCTGCGTCGCTCACGCTGGGAGCTGTAGACCGGAGCTGTTCCTATTCGGCCATCTTGGCTCCTCCCTGAGTTTTTTAAAAGGCACTTCAGTTGTCTGAAATATCTTTTCTTTAGCTTACTTTGTTTACTTTTGTGCATTTGTTTTTCCGTTATTCCTTTATGAATAAGGAAGTAAGTTGGCCAATATAGGTATCTGATGTAGAGTTCCTCTGATACCATGCAGGGTTTTTTTTTTTTTCTCTCTAATAAACTTTTCTCCTTAATGGAAAGCTGCTAGTAAACACTCTCTGTAATTGGGACTTAAAAACCATCATCTTTAGTTTTGGGCAGTATCATTAGGATATAAGCTAGACTTATCACCAGATATCCCAGTAAAGGAAGTCTTTACTGTTGGACTCAAACACCTATGCCAGGAATCCTCTCTAGACACATTGAATTTCCTTAAAGTATTGTTTTCAGTTTTTAGTCTGACAAAATCTTTCTAGAAGACTTCTACCCAGAGAGTGCATGATTTCTCAGAAAAGGCTTCCTTCTAGTATGTATAAGCTCTGAATGGCAGATATGTTTTGCCATTTTGTTCACTGATGCATCCCAAGTACCCAGGACAGTGCTTGCCATATAGGGACTGATTTTTAATTCCTGCCCTTTTTTGGGGCTACAGAGTATTGCTTTCTTGGGACCCACATATCAGATAAATATTTAAAATATTTATCAGATATCAGACAAATATTTAAAAGGATTATTGTTCAATTTTATTTAGCATTTCTAGGTATTTTGAATAGGAAACTTTTTTAGTCAGCTGATCTCTCTTAGAAGTCTTTTAAAATAATTCCTCAAGGAAGATGTTGATATTTCACATTTATTGTTTAGGGAAAAGATAGAATTTCCAGGCTTCTAAAGTTAATAAAGTTTCTTATTTATATCATTATTAAGGAAACTTATTTTTTCATTAATATAAGTTATTGTGTGTGACCTAATTTGGAGGTCTTTAATTAGAAAAAAATTCTAGAACCTGATAGTAATGTAGACACTGAAAACTAGCTGCTTTGATACATTTTTAAGGTTTTTTTTTTTGAGCTTAAATTTTTACTAAAAACATTGCTTTTATAGTTAAATATTTCAAATCCAGTGGAATAGCCTCTAATAAAATGCTGATTATATTACAGGTGCAAATTGAGCATGACCCAGAATTAGAAAAAGAAAGGTATGTTGCTTTATGTTTACTAACACTTTTGTATAGTATTTAGTTTCTGAATTTTATTGCTGTATTTTATAGTAATGGCTCACATGTAGTGAAAAGTTCTTTTCTGCATATTTATTTTGTGTACATATGGGCTTGTTACAGTTTTCTTTTTGGACTCAGCCTGACCTAGGAGTTTCGTTTGTTGCTTTTTATTTACTCTCATTTAAGTATTTACTGAATATTTAGAGTAACTGCGTATATAAACAGTTTGAATTAAATAAACCACTTTATAAAATGTTTTAAGACTCTCGAATAACTCAACATCACGAACAGTAATTACATTGTTTTTGTTAGATTTTCCTATTCCAAAATAAACACGGTAGTAAAATTTTAACCTTTTAACGTTACTTAATTTCATTGTGTGTTTTGATACTTTTTAAAAACAACTGGGTTGGGGCGAGTAAGTATTTGTCCAAAAAAATTATGTATATAGTTTTGCATTATCAGAGGAATGAAAGCTTGTTTTTCAAAGTCTCCACAAACTGGTGACTTACAGCCTTGTTTTGACCACGTAAAGTACACCCTCTCCTTAATAACTTTCTCATTCTGATGGATATCCTCCTTATCACCACCCTTGTTCCACCAGTTGATGACTTGCCTTTCACTGCTCTTCATTGTAAATCACTGATTTAGAATATTTCTTTTTCCTCCTGTATACTGAGTCATCAATATTTATTAGTCCTTGTTGTAAGAGCGTATATTTGTTTGAAACAGCAGTTTGAAAGTGTTTAAATATGTAAAGTGTTTATTTTATCTGATGCACTGATGTTAAGATCCCTGAAAAACAGAACGTCTTAGCGGATTTTTCTTCTCAGTAATTTTTATAAAATCAGATTATTTTAGTTGACAAAGATGATGAGTACATTAAAATATACCAGTAACATTAAGCAATAGGTTTGCTCTGTGTGTCAGCACAGGGTTATTTAAGTTGTATGTCATACCAGGTGCATTCACATACCTAAGAAATAGTACCACCAGCAGTGTGTGATGTGAAAGCTCACAAAGGGCTTAATAAATAACAGTGCCTATGTAGTACTATATATATAGACCTAAAGATTGGCCACGTTAACTCTGTGGCAAAACCCATTTTATTTCATTTTACAAAGATTTTTTGAGGTCTGCATGAAAAGTTGTTCTCCATAGCAATAGCAGTTGGTCATTGTTCTCCTCTCATTGTTTAGACATAGCTTTTAAAATTGAATATATTTCTTAAATAATTTATAGATGTATTCAACCTCATAAAACTAATTTTTAAAATTAGCACCAAAAACTTCTTAATTCCCACCCCCCCCCGCCTTTTTTTTTTTTTTTTTTTTTTTTTTTTTAACATTAGAGAAAAAGATGTGGGATATGTCCAGAATACTAAACATTTGTTTTGGAGTGAACTGATGCTGAGAAAATACTATTTGTTGTTTTTGTTGTGTTTTTTTTTAGAGACAGGGTCTTGCTATGTTGCTCAGGCTGGCCTTGAACTCCTGGGCACAAGCTGTTTTCCCACCTCAGCTTCCTGTGTAGCTGGTACTACATGCACTTGTTTTGTTTTGTTTTAAAGCACTTGTGGTTGCCAATTCATTATGAATATGATACTTTTGTTTATAACTAAACTATTTAAATACTGTTTAGAGGAAACTCGTGGATACATTCATAATTTAATAATTCACACTGTACTCATTCTGTTGATATGTAAACAGATTTTATTTATCATCTGATTAAAGCCACAAATAAGAATGCTAAGTGAAATTTTTCTAATTCATTAACATTAGGAAGTAAACAGTTGGCCTCTGAAATAAACACTAATCTTTAGTATTGTGAAGTCCCAGTTTAAGGTTTCTCAGAATGTTTGTCTTTCAGTGTTAACGTTTGTTCTAATGCCCAGCTTTTATTGTATGCTTTTTCTGAAGGCTGTGAAATTCTGGTATTACTGGGATATTGGGGCTGGAGGGAGGAGTGGCAAATGAGATATCTGTATCTCAAATGCCTTTCTGGAATCCTTTTCTGTTCCATTTCCCAGAATGTGGCTGTTTTCATTTGATCGTTACAAAGAGTGGTTGTTTAACTTTGGTGTTAATGTCATTTATTTGACATTTCAAACTGTCTTTTCAAACTAACTTGATCAATATTGAGGCTTTTTTCCCATATTAGCCAGAAAGCAGATACTAGTTTTGGTAAATGACTTCTCTAAAGAAAACACTATGATTTGAAAAGACTAGCACACAAGGACAAATATGGAATTAAATAATTCTTCTGAGTAGACCTGTGTTCTCTGTTTCAAGTATGGAACTGCATAATGGTTCAGTTTGTATATAAGATAATAACTTTTTTATTGAAAAACTTGTGAAGGGGAAAGTCTTGCTATATCCTTGAGCCAGGAATCAAGGTCTCCATTGTTATCCTAGCCCCATAGATGTTTTTACTTAGCCCTAAGTTTCTAAAGTTTTATGTAGGGTTAATATGCAGTACAGTAATGAGGCAGGAATTTGAATATTTTCTTCATTATTGGAAATGAGTCTTGTAATTTAAAGACAAAAGCTTGTTTTGAGAAGTAATATTCATATACCTGCTGTAACTGTGAATGTCACTGCTCTTTTCTGGTTGTGCTTTGCCACAAATTTTATTGTGAATTGTAAAGATTTGAAACTCTTAAAATTAGCCATTTATATTTTGAAAAAAAGGGGTGTGATTATTTTAAAAAAAAAACATTTTAGCATGCAAAGAATAACTTGCACAATGGATAGAATATATATTGATTAAGGTTTAGGGTCAAGAGGTATTTCTCTAATCTGGTAGAAAAGTTTTCTCCTCAGGATGTAATCTTTGGGGCATGAGGGAAGACCAGTTTGGTTCAAATGATTTAAGACCCTGATGTGGTAGCACAACTTTCTTAAATATGGTTAACATCTCAGCACACAGATATACACCATCTTGTGTTGTTAACTGAAGGGTACATGGCCACCCTCTAAGAAGCAGGTCAAAAGGGATGGCTCATCCTCTCCTTCCTTAAAAAATAGGAGAAGAAAGTCAGTACTTTTTAATAATCAGGTATTGATATGATAGGATCACTCTCTGGTGTCTTTCTCCAATCTGCTGCTTCTCATTATATGAATATATTTGGTAAATTTTAATTTGCATTGATAGCATGTTGGGCATTGTTTTTGGAAGCTAAGGTTTTCCTTGTTCTTCAAGAAAACCTCTGATTTGTGGAATATTGATATAAAAATAACTTATTCTGTGTCTACCTCGGTGAAAGTACTGGAATTATAGGACTACTCACTTTTCATATACTTTAGATTTGGGAAGACCATGATGAAATAAGATGAATTACATATACTTAGCCATGTATTTCCTCCATTTCTTCTGAATATTACTTACACATTTAAGTTAAATATTAGAATTATACATTATTCTCTTGAATTGGGAAGGTTTATTTTTTAATGCATTTCTTCTTATAGCCAAAGGCAAATATTTATAAGACTGTATGTTCACATAAGGTGATTATATCAGGTTTTGTCACTAGCTTTAAATCCTCAATAGAGTATATAAAGAATACTTTCCAAATAATGTTCTAAGTATTATCATTAATAAATATGGTTCTTGGGTAATTAAAAAAATATTTTACATCCAAAAAAAAAATAAAAAGGTGATATGATTTAGAGTATGGTCTTTTCCCCCCACCAGTTTCTGTTTATGTTCTTTTTAGGTAAGGTTCACTTATAAAATTTTAAATCATAATGCATGGATCATTAGTTTTATTGTAGAACTGTACACATATTTTATTATTTCAGTTACCACTGTTGGGAATAGGACCTGATAATATTTGAAGTGTCTCAGATTCACATTTGACCTTTCAATGTCAGGGGTTAACTTGACAGAGGAGGGAAAATATTGGCTGTAATCACATGAGCGCAAAAGGAACATATCAACAGTCATAATTTATATTATTTACGTATTTCCAGCAATACATCTTACCCATTTTATGCTGATTGGTTGGATTTCCCAGTGCTTATTACGAATGCATCAGGAAGTCTTAACAATTGGCATCAGCAGGATTCTTTATAATGGTTGAATTCTCATCATAGTTTGATTTTTGTTTGTGTTTTTGTTTGTGTTCTTTTTGTTTGTTTTTAAATACTTTTAGCCCTGGCTTGAAAAACAGTCCAATTGATGAAAGTGAGGTGCAAACAGCAACTGATAGTCCCTCTGTTAAACCTAATGAGCTTGAAGAAGAAAGTACTCCCAGCATTCAAACAGAAACTTTGGTACAGCAGGAAGAGCCTTGTGAGGAAGAAGCTGAAAAAGCAACATGTGATTCTGACTTTGCTGTTGAAACTTTGGAGCTTGAAACTCAAGGAGAGGAGGTCAAAGAAGAAATTCCTCTTGTAGCATCCGCTTCAGTCAGTATTGAACAATTCACTGAAAATGCCGAGGAGTGTGCTTTAAATCAGCAGATGTTTAACAGTGACTTGGAGAAGAAAGGGGCAGAAATTATTAACCCTAAAACAGCATTGTTACCATCTGACAGTGTGTTTGCAGAAGAAAGGAACCTCAAAGGAATTCTAGAAGAATCTCCATCTGAAGCAGAAGATTTCATTTCTGGAATTACACAGACTATGGTAGAAGCTGTAGCTGAAGTAGAAAAAAATGAAACTGTTTCGGAAATATTGCCATCAACTTGTATTGTGACGTTAGTACCAGGAATTCCCACTGGGGATGAGAAGACAGTGGACAAAAAGAATATTTCTGAAAAAAAAGGTAACATGGATGAAAAGGAGGAGAAGGAATTTAATACTAAGGAAACCAGAATGGATCTTCAAATAGGAACAGAGAAGGCTGAAAAGAATGAAGGTAGGATGGATGCAGAAAAGGTGGAAAAGATGGCAGCAATGAAAGAAAAGCCTGCAGAAAACACTTTATTCAAGGCATACCCAAATAAAGGAGTGGGTCAGGCTAATAAGCCTGATGAAACTAGTAAAACTAGTATTCTGGCTGTATCAGATGTATCTAGCAGTAAACCAAGCATCAAGGCTGTTATAGTCTCTTCTCCTAAGGCAAAAGCTACAGTTTCAAAAACTGAAAATCAGAAAAGTTTTCCAAAATCTGTGCCCAGAGATCAAATAAATGCTGAAAAGAAACTTTCAGCCAAGGAATTTGGTCTGCTTAAACCCACAAGTGCCAGGTCAGGCTTGGCAGAAAGCAGCAGTAAATTCAAACCTACTCAGAGCAGTCTTACCAGAGGAGGCAGTGGAAGGATCTCAGCCCTGCAAGGCAAGCTTTCTAAACTGGATTACAGAGATATAACAAAACAATCTCAGGAAACAGAGGCTAGACCTTCCATCATGAAACGGGATGACAGCAACAATAAGGTGAGGAGGGTAGGAAGAATGGCACAGTGTGTCTTTGAAGTGATTAGCTCCGCTGCTGTAGCTATGTAGTAGGAGATGTAATTTTGTTTCATACTTTCATCTCCTCACTCTACCCCGGAAGCTCCCATTTCCTTTTCTTAAATGATTCCATTGTTTAAGCCAGTAGACATTCAGAGTATTAAACTCAAGTTCATAATTTATTGACATGTTTGAAAAGCATTATTTGGATACAATTTGGAAATAACTGTGGTTTAAAAAAAAAAAAAAAAAGTCTGCAGTGAATCTCCTAAGGTGATTTACCACTCTGCTTCTGAATGGGAAACTGTTTCCTCTCTTAAATTGAAGCTTCCTTTATCAGGTCACTGATTGCCTAACTAGACATTGTGGGACGAAAAGATCAGTAAAACTGAATTTAACTACAACTTGTACAGACTGTGCCTATACTGTTTAGTGACTGTTGACTTAGTTTTGTATACATGTTAAATAATTTGCATAATTGACTGTATTTGGGTAATGTTTACTGTTTTTTTTTGTTTTTTGTTTTTTTTTCCAGAACATTAATAATATGGTTGTAAATTCCGTTTTTCTGTATTTCTTATTTACTATTTCAGACTTTGGCTGAGCAAAACACTAAGAATCCTAAAAGCACTACTGGTAGAAGTTCCAAATCTAAAGAGGTAAAAAATAGATCACAGACCCTAACCCTTCTTTTTCATCTCCATAGCACAGTTCATCTATCTTATAACTTGTGCCTGCCTTAACAATGTTAGTGACTAAGAGTTTAGAGCAAGGGATAGGAATGAGATGTTTTGTTTTTAACTTATCTCTAATCCTACCATTAATTTACTTTTTGACCTTGAGCTAGTCTAAACACCTTGTGTTTTCTTGAGGCGGGGGGAGCGGGCAAAATGTTATATGGGGACAGAAAGAGAGTAGAGTAGGGCAATACCTCCAATCTCATATTGACAGGAATAGGTTGTAGACACAGAAAAAAAATTTATATATGTGAAAGAGACTGACATTTGACTTGAGTCATCCTCATTTTGTTAAAACAGGTTATCCTTTTGGCTCTAATTTAACCTTAAGTGGATGGTCTCTAAGATTAACTTTACTGGTACCAAGTTCTGTTGTCAAACATATTTTATATTTGGTTGTTATTTTAGGTTTTTACCATTCATAGAATTTTTTTCAGTCATTTTACTTTTCTTACCTGGTAGGGGATAGATTTGGGCCTATGTTGTTGGGGCAAGGAGAAATGTTACTAGTTTTAAGCAGAAATAAGGATTATGGCTACTAAAGCAGAAATAAGGATTATGGCTACTAAAGCAGAAGTAAGGATTGTGGCTACTTCAGTTTGCTTTGTTAATTTGATAGTACAATCGCTTGTAGATATTCTCCCTAGAAATTACAGGGTACATATTCTAATGTCGTTATTATATATAATAGCAGTTAATCATTAATAACATACTAAATGTATAGGAGCCCTGGTAGGAATTTATCTTCTTTACTATTGACGGCATTTTTAAAAATTACAGATACTGTTGTTTTCAAATACAGTTATGTTAGTCATTGAGTCTTAGTAATAATTTTTTCATACAACTTTCTCAAAATGTAACCATTATATTTCTTTTATTATTATTATTATTTTGCAACGAAATCTCACTCCTGTCCCCCAGGCTGGAGTGCAATGGCGTGATCTCGGCTCACTGCAACCTCTGCCTCCCAGGTTCAAGTGTTTCTCCTGCCTCAGCCTCCCGAGTAGCTGGGTGGCATCTGCCACCACACCCAGCTAATTTTTGTATTTTTAGTAGAGCTGGGGTTTCACCATGTTGGCCAGGCTGGTCTCGAACTCCTGACCTCAGGTGATCAGCCTCCCAAAGTGCTGGGATTACAGGCATGAGCCACCACGCCCGGCCTGTATTTCTTAAAATATGTATTCTATATATAATTAGTTAATGTGTAATCAATATATACTGATAAATGGAACAGCCTAATTAGCTGTTTACTTTCTAACTATATTTGAGGTGCTTTTAGAAGTCCAGTAAGTCTTCTAGAGCACTTATTAGATGTTTGACATATGGAACAGTAAATCCTTTGTACTGTCTGACAAATACTTTAAATGTATTTTTATGTGTCATACTTCGAAACTCTTCATTTAGGAAATGTAATCTTATTGAATTTAAGTAAAAGTGGAATTAGGTTGATACTGTTAGAATTTTACTTTTGGATTATACTTTGTGAATTATAGCTAAGTCATTTGTGGGGCTTTAAAAAAAACAACTCTTAATTTTAGCCTTTAGGAAAACTAATTTGCACTGAAATTCTCCCAAATGATCTGCATGCACATTTATTGTGACTATTTGGAATCTAGCCAGTGGTCAAAATTTGTTTACAATACTATGATTTTTAACTTTCCAACAGGAGCCATTATTTCCATTTAATTTGGATGAATTTGTTACTGTGGATGAGGTTATAGAAGAAGTGAATCCTTCTCAGGCCAAGCAGAATCCACTAAAGGGAAAAAGGAAAGAAACTCTCAAAAATGTTCCTTTCTCTGAACTTAACTTAAAGAAGAAAAAGGGGAAAACTTCCACTCCTCGTGGTGTTGAGGGAGAACTATCTTTTGTGACATTGGATGAGATTGGGGAAGAGGAAGATGCAGCTGCACATCTAGCACAAGCTCTAGTCACTGTGGATGAAGTAATTGATGAAGAAGAACTAAATATGGAAGAAATGGTAAAAAATTCAAATTCACTTTTTACATTAGATGAATTAATTGACCAAGATGATTGCATTTCCCACAGTGAACCTAAAGATGTTACTGTTCTGTCAGTGGCTGAAGAACAAGATCTCCTCAAACAGGAACGCTTGGTAACTGTGGATGAAATTGGAGAAGTGGAAGAGCTACCTTTGAATGAGTCAGCAGACATAACTTTTGCCACTTTAAATACTAAAGGAAATGAAGGAGATACTGTAAGGGATTCCATTGGCTTCATTTCTTCTCAGGTGCCCGAAGACCCTTCTACTTTAGTTACTGTAGATGAAATACAAGATGACAGCAGTGATTTGCATTTAGTGACTTTGGATGAAGTAACTGAAGAGGATGAAGACTCTCTGGCGGATTTTAACAACCTTAAAGAAGAGCTTAATTTTGTTACTGTTGATGAAGTTGGAGAGGAGGAAGATGGAGATAATGATTTAAAAGTTGAGTTAGCACAAAGCAAAAATGACCATCCCACAGATAAAAAAGGGAATAGAAAGAAGAGAGCTGTGGACACAAAAAAGACAAAACTTGAATCCTTGTCCCAAGTGGGTCCAGTAAATGAGAATGTTATGGAAGAAGATCTAAAAACCATGATTGAAAGACACTTAACAGGTAGATACTTGGAAGGGGTAGTCTTTCTGTTTTATGAGGGGATTACATTTAAAATTAATTTTAAAATACATGTTGTGGCATTACCAATAATGTCACCCAGTATTGATATTAGAGGCCAACAGACAGTTAAAGTCAACAATAAATTTTCCAAAGAAATGTGTACAAGTTTCACAGTTTTTTAAAGTTTTACAGCAGAACTTGCTCCAGGTTATGCTTCAAGAAAGGATGACAAAAAACAGAAAACAAACTGAAGTAGCCAAATTAGAATTGGAATGAAAATGATATATTTGTATTGTGGGAAAAAGACAACTTTTGATAAATAGAAGAACATTTACATCAGATTACCTCCCAGTTTTTGCTTAGACTTAGAATTAAGAACTATTTATAAAGGAACTATTTGATTTTAAAGTAATATTGTAATGATACAGAATAGTACGGCAGCTCACTTTCCGAACTTGAGGGAGATAAACATAATTTCCATTAAGAAAATCTTGAGGCCAAGTATTGTGGCTCACTCCCGTAATCTCAGCACTTTGGGAAGCCGAGGTGGGAGGATCGCTTGAGGCCAGGAGTGCGACACCAGTCTGGGCAGCCTAGCAAGACTCCGTCTCTACAAAAAATTAAAAAATGAGCCAGGCACGGTGGCATGCGTCTGTGGTCCCAGCTGCTTTGGAGACTGAGGCTAGAGGATCGCTTGAGCCCAGAAGGTCGAGGTTGTGGTGAGCAATGGTTGTGCCACTGCACTCCAACCTTGGTAACAGAGTGAGCCACTTTGTCTCCAAAAAGAAGAAAAAAAACCTGAAAGATTTAACTCAACTAAGAATAAAATACTAGGAAGGTCCCACAGGCTTATGGAACAAATTAGAAAAACATTTATGGACATCCTGGGAAAAGAAGTTAGAAAAGCATAGTTACTTGGAAAATGATAACTGGGAACAAAAGGAAATGCTTAGATTAAACTGATTATTTTAAAATAGAATTCTTCTATTTTATATTAGCAGTAGGCTTCCCTCCCAAATTTGGGTATTTTTTGCAAAAATGTATAATGTTGATTCAGACAGTATAATATGTTTAATTTAAAGCAATTTAAATACTGTTACTAGAGCAATAAATTAGGACTTTCTTTTTAAAGCTAAAACTCCAACCAAGAGAGTTAGAATTGGGAAAACTCTGCCATCAGAAAAAGCTGTTGTGACAGAACCAGCAAAAGGTGAAGAGGCCTTCCAGATGAGTGAAGGTAAAGCAGGATTGTTGGAATGGGAAGGAAAGTTACACAACACAGGAGAGTAGTTGAAGTTTAAAGATCTATCTAAGAAGAAAAGTAGAAAATCAGTGGAATAGAGCAGGGGTGGGAAAAGTCAACTATAGTTATTAGATGTGGGTAACATTTTGATCTTTGTAATGTAGAGAGAATGGATTATTGATATTAGAATGTGACAGATTAGAGGAAATGATCCTCGAAAGGTTTTCTGACCATGTTGCAGCATCAGATAGAAATTATTTATTAACTAGCTATTATTTGTGGACCTTGCTTTGTTGATGCTTGTCAGCAGCCAGCCAATGAATTAAACAAGAAGCCTTAATAGCGTTTATAAAATTTAACTTGAAACAAATAAGGAAGGGTCTAGTGAGAGAGAATACTTTAGTCACTCAGCAGATACTTGTCATATTGTATTGGGTATCCTTCATAACAATGTTAAAAAGGGTAGACAAAAGAAAGTACATAGCTCTTGCTCTCAAGGGGTTTATTGATTCAGAGAGGTTAAGCAAAAAATCACCTTGCCAGTATGATTTAAATAGAGCACTGTAAGGGTATCGCTTTTACCATTCTCTTTGTAGCACCCTCATTGCCCTCTTTCTTTCCTATCCTATCTTCTTTAAGGAAAACTTACCAAGTATGATTTGGTCCAAGGATTTCAGGTGGGCTCTCAGTGCTGCTCCCAATATATTAGAGGTCTCCTTCCTTTACTATTTCCTAACCAGATGTAAAATTAGCTTTCCCCCCCTTCTACATCACCTAACCCGTTTCTCATTGGATGTCCTTGCTTTCGTTTTTATTTGCCAGAGTAAATCTAGGATCTCCCTTGTCTGCCAACTTATATTTTGTTTTATACACATAAAATATAAAATTTGGCCAAGTTTTTCCCATTGAAAGAAATATCCCTTTGACCTTGAAATCTCTCTAGCTCCTATCTTTTCTACTTGCTTTTAGAGCAAAACGTCTAGAAAGAACCACCTACTTTTACGTCTTAATTTCCCATGGAACTGAATGTATTTTGGTTTCTTTCTCCTACCACTTTCCTGAAAATGATGTTGATGAAACCCCCATTAGGTTGTTGTCAAACGTGATTTTTTAAAGTGTTTTCTTCTTAAGTTAGTCTTACTTGACTTTTCCACATGATTGGTTACTTTTGATTATGCCCTCTCTTGAAACTCTTTGCCAAGTCATGGTCAAGTGGGTATTCCTTCTTCCTTGTCTATTCTTTTCCATAAACAATCTTTGATAACCAAGCTATAGGTGGTGGTTCAGTAATTAGGTTCTCGCATGATTTCATGAGGTCACCCCCCGACTTCAGAATTTCTGTATGGTAGGGCAACCTTGGCAATCAGCTTGCTTAGAACTGCCTCATTGCAACTGAGTAATATAAAAGGATGATTTAGTTACTGCTTACGTAACAATATATTTCTACTAATGAACAATATGTTTTGACAAAAGGACCTAGCTTAAGAAAAAGTCATTTTTCCACACAATTGTAAACTTAAATCATTTATTTTAATCTATTTTAAATATATAATTTTAATATATGTTATATACTATTAAGATAAATGTGCCTTTGGAGTGGCAGGAACAGATATGTTTGGGAAAGTTTATTACCCTGATGAAGAAATAAACAATTATAGAAAGAGATTGGAGGCAAGGAAACCAGATTGTTTTAACCATCAAGTTAAGAAAAGGAAGATACCTTTTTCTTATTGATTGTAGGACTTGATGATCAGTAAAGTGTGAGGAATAAGAGTAAGTAATGATTTCAGAGTTCCTTGCCATCCCCTCAGGAATACTAAAGAGTAGCCCAGATGTATGGAGGGAACACTGAACTTGAAGTCACAAAGTCTTGGTTCTAGCCTGTGTCACTCACTAGCTATGCAACCTTGGGCATATCTGTTTATTACCTCTTTTGATTGTGCTTTCTCCATCTCTGAAGAAATAGGGATGGGTTAATAATGATTTCACGTGCCTATCTTACATGAGGTAAAAGCTAAATGAATGATTATATATGTAAAAGGGTTTTGTCAAGTATTAGGCAACAGTAAGGCATTTCAGCTACTGAGGGTAATCAGAATTGCTTGGAATCAGTCTTCATTTTTGTCTGTCCCCAAGATCATAGTATGCAGAGTCTGCTAACATTGAGTGCTTCTTACGTGTTACTCACTTTGGTGGGCTTTAACATTTATATTAATAATTTTACTTGTGTTTCTAACAGGGGTCTTAGGCTATCAGTTTAGGCTCCATTTTCTAGATTGGAAGGGCCTCAGTATTGGGCCATAGAATCAATTTCTGCTGGTATCCTTTTCCCTTAATCTCCACTCTCGGCTCAGCTTAGCACTTTGCATATATAAGTTCTCTTGCCAGTAATGATAGGACTTGTATTACTTCGTTAAATTCTGCCTGGAACATATATAAATAAAATTTGCTGTTAGCTTTAGACCTATATTCCTAAATCCATTTGAATGGATTTACCCATTTATTCCTTACATTAAAGAATCTTGGAGAATATTGTGCAAAGAATGGCCAGATGGGATTAACAAAGGGAGGTTTTCCCTGAGAAAGAAAAAGGTAAGAATTATCCAATGTTAACTTTACAAAGTCTGTAAATCTATTCTGAATAGCTTTTTTTCCTCGAAAAATTTTAGTTGATGAGGAATCTGGATTAAAGGATTCAGAACCAGAGCGAAAACGCAAGAAGACTGAAGACTCTTCTTCAGGCAAATCAGTGGCGTCTGATGTCCCTGAGGGTAAAGTTAAAATGACATTTTTTTCTTACCCATATGAAATTTAAAAGTCGGCCGGGCGCGGTGGCTCAAGCCTGTAATCCCAGCACTTCGGGAGGCCGAGGCGGGTGGATCACTAGGTCAGGAGATTGAGACCATCCTGGCTAACACGGTGAAACCCCGTCAGTACTAAAAGGTACAAAAAATTAGCCGGACGTGGTGGCGGGCGCCTGTAGTCCAAGCTACTCGGGAGGCTGAGGCAGGAGAATGGCGTGAACCCGGGAGGCGGAGCTTGCAGTGAGCCGAGATAGCGCCACTGCACTCCAGCCTGGGCGACAGAGTGAGACTCCGTCTCAAAAAAAAAAAAAAACAAAAACACCATAATAAGTATTCTATTGTTTTAGGTGAGTAATTGGGTAACCTTGGCTGCATTGTCATTTTATAGTGGAAATTTGCATGTTTTACACAGTGGCATTTTTGAAGACAGCTTACTGGGCTGTTTTTACCTGAGAAGGATATTTTTACTGCACTCTTGAAATCTGGGATGTATCTCCTCTTTTATTCCTGGTGCTTTCTTTGCCACTCTGGTGAGAATTGAGTTATATTTGCCCAGGCAGAAAGTCACTCCAGTTAAGCAGAACATGCTGCAAATCTTTGCTAGCCGACTTTGTTCATGGTCAGCTAAGGTGAGCTGAGGGAGACCTTATTCAGCCATCATACTCCTCAATCAGACAGTTGCCCATCATTCTACCTCTTCTCTCTCTTTTATTTTAATGGGATTCCTAAGAGGTTTATTTTTATTATATTTTATTTTGAGACAGGGTCTCATTCTGTCAGCCAGGCTGGAGTGCAGTGATGTGATCTCAGCTAACTGCAACCCTTTCCTCCCAGGCTCAAGCAATCCTCTCACCTCAGCCTCATGAGTAGCTGGGACTACAGGCGTCTACCACCACACCTGGCTAGTTTTTGTATTTTTGGTAGATACAGGGTTTCACCTTGTTGCTTAGGCTGGTCTCAAACCCCTGAGCTCAAGCAGTCTGTCCGCCTTGGCCTCCCAAAGTGCTGGGATTATAGGCTTGAGCCACTTCTCCCAGCCAGAGGTATATTTTAGACTGTTAGGTTCTTATCTAATGACTTGGTATTCTGAAGGATTATTGAACAGTTCTTTGTTATCCGAAGATTCTCCTTGGGAATCTATTCAACTTGGCATTATACCAAAGCAGTGGCATACTGGCATTCCCTAGAGGTTCTGGAATAGTATAGAATGTGTTAACGAAATAAAGACTTACGTTTTCTGATTAAAATTACTACTATTGATCCCTAAATTTATAGCAGTGTGTACTGTTCTTATATTTAAGTATATACTGTGCTTAATATTTTTGTCGTGTTTAAATTGATGAAGGCCAGTTGTGGCTCACACGTGTAATCCCAGCACTTTGGGAGACCAAGGCAGGCACATCCTATAGGGGAGGTCAGGAGTTCGAGACCAGCCTGGGCAACATGATAAAACCCATCTCTACTAAAAGTACAAAAGTAGCCAGGCGCGGTGGCGCACACCTGTAATCCTAGCTATTCGGGAGCCTGAGGCAGGAGAATCACATGAACCCAGGAGGCAGAGGTTGCAGTGAGCTGACATCGCGCCACTGCCCTCCAACCTGGATGACAGAGTGAGACTCCGTCTCAAATAAATGAATAAATCGATGAACACAAC
The DNA here is from genome assembly GCF_000001405.40 of Homo sapiens. Classification (NCBI taxonomy): domain Eukaryota; kingdom Metazoa; phylum Chordata; class Mammalia; order Primates; family Hominidae; genus Homo; species Homo sapiens. The sequence goes on from NC_000002.12 coordinate 71,433,116, forward strand.
TGGAGATTAATTATTGTTAATTTTCTTCTTGTCTCTTCTTATCCTCTAGAATTAGACTTTCTTGTACCTAAGGCTGGATTCTTCTGTCCAATTTGTTCCCTCTTCTACTCAGGTGAAAAAGCAATGACAAATCACTGCAAGAGTACACGTCATAAGCAAAATACTGAGGTAATTTTAAAAATTCTTACAAAATCTTGAGGTGTTGTTATTGTCTTAGAATCAAATTATTTATCTCCCCAAACGTACATTTCCCCCCGCTTTAGGAGAATGTTTATGCCAGTTTATTCCTCTTAAGTCCTGTTTTCTCCTTCAGTGTACCTTGCCTGTAATTTCTAGTCCTTATTCCTTTTCCTTGAACAGCAACATTTGCCAGAGTAGATTCTGCAGATCACTAGTCTCATATGACACTCCATTATTAAAGTAAGAAACTGCATGTTTTGATGCCCTCTTGTCATGTAGACATTAGCATATTAAAGTTTCTGAATTGTCTAGCCAGAATGAATCCTGGTTAACTTCATGCAAACCATTTATTAAACTGATTTAATCACAAAACCTTTTCTAAATTGTACACATCTTTAAGAAGTGTTACTCTGGAGAATCATCATTAACCATAATTGAAGTGGTGACTCTAGTTCCTGCTGAATATTTGAGAGTTTCGTACATCCTCTCTGTTGAATTTGTGGCACAGACACTCATCTAACATTTACTGAGCTGTTCTATGCTGGAAGCTTATTTAATCTCCTCATGAACTTCATGAGGTAGATGCTATTATTCCAATCTTAAAGATGAGAAAATAGACTTAAGGAGGTTACGTATCTAAACCCAAGGTCACATAGCTAGTTAGTAGCAGACCTAGGATTTGAACTCCGCTCTATTTCATTCTAGGCCCAAGCTCTTATACATTGTGCTTTGCTACCTGTGTGCTTAACTTAGTTCATCATGTCACTTTTCCATTTAAAACCTTCTAGTAGCTTCATATTGCACTTGGTCTAATATCCAAACTTCTTATTTTGGGTCTTCAAAGCCCTGCATGATCTGATTTCTTTTCTACTTCTCTGAATGCTTTCTGTGTTTCAGCTTTTCTGGCTCTCTCTGTTCTGTTTTTCATACATGAGAGACCCATTGCTGCCTTTGCACCTTTATACTGCTGTTCTTTTGCCCCTTCCCAGTCCTACTCGCATGGCCAGTTCTTCATGTTTTTCGTCTCAAATATCAGTTCCCCAGAAAGGTCTGCTTAAGAAAGACCTAGCTAAGTAGAACCCCCAAAAAAGTTCAGCCTCAATTACGTTGTTGCACTGTCTTTAAAGTGCTTACCACCGCCCCCAAAGTATTTTATTTTTTTCTTTTATTGTTTCTCTTCTCCCATTAGAATGTAAGCTTTATTGTATAAAAGATTCTATCTGTCTTGTTGCCCACCGAATCCTCAGGCACCAAGTGTAATACCTGGTGTGTCATAAACATCAAATGACTGATGAATGAAAGGAAGAAATGGTTATATAAGGCACTGTGTTTATAATATTTTGTAGGATCAGTTTCTTTTAAATTATAAATATACAGTAGATAAGTTTGCACACATAGCAAAATAACGTCTAATAAGTATTTTATATTGCAAATTGCTTTTAACAGAAATTCATGGCCAAGCAAAGAAAGGAAAAGGAGCAGAATGAGGCTGAAGAAAGAAGCTCTAGGTGATTGGGGGAAAGGAAAGAATTCACTAGAAATTTGTTTAGGGTCCAGTTGATTTGTGTATTTTTGTTATCATTTAATTTGTAATTTTCGTTTCAGAAGCAAATATTCGTGTTGTACAAATTTCTGATTGCCCTAAATGTAGAGAGACTGATGGGGAAAGTATGATGGGTTTGATTTTTATATCAAATCATCAGGCATGGAGAAATATCTTTTAGAAGTGTTAAAATAAATGTTCCTACTGTATATTTAAAATACCATCTGTGTTTGTGGCTGATTTTTTAAAGACTTGCTTGCCTCTGATTGCAGACAAGGTTTTTCACTACAACTCCTGTGATTTGGGATGTTTGGGGATTCTTCATGTATCACTGGAAGTCATAGCATGACAGTGTTTTACTTTGCTTCAACCATTCATGTGTATACAGGTCATAGATTTCTTAAAATTCAAATTTTTTCTGGATAAAATTAGATTACAGCATATTTTCCCCAAATAGGTTTGAATGAAACTTTGCTTGATTTTTATATGTGTTGGAAAGGTATTTTTTCTGCTTCTGGTAACACTTGCTGTTTCTGCCAGAACCCATTTAAGGTAACACCAAGCTAGTCATTTATTATTAGCTTGAATCTACAGAGCAGCCATTACTTCTGTGGACCACCAGAGTAGCTTTTTAAACCATTTGAATTATAGTTGAATATGTTTATAAGAAGTTTTAAGGGCACAAAAAATAATTGAATGGCTAGCAGGTGATGGAAATAGCCCTATACTTTTAAGTTTTTAGATTGAGCCATTCTTCAGACATAGTCTGAATACTTATAATTGTTTTAGTATTTGATGCCTCAAGATAGAGTGCACCAATTAATAATACAAAGAGGATGAATGGAGGGGAACAACAACAACAACAACAAAAACCCTACTTTTTTTAGATGTCTTATTTCCATCACAGCACAAGAGACATCACAGTCAGTAAGAAGGGCTTGGAGAAAAAAAAAGGCAGCACCTCTTTGTCACCTCCTATGAAACTCACTGCATACTTAGTCGAGACTTACCCACAGCCTGAGTAAAATTACAGAATGCTACACGTCACAGACAAGGGGTGGGGTAGAGAGAGGAGCGGCTTGCTGTCAAGAGTTTGTTGGAATTAAAACCTTACAGATGAATCCGGATAATAAGAGGGAGAAGAGCTGTTAAAAGATTGGGGAATAAGGTGCCTGTAAATTACAGAAGCACAGTGATAGTGAATAAGAATCTTAGTTTTAAAGAATCTTCCTTTCTCCTCAGCTTGCTTTTGGAACTTTTGCAACTAGGGAAGTTATAAGCTTCTTTAATCTTGTCTGGATCAGTCTTTTGAAATTGGGATTCTAAATTAGAATGAGAGGAGGAGCTGCTAAAGCATAAAAATGGTAGGGGTGATTTTTGTGTTTTATCCTAGTGACCAATGTTGACCATTAATTGTACATTATAAATAATGTTTTTCTCTGGGACTTTTTGCACTTAATGCTGGTAATTTTTATCATAGGGCTTCAAATACAAAAGATTTGTATGAGGTTTTCAGAAAATAAACATGCTCTTTGCATATAATTTTAGTATTGTTCTTGGCATTTTCAGAAAATCTTCCTCCTTTAGTCACACCACACAAATGGAACGTCATATACATAGTAGTTTCTGCTTATTAGTTGATTGAGGGATATAATTAGGATTGCAGCTGACTTAATTTTTTTTTTTTTTTTTTTTTTTTGAGACTTTGCTCTTGTTGCCCAGGCTGGAGTGCAGTGGCACGATCTTGGCCCACCGCAACCTCCATCTCCTGGGTTCAGGCGATTCTCCTGCCTCAGCCTCCCGAGTAGCTGGGCCTACGGACATGTGCCACCACGCCCGGCTAATTTTGTATTTTTTTTTTTTTAATAGAGACAGGTTTTCTCCTTGTTGGTCAGGCTGGTCTCAAACTCAGCATCTAGACTCCAAGGCAAAAAAAGTTTACATTCAACATGATCTCTATAAAAGTTTTTAGATTTTATTACCCTTTCTGGCATTAGGATGCTGTGGAAACTTGCCTCTCCAAAATTACTCCTTTTTAATCCTTCTTTAAAAAACATTTATAGGGGAGTCAGGTTTTTAAAACTTAAATTTTTAATTTTACTGATTTGTTATTTGATTGTGGAAAATGTCAAGCATATTAAGACAATAGGATAATTACCCTCATACATTAATTAGTTTCAATAATTATCAACTTAAGGCCAGTTGTGTTTGTCTGTGTGTATCTCTACTCCCAACTCTCTTGTATTACTTTAAATATCAGTATGTTTTACCCGTTAATTGTTCATTGTGTATTTCTAAAATATGAGTTCTTTTTAACCCTTATATTAAAAATATCCAGTACCATTAAAAAATCTCTTATTTAAATAATAGTTTGGTTCAGATTTTCAACTGTTTCATAAATCGTTTTTTTGTGGTTGTTGGTTTACTAAGTCTGAATCCAGATTCAAATAAGATCCATATATTGTGACTGGCTGGTAGGTCCTTTAAATTATACTATTTTGAATATATAGGTTCTTCCCTCCCTACTTCCGTCCTTGTAATTTATTTGGTAAAGAAACTAGATTCTTGGCTGTGCCAAGCAGTGCTGCTCAAAATGTCTTGGGACCCAGGGCAGTGCCAGTTCAGAAACTTTAGTATTAGTTTATGATTACTGAAGTACAGAAATTGAGAGTTTCTAGAAACATTTTGACAGTGATTTTATGTTCATTTATTGAATCTAACAATAAAAAAATTGGAGTTTGTATGTTTTTGTGGGGTTTTTAAAAAAAATTTTTTTTTTGTATTTTACAGAATTATTGGTCTATAGTTAATTGAAAATTAGGGAGAAAAAGAAAACTGATCAAGCACATAGTTTGAGAAGCACTGCTGACAGGTTTCCCCAGGTCTGACTTTGTTGCTTGCAACCATGTAGTACCTTTAACGTGTCCCTTGCTCTCTCTGTAGCTCATAAATTGGTAAGTAAATATAGACACTTGATTAGAGTTTGTTTTTTTCTTTCTTTTTTTTGATGAGACTACTTTAGGCAGTGATGTGGTCTTCCCGATAGGAGGCGCAAACTGATTGCCTTCTTTGGGATTTGAGTAGCAGCTGATGCTTAGTTTTGATCCACTTGTTCATTAGGGGTTGCAAAATAATGATATCTTAATTCTATATCCCTTTTTCATGTGTAAGCAGGAATATTTCTCTGCAAGGAGAAACTCCCCCTCATCTGCTATTTGGCTACTAGCGGTACGGTTTGTGTAAGAAAGACACAGATATGGGATGCTTTTCCTTTACTTACCTATTTTTTTCAGAATGAGTTGATTCTTTGGCATCCACTGTGATAAATTTTTTCTTAAGCATTAGTATGAACTTGTAAATTTTAACATATTTGATGTTTGAAACCTCTGCAGTATTAGTGTTATTGATCCTTATATGTCCCACATTTGATTTGATTTCCTCATTTCTACTAGTAGTTATCTGTATGTCAAGATGTTTCAGGCTCACTTCTCCAGACCTGGGGTCAGCTACTTCTCTAAAGAACAGTGGCTGATTAGGTGTGTTCATTGCTTCTGGACTGGTTATTGCTTTCCCATAGATGGAAATTGAAGTGTATGTTTTGTTTTCTAGACCAGGGTTCTCTGTCACCCAGGCTGGAGTGCAGTGGTGCAATCCTGGCTCACTGTAGCCTCAGCCTCCTGAGTTCAAGTGATTCTCGTGCCTCAGTCTCCCAAGTAGCTGGGACTACAGGCATGTGCTACCACACCTGGCTAATTGTATTTATAGTAGAGACAGGGTTTCACCATGTTGCCCAGGCTGGTCTCGAACCCCTGGCCTCAAGTGATCCACCCACTTTGGCCTGTCAATGCATGTATGTTTTGTTTTTAAGAGAAAATTCATCATCACTATACTGATTCTTCTCGTTCAAATTCATAACCTCTTCTATCTTAAATATAGATCTTCTTTGTCTTGTGTCAGGTATTACAATTCTCCAGGACATCAAGATGATAGACGTAAACTGTCGCATAATTGCTTAGCTTTTATCTCATCTTATATGCATCACAGTCACAGTAACAATGCCAAGACCTTAACCAACAATGTGATTATTGAAAACAGTTAAAAAATTTTTTTTTCAGTTTTGTTTTGTCCTGAGGGAATACCTCATTAAGAATATACATTCACATAGGGGAAGTCTCAAAGGAATTTTGTGTGTGTTTGTGTGTGTGTGTGTGTGTGTGTGTGTGTGTACATACTAGGTATATATATTTGTGGGTTACATGTGGTACTTTGATACAGGCATGCTCACATCAGGGTAAACTGGGTATCCATCACCTCAAGCATTTGTCCTTTGTGGTTCAAACAGTCCAGTTATGCTCTTCTAATTATTTTTAAATGTACAATTAAAAAAGTTTTTTTTAAGTAAGGTCTCATTCTGTCACCCAGGCTGGAGTGCAGTGACACTATCTCAGCTCACAATAGCCTCAAACCTCCCTGGGCTTAGGTGGTCCTCCCACCTCAGCCTCTGGAGCAGCTGGGACTACAGACGCATGCCACCATGTTCAGCTAATTTTTGTATTTTTTTTGTAGAGATGGGATTTTGACATGTTGGCCAGGCTTGTCTCGAACTCCTGGCCTCAATCTATTTTGATTTAATTTTTTATATGGGGAAAGTTGGGGGCCTAGTTTTATTCTTCTGCAAATGGATACTCAGTTTCCTCAGCACCATTTATTGAAGAGACTGTCCTTTCCTGAAGGTATGTTATTGGAACCTTTGCGAAAATGAATTTACTATAGATTTATTGGATTTATTTCTGTGCTCTCTATTCTGTTCACTGGTCTCTGTGTCTGTTTTTATGCCAGTACCATGCCATTTTTGTTACCATAGCTCTGTAGTATAACTTGAAGTCAGGTAATGTGATTCCTCTGGTTTAGTTCTTTTTGCTTAGGAGAGCTTTGCCTATCTGGATCTTTTGTTGTGGTTCTGTATAAATTTTAAGATTGTTTTTTCTATTTCTGTGAAGAATGTTGCTGGTATTTTGATAGGGATTGCATTGGATCTGCAGATTGCTTTGGGTAGCATGAACACTGTAACAATATATGAACACTTTAACAATACTGATTTTTCTAATCCATGAACATGGAATATCTTTTTATTTTGTGTGTCCTCTTCAGTTTCTTGCATCAGTGTTTTACAGTGCAGAGATCTTTCGCTTTTTTGGTTAATTCCTAGGTATTTTATTTTGTAGCTATTGTAAATGGAATTACTTTCTTGATTTCTCAGGAAATTTCAAAAATACATAGAATTGAATGAAAATGAAAACAACAAATTGAATTCTGAGATGCATCTAATGAAATGCTGGGAGGGAAATATGTAGCACTAAGTGCTTATATAAAGAAAGATCTCAAATCAGTAATCTAAGTTTCTGCCTCAAGATACTAGAAAAGTTAGAACAAACTAAATCCAAAGCAAACAGAAGCAAGGAAATAATAGAGCAGAAATTAATGAAATTGTAAACAGGAAAACAATAGAGAAAAATTAGTGAAACAAAAAGCTGGTCCTTCAAAAACAATAAAATTGATAAATCTCCAACAAGATTGACTAAAAAAATACCCAAACCACTAATATGAATGAAATGGAAAATATCACAACAGATCCTGCAGCCATGAGAACAATAGTAAAGGAGTACTGTGAACAACTCTACTCAAGTATAACTAGGAAGAAATGGACAAATTCCTCAAAAATCAGAAAGCACTAAAACTTGGCCAAGATGAGGCCGGGCGCGATGGCTCACGCCTGTAATCCCAGCACTTTGGGAGGCCGAGGCGGGTGGATCATGAGGTCAGGAGATCGAGACCATCCTGGCTAACAAGGTGAAACCCCGTCTCTACTAAAAATACAAAAAATTAGCCGGGCGCAGTGGCGGGCGCCTGTAGTCCCAGCTACTCGGGAGGCTGAGGCAGGAGAATGGCGTGAACCCGGGAAGCGGAGCTTGCAGTGAGCCGAGATTGCGCCACTGCAGTCCGCAGTCCGGCCTGGGCGACAGAGCGAGACTCCGTCTCAAAAAAAAAAAAAACAAAACAAAACAAAAAAAAGAACTTGGCCAAGATGAAATAGAGAACTTGAGTAATTCTGAAACCATTAAAGATGCTGAACTTGTAATGAAAACATCCTTGAAAAAGATACCTCCAAGTCCTGATGGTTTCACTGGAGAATTTTGCTAAACATTCAAAAGAAGAATTGATTTTGTGCAACCTCTTCCAAAGAAAATAGAAGAGGGAACACTTCTCAACTCTTTTTTTTTTTTTTTTTTTTTTTTTGGAGACAGAGTCTCACTCTGTCACCTAGGCTGGAGTGCACAATCTCAGCTCACTGCAACCTCTGCCTCCTGGGTTCAAGCGATTCTCCTGCCTCAGCCTCCCGAGTAGCTGGAATTACATTTTATGAGGAACTTATTTCAGGCATGCAGGGCTGGTTCAATACTGGAAAGTCCATTTAATAAACTATCAATAGGCTAAAGAAGAAAAACATGAGTGTATCAATTCATTTAGAAAAGGCATTTGATATAAAAATCAACACATCAATATTCTCAGTAGATCATAAAGAAGGAACTTCCTCAGTTTTATAAAAAGGATCTACAGAAAAAAAATCTGGCATCGTACTTAACGTTTAAAGTCTGTGTTCCCTCTAAGATTAGGAACAATGAAAGGATGTTCATTCCTGCCATCGTTAGGCAACAAACTTACTACTGCAGTTTTCCAGCCACTGCAATTCTAGGCAAGAAAAAGAAAAGGCATATAGATGAGAAATTTAATGAAACTATCTCTATTTGCAGATACATGACTGTCTACCCAGAAAACTTCAAGGAATGTGTAATAAAACTTTTAGAATCAATGAGTAAGGTTGAAGGACACAAGATCAACAGACAACAGTCATTTATGTTTTCTGTGTACTGACAGCAAACAAGTAGAAACCAAAATAACAAATGAAGTACATTTACATTTACACCAAAGAAAATTACTTAGGTATAAATGTACCAAAACATTTGTAGGATCTATATGATGAAAATTATAAAAGACTGATGAAAGAAATTAAAGGAAACCTAAATAAGGTAATTTATCATGTTCATGGATTGGAAGACTCAACATAATATCGATGTTAGTTCTCCCTAAGTTGTTCTATTGATTTAAGGCAATTTCTACCAAACCAATCAAAATTTTTTGTAGGAACAGACAATCTTATTCTAAAGTTTATATGGAAAAGGAAAGATTATGCAAATAGCTAAAACAGTTTTGAAAAAGAAGAATAAAACTGAAGGAATCCCTTTCTGATGCAAATGCTTATACTACATAGGTCCTGTAATCAAGAGCGTGCTGTATTGGCAGAGAGAAGGAAACATACATTGATGGAATAGCATAGAAAACCTGGAAATAAATCTACACAAATCACCTAGTTATTTACACAGAAGCAAAAGCAATTCAGCAGATGAGGAGAGCCTTTTCAGTAAATTGTGCTGGAGCGATTAGACATCCATCAGCCGAAAATGTACCTTGATCTAAACCTCACACCTTATATTAAAACTAAAAAACTCAAAATTATATATTTAAAATTATAAAAACTGAAGGGACCTTAGGTTTAAAGGTAAAACATAACACTATAAAACTTACAGAAAATAAGAGAAATTCTTCAGGGCCTAAGATTGGGCAAAGAGTACTTAGACTTGACATCAAAAGCACAATTTATAAGAGGAAAAACGGATAAATCTGATTTCATCAAGATTTTTGTTCTGTGAAAAATTATAGACTAATAGGAAATATTTGCAAATCACAAATCCAACAAAGGCTTTTATCTAGAATACATAAAGAAGTCTCAAAAATTAACGTTTAAAAATGATCCAATTAGAAAATCAGCAAAAGATATTTCACTAAAGAGGATATACAGATAAACAACACCTGAAAAAAATGTCCAATATCAGTAGCTGTTAGATGTAAATTAAAACCACAATGCGATAACACTACACATCTATAAGGATGGCTAACGTGAAAAATAGTGATAACACCAAGTGCTGAAAAGGATGAAGTTGAAACTAGATCACTCATACAATGCTGATGAGATTGTAAAATGGTGCAGCCAGTCTGGCAAGTAACCACATGACCAAGCACTTACACACTTGAACATTTATCCCATAGAAATAGAGACTTATTTTCACATAGGATGTATACAAGAATGTTTACGTAAGTGTTCATAGCAGCTTTATTCATAGTAGTTTCAAACTGGAAACTATCCACATACCCTTCAATGTGTGAATGGTTAAGCAAACTGTGGGTACATCCATACCATGAAATACTATCTAACAGGTTTTGTTTGTTTGTTTTTAAGGAAAGCTATTGGCCAGTATTGATAACATGCAACAACTTGACCCTCAAATTATGTTGAGTGAAAAAAGCTCATATCAAAAGGATACATGCCACATGATTTCATTTATGTATCATTCATTAAATAACAAAGATGAACAGATTACTTAATGCCAGGTATTTGGAATGAGAGGATCATAAAAAGGTACTAGTAAGGAATCTTGTGATAGTGAAGTATCTTGATGATGGTAGTGATTATGCAAAGCTGCACATGACAAAATTACATAGAGCCATATACATGAAAATTAGTGCATGTGTAACTGGTGAAATCTAAAGAAGTTTTGTGAATTGTACCAATGCTATCTGTTGATTTGGATATTGTACTATAGTTGTTTAAGATCTTAGTCTTGGGAGAGGATGGAGATAGGAAGCATAGGGCTTCCCTGTATACTTCTTTGCAACCTGCTATGAATCTATAATTATTTCAAAAGAAAAAGTTAAAATAATTGGATTCTGGGATTGGGTTGGTCATATATTCAAGGAGTGCATCGATAACCTCTTTGCCAGGGGTGAGTGGGACATAGTAATCTGTGATATGCAGTGTCATCACAGTTATTCAGATTATTGCCAATGGCATCATGGAATGAAGTGCAGGTAGAGGACAAGGCCTTGAGAGATGAAGTGTCTGAGGCACTTAAGTCAGTATGACAACAATAATGATTATTAAAACTGAGGCCACCTGTTTCTTATAGCCCTCTTGAGCATATTTTGGGAATAGGAGAAATAAAAGTTAAGAGCATACAATTAAGACAGGCATGGAGAACCAGAAGGCCTCCATGGTAGCTTTGAAGGAGTCCCTTATCTCTTGGAATCACAGAGCAGGTAAGGGTGAGGAGCCTCTGGTAGACACATTCTTCTACCACCTACCTGGTAACAGGTTGACTATATTCAGTCTCTTGTCATGGAGGGTACAATGCTTTGTCCTCACGGGATATATTATGGATATGGATTTGCCTTCCCTGAACTCAGGGCTTCTGATGGCACACTGTAGATTTTATGGATGGACTTCTCCATCACCATGGAATACCATCCAACTTCATTTTAACAAGGAGATGCATTTTTTTGGTAAATGGGCATGTGGGCAATGGGCCCATGCGTGCAGACTTGACAAATTTTACCATACGGTCCATCACCCAGAAGCAGCTGGCTTTTTAGGTGGCATGACCTGCTAAAGACTGGTTATGGCACAAGTTGGAGACAGCGTTGTTGCGGGAAGTCAGGGACCCTGAACCGAGGAACCAGCTGGAGCCACAGCAGAGGAACATAAATTGTGAAGATTTCATGGACATTTATCAGTTCCCAAAATTAATACTTTTATAATTTCTTAAACCTGTCTTTACTACAGTCTCTGAACATAAATTGTGAAGATCTCATGGACATTTATCAGTTACCAAATAATAGTCTTATAATTTCCTATGCCTGTCTTTACTCTCCTAATCCTGTTACCTTCGTAAGCTGAGAATGTATGTCACCTCAGGACCACTATTGTACAAATTGATTGTAGAACGTGTGTTTGAGCAATATGAAATCTGATTGTAAAACATGGGTGTTTGAACAATATGAAATCAATGCACCTTGAAAACAAACAATAACAGCGATTTTAAGGAACAAGGGAAGACAACCATAAGGTCTGCTGACTGCCTGTGGGGTTGGGCAGAATAGAGCCGTATTTTTCTTCTTGCAGAGAGCCTGTAAATGCGTGTGCAAGTAGGAGAGAGATCGCTAAATTCTTCTCCTAGCAAGGAATACTAAATATCAAGACCCTAGGAAAAAAATTGCATTCCTTGGGGGGGAGGTGTATAAACGGCCGCTCTGGGAGTGTCTGTCTGATGCAGTTGAGAAAAGGACTGAAATACGCCCTGGTCTCCTGCAGTACCCTCAGGCTTATTAGGGTGGGGGAAAAAATCCCGCCCTGGTGAATTTGAGGTCAGACCGGTTCTCTGCTCTCGAACCCTGTTTGCTGTTGTTTAAGATGTTTATCAAGACAATACATGCACAGCCCAACATAGACCCTCATCAGTAATTCTAATTTTGCCCTTGTCTTGTGATCTTTGCCTTGCCCTTTGCCTTGTGATCTTTATTGGCCTCAGAAGCATGTGAACTTTGGTCTCCTTTTTTGCCCTTTGAAGCATGTGATCTTTGTGACCTAATCCCTGTTTGTACACCCCTTCCCGTTTTGAAATCCCTAATAAAAACTTGCTGGTTTTGCGGCTCAGGGGGCATCATGGTCCTACCGATATGTGATGTCACCCCCAGAGGCCCAGCTGTAAAATTCCTCTCTTTGTACTCTTTTATTTCTCAGCTGGCTAACACTTAGGGAAAATAGAACCTACGTTGAAATATTGGAGGCGGGTTCCCCCGATACAGCATCCTAAGAAATGTAGCTGTTATCCTATGGAAACTTTATGTGCCTTAAAACAGAGGCCAACAATGTGGTGCTAGCTCTCCCATGGCTAGAACTTAAGGGTTTAGGAACCAAGAAGTAGAGGTGAGAGTGCCCCCTCTCCCTATTAGACCTACTGACCCACTTGTAGGATTTTAGTTCCCATCTCTGTGATCTTGGCCTCAGTATTTTGGAAGCCCAAGTGCTCAAGAGAGGAATTCATATACCAGGAAATAAGAACGTGACTCTAATGAACTGGGAGCTGAGACTGCCCTCTCACCTTTCGGAGTTCCTCATGCCAATAAACCAATAGGAAAAGGATCACTGTGCCTAATGGGAATGATCTGTTTACCAGGGGGAAATTGAATTGCTGCTACACAGTGGGGACAAGAAGAACTGTTCAGAACCCAGGAAATTCATGGGAGCGCCCCTTAGGTCTCTCCTGCCCTATAGTCCTGGTCAATGGAAAACTGACAATCCAGTAAAGATAATCCCACCAAGGACTCCAGTCTGCCTAGCCTTCATGCTGGCAGAGGGTGAGAGAAACATAAGTGGAAAGATTTAACTCAGATTCCCGACATAGGCCTTGCCACCAGCTACAGAAGTGGAGACTACAGCAGCCTTGTGTGGTGATTGTTGTTTTTAATCTCGTTCCCCTCCATTATATGCTGGATGACACAAACTCAGGATGCTCTGACAAGTACCCACCCTAAAACTACTGAGGAGGGTTGAATATGGGTAAAGATTGACCTCAGAGCCTAGGCTATAGGCTTGAAGGGGATCACACTGGAGGGGAAGGTATTCTTAAATGTCAGGGATGTCAGTAGGATCTGATTTCTGGATCAGACGACTGGGTAATGATTGGGCAAAGGAGCACGGCTACTGTGAACGACTGGCTGAGTATGAAAGACTGTACCCTGCTTTATCCGGTAGTCTCAGCAGGACCTTTATAAAGCTCAGTTCTGTTTTTCTCAAGTGGAATAATGAAGAACCTCAAGAAGTGTTCCTCAGCTGGCCCTATAAAAAGAAAGCTCTTAGGAAGGCCAGGGATTTGCTAATGTCAAGGAATTAAGTGGGTTCCCTGAGTTCTGGGGAGCCTGGTTAATAGGGCATGTTGTGGAAAGACAGAGCCCCACCAAAGTGGCAGGATTTGAGCCTTGAAAACTTTACATGGCTCTGGCAGCATTCATCCCAAAGATGATTATCCCCAGGTTTCCTGCTGCATCTGCTTCTCCAACAAGTTCTTCCTTGTTGGTCAGGATTAGGTTCTAAGAGATCCCTTCTCTCAATTCATCTTCTTAGAGATGGAATTGTCCCTAAAATAAGTCGACATTACCAGATGCATATCTTTGAGCTAATGTAACTTCCCCAAGTGTCCAGAGAGTGGAAGTCTCTCACCACCTCGGCTTGCCCATGCACCTCCATTGATCATACTCTTCAGATTATCTCTCCTTTCATCCTCAACTAGAGCCTATCTTGCATGAGTCTTGGTAAGGATTTCCATGCAGGCATATGTCTTCTTGATCTGCAGAACTCTCTTCTCCCTGGTAGTAACTCTTCTTTGAACAAGAAGTATCTTTCACCATTTCAATACCTCTGTTGTTCAAACCTCAAATGATTCCAACATTTTATAGATATCAGAGATCATAAACATTATTTGTGGCTTCATTTCTAAAGTTTTAATCCTATGAAATACTAGTCACACATTCCAATAATAGTAATATTAGCTAATATTTAGCACCATAATGTATGTAAAGCATTTCTTTTATGAGGCAGGTATTTCTATAGTTCTCATATTACAGATAAAGAAACCAAGCCGCGAAGGTAAGATCACTTGCCCAAGGCCATACGGCTAGTAGGTAAAGAAAGCTAAGATGTGAATCCAGGTAGTCTGACTCTAGCGTCATCCTTTTACACTACTGTCATTGTTCTTGTCTTGTCCTACTGGTCTTACAGTTCTTAGCTGAATATTATCTTTCCCACTGTCTTCCCCCTGCCTCCCGAGTCCCCCTTTTTTCACTTAAAGCCAGTTTTCAGACAGTCTTCTCAATCATTGTGAAATGTACTCCATCCAAATTCAAGAGTGTATTAATCTGGCATTTTAGGTTATGATCCAAAGAGCCAAAGTCTGTTCTTTGACACAACCTAAGTCAGTGGTTCCTGGTTTTTGGTCTGCATAAAAATAAGAGAACTTTTAAAAGCCAGATTCCTGGGCCATTCCCAGAGATTTTGATTGAGTAGGTCTGGGAGTGGAGGGGGACCCAGATGTCTCCATTTTTTACAAGAAGATTCTGATGCAGGAGATGTTTAGATTGATAGTACTTTAAGAAACACTAGGCCAGTCACAGTGGCTCACATCTGTAATCCCAGCACTTGAGAGGCTGAGGCAGGATTGCTTGAACCCAGGAGTTCAAGACCAGCCTGGGCAACGTGGCAAAACACTGTCTCTGTAAAAAAACAACAACAACAGCAAAACACATAAGTCAAATATTCACTTCTCTTGGTGCCCCTTTTCCAAAGTCCTGGCCATCAGCCAAGGGGGAAACAAAGTGAGACATTTGTTGCCCTCTTAACTCCTAAAGATGTTCTTTAGGCCTTTTCTGGTGATATCTTCCCATGAATCAACAGGAGTCCTTTGGTGTATGAGCTTCAGAAAGCTTTCTGGCCCCTCTCTGCCCTGAGACATGCAATAGGGACACCCAAACCTGCTCCTTTTGCCTGCATCAGCTCTGCCTGTGCCTTCATTTTGCACCCTACTCGGGAACCAGCCATCAGCAGCACCTGACTCTTCTCACTGCTGGGGCCTATAACAGGTTTCCTCACATTTGCTAGGATTGCTGCATCCTGGGATGTTGTGGCCTCTTCCAGAAGATGAGATAACCCCACTTTGGAAAGAAGTCGAACTCCTGTTCTGTTCCTCACTCTTATCACCCTGGTTTGGATCTCCCTCACTTCTCAGAGGCCTTCTATGTGTGTATTACTCAGGGTTCTCCAGAGAAACAACCAATAGGAGGTGTGTGTGTAGAGAGAGAGTAAAATGGAGTAGAAACAGTAAATAAATATCTGTTACGAGATTTGACTCATGCTATTATGGAAGCCAAGAAGTCCTACAATATGCCATCTTCATATTGGAGAATCAGAAAAGACCACACGTTGGGAATGGAGGTGGGGGGGGCCCACCAGGAGCTCAGCTGTGATGTCCGAGAGCAGGAGATGAATGTCCAGCTCAAGAAGAAAGAGTGGCTCTTCTAACAATCGCTGTGTGTGGAGGCTTTCCTTCGTGCTGTCTAGAGACTCCTCACCCTCTGGACTAAATCCAAAAGGAGGACTGTGCACACAGACTGACCTGTTCACATTAGTCCCAGAGCTGCGCTCTTGCAGCTCAGCAGATAGGCCGCTCTTCACTCCCTGCTCAAGAGGAGTGAGGGCTTTCAGAAGCCCCTGCACCTTCATGCTGAGCTCACTCCTTTCCATTGTATCAGCAGCCATGCCTGAACAAAAAATAGTTTCTATTTATTGAGTGTTTACTGTTTATTATGGTAGATTCTTGGGAAATTGAAACTCTCTGACACTACCATTAGTTTTTCTTCTTAGGGGAAGCAGATGAAATGACCAGGCTGTTACCAGGGTCTATGGTCCTTAGCAAGCTTTGCAAAGATCTGTGGTTTTTACAGAAGACAGAGAACATAGAAATAATGTAGTGTGTTCACATTACCTCTTTGGCGAAAAACCTGTTGTTGTTGTTTTTCTATTTTCTGTTGGAAAATAGTATCAAACTTGTCCCTTAGTTTCTCAGTGAAATTGGAGAGCCACCTCCCTCCCTTTCGTTTCTGTCCTGAAACAGTAAAGTAGTAAAAGTGGCCTGAAAACCACCCCTCTTTAACAGTGGTTGGTTGTGTTGACAAAGCCTTGGTGTACTCGTTTCCTGTGGCTGCTCTAACCAATTGTCACAACCATGGTGGCTTAAAAACAACAAATTTATTCTCACAGTTTTGGAGGCCAGAAATTCAAGATCAAAGTGTCATCAGGGCCACAAGAACTTGTTCTTTTATAGCAAGAAACAGAACTGTGCTTCATGCTCAGGAGTTGGATGTTGCAGTGAGCTATTTTGCCACCGCACTCCAGCCTGGGTGACAGAGGGAGACTGTCTCTAAAAAAATTAAAAATAAAAAGAATTGCATTTCAAGTTAACCTAAGTAAAATGTGCAGCGACTCACTATAAAGACACTGGGCATGTTGGTCTGGATCCCTGGCTGCTAGCTACAGCAGCCAAGCCTGGATATCTGAAGCAAGAGAGGATTTCAGAAGAGCTTTGGGGGCTAACAGAATGGAGGGAGGTTGGAGAACTTGGCTTTGGTTATGGACAGGACTCGCACAGCAGGCGCCCTACCTGGTCATTTGCTGTCACACGGCAGCTGCCATGTCTGACTTCCTGAAGCTCAAGAACTTGTTTCAAGTCTTGGGAGAGAGCATCCAACTGTCTGAGCCTAGGCCACACTGCCCAGTGACACAGAGTGGGAGGCCCTATCTCTAAAGCTTCCAGAAAAAAGGCAGGCACTTCTGCCCACCAAGAGGGGTGGGAAAAGGATGTTTTAGGAAGAGGGAGATTAAAAGCTGGAAGCCAAAAATGGCAAATATCCACCACAAGGACTATCTCAGCACTCACAGGCAGGGAGACTCAAGGAATGAGAGCCAGGAACAACAACCAGAAGGGTCTCTTTCTGGATCTTGTTTTCCCCACCTCACCCCCTACACGTGATCTCTTTTTCTCTGACTGCGAAACTTTCTCCACTTCATGTGCGGGGCCCCTTCTGAGCCTCCCATTTTATTCATCTCAGCTCCAGCCACACAGAAGCTAGCTTCTCTCAGTCCCAATTCCACGTTTTTGGGAGAGAGAATGTGATTGATTCAGGTTGGGTAGTCTCAGAGAAAGTGATTCTTTTAAATAGAGAAGATACCCCAAACATGTCCTACAATTTGGGGGCAGACATGCTCACTAGAGGTTTATTTCTGCACAGACTGGGCTGTGCAGAAAAAGTTTGAAGACAGCCTTCTGTATGAATAAAGTAGTGAAGTTGTGAGGAAGGTGTTTAACCTATACAGAAAACTGGCTCTTTTCTTTTTTTTTTTTTTTTTTCCTGAGATGGAGTCTTGCTCTGTCGCCCAGGCTGGAGTGCAGTGGCATGATCTTGGCTCACTGCAAGCTCCACCTCCCAGGTTCACACCATTCTCCTGGCTCAGCCTCCCGAGTAGCTGGGACTACAGGCGCCCGCCACCATGGGGTTTCACCATGTTAGCCAGGATGGTCTCGATCTCCTGACCTTGTGATCCACCCGTCTCGGCCTCCCAAAGTGCTGGGATTACAGGCGTGAGCCACTGCACCCAGCCAAACTGGCTCTTTTCAAATCACTGTAGCCACACCATATTTGCAAGCAGCTAGCTGCTTCTTAGGTCCAATTTTAGCTCTGCCACAGAGCAGGTTCATGTTACTTTATACATCTGAATAGAGCCAAACTGTACTTCTTTAAAAATAGACCATAATTTGGGCTTTCCCTACATCAACAGGGCCTCCTGCCCTTCTTCCCAAAGCAATTAAATTTTACTCCCTCCTTGCTATCTTTCTGTAAAATTTGAATCTGAAAAATGCTTGCCACAGACAAGGTACCAATAAATGTTGGTAAATGAATGAATGACTGAGTCAATCAATCAGTTGCTACATCCGAGCCAAAACTGTTTTCTCCAGCAACACATAATGGCCAAGTTCTGTAATGGGAAACTTGATTGCTTCATCTGCTCTTGCAGAATTTCCTTTCTTCCTCCTAGCTTTGCCTTACTTTGCGCCATCCCCCTTTTCACAACCTTGGTCCAAGTCACCATCAACTCTCACTCTGACCCTCTGCTGTAGCTTTTAACTCTTCACTTCCACTCTGATCCCTTGCACTGTATTCTCCAAAGGCAGCCCAAGGGAGCTTTTGAGAAGTAAATCAGATCCTGCCACTCCTCTGGACTTAGCAGGCCTCAGGCAGCTTCCCCCAGGCCCTGCATGGTGCCCTCCAGCCTGCCTGCCCCATTCCACAACCCCTTAATCTACACTCCTCTCCTCCCATGGCCTTGACAGAGCGCTTCCTTCTTTCTCTCTGGAATACTCTCTTCCTTGCCCCCACCTCAGTCCTGCCCAGTGAACTCCTAGCTGACCTTCAGATCTCATCTCAAATAGCTCTTACTGTCCTGGGCACGCGATGAGGACTCCCTGCTCTCTGTTCTCACACTCCCACATTTTCTGTCTTTTATGGCACTTACATATTTGTAATGGTATGTGACTGACGTGATTATTCCATAAGTGTCAGTTTCCCTCACTGAAGTGGAAGCTCTTTGAGGTTAGGGACTCTACTTGTTTGCTAGGGCTGTCATAGCAAAATACTGCAGACTGGGGGGCTTAAATAACAAAAATTTATTTCTCACACTTCTGGAGGCTGGAAGTCCAAGATCAAGGTGTAGTCAGCAGGCTTGGTTTCTTCTGAGGCCTCTCTTCTTGGCTTGCAGATGGCCGCCTTTTCCCTGTGCCCTTCACATGGCCTTTTCTCTGCGTGCATGCATCCCTGGTTTGTCTGTATCTAAATTTCCTCTTTTTATAAGGGCACTGGTCAGATTGGATGACCCTAATGACCTCACTTTAACTTGTTCACCTCTTTAAAGGTGCTATCTCTAAGTAGAATCACATTCCAAGGTACTGGAAGTTGCCTTTCACATAGAAATTTCGAGAGGACCTAATTCAGCCCATAACACAGACTGTGTCACTTGTGCCCACCACTGTGTCCCCACCCAGGACAGTGCCTGACTTATTTTAGGACTTGACACACTCCCATTAAATGAATGATTGCATTTCAGCTCCCCCCTTCCTCTTCCTCTTCCTCTCCCCACCCCCCACCATACGTTGTGCTAAAGGCAAAGAAAAGAAGGCATAGACCACTACAGAAGGACCCTAAGTGACCACAGGAAATGTTTGCTACCCTAATCTTGAAATTACAGACCTTTTTTTGGGGAGTGTTGCTCTCTTCTAGTATCTCCCTATGGGGAAAAAAATCAGCCACCTGTCAGCGGCCAGCCCATCCTGCCCTGGGTGTGTCTACTGCCCCCAGGGGCTGCTGTGGGAGTTTTGCTGACAGCTGCACACCCATCCAACTGGCCCTCTTTAGAGGGTGAGTCAACAGGCTGCCGGGAGTGTGGATCTATCTGCAGGAAGGCAGTTTAGCAATAGGTACTAGAACCTAAAAAAAAGTCATATCCTGTGACCTTACAATCTAATCTGAAGAACTGGGTGGGGGGAGGGGGAGGGCTAAGATGAGTTTATATCTTTTTTATTAAAAAGAAACTCCCTTTCTCACTATTATAGTAGAATCTGGGGAGAGCCTAAATGTGAAACAAGAGAAAGTTTGTGAATCTAGTACATTCATATGACAGACAATTATATAGCTATTGAAAATAGTGTTTATGAATAATTGTTTAATGATGTAAGATGTTACATGAAAACGTGGGACACAGACTGCATTCTACACTCAGATATATAATAAATACTGCAATTTACATGTGTGTATACATTCAGAGGAGAAAGCCTGGGCTGCCAAATACCCAAATGTTAATATACTATTTTTTCAGAACCAGAGATTTCTTTCTTTATGCTTTTTGTTTTAAAATGGCATGTGTTGCTTTTAAAGCCAGAAAAAGGGGGCAAAGTTTTTAAGGCAGCTGCCTTGCTTGTCAATGAAATTCTCAACTCCAGGCTTCTCTTAGGGAAAGAGGCCTCCCCAGGATCCCCCGTCCTACCCCGGGCGGTCGGGTTGAGTTCTGGAGAGACTGCTCCAATCCCCGAGGCGGAAGGAGGCAACCGATTTGGCGCAGCACTCAGCCAGGGGGTAGAAGCTCAGGGGAGGAGCCGAGCCTTTCTCCTGTCCAAGAGCGAGATCTGGGCTACGCCGGGCGCCCGGAGCCCTAGTCCAGCCCCCGGCCATCGCGGCCGCCGCCCAGCCAGGTGCAAAATGCCGTGTCATTGGGAGACTCCGCAGCCGGAGCATTAGATTACAGCTCGACGGAGCTCGGGAAGGGCGGCGGGGGTGGAAGATGAGCAGAAGCCCCTGTTCTCGGAACGCCGGCTGACAAGCGGGGTGAGCGCAGCCGGGGCGGGGACCCAGCCTAGCCCACTGGAGCAGCCGGGGGTGGCCCGTTCCCCTTTAAGAGCAACTGCTCTAAGCCAGGAGCCAGAGATTCGAGCCGGCCTCGCCCAGCCAGCCCTCTCCAGCGAGGGGACCCACAAGCGGCGCCTCGGCCCTCCCGACCTTTCCGAGCCCTCTTTGCGCCCTGGGCGCACGGGGCCCTACACGCGCCAAGCATGCTGAGGGTCTTCATCCTCTATGCCGAGAACGTCCACACACCCGACACCGACATCAGCGATGCCTACTGCTCCGCGGTGTTTGCAGGTAGGAGGGGCCGACCACCCTCGCCCGGGGTCGGGGTGGGGTAGAGGAGGGGACGCCGCGGCTCTCAACCCTGGAGAGCACCTAGAGCTGAGAGACAGGAGACTTTCTGGCCCCGCCAGACTGACGTTGAGTGTTGCAACGACACAGGTCTGCAGAGGGCGACTCAGAGGGAAACTGAGGCTGGAAGGAGAGAGGTGTCTGAATGGCGCTTCTCCTGGAAGCTTCAGCCCAGGTTGGTACTGAGGTAGGCCAGGAAGGTGGGACCAGCATCTCTCCTCTCACCTTTTCGGGATCTCTGAAAAGAGGTCTTTCTGCGTTGCCGGCGGCGAAGCGCTGTACTGCAGGGCTCTCCTCCTTCTCCCCTGAAGGTCTGGTCCCAGGCCTATTTATAACCCAGCTCTCTTCCCGCCCCGATCTGCGCCTGGCTGCTTTCCTGGCCCTTTGCTCTCTCTCAGAGGCTGGCCTGGCAGGCTGGCAGCCACTGGAGGCGAAGGCACCCTACCCTTGCTTTGCGCACAGGATGGGGGAAATTTAGCAGCTGGGCACAGCTGTCACAGCACCAACCTTTACAGACTTTCTCTGCCCCCAACCCCTGCCCCCAACGGACCAGTGGGTGGAGGGAGCGGGGGTCGTATCTGCTTTCTATCATCAGAGTGAGGCCTCCTTGAGCAGGGAAGCCACTCCCTTATCAGATTGGGACCTCCTATAGGAGGGCCTTCATAGAGTTATGACTTGACTTTTCCTCCAGGAGCTGAGGGCTGGGCCCTGGCTGCTCTCCAGGAACCCTTCAGGACCAAGCCAGAGCTAGGATCTACACAGCTGGGTCTTTGGGCTTGGAACCATACTGGGGGAGAAGAACTAGGGGGAAAGAGTGTGAACCTCCCACCCAGCCTGTGGGTTTTCCTCTCAGCCTCCACTACCTGCCACTCCCCTTCTCCCCAGAGATCTGACTTCTAACTACATCCCAGACTTCCAGAAATCATAGCATTAGTTGGTTTCTGGCCATTCAGCACAGTTTCACAAGCTCCTGGATACACCTGTTCACAGACACCATCTGCACATATGATCCCAGGCACATGCACACCCTGGAGCGTGTGGGACACCTGTGATGTTCCAAGGAATAAAAGCTCCGAAAGCACAGGCCTGTGTCCAGCTCAGCATGAGCAAGGGATCATGTCATGAGTACCTTCTCTTGGGTATGAGATTCAGGGCTTCTGGATTTGTTGGACCAGAGCAGAGCTTGAGGAGGAGTTGCTGAATGGTCCTGAGGCCTGGAAAGCAGTGTACACCAAGAGTGGGGACCAAGGGGGTGGCTGTGGCACTCCAGCTGTGCTTTTTTTCCTAACGTGCTGCTTTGATCTGCTCTCAATCAGTTTCCCACGTGGCCTCCGGAAATGAGCTTTATCCAGGTGTTTCCAGCAGGGAGGACATGGGAGTCTTTCATGCTTCCTCTCCGCATCCTCAGCTCTGGGCAGGCCAGGTCAGTGGCCCTGTTCAGCAGCCTGGCTGAGGGCTCTGGGCTCCTGGTGCACAACTCCAGGGGGCACCATTCATACTGTAAATAGCCCCTTGGCGGAGGGGAGGGAGGACAGGCACTCTGTGGGTGAAGCAGCCTCCTCCCACGCCAGCACCTCTTCCCCATTTATAGCCCCTGAACCTGGGGGCTGGTGCTCCAAATGTACACTCAGCTGCAGCAGCCCCTGCTGTCAGGGGCTTTGTTTCTGGCTTCCACTCAGCCTGAACCAGATTTTCTTCCACCTTCCCTGACCACATGCCCCCTCTGCACCCCCATACACTCAATACACTAGGCTTCTACCTCATGGTCCCTCACCCAGGCTAGGCTCAGACCTCTGGTTGGAGAAAGGAAAGAATGAATAATAAATGGCAGGCACTTTCTAACCCCAGAAGTGCAGGAAGTGCTGCTGGTGTGGCTTTTCTTTTGTTATTTCAGCCCCAAGGGCCTGTGTGTGGAGCAGCTCCCCCCATCCTGCATCCTCCCATTTACACATCCCTGGCTGAATCCTCTCCCCACCCCCATCTGCTTTTTGCCTGCTGCCTGGCTCTTCGGGGTAGGCTCCCCCTTTCCAGGGCCCAGAGCACACAGCTCACCTTGGGGAAAGGAAGTACATTTTCTGTGCCAATCCGTCATGAGCCCCTGAGCCTAGGAAGAGACTGGCTGGAGCCCCCACCCCTGGTCATCACTGAAACCGCCAGGCAGTCCTGGGGAATGCAGTCCCTCCCCTCCCCCAGCCCCTGGCCACATTTCACGTCCTGCATTAGCCAAGCTCCTAACCCATGTCCAAATTTGGCCTCCCTGTGACATTCAGGCCTGCTCGCTCTCCTTCTCCCTGGCAGGGTCAGCTTGGTGAATGATTACACAGAAGACTTCGGTCTCAGGGATGCAGCTCAAAGCAAAACACCAGTCTGGGAAGCCTTCCCTCCCCAGCTGGGCTGGGTCTGCTCTTCCCAGACTCTATCTGTTGTCCCATAAAGCCCCTCCTTTGGTTACATGATTATAATACCCTGTAGCCACACTTCACAGCCCCTTTGTGCATGTATACATTCATTGCAAGCTCACAGAAGCTTTGTGAGGTAGAGGGCAAAGATATTATCCCCCCTTAAAGATAAGGATATTGGCCCAGAGAAGTGAAGGAGCCTGGCCAAGGTCACATAGTGGCCACAGCATCCCCACCCCCAACCCCTCATCAGTGCCCTCTGTTGTTCTCAGTATCCTTGGTGCATGAATAAGAAAGTGCTCTGGAGAGCATACCATATGCTGCCCACACCCAGGGCACCAGGGCACTCGGACCTGAGCCAGCCAGGGAGGGTGGTGCCTGGGGTCCCCAGCAAGAAGCTGAGTCAGAGTAGGGGGAGTGCAGGGCTGCAGGAGCATGGTGTGAAACAATTGACCAAAAGATGGAGGATTCTGGGGTTTCAAATGCGTGTTCCTCACAAACAGAGGGAATGGACATTTGCTAAGCACAAAAGCATACCATTGTCAGGTGGTGTTTCTTGAAAATCCCACCAACAGTCCTATGAAAGAGATCTATTTAACTGACACCATGCTTATTTTAAGGCAGATACTGTTCTAACTAGAACATTAATAGAAGCTACATCATGACCCGGTTATAATTTGTACCAGGTCCTTATATGTAGACATATACACCTCAGTCCTCTTAGCAAGCATATGTGGTAGCAACTGTCATCACTCCCATTCTACAGATAAGGAAACTGAGGCATGAAGAGGTTAAGTAAGTTGCCTGAGGTTATACACTGGTAAGTAGTGGGGTTATGATTTGAGTCTAAGTATCTGGCTCCTGAGCCCCCACAATATCCCCAGCTTTAACCACTCTGCTATCTACCTCTGGCTTTAGCTTGGATTTACCAAAGACAAGCAAGAAAAGGTGGAGGGGCAGGACCTGAACCCAGGCCTGGCTGAGACCCTGATGCCCCCCTCGGTCTGCACCTTGACTCCTCTCATCACGTGCGTGGTCCTTACTGCTGCTTGCTCACCCAAGCACAGACATCCTCAGCCCTTATGTTCTGGTCTTGCAGATGCTTTCTTATCTCAGGGGGTCCTTGCTCTCTGCCTCACCCTCTCTATATCTGATAGGACCAATCAGTCACCAGTTGATGCAGGACGCTCCCTCCAGGCAGTGCTCTCGTTCCGGGCAAGCTCACAGCTCTGACAGGACTATGGTGGCTGCCTAGGGTCTGATAAGCCAAGGCCAGGGCAATGGTCACATGGCACTGAGGTGGGCAACCTGTGGTGCGTATGGCAGGTGCTCCGGGACTTCCAGGGAGGGGGTCATGTAACTGTAGATCTCAAGCTTAGCCAGTCTAGGAGAAAGTGAAAGTTGGGCGGGGGGCTCAGAAGAGCGGCTAGCTGGCAGCCTGAGTCACAGTCCAGTGGGATAACAGCATCGAACAAGAGGGAGAGAAGGACTGCCTGCATCTTGAACTCGGGATCCCAGGTCTGCCACTTTTCAAGCTATGTGGCTTTGGGCAAGTTACTTAACCACTCTGTGTCAGTTTCCTTATCTGTAAAGTGTTGATAACAATAGCTTGTACCTGCTTTGGATGAATCATTCTGGAGAGTTTATGTGTTAGTCCATATAAAGCACTTCAAACAGCCAGGCAAGCAATAAATGTTAACTATAATAATTATTACATATACTTTTACATAAATTTATTATAATCATTACTATTAACATATATTGTACATGTACTAAGAAATAATTGTACACATCCACAAAGGCTTTCAATGTCTTTTTTGCTTGGTGAATTCTATCCTCAGCTTTGTTTCTCCATCCACTGTCCTGCCAGGCTGGACACAACAGGCCAAGTGGTGGGTGGCCGTCTGTCTGCCCCCAGGGACACTGGGCCTGTCTTCTCTGGCTGCCCCTCCTAGAGCAGTCCCTTCTGAGGCGAAGTCATTTGGCCACCTGCCTGATGGCTGGCAGTGGCCCTCACTGGGGTACTTTCTCTTTCTGGGAACAAGTATTCCTCTGGTGACTCACTAGCAGCCCACAAACCTCTTCAGTCCCTCTCCCCAGGCCAAACTCACTTTCTTTCTCTACTTCCTGCATGCTAGTCTCTTTCCAGATTGGTCCACTAGCATGGGATGTTAGCAGAGAGAGCGTTCACATCTACTGTGGATGTGCTGTGCCCCAAGCACTGTGCTGGAGTTGCTAGTGTTTTGTTTAATCCTCCCAACACCGCTGCAAACTGTCCTCATTCTTTTGATTGCACAGAAGTGGAAACAGACACTGAAAGGTCCAATCACATGCCTCAGGTCACACCACTAGGAAAGGGTGGCCTGGGACAGAAGCCCAGGACTGTCTGATTGTTTCCACTATGCACGATTTCTCCCCTGACAGGCCCTAATCATGGCTGTGGTCAGAACCAGGACTGCATGTGGGTTCTACCCTCTTGCTGGATACACAGGTCCCCTGTCAATTCCACCTGGTGGACTGGGATATCCGCCGGACACATATTCTTAAATGAATGTGAAGGGAGAGGGAAGAAGGCCTCATCTATACTTCCGGAAGCCTTTGGACATTGACAAATATGCCCTGAAGGAGTCCTGTCAACTCATGTAGAATGTTCCTCTAAAGGTCAGTGTCACTGAGCAGAGAGGCAAGGTTTGTTTGCCTCCTGGCACCCCATGTTTAAGTCTTGGGAAACACAAAGGACCAGCTAACATTAGGAGAATGTGGCCAGAGGAGAACTGGCCCAACTCCAGCAGCAAGAGATGATTAGAAGCATGCCTTCCTCGATGGTCAGGAAGGTAGGGCCACAAATAAGTAGTGACAGGGGTCACAAACTCATGCACTTCCAGAAACGTGGCAGGTGGACTAAGATCAAGCTGGAGGGGAAATCCTATGTGCATACTGGGAGTGAGCTGAGGGGGGGACACCTGGTCTACAGGTGCCAGACGGTCAGTGTTAGGTGGAAAATCTAGGCCCAGGTGCCACATTCTCTGATTTTTTTCAAGAGAAGCTGTAAATCCAGATTTATACGGAAAAGTCTTCTAATATTTAAGGTACAATTTTGTTATAAAACATTGTACTGATTAAAGACAACATGTCTGTGGGCTGGATGTGTCCCAGAGAACACCAGTGACCGCTTCTGAGACACAGTATTTCATTCAATCCTGGAGACCTTGGGCCTGGGCTCTCTGGAGGGCAGAGAGCCAGTGTCCTCTCCCTTGGGCTCATCAGGCAGCACCTGTCATCAGTGACTACAGGATGGAGTGAGTGGGAGAGCTTTAGTCCCCTTCCCCCTTAACCTCTGTCAGCCCCGAAACACTGCAATAAGCATGAAACTCAGTTTCCAAACAGGCCCCTCAAGCCCTTCCTTCCAGGCTATGGCTCCTAAGCTGGCCCCATCACCTTTACAGTGGGGCTGGAGTAGCCTGGGGTCCCGAGGAGCTGCCCTCACCTGAAGCCTCAGGTGGGATGCAGATCTAGCTATTTGTAAACAAGCCCTAACTAACATTGGTATAAGCATGATGGTCTCTCCACTCACATAATAGTTGAATGTAGACAGTCCTGACTGGTAAGACTCTGACCCACAGGCTGTCCAGGACCCCAGCTCCTCCTGTTTTATTGCTCTGTTATCCCCAGAAGTTCCCTTTGACAACGTGGTCCATGATGGCGCACGCCTCTGTCTATATTCCAGCCAGAGGGGAAAGGGGGCCGGGGAGGCGTGCCGCTTCCCTTTAAGGACATATCCAGGCAGTTATATACAGCCCTTCTGCTCATATTCTGTTGGTCATCAATTAGTCTCCTGGCTACATTCAGCTATGAGGGAGGCTGGGAAATGTTTTTATTTGGGTGACCATGTACCCAAGTAAAGTGCTGTGGAAAATTTCTGTGGATGAAGGGGAGAACATATACTGGGAGGTGGAGGTCAGGTCTCAGCCACACTCTCCATTAGAACTTAATTCCTGATAATGTCCCCTCGGGAGGAAGCCCTATTGAGTTACTAGGCCTCAGTATGAAGTCTGCAAGGGAACAGTCAGTTATCTGATTAGGGAGAAGTCCAGGTCAGTGAACATCAGCCAGACTAGGAAGTTGGAGGCTGGGATGAAAAGGAGGCCTCAGGAAGTGTCCAGGGGTCAGATCACCAGCAGTTGCTTTTCTGATTTGCAGAACAGATGTGGGGAGACCCTTTTCCTTGGATGCAAGCCAAGGGAAGGCAGAAGTCCCTTGGAATGTTCCTATGGAGGTATTAGTTATACCCCCTACAGATTTCCATTTCCTGTGGTGACTCTGAAGGACTGGAGCTGGGGTAGGGTGGGGTATGATAGGGGCAAAAGCAAAGCCAGGAATCATTGTGATAGACAGGAAAAAAAAAAAAAAAAGAAAAAGAAAAAGAAAAAAAGCTTTGTAATATCCAAAAGTCCCTCTAGGGGGCAGTACTATCCCCTTTGAGAACCACTGGCTGAACTCACCAGTGGGCAGAACCCACACCCGGGAGCCACGTGCAGTGTCCACTATACCAATGCCAGGCCAGTCCTGTACTACACGCTGGGAATACCTGGGTCACTAAGACAGACTTGGTCTCTCCCCTCGTTGACCAACTCCACAGTCTAGCTAGACACGAAACGGGTGATTACGCTAATAGTTATTCCTGACCATTGTGATGCGTGCTAAGAAGGAAAAGGGCTGCTGTGCAGTCATTTGCCAGAGGGACCCGTCTAGACCCCAGGATATCAGGGACTGCTTTCCTGGAGAGGTGATCTTTAAGCTGAGGCCTGAAGTATGAATAGGTGGTTCTGCAAAGAAAGAGAAGAAGGCAGCTGGAGGCAGAGAGAACAGCGGACCTCAGAGCTGAGAGGGAGCTTGGCATATTCTAGAAACTGACGAGGCACCGGAGCTAGAGCTAGGAGAGCGAGAGGTGGAATGGCCTTGCCCTTTGGCCCGAGGAAATGAATCTGGGCTTCATCCCAAGAGCACAGGAGGCCTTTGGATAAACCTCCCAAGAGGCTTTTAGCAGGAGATTGACCTGATCATATTTAAGATCACCTGGCTGCAGTGTGGATAATGGGTCAGACATAGCCAGAGTGATGATGTGATGAGGCGACTGACCAGCTAGGAGGCACCTGCAGTGGCCTGGGCAGGAGAGGGTGGTGGTAAGACTTGGTGGAGTCACTTGGATGCTGTGGGCACACAGATGGTACCAAAGTCACAGGGGTCAGTAAGGATGATTTAGGCTGCAAGCAACTGAAATCCTGGCTTAAATAGACTTAAATGAGCAGAGAGGCAAGGTTTGTTTGCCTCCTGGACACCCCATGTTTAAGCCTTGGGAAAATCAATTTATTAAATGCTAAGTAGTCTTAAGGGGATCAGCTCACTTAACTGGTGTCCAGAGACCCAGTGAGCTCTGGGCATATAGACTATACAACTCTGTCACAGGATCCTAAGGGTGTTGCTTTTTCCAGCTGGAAACCTCTGTGGCTGGTAGCACCTTTGCCTGAATTTTGCTTGGGCCCACTGGGCTCCTTCTGCCCACTCAGCCTGGCAGGCTGTGCTCAGCTCTCAGTACCAGCCCTGATCCCACGCCTGCGAAGGGCGAGCCAGGCACTGAACAGCAAGGGGTGTGTGAGTGAGTGCAGGGTCCAGCCACTGCGCACAGCCAGGCATGCCAGCTGTGGTGGGGCAGGCAGCTCCAGGTGCTGGTACAGGCACTGGCTCTGTGCCAGGCTGCGGCTGGGCCAGGCATACTGGAAGGGGCTTCCACTGTGGCTACTGGGGAATGTGGTGGTGCCCAGAAGCTTGGAGGCACCAGGAACTGCAGAGCCCCAAAGAGGGTGTCACAGCCATGTCACCCCTAGGTCTGGGCTCCCCAAAGTGCTGAAGCTTTATCTCGTTCTCGTTGCCTGCAACATGGCGAGCAGGGTTGGGGTGGGGGGCAGGCTGTTTCAGCCTTGTTTGTCTTACAGCTCTTTCAGTCCTGCTGTTCAGTGGGTCCTGGGTCCTTGTCCTATGTCCAGGAAGAATAGGTACACAGACAACTGGATGGTGAGCAAGGTGGAGAGAGCTTCACTGAGTGACAGAACAGCTCTCAGGAAACCCGAAGTGGGTAGTTCCTTTCTGCAGGCAGGTCCTCCTGATAAGTGTCTAGCTTTCAGCAGAGAGGAGACCCACATAGGGTAGCTCGTCACCGCAGGCAGGTCTTCCCGACAAGTGGAGGAGACCTGACCTGGAGTGGGTAGTTCCTTCCTGTACCTGGTAGTCCCAACATCTGTCTGAGTCTAGCTGAGTCCTGGGATTTTATGGGCTCAGAAGGGAGGAAGTGTGTGCTGTTTGGTCCATGGGTGACCAGGAGCAGGCTGGGGGAAAAAGCACCATAAGTTCTCACTCTGGGCTGAGGACTCCACCTGGAACTGGCAGCCCAGCCCCCAGGCTTCAGGCCATCCCTGGCTTGTAGGTGGGGTTTCACTGAGGACCCACCCCTTTCTGCCCAGGAGCCTGTCTGCCTCCTGCTGCCATCAACATGTCGTCTAGGGCACCTAGGCTGTTCATGCAGAGGGGTGCTTGCAGTTCCAGGTGGAGCTACCCCTCAGCTTCCCTCCTGAGCTTGTCAGTGCTCAAAGTCTGGAGGGGGTTGAGGCAGCAGGGGGCTGGCATCTCAGTGCCACCACAAGTGTGCACACATCTGGCTGGGTTGCAACAGCATGTGGGCTTGGACACAACTTTGCTCCACCCTGGAGTGGGTGACTGGAGTTGGGAGAGGCCAGAGATGGGGCGAAGGCACTTCTGAGCCTGCAAGCTTCCTGGGCCCCAGAGAGTGCAGGGATGCCTGGATCTGGGGCCGCAGCCAAACGGCTGCAGCTGTGCCTGGGAGCTTGGGGCTCCCACCCCACCAACTTGGTAGGGGGCGGGGCTCCCACCTGTTCCCAGCCCCCACCGGCTCTGCAGAGTGCACAACACTGGCCAGACTCTCCACTGCAGCCCACGTCTTGGCAGTGGCCACTCCAGATGGGCCGCTGCTGCCAGCAACTCCATAGTATCATCCTGTACCCAGGCAGGCTCCATGTTTCTCTCTGATCTGCTGTCCATGATGTCTGCTATGTCCTCAACTGGTCAGCAATTGGATCTGCAAGCTTCCTTATGCACACAAAGCAGGAGAGGGAGTTGGGCTTCTCTATTCATGGCATATAAATCTGTCTTTCCAGGGGAACAACTTAGGACACATACCTCTAGCTAGACCAATAGCCGTTGCCAAGAAATATGCTCAGATAGAGTGGGATCCATCCTGGAGCTGGGGCTGCATAACTGAGCAGTCAGGTTCTGCTAGAAGGGAAGGGGGTCTGGATGGATGTTGAGGGAATCAAATGTCCGCCTCATCTTGAGGGGAGAAGAGAAGGGTAGAGCTGGGAGGAAGCAGCAAGGGTCCAAGCAGCTAGAGAAGGCGTTGTGATGAGAACAGGCTCAGACTCTCCTCTCTTTCCTTTTCCCCACCCCCATGCTCATCCTAGCTCTGTCCTTTACCGACCTTCCACTTCTTGGGAGCTGTAGATGTGGTTGCCACCCTCTGTGGTCTCTACCCCTTGACTGGAAGCTCCCTGAGGGCAGGGATGTGACTTATTCCCAGCAAGTCAGAGGTGATGGGTGAATGTTTATTCTTTCAGTCCATCATTTAGAAAGAATTTATGGAGACCATGCTTTGCACCAGGTGCTGTTTCAGGCACTGAGGAAACAGCAGTGGACAAAACAGACAAAAACCCCTGGCTCCTTGGAGCAGACATTCTGATGGGGAAGACAGAAAACAATTAAGACACATGTGCTATACAGTGATTGGTGCTAGAGAAGAAGCCTGAAAGGGAGATGAAAGAGGGAAAGTTGTGGTGTTCAGTTGTGTGGCCGGGTTGGTCTCACTGGAGTTGATATCTGAAGGAAAGGAAGACATGCCAGCCAGAGGGAACAGCTGACAGAGACCCTGGGGAGGCGCTGGTCTGGCCTGTCTGGGGAACAGCTGGAAGGCTAGCATGGGTCCTGGGGAGGTCAGAGAGGTCAGCCAGGGCTTTCAAGGTCACGTAAGGGGAGAGTGGCTGGAGAGGAGGTCAGCGAGGTCAGCCAGGGCTTTCAAGGTCACGTAAGGCCTTTGAGTTTTGCACTGAGTGAGATGGGAGCCAACGGAAGACTTTGAGTAGAACCAGGTCATGAGAATTGAATTGAGGATAGACCATGGGGACAAGGGCAGAGCAGGAGACGCATTGGGAGTCCATGGAGTCGATTAAATGACTCAGGCAAGGGATGACAGGCTTCCACTGGGGGCAGTTACAATGGAGATGGTGAGATATGGTGGGATTTTGGACATATTTTGAAGGAGAGTGGGAGGGGGATTTGCAGTTTTGGTGACCTGGTGGGGTTGAAGGTGTCACTGGGTGGGTTCAAGAGAGAATGGAGGAGGGAGATTGGAGACAGAAAGTATGGAGAGCTCCTTCAAAGGGCATTGTTGTGAAAAGGGAGAAATGACCAGTAGCTGAAGGGGATGTGGGGTCAACGGTGTGCTTTCTTGAGAGCAATAACATCATGCTTGTGTGCCGATGGGATGATCCGGTAAACAGGGGAACTTGGTAAGGCAAGAGAGTGAGAGAATCACTGCAGGCTCACCACTGAATGGGCGAGAGGGGATGGGGTCTATGCCCAAGTGTCCAGTTGTTACCAGTGGGGAGTACGGGTGATTCATTTGTAGGAACAGGAGAGAACTCACAGGATTTGGGCACAGATGCCGAGGGCGGGCGTTAGAAGGAGACTGGGGACCTGAAGAAGTTCTCTGCTCCGTAAAGAGGAAGCAAACTGAGAGTGAGGTTGGGCGATGGGGTGTCCTAGGGGCATCCGGGAGACAGGGAGACAAGACATATAGTATGATTGCCCCCAGCAGTGAGGGCTCGCTTGAGTTAAGGGTCATGACTACAAAAGGCACCACTCAGGCCGGCTGTGTTACTCTCCAACACAGCACTGGTTGGGGGCAGGTGTGGAGGAGGCGGAGTTGGATTCGCCAGGGTTATGGCTTAGCCCTGTGAGAATGCTGTATCCCTCAAAATAAGAGAGGGGAAAGGGAGTTGAGATTTTGCGCAGCAGTGCGTTTAGGCTGAGTGAGCAGGTTGGTTAGTGAGGACTTGGGCGGTGGGAAGACGGACAGTGCCCTGACAGGGGCTAGGTGCTGGAGTGCTGGGGGATAGAAGTGCGAAGCCAGGGCCCCTGTGTCAAGAAGTTCATACGCTGGAAAGGAACCAGACATAATAAGCGAAACGACTGTCACCGTTCATGGCTTACACCTTGAACAGCTTTCCACTGTGGAGACTAGGGAGTGTAGAGATTGTTGGGGATGGGGGACTTGCAGGGGACAGAATGGGCCGCAGCTGGACCCTAGTTCTCCAGGGAACGCAGTATGATTTGAATACAGATCTCTGCCTCCAGAGATGAGTGACTCGACACCGCTGCGGAGAAGGCTCCGAGGAGGGTTGGTGGGGACTCGAACCTCGGAGTCTCTCCCGACCCGGGGGTCCCAGCAAACCAGAACGGCCACCTAGACAGCCTGCGGACGGGAGAGGACCGGCTCCCTGGCGCAGATCATGGGGCAGGTGGAGAGAGGCGAGAGGCAATGAGGCGGGGGGCTCGGGGTGCACGGCACGCTCCGCACACTCCCCCTTCAGCGCTCACTCAGACTTGGTTTCCCCGAAGACACACTCTCGTCCCCGCCGCTGATTGCCCACTCCTTCCGCCTGCACTCCTGCCTCCTTCTCACCCTTTCGTCGAGCGCACAGGGCGGCTGCCAAGTCGGCACCGGTGCGCACCGGGCCCGGGATCCCTGGCTGGTGTGGAGCCTTGGTCACCGGAGGCCCCCGCGGAGCAGGCCCCACGGCGCCTTGTGCGCTCTCGGAGGCCGAGCTGCGCGCCCGCGTCAGCGGCGCCTCGTTCCTGGCCGGGAGCTGGGACCCGCGGAGCTAGGGACCAGCACCCCCACAGGCGCCCGTCTGACCCCTGTCCCTCCCCGCCCGCCGCGGGCAGGGCGGATCTGGGTAGGGGCCGGAGGGGGAGGGTCCGCCCAGCGGGTGTCCGGTGTCCTCCCTGCAGCCTCTCCCAGGCATTGGTCACTTCTCCGCGGAGGAGCAGCGAAGGCGACAGCTCTCTTGGCGCGGCTGCCTGGGAGCCGGGCGCTTGCTGGGTGGGTGCTCGGGCCCGGTGCTCCCGCTCCCGCCCTGACTGCGCGCCTGTGTGCCGCCGGGGCTGCCCAGCCATGCTGTGCTGCCTGCTGGTGAGGGCCAGCAACCTCCCCAGTGCGAAGAAGGACCGGCGCAGCGACCCTGTCGCAAGCCTGACTTTCCGAGGTGAGAGCCCCGTGGCTGCCGCGCCCATGCTCGGGTGCTACCCGACTCTCGGCGCTCACTGGCGGGTCTGAAGCCCCTGCTCCGGAGCTAACCCTAGTCCAGGCCACAGTTTCTCCCTTTGTCAGCAGGGACGGAAATCCCAGCCCCGACTTCTGCAGGGGGGCGATGAGGAATAAGCAGAGCACAATAAATGCCACAGGGCTTTGAAAAATTGGAAAAGCGAAAGTGCCGTAGGTCAGCGGTTATCACTTTTCTAAGACTGACACCCAGAGGAAATAAAGTCCGAGCTTTTACTGGGTAGTGGGGATAAGGGTAAGTTGGAAGATGGGTGCAGAAGGTAGAGAGGAATCAGGGCCTCTGAAAAACGGGGCGTGTAGATGATGTGCTTTGAAAGTTGTGTCTTTTTTCATTCATTCATTCATTCATTCACCCATCTTTATCCAACATTGGCTGTATTGAATCTGCCCCGTCTTAATCAGTAGGAAAAGGAACAGAATAGGATGGAAATGGCCTTGACACAAGGAGTTTTGAGGAATGTCAAGGATATTTTCTCTAAATTCAAGAAGCTAAGTCCCTACATGTAGTGCTTAGAATACATACAGGTATTTCTGTGTGGGGCAGCAGAGAAATCACACACACACTCCTCTTCTCACCAGGCGTCCTGAACCCCCTCCCCCAACCCCTCCAAGGCAGATTCCCACTGGAGCGGGTGTCTCAGGAGGGGAAAGGGAAGAGGAAGGATCTGTCAAAATTAAGAGAAGGAACAATAGCTGTGAGTCAGGACCCCAGTTCTGCAGAGAAAGATAAATCAGGAGAGGAAAGAGGGTTTCCACTTAGCCAGGAGCCATACCCTGTAGCTTTGTGGAATCGATAATAATAATAATAAAAATCTACGTATCAGAAAAGATAGTCAAATGAAGAAGGAAGAGTAGCTGGTGTTTTCATAAGCCTCCTTCAGTGCAGGCACCAAGGGAACTCTTTTCAGTCTGACCCATGATCTGAATCATATCTCCAAGCACCCCCAAGATAATGATAGATGAAAGACATGATTTGGCAAAGGGAGATTTATGTGTAGCTTTTATTCTTTGCTGTGGGACAAGTTATATGTATTCCTCTTTTGAAAGATGTGATTTGAAACGTTTAAGAAAATTTCACTATTTTCATTGATTGGTGACATGCCTGGGAGTTCACTATGCAAGAGCAACTTCAAGACAAAGTCTTTCCTTCTCCAGTGTCCACCTGATGCTGCCTAAGGCTTTGCTATGCAGAAATTGCGGTGTCACCATTGGCTGGAAAAGAAATTCCCTAAGGACACTGGGCAGGGCACACATTAGCATAGGGCTCTGGATGCTCTAACACTCGTTTGGGTCTGCTCACAGCTCTTTCCCTTGTCCTGTAACAGTCCTGTGGTGGCTACCAATGTCTCCATTCTGCAAATAAGGAAATTGAAACCCAGGGAAGTTAAATGTGTTCAGGTCAGTGGTCATGGCAGGGAGCTACCAGCGCTTGGAGTGGGTATTGCCCTTGAGTCGGGAAGATGACCAAATCCCTTGAGGCCCCTCTTTACTATTGCCCTCGCCCAAGTACCCCGAACACGTGCAGCTGCTATCTCCCCCCAGATCTCTGTATTCCTTCTTTGTAATGCCTTACTATTTATTTGCACTGATGATCTCCTCGGAAAACAGAAATACCATACAATAGAATGTAACATCTCCAACCGTTTCAAGTCTATTTGTATTTCAAAGCCCAGGGCAATGCCACCTTCTCCAGGAGGACACCCTGGATCCCCCTGGCTCTCAAGAGTCTCTCCT
Source organism: Homo sapiens (assembly GCF_000001405.40). NCBI lineage: Eukaryota > Metazoa > Chordata > Mammalia > Primates > Hominidae > Homo > Homo sapiens. The sequence continues at coordinate 71,468,745 of NC_000002.12, forward strand.
CTCTGGATGACAAGCAGCAGCACCTTGCTAGGGATGCTAGCACCCTCGCCCTGACTGGCCTGTGCTCAGCTCCATGCTTAGGTGCCTTGAGAGCAGTGACCTGTCCTATTTGTTCATTGGTTTGTCCCAGTGCTGAGCACAAGTAGGTGCTCTCTAGTGTTTGTGCGCTTTCTGGCCCAGCCTCTAGCCATCCTCCAGGTGTGCCTGGGAGCTTCATTTAGTCTGGGACATGGTCCGCTCACTTGATTGTTCCTGAGAATCACTTGTAGAACGTGTTTGAGAAACAGATTCCAGAGTCCCCATCTGTAGAGGTTCCGATGCAGCAGGTCTGGAAGGTGACCTAAGAATCAGCACTTAACAAATACCCGATGCAGGTTATTTTGGAACCGCATCTTGGGAAAAATGGGTCTGAGATGTGATGGCAGGTGAAATTAATGCGCTCCCCATTGCGGGAGCATTCACTGGGGAGTTTGGGGCTGAGTTGATGCCTAAGGAGGGAAACCGTTAGAACCAGGTTCAGAACTTACAGAGCATGTAGGCTGGGGGGACTCAACTCTGGCTGCAGGTCAACATTGTGTGTGGGAGCTTCACCAAAGACCACTGCCAACCTCCCTGCCTGCCTTTTCTGAAGCCAGATCCCTTCCGGTGGGGCCCCAGGCATAGGTGTTGTTTCTGTCAAATTTCCAGGTGTTTTGAATGTGCAGTCAGGGTTGAGAACCACTGAGCCCAGCTCCTCATGGCACAGATGGGACAGTGGCCTGCTTGCAGAGAAGCCAGCCTGCACTGTGTGTTTGGCTCCTACAGGCAGCCTGAAATGTATGGGGCTGGGCTGGCCCCACTTTCCTTGCAGTTGTTCCCTGTCTCGGATGTAATTTCAGGACCTGCCTCCCAAAATAGACTATGAGCTCTGGGAGGCTGGACTCTGAGGGCAATTTTTTGGCTTCCCTGTCTAAGCACCTCTATTAATAGTAGAGGCTACTAATGAATACTTCTCATTCTTTTGTTTTTCTATTAATTAATTCATTAACTAAAACTACCATGAGTAACTGGGCCATAGTAGATATTTTTGACTGATTGTGTCAACGAGCAGCTTAATTTCCTATAGCATTTAATTGTCTGTACTTCTTTTCTGCCCTGCCCATTTTCCATTCCTTAATGTGATTATTTATATCCCTCTATTCATGCAGTTAGTTCATTGAACAAATATTTACTGAGTACCTACTACGTGCCTGGTGCTTTTCTAGGTGCTTGGATGCATACAAGAACAAAACCAGATCCCTACTGCTTTAAAGCTGAAACATCTTATTTCCTTGAAGGCCAGATCTGCTGCGTCCCCACTTGGTGAATTTCTGCCCTGTGTCATCAGCCAGGAACCCAGAAGTCATTACTGACACTTCCCTCTCTCTCATCCTGTCAGGGCGTCTCCTCCTCCAGCCTCCCCCTCCCACCTCTTCTCTTCTTGATCTCCTGGGGGTCTCTAGATTTGGGGCAGGAGTTGGGGGATCTTATAGAACTAGTTGGAGGTGGATTCCTGTCGTCAGGGAACACTCTTAACTCACCTATGTAGGGAAAGTGGGCTGAAGGCCCCGGACTCTCTGAACCTAGCTGTTTACATATTACAAATGACTTAAAATATTGAAAACAGCGGCCAGGCGTGGTGGCTCACGCCTGTAATCCCAGCAATTTGGGAGGCCAAGGCGGGTGGATCATGAGGTCAGGAGATCGAGACAATCCTGGCTAACATGGTGAAACCCTGTCTCTACTAAAAATACAAAAAAAATTAGCCGGGTGTGGTGGTGGGTGCCTGTAGTCCCAGCTACTCGGGAGGCTGAGGCAGGAGAATGGCATGAACCCAGGAGACGGAGGTTGCAGTGAGCCAAGATTGAGCCACTGCACTCCAGCCTGGGTGACAGAGTGAGACTCCATCTCAAAAAAAAAAAAAAAAAAAAGAAAAGAGCTTTCTCTTCTCTTCCTTCTTTCCTTCCTTCCTTCTTTCCTTCCTTCCTTCCTTCCTTCCTTCCTTCCTTCCTTCCTTCCTTCATTCCTTCCTTCTTTTTTTTTTTTGAAATGGACTTTCACTCTTATTACCCAGGCTGGAGTGCAATGGCACGTTGTCGGCTCATTGCAACCGCCGCCTCCCAGGTTCGAGTGATTCTCCTGCCTCAGCCTCCCGAGTAGCTGGGATTACAGGCACCTGCAACCATGCCTGGCTAATTTTTATTTTTATTTTTAGTAGAGATGGGGTTTCACCATGTTGCCCAGGCTGGTCTCAAACTCCTGACATCAGTCAATCCACCCACCTTGGCCTCCCAAAGTGCTTGGATTACAGGTGTCAGCCACCCCGCCTAGCCTGTTTTCTTTTTATAAACATAATATGTACTTGCTGTTAAAAATGACAAACTACAGAAAGGCCATGAGGCAAGAGTAAAAAATAGCCCCAAATCCTGCCACTTTGAATTAACTTGTTAACAATTTGACACATTTCCTCCAAGATTTTTTTTCTTAAAAATTTTAGTTATAAAATTTAACATACAAGGAAAGTGCAGAAGATATAAATATATGATTTAATACAGTAGTTCTCAACTGGGGGCAGTTTTTTCCTCAGATGACATTTGCCAATGTCTGGAGACATTTTGGGTTGTTGCCACAGGGGTTGGGGGCACAGGGTGTTTATCTACAGGGTAGAGGCTGAGGATGCTGCTAGACATTCCACAGTGCAAGGGGAGGTCCCCCACACCAACCACAGAGTGATTCAGCCCACATAGTAATCATGCCACGGTTGAGAATAAATATGTGTGTGAAGAGAATAACTATGTAATATCACCCAGGTCAAACAGGTCAAGAAATAGCACCTGGCCAGCCCCATTTCTCCACCAGAAGTAATCCCATCATAGATTTTTTTTTTCCCAAATGTTTGCACATTTGCTGAAAAATAAACCAGGGGGCCGGGTGTGGTGGCTCACGCCTGTAATCCCAGCACTTTGGGAGGCTGAGGTGGGCGGATTGCTTGAGGCCAGGAGTTCCAGGCCAGCCAACAGGGTGAAACCCTGTCTCTACTGAAAAATACAAAAATTAGCCAGGCATGGTGGTGTGTGCCTGTAATCCCAGCTACTTGAGGGGCAGAGGCACAAGAATCGCTTGAACCCAGGAGGTGGAGGCTGCAGTGAGCCGAGATCTCACCACTGCTCTCCAGCCTGGATGACAGAATGAGACTCAGTCTCAAAAACATCAATTAATTAATTAAAAAAAAATCCAGGGTCATTTTTTATGTCAGTAAGTATTCTTCTATAACACCTTTATAAATATCTGCGTAATATTTTCTTATATGGATGCACCATCATTAATTTACTCAACCCCCTACTGATGAATATTTAGGTTATATAAGTGTTTATATTTATATCCAGTGCTTAAATTATACAGTCACTGTGAGGCATATTCTGGTGACTACATCTTTGGCCACATATTTAATTATTTCCTTTGGGTAAATACCAGAAGATGAATTGCTATGTCAGAGGTTATAGACAGATTTAATGCGTTGCTGCATTTCCCAAATTGTTCTTGAAGTCTGTATCAACTTTATCCTCCTGTCAGCCAAGTATGAGGGCTTATTTTTCTAATAATCCTGCTAACACACAGCATTGTCCTGTAAATCTTTGACACTTTCTTTCTTTTTTTTCTTTTTGACAGAGTCTCATTCTGTCGCCCAGGCTGGAGTGGAGTGGCGCGATCTCGGCTCACTGCAAGCTCTGCCTCCCGGGTTCACGCCATTCTCCTGCCTCAGCCTCCCAAGTAGCTGGGACTACAGGCGTCCACCACCACGCCAGGCTAATTTTTTGTATTTTTAGTAGAGACGGGGTTTCACCATGTTAGCCAGGATGGTCTGGATCTCCTGACTTCGTGATCCACCCGCCTTGGCCTCCCAAAGTGCTGGGATTACAGGCGTGAGCCACCGCGCCAAGCCAACACTTTCTTAAGGTTCAAATAGTATTTGTGATACTTCATTGTTATCACCTATTCGTATTTATTCTTACTGAATTACTTTTTCATTTGCCCATGGTGGAGCATGTTTGTCTTTTTCTTCATTAGTTGCAAGTGCTCTTTATGTATTGAGAATGTTACCGTTTTTGTCATAGATGTTTCTAGTATCTTCTCCAGTTCTGTTTGTTTTTCTTTAATTGGCAAGTAAAAATTATATGTAAATATCTTCCCCAGTTCTAATGTAAATATCTTCCCCAGGCCTTCTGAGTTTAAAGACTACTCTTCTTGAAGTGCATTTCACCCTGGCTCCCTCCCTTTTTGGCCACTTCTGTGGTTCCAGCTAGGATTTAGGAAGGTGGGGTGGAGGGTGGTTGACGGGGAGAGGAGCAGTGCTCTGCTGATGATAGGGGAGACAGCTGCCCAGTTCTTGGGGTGTCCAGGCCTGAGAACACCATGGCAGGGCAGGTGTCAGAATGACCATCTACCTCTGCTTTTTGTTTGGGGGTGTCTGTACCAAGAGGTAATACAGGCCTTCCTTCAGCCCACGCTAGGGCCATCTTTTCTCCTTTCACTTGCTGCTGCCTTTGGGTTTTCTGCTGATTCTTTGAATTTCTGTCACTTTCTTGGTCTTATGTGTATTCTAATGGGGCCGTCAAGAAACGCCCTGCACAAAGTAAGCCCTCAATAAATATCTGGGGGATAAGCAAGAGTCTGCATCTAGGCTGCTGCAGGATCCAAAGCCCCCTGCAGCTTCTGAGAGTAACTCCTGTTGCCTGACTCATGGGCAGATGCAGCTGTCTCTCTGTCTCTCTCACTGGGAGTCTGAGACACCGCAACTCCTCTCCTTCTCTCTGTCCCCTCTCTAGGAGGGACATCCGAGACTGGGAGACATCTTCTGCTCCTCCTGCTTCCCATTCGCCAAGCCGATACTGGCCAGTAGACCTCAGGCCCACCACCTGTGTCCATTCCATTTCCCACCTGGACTTAAAAAAAATTGTGGTAAAATGCACATAACATGAAATGTACCATCTTAGCCATTTTTAAGTATACAGTTCTGTGGCATTAATCATTGTGCAGTTATCACCATCTCCAGAACTTGTCATCCTCCCCAGCTGAAACTCTATACCCATTGAACACTAACTCCCTATTCCCCTCCCTCACCGCCCCTGGTAATTGCAGTTCTACTTTCTGTATGATTTTTTTTTTTTTTTTTTTTTTTTTGAGACAGAGCTTTTCTCTTGTTGCCCAGGCTGGAGAGCAATGGTGTGATCTTGGCTCACCACAACCTCTGCCTCCCGGGTTCGAGTGATTCTCTTCCCTCAGCCTCCCGAGTAGCTGGGATTACAGGCATGTGCCACCACGCCTGGCTAATTTTGTATTTTTAGTAGAGACAGGGTTTCTCCATGTTGGTCAGGCTGGTCTGGAACTCCTGACCTCAGGTGATCCACCCGCATCCACCTCCCAAAGTGCTGGGATTACAGGCGTGAGCAACCATGCCCAGCCGATTTTGACTACCCTAGGTACCTCATATAAATGGAATCACACACTATTTGTCTTTTTGTAACTGGCTGAGTCACTCAGTCTAGAGGAACCCTCAGGGTTTCATCATGAATCTTACACCTGTTGCTGGTCCCCAGTTCCTCAGAGCAGTTTGGGAAGAGGGCATGGCCCCCTTTCCTCACCCAGCATAAGCTGTGAGCTCTCCTGTATCTTCAACTTCTGTTAAATTACATGCATAAAGCCACATCTCTCAAGGCCTAAATTAATAATCAGGAACAGGGCAGGCCAAAATCCATGATGAGGAACTATTTTCTTAACAGTTTCCTAATTATCAATGTGCCTTCCCTTTTCTTGGTGCCTGTAAATCACGTGATTGTGCTTAGTGAATGTTTCGTTTCTTTCTTTCTCCTCTTTGGGGCTGCAGCACCCATGAGTGACCCCTTCCTTCATGTTACCCAGAGGGTCCCAGAGTTGGCCCTTCTAACCAGGACTTAGTGAAATCTCATTGAGAGCTTTTATTCTCCTCATCTACAGGGAAGGTAGGAAGTGGAAAATGATTAAAAGATATTTAGCACAGGGCTTGGCACACAGATATCGCTCAGTTAAGGAAGCCTGGAGCACCAGGAAATGAGTTTCCAAGTGTGCAACTCATGAGAGGCTGCAGATGGAATTTTCCATGTTACTCCTGTAGGTCACAGGAAGCTGATCTGTGATAGGGGAGGGGAAGTGGACACGTAGCTTGCATCTCAGGCCCCCTCAGAACCCTGTGCAGCAGACACTTTTATTATGATCCACTGATTGCTGAGGAGCAAGGCCTAGAGGTTATGAGTCCTCCCTAAGGTCACATAGTAGTGGCTGTTAGTTGAGTGACTCCAAAGCGGTGTGTCTGACTCCTGCTGGAGCCACACCAATATGGGCCACACAGAATTCAAAGTGGTTCAGCCAGGACCCTTCCCCCACATGGCGCCTCCTTTCTTCCTCCCTCCGCTGACAAACAGCCACACCATGAATGAAGTCTTGGGGCGTTCCCTGGAAACAGCGCTTCTATCCTCTTGTGAGGAAGTCAACTTGCAGTCAACGTGGAAAGAAAAGGACCCATTCATTCAGCACCCGATTACTGGCCACCTCGCTATAGACTAGGGTTACAGTTAGTAATGTGAGTAAGGCATGGTGTTTGCCGCCAGAAACTCCCAGCCCAGTTGGGGGTTCAGAGCTAGAAGCACACTGCTACACGGCTGTCCTGCACATGTGGTCACAGCATGGTTAGGGAGCACCAAAGAGAGATCAGCTACCTCTTTTGGGAGAGTCAGGGGAGTCTTACCAGAGGAGAGACAACCGTGCTGGGTATTGAAGAGTCAGTAGGAGTTCACTAGATCCATCAGAGTGGGCACAGAGGGGAGGGCAGGGGAAGGAAACTCACATGTAATCAGCATACTATGTGCCAGGCACCTCAACGTTCTATCTCGGTAATTTTCACAGCAACCCCTTGTAAGGTAGATATTATGATGATGAAATTGAGGCAGAAATGTTAAATGAATTTCCTAAGAGATTATTTTATTTTTTAGAGACAGGGTCTTGCTCTGTTGCCCAGGCTGGAGTGCAGTGGTACGACCACAGCTCACTGCAGCCTCAAACTCCTGGGCTCAAGCAACCCTCCCACCTCAGCATCTCGAGTAGCTGGGACCGCAGGCACATGCACCACTACACCTGGCTAATTTTGTAAATTTTTTGTAGAGATGGAGCCCCACTATATTGCCCAGGTTAGTCTTGAACTCCTGTCCTCAGGCGATCCTCCCACCTCAGCCTCCCAAACTGCTGGGATTACAAGTGTGAGGACCTCACTGGCCCCTAAGAAGTTCTTAAAGTGTTGTACATGGAACTTGGGGGGATCCTCAAGACTCTTTGAGCAGGTCAGAAGGTCAAAACTCCTTCACAACAACACTAAGAGGCTATCTGCCTTTTTTACTGTTTGGACATTTGTACTGATGGTACAACAGCAATGGCAGCTAATACTACTGGCACCTGATCACTAATCGAGGCCTTGGCAGGCTGGGTGTGGTGGCTCACACCTGTAATCCCAGCATTTTGGAAGGCCGAGGTGGGCAGACCACCTGAGGTCAGGAATTTGAGGCCAGCCTGGCCAACATGGTCAGGCTAAAAATACAAAAATTAGCCAAGCTAGGTGGTAGGCACTTGTAGTCGCGGCTACTCGGGAGGCTGAGGCATGAGAATCGCTTGAACCTGGGAGGCAGGGGTTGCAGTGAGCCGAGATCACACCATCACACTCCAGCCTGAATGACTGGAGTGAGACTCCATCTCAAGAAAAAAAAAAAAAGGCCTTGGCACTAAATTGTGCTTCTTGTTGTGTTTTTTAGATTGCATGCACTCACAGTTAAAAATAAAAAGGCAGTTTCATTTAAGAGTGTCCTTGATGAAGCAGTAAAAGGATTAGTTTGAATCCTCCTGTACATGTGTTGAGAATGTTCTGTGTGATGAAATGGGAAGTATGCATAGTGCACCTCTGCTGCACATCACAAAATGATGATTGTCTCCAGGAAAAGCACTGGAGTCACTGCTTAAGTGACAAACCGAACTAGCTGCTTTTTTTTTTTTTTTCCATGGAATACTGTTTTTACTTTAAAGAATGACTGACAAAACTATAGTTATTTGACCTGGGCATTGGGCAGATATTTTCTTAAAAATGAAAGAGTGAGCCTGCCATTTCAAGGAAAATGGCTTGAAATACCACTTGCTGCCAATCAAAAAATTTGAGCTTTTCAAGCAGAAATTGGAGTTTTAGAAAACTTTGAGAAGTAACTTCCAGCTTCCCAGTACTGAAAGTGTTACTCCCCCAAAACTCTGGGATTTGTTCACATGGTGAATAACAAACGACGTTCCATGAGAATGCAGGTTTTGATCAATAGGAATTTTATTACTTGTCACAAGCAGGAGCACTGGGACAAAGCAGTGTCTCCCTGAGGGAAAGTGACAGGAGGGTTTTATGGGGCAATGGAGAGGGGAGAGGGTGCAACATCGCATGTAGAGGAGGGTTCCCGGTGGCACAGATGCTGTGAGTCATGGTGCCAGCACATAGGTTGCATGTTATGGTAATGAAGCTACAGGTCTCCTGGGGTGCAGGCTTTAGCATGGTCATGAGGAAAGTTCATTGGGGTTCATCTGTAAGTTGCCGGGCTCTGTCAGGAGCTGGTTTTAGCCCACTAGATGACCGCCTACTACACAGAGCTTGAAAAAAACAGGCTGTAAGACAGAAAGCTGTAAAGCAGGCAGATTGCTCAATCTCCCTACCTGCTTACAGAAGGCTGATGGTGACATTAATGTATGAGTGTAATTTTTTGGTAGGGCATTGTGAAATGTGTCAACATCTGGGAAGATCTACGTAACTGACTGAACAAAAATTTTCCAAATGACCAATGCAACTGTTACAGAATCATACGTGGGTGAAAGATTCATTCAAACTGCAAGATAGAACAATGAATTTTAATGTAGCAGAGTACAAAATGTTCATTGATCTGGTTTCAGATTTCACATTGCAACTTACTGTTAAGAAGTTAAGAACTACTACTTGTTGAGTTTTGATGTAGTATCAAAGAAGGATATTCACAGTTATCTGAAAGTGTATTAAAATAGGCCTCCCTTTCCAACTACATATCTGGTTGGATTTTCTTCATAGACATCAATCAAAATGAGGAGTCTCAGCAGTTTGAATGCTGAGGTATTAATAGATATGAGAATCCAGCCAAGCATTAAAGAGATTTGCAAAAATCTAAAAGTGTCACTTTTCCTTTTTTGGGAAGTTATAGTTTTTTTTTTTTTTTGCTATATATGTGTCACTTATGTTAATATTTATTGGGCTTATTGTGATTTTAAAATTACTAAATAATTATTTTTAAATGCTTCAGTTATAATTTCTAATGTAAAAATTCATAGATGCAGGCCACCTAAATAAAAGCTCTTTGGCATCCTCAATAATTTTTTTTTTTTTTTTTGAGGCAGAGTCTCACTCTGTCGCCCAGGCTGGAGTGCAGTGGTGCCATCTCGGCTCACTGCAAGCCCCGCCTCCTGGGTTCACGCCATTCTCCTGCCTCAGCCTCCCGAGCAGCTGGGACTACAGGTGCCAGCCACCATGCCCGGCTAATTTTTTGTATTTTTAGTAGAGATGGGGTTTCACCGTGTTAGCCAGGATGGTCTCAATCTCCTGGTCTCGTGATCCACCCACCTCAGCCTCCCAGAGTGCTGGGATTACAGGTGTGAGCCACCGCGCCCGGCCCAGGCATCCTCAATAATTTTTAAGAGTGACATCCTGTGACCAAAAAGTTTGAACTGCTGCCCCAAAGAATCACAGGAAATAAGTGTTTTATAGTGGCCTGTGATTTCAAATTTCATGATTTTTTCCATGATCAGTGATTCACAGTGGGAGAGGGAGTTTGGGAGCTCCCCCCTCTCCCTGGAGGGAGGTTTATCGGAATCTCTGCGGGACTCACTACAACGAGCAAATATTTACAAGATAATTCCCTTAGAATCTCCCTGAGCCCCTCCCTGCCTCCCTCCCTCCCTCAGATGGTCTTTTGCTCCCTCTCACGTGCTCTCTTTCTCTTTTTTTCTCTCTCCTCTTCTTCAAATCCTCCCTCACCCCTTGCCTGCCTCCTTGATCCCTCTCTGCTTCCCTCCTCCTCTTCTCCAGGCTCTGAACCTGGCAGGGCGGGGCCGACCCCACAGGAGGCTGCACCTCTCCAGGCTGGATGGACTCTGATGTGCTTGGCTCTAAAGCCTACTGGGGCTCCTGGGAGATGTGGCCAGAGGCTCGAGGGACTTTCGTGGTCCAGGCAGGACTCTCTGAAAGCTGAGCCATCCAGGTGGAGACCAAAGGCTTTCCACTGAGTCTTGCACAGGTTGGGTGGAATGAGGTGATCTTTAAGAGCCGACCCAAATAAAAGTTCTGTGTCAGGCTGAACCCTTTGAATTGTCTGTTGAGCGCCCCATCGTTTCTTTTCCTGATGCTTACTGGAAGTGCCCAGGGCACTGCAGAACAAAGCTTCATTAAATGCCTTCTCTTCTTCTTTGGGACCTTCAACACTCTTTTTCTGTGGATCAGTGTCTTCATGGAAGACGTGTCTCCAGACCTACTGGGCTTAGTGGGGGAACCCCTCACCCTGACCTGTCGGTCCACATGGTGGGCCGCCAAGCAGAGAGGGCCAAAGCTCTGTCCAAACTCCTTGTTTTGTGGATCATCCAGAGAGAGAAATGCACTTGCCAGCCCAGTAAAGGACCAGGGGCTGCAGCACCTGCCTGTTTCTCCCAGCCTACGGCTCTTCCATGGAAATGACCTTCCTGCCCACTGCTGTAGAACCTACCCTAGGAGGAGGGTCTCCTTGTGCGTCTCCTTTGCCACCTTTCTTTCAAGCCTCACCTGCCCACCTCACTGGGGACAGGCACTTGCCCCTTCATGCCCACTGCTCCAGAGGAAGGGCTTCTGCCGTGCATCGTCTGGGGCACAGTGGGTCAGCTCTCAGCCATCAAAGTGTTAGTTCTTCTTGTCCACCTCAGAGCCATTCTGCATTCCCTCAGCCAGCCCTCCCAGCCACATAGAGCTTCCTTGGGACAGCTTGCCTCAGATGGACTCCTTCAAGGCCTTGGAGGGTGAAGTGGATTTTGTTTAAATGGAAATAAAATTAACATATCATAAAATTCACCATTTGAACAATTTCCACATATATAATTTAATTGGTTTTAGGTTGCAATATTGTGCAACCATCATCATGATCTAATTCCAGAACATTTTTGTCACCTCAAGAAGAAACCCTATACCCATTAATCAATCACGTCCCCATTTCTATTTTCCCTTTCCCTTCTCTTAGCCCCTGGAAACAACTAATCTGCTTTCTGTCTCTACAGATTTGCCTATTCTGGACATTTCTTATAGATGGAATCATATAATTTCTGGAGATGGATGTTGTTCAAAAGAGGAATGAAATACTTTCTAGGGAGATTGTTCATTGTTAGAATTAGAAGGCTGGATGTGGTGGCTCACATTTGTAATCCCAGCACTTTGGGAGGCCAAGGTGGGAGGATCGCTTGAGGCCAGGAGTTCCAGACCCGTCTGGGCAATATAGTGAGGCCCCCGTCTACACACACACACACACGCACACACACACACATACACACCAGCTTGATCTAGTGGTGTGTGCCTGTGGTCCCAGCTACTCAAGAGCCTGAGGTGAGAGGATAGCTTGATCCCAGGAGTTTGAGGCTGCAGTGAGCTATGATCTCACCATCGCACTCCAGCCTGGGCAACAGAGTGAGATGCTGTCTCTAAAAAAAATAATACTACAATCAGAAAATTTATAATTAAAAAAATTATTTAAAAAGTCAGAAATAACAATAACAAACTCATTAAGGAGAGTCAGCCTGGGTACTTTCTTTTGAAAGCATGTTTCTGATGTCCCAGAGCTGAGAGGGGGAAGTTGTGTGATTGGCATTGGGGATTCATTGCAGACTGGCGGGTTCTCAGGGAATCTGTTGATTTTGTAAGATTTCCCTTGGCGACCAAGCTGAAGCACAGGTCTCAGAAGCTGAGCCTAACTCAGCGGAAGGTGAAAGGCGGGATGTGTCTCTCCATTCTCCCTTTTGTGTCTCTTGTAGGGGTGAAGAAGAGAACCAAAGTCATCAAGAACAGCGTGAACCCTGTATGGAATGAGGTATGTGAGTTTTTCTCCTTCCTTTTCTCTCTGTCTGCTGCAGTTGTGTCTGCAGGGACAAGTTAGGGGGCTTGTGGAGGAGGTGCCTTCTCAGCAGTGTCCTTGAGGTGGGGAGGGGCTGGTGGTCCAGCCTGCCAACGAAATCCTTCTTGCTCTAGGAACCTGGGAGGAGGGTTGGTGGCCTGGCCTACTAGGTAAATGGAGGGGAGCTAGATATTTTTTGTTTCTGTTTCCCCCCAGCTCTGGCCAGCCAGGTAAAGGGTGCTCAGGGACTCTCTTGCCTGCCTGTTTCTCTCACACAGGCTGTTCCTTTTTCCTTGCTCAAAGCTCACCTTCTCCCCACAGCCCTCCCTGATGAGGCAGGTCCTCCTCTGGCTCCTGCTAGCCCCTGTCCCCTCAACCAGCTCCCTGCATACATGGCTCCCGGGTGGTCCTTTGGAAGCCCTGCTGCCTTGCATGGATGGGGTCGGATGCACAGGGGAGCCTTTGCTCTGAGGAGGGTCATGGGGGCCTAGCCAACATGGCACTAACTCGTGCTGCCTACCAGGGCCTGGCGTCTGGATGAGCCCAATAATCTTGGTCCTTGAGGATGCTTCAGGGTCACCTGGCTTTTTCCCAGCCACACTCCTGGCTTGGCTTCCTGGGGATGGGTTGAAACTGAGTTGGGAGAGGGGCCTGTGAAAGACCTCTCTCCTCTCTTCTGCTGTCTTCAGCTCATACTGTCACCTCTGAATTTCTGGATCTGTGGTCTTCATCTATCCATCCATCCATCCATCCATCCATCCATCCATGCTTCCATCCATCCATTGATCCATCTGCCTATCCACTAGAATCATTCATGAATGCCTACTCAGTGCCCTGGTGGCACGAAGGTGAACCAGACACAGTCTCTTCTCCTAGAGGGCCATAGGTTAAGATGCCTTTTCTCTTTTTCTTCCAGGGATTTGAATGGGACCTCAAGGGCATCCCCCTGGACCAGGGCTCTGAGCTTCATGTGGTGGTCAAAGACCATGAGACGATGGGGAGGAACAGGTAAGGTGGCCAGAGGGGGGTGCTCCATGGCTTGAAGGTGCAGGTAGGATTGTGGAGTATACAGACTGCAGAATCCCAGGCCCCAGGGAGCTGGGGTTTCAATTAGCATTTATCCACCTCCTCCCATGGGACTGGCCCAGTGATAGATGTTGGGAGAATCTGGCTGTGGCTTCAGGAACTCAGCCATGGGTACAGCTGAGCTTCCAGGCTACAGGGGAGGGAAGATGGGCTGGAATCAGGTGTCCACGCATTTGCACAGACAGTGTGTGCCCCAGGGAGCAGGAAGACTCGCTTCCTGCTGCTCCAGCCCAGAGGCTCCCTGAGGTGGGCTCTCTTTCCCGGCCCAGCCCAGGCCAGTGAGGGCAGAGGCCCCCTGCAGGAGGCAGGCAGGCAGGCAAAGTGAAACTGTAGCTAGCAGGGAGCTTTCCAGGAATGCTTCATGGAAGGGGTAGGACTAGAGGTTAAGATTCGTGGTTTAGAAATCAGAACAGTAAAAATGAGTAGCCCGGCCTGGGCGCTTCCCTGTGTTGGGGTTTCTGCTGAGTTTTTCATGTACCTAGTGGTGGGTTTCTTGGTGGGGGGATCAAAGTTGTGGTGGCAAAAGCAGGCTCCCCCTAGGCAGGCGATGAATCCCTTCTCTTGCCATTGAGCCCCTGGGCCTTGTAAACGGAGGTGGTGGGGTGGACAAGTTCAACCCAACCTGCAGATGGGTGGGTCTTGGACTGGGGCTGTGGGTGGACTGGGAGACATAGCACATGAAACTGCTCATGATGAGCCTTAAGCATCAGAGTGGGAGTCCGGTTGTCCCTGCTGGGCATGAGAGGAGGCAGCTGCGTTAGATGCCAGCAGGAGTGGGTTCGTGCTTCAAGTGCCATTTACGGAGGTCTAGGCCCAAGCATCAGGGATGGGCTTGCTGTTTTGTGACCTGCTCACAGGGGAGCCTTTGTTTGGGAACTGGGTCAGTGGTGTCTGAGGCCTGAAAGCCTGGCTGTGTTGCCCTGGGGTGGGGCAGAAGGGGTTGGGGAGGATGAGAATTCAGGAACCTAGGGAAGGGCAATCAGGGTCTCCGGCTGCAAAACACCTGGAAAATTTGAAATGTTAAAAACTCAGAAAAAAACCCAATTGCCACCTTCTCTCTGTGGCTGTGCTGGCCATGGGTGCATGGTGTGGGGAGGGTGGGGCACTTTCACTGGGCCCCCAAAAGTGTGGCTGCAAGGTGTGGGGCCCAGGCCTGTGGGCCAGGGCATCTTGGGCCCGTCTCTTCCAGCTGTTGACCTCAGACATCTCCACCTGCACGGGGGACAGGGATTGGAATCATTTCAGCTACCTTCCAACGCAGACACTGTGGAAGGCAAGGCAGCCGCTAACAAGCATGAATGGTGGACCCGCAGATCAGGGAGGGAGCAGCCCTGGACAGTGGGCAGTCCTCGAAGGCTTCCTGGAGGAGGGTCACTCAGACTGACTTGAAGGCAGGGGTAGGCTTTGAAAAGGCCAGAAGGGGAGGGTATTCCAGCGTGTGGATGTGGCGGGCAGCCAGGCTCAGGTCTCACAGGTGGGACTCAGTCTCACGACACGTGCGGCCCTGTGAGAAGTGGGTGGTGGGGAAGAATTGAGAGGGGGGTCTCCAATGCCAGGCTGAGGAGAATAGCAGCAAAGTCACACAACTGCCACACAGCTGAGTGTCTGGCCGCATGCTGTCTTATATACAAGACCTTTTCCCATCAGTTAGGCACGACTATTGTAACTGTCACCGTTACAGATGGGGAAACTGAGGCTCTGAGAGATTGGGCAACTTTCTTGAAGGCTAGTGATGGCAGAGCTGTGATTGGAAGGCAGGTTTTTGGGACATGCTCATAGTCACTGAGCCCCATGTGCCTCTCGGAGGCTCCTGGAAGCCCCAGGATGGTGTTGGTCTCTTCTGGAGAGTTCAGTTCCCTCTGACAATGCCGGCGTTGACAGAGTTTAGAGGGGCAGAGGCAGGACAGTCTGGTTACTGCAGGTCATGCAGCAGAAGCACATGTTTCATTTTCATTATCTTATTCAGCATTTTTACAGGCTCTGTGGGGAGATTTCCCTTTTTTTTTTTTTTTTTTTTTTTTTGAGACGAAGTCTTGCTCTGTGGCCCAGGCTGGAGTGCAGTGGTGCGATCTCTGCTCACTGCAACCTCCACCTCCCAGGTTCAAGCGATTCTCCTGCCTCAGCCTCCCTACTAGCTGGGATTACAGGTGCCCACCACCACACCTGGCTAATTTTTGTATTTTTAGTAGAGACAGGGTTCCTCCATGTTGGCCAGAGCAGTCTTGAACTCCTGACCTCAGGTGATCCTCCTGGCTCAGCCTCTCAAAGTGCTGAGATTACAGGCATGAGCCACCATGCCTGGCCAGAGATTTCCTTTAAAAATTTTTAAAATCATTATGGGTAGATAATAGTTGTATATATCTATGGGGTGCACGTGATGTTCTGACACAGGCATAATGTATAACAATCAAGTCAGAGTAACTGGAGTATCCATCACCACAGACATTTATCATTTCTTGTGTTAGCAACATTTCAATTCTACTCTTTTAGTTGTTTTAAAATATACAATAGATTATTGTTGGCTGTAGTCACCCTATTGTGCTAGGGAATACTAGACTCATTCATTCCATCTAACTGTGTTTTTGTATCCATTGACCACCTTGCTTTATCCACCTCTCCCTGCTACCCTTCCCTGCCTCTGGATTCTACTCTATCTCCGGAAGTTCAATTTTTTAAAAATTAGTTCTCTGTAGGGAGATTTCTAAGACCACAGAGGCAAAATGAGAGCTGTGAACATATTTTTGGCCAATTCAAGGACCAGGCTAGCCCTCAGGGTAACGGTAAGTGAGGGCCACACGCAGGCTGTTCTGGCTCTGTGGAGCAGAGGTCATATGGGGAACGGGAAGCTTCGAACCTTGGGGTCCTCCCATTGGCCCCTGTGGGTGTTCTCTAGCTCCTGGGGGCAGCTAGCTCCCTAAAAACCAGTGCCCCATGTGAGCAGTTCACTGCAGGGCTGTGTGCCAGAAATCAGGTCCTCAAAGATCAGTTTATGGGACAGCCAATTCACCAACCTCACCCGTTTACCAGAAACACCTTTCTTATAACATTTAAATGTAATTTTTGATTTTTCCAAACATTTATCTCAGTTTCAGATTTCTAGCAATTAAAACTTGTCTTAATTAAACTAGATTGAAATGTGCACGTACATTCATAAATACTTGAGGACTCTCAGAATATGCCAAAGCAACACTGTCATGAGAAGAAATGATAGAATTTTGGCTCCATGGCTGGGCATTGTGGCTCATACCTGTAATCCCAGCACTTTGGGAGGCCGAGGGCAGCAGATCACATGAGGTCAGGAGTTCGAGACCAGCCTGGCCAAGATGGTGAAACCCCGTCACTACTCAAAATACAAAAATTCGCTGGGCGTGGTGGCGGGCACCTGTAATCCCAGCTACTCAGGAGGCTGAGACAGGAGAATCGCTTGAACCCGGGAAGCAGAGGTTGCAGTGAGCCAAGATCACTGGCTTTGTGCCAGGAGAACATGGGATGTGTGGCCTCCTCAGCTGTTTTCAGGCAGGTGCGATGCCTCAGGGGAGGGAGCACAGGTACCTGCAAGGTAATTCTGTCACCCCACCCCATGACCAGATGGCAAAGTACTTCCACCCTACACATGGATGTGAGAAAACAACCAAAGACAAGCAGCAATACAAATTCCAAAAGTGTAAAAAGAAAACCATACCAGGGAGTAACAAGAATGAACGCATGACATTTTAAATTTTGAAAGAAAAGGAAAAAACTTCAGGGAATCCAGTTCAATGAGCATTTTATGTATTTATTTTTGAGATGGAGTCTTGCTCTGTTGCCCAGGCTGCAGTGCAGTGGTACGTTCTTGGCTCACTGCAACCTCCGCCTCCTGGGTTCAAGTGATTCTCCCATCTCGGCCTCCCAAAATGCTGGGATTACAAGCGTGAGCCACCGCGCCCAGCCCTTCAATGAGCATTTTAAATTGAAGACCTCCTCACTGCCCTCCAGTCCTGCCTGTTGGGTCAGGAAGCAAACAGGGACTCAAGGGTTAGGTGGCTGTGCCTTGCAACTGTCCTCAGGCCTCTCCAGTTGGTGGGTTCCAGTGAGGGTCCCCGGAGTCATCATGCAGCCACCCGTTTTGTTTGTGGGAATCCTGGGCGTGTCTTCTGTGAGCTCCCCCGCTGTCCAACCTCATCCTCTTCCAAGTGAGGGGATCACAGCCCTCTGCATCTGTTAACCCTCTCAGTCCCCCTCCACCTTGCCTCCCCTCCCTCTTCCCCACCTCCACCCTCTGGCTCTCTCTGCTTCTAGATTTCCCCTCAGGCCTCCCTCATTCTTTACAGCCTGTCACTCTGTCTCTGTGTCTCCTGCTTTGCTTCTTTTCCTTCCTGTGCCCCTCCTTTTATTCTTTCTCTCCTCCTTCTCTTGCCCCTCCTCGATCCTCACCATCCTCACCGCCACTGTCCTCTCTTTCCTATGGCTCCTGGGGCATTTGGCATTTCTGGGTTTTCCCTGATGATCACTGGCAGTTTAGGGTGATCTTGTTAAACCAGAGTGGTCTGCTGGCCCAGAGTGGGATCTGGGGAATCCTTTCATGCCTCAGGAAGGAAATCTCCATCTGGGAACTGTCTCTGGGCTGCTCAGCATGCCATTAACCCATGAGAGGGGCAGCCCTAAGCCCGAGGACCCCTGAGCCAACTTCAGGGATGGATCGACTTTATCTGGCTAAAATCAGGTTTCCAATGCACATAAAAGGAAGCTCCACTCCTTAGGGTGGAAGACACTCAGGCAAACCTAGCGGGTGGTCCTGGGATCCTGTTCCAGGCTGCACTGGACAATTTCCTGTTTACTCGAGGCTTCTCAGAGAGAAGCTGAAGGGGAGATGATCCAGGTCCCTGACCAGCTGTTTTGACCCGTGGGATGTTCAGCCCAGAAGTTCCCAATTCAGGCCACACAATAGAATCACCTGGGCAGCTTTTACACCCACTCATGCCTGAGCCTTGGCTGAGGTTCTGATTTCGTTGGTTTGGGGCAAGGTCTGTGCAGCATCACCTACTCTCCAGGTGCTGGTGTTTTCATTGCGCAGCCTGGGCTGAGAGCCACTGATCTGGACTCTAGACCAGCACTGCCCACTAGAACTTTCTGAGATGATGGAAATGTTGTCTTTGTGTTGACTAGTGTGCCTGAGAAATTGAATCTTAAATTGTATTTAATTTTAATGACTTAGATTTAATTAATTCCACGTGGCTAGTGGCTACTGTGTTGGACAGAGCAGCTTTAGATTTTTGGAACAGTGTTTCCAACCTGGCTGCATCTAGAAATGACCTGGGAGCTTAAAAAAAAAATAAGTGTCTGAGCTCCGCACTAAGCTGATTAAACAAGAACCTCTGGAGTGGGCTGCAGGAGTCAGCACTTTTGGAAACCACCCAGGATGGCAGGGGGGCAGTGTGCCCGCAGGGTAGAGAACTCACTGTGTTAGAGAGATGCTGGCATTTTGTTGTTGTTGTTGTTTAGGCAGAGTCTCGCTCTGTCGCCCAGGAAGGAATGCAGTGGCATGATCTCGGCTCACTGCAACCTCTGCCTCACAGGTTCAAGCGATTCTCCTGTCTCAGCCTCCCGAGTAGCTGGGATTACAGGTGCCCACCATCTCACCTGGCTAGTTTTTGTGTTTTTAGTAGAGACAGGGTTTCACCCTGTTGGTCAGGCTGGTCTTGAACTCCTGACCTCAGGTGATCTACCTGCCTTGGCTTCCCAAAGTGCTGGGATTACAGGTGTGAGCCACTGTGCCTGGTCTGATGCTGGCACTTCTGAAAGGAATTGCTCTCAATTTTTCCATGGATTAGCTAAGAAATAAATAGAAATGGTCATTCTTGTAATTGTTTATGTATGTGATTATTGGCAAAATAATCACCATCAAGTAATAATGGCTGAAACTGCACATGGTAAAATTGTTACAGAACTGAAAAACAGATGGAAGAATCCTGTTGGTAACTGCAAACACTGACTTGGGAAGTTGGACTTAGTGGAAATAATTCCACAAAAGAAAACTCAAAATGGCAAGGAGCAATATTTGATAAAACTTAATGTCAACCAAAAAAAAAAATTAAAAATCTGTGAGCCAAATCTGTGTTGGGAAATTTAAGCAGGGATTAATTGTCCCCAATGAAAAGAATTTTGGTAAAATGAAAATAAAGATGGTAAAAGAGAAAAAGAAAACAGTTTAATTGCTCTGTATGCAAAACATATCAACACATTAAACTGGCTTCATTTAATTTGTTCTGGAAAAATGCCTTCTCAGTGGAAATTAATTACTGTAGGTGTTTTTTATATTTAAATGTTTGGTAAATATAAACATGGAAGCAAAAATCTCCATGGGGTCAAAACATCCACCTGGCAAAGCACCATGGTCAAAATGATGCTCACCTTGACTGCAGTGATTCACTAACCCCAGGCCTAACCGGTCCCCAAGACAGGGGGCCCAGATGCAACAAGGAAGCATACAGAACAACCTGTTAAATGAGGAGGTCTCAAATACCACAGGCGACACCTTATATTAAGGCATTAATCATCGTTTCTCTGAGATACAGACTTGAGTGGGCTCCCTGTGTTTTTCCTGGTCACTCTACCCTCCAGCCTGACCGTGTCCCCAGCCTCTCTGCTTTAATCAAGTGTTATAGGAGGAGGTCTAGTCAGGATTGCCTTTAAAGACGCTCTCTTAGGTGTTCACAGTGGCATTTTCTTTGGAATAGTGTGATCTACTCTGTATCTTTTAGCGACCTGGTGACTCTGTAAAGTGGGCACTGAGGGGCCTCTCACCTGCACTCAGATGCCTTTCTGCCTTCACCCTTCCCCATGGTCTGAGCATCAGTCATGGTGCCTGCAACTGGAGGGGACCCAGGAGACAACCTGAGAACTTTCCTGAGCCCCAATGCTCCTTCTCCTCCTTCCTCCTTCAGCTGCTCCTCCTCCCACCCCCACATTGAGCTGGATGATCTGCCCCAGTGGAATAAGCGTGGACTTTGAGAAGAGCCAGGGTCTAGCTGCAACACTCTGTGGCCTTGGGCAGATCACTACACTCCCTGAACCTTGCTTTCTTCCATTCTTAGGGAGTATCAAATCAAGGGACCTGCCACAACGGGGGTCTCCCTAAATGTTAGTTCTGCACTGCTGCCTTGCTCTTGTTCCCCCGTGCTTCCTTCTGCTGCCCCCACCACTCAAAGTCCCACTGACCCAGCCCTCTCCCACCAAAGGCTGCTCTTAGCCAGCTGTGGGTTGAAAAAGCACCAAATCATATGAATGCATAGGTGGCAGCCTATGGCTTCATGTTTCACTCTATTTTAGGAATCGGCGGGATGCTGCTTTATAGCTCAGACTCTGCTTAGAAAAGAGAGAAGTGTTAATGGTAGGTGTCCAGCCACTGCAGTAGATTATGAGGAGATATTTTAGGAATGGTGTATCTTCTTCCTGACATAGGGCCATCTCTGAGCCTGGCCTTGGTGCCATCTGGGCGGAGGCAAGGGTGGCCTGATGCCTCCTATGTCAATGAGTTTCATTTGTTGAGGGAATGTGGAGGTTTCCAGGAAGGGGCTGAACATGCTCTTAGTTCTTCAGGGTAGCCATGCATGGGAGACGACAGAGGCGCCTGGGGAGGGGGCCTGGCCAGTTGAGGCCTGTCTCCCACACCTGGAGTATGCTGGTGGGATTGAGGGGCTCTGTACTGGGAGGGGCAGGTATTCTAATTCTCAGGCTGTCCATCAGAGCTTGCAGGGCAGGGGTGGTGGAATGAGAATGAGGGTCAGGGGCTTTGCTCAGGGACCCCACTGTCAGCAGAGTTCTATCCTGGCACTGTCTGTAACCTGGACCTCTCTGAAACCGTTTCCTCATCAGGACAATGGCAAAAGCAGTCCCTATGTTGCCAGGTTGCTGTGAAATTTAAATAATATAATGCATGTGTGTCAAATGCCTGCTCAGTGCTTGGAATACTGAAGGTGCAATATATGGGGGCTGTTGGGAGCAGGATCCATATAGATGCACTTACGTAAACCACACAAACATGTGAACACTATGTGCATGGCCCGTATGGACACCCGGCTGTACCTGAGTGTGCACTAGCATTGCATAATATGTGCACATGCATTTTTTTAAATTTAAAACAACCAAAAAATTTCACGGAAGTATAAAAAAACCTAAGTAATTTTTATAAGTATAAAAGTGCATTTCATTCTCAAAAAGTTATAAAGGAAAAAGTACAAGTTCTCCCATCTTCTACCCATGAATTTCTTCTCTTTTCTCCAGAGGTGCCCATTGTTAACGATTTGGTGCGTATCTTTCTTTCTTTTTTGAGACAGAGTTTCGCTCTCGTTGCCCAGGCTGGAGTGCAATGGCACGATCTCAGCTCACTGCAACCTCCGCCTCCCGGGTTCAAGTGATTCTCCTGCCTCAGCTTCCGGAGTAGCTGGGATTACAGGTGCCCGCCACCACGCCCAGCTGATTTTTGTATTTGTAGTCACCATGTTGGCCAGGCTGGTCTTGGACTCCTGACCTCAGGTGATCCGCCTGCCTCGGCCTTCCAAAGTGTTGGGATTACAGGCGTGAGCCACTGCGCCCGGCCTGGTGCATATCTTTCTGGACTTTTCCTAAGTTATCTACAGGCATCTGTTTATACACATGCATACTCATTTACTTATACAAAAATGGAATTATGCTATATGTATTGGTCTGCACTTTGCTTTTATCACTTCATCATTGACTCTTTCCCAGGTCAGTCCATCACATTTTTAAATGGTTATGTGGTATTCCGCGGTATGTGTGCACCGTAATTTACCCCACTGTACTCTCATTGACTGATATTTAGTTTCTTTCCAATGTCTTGCTCTCGAATGATTATCCAGTAAACATCTTTATCCAAATATTTTTATGTTCTTATGCTATTTTTTTCTTTAGGATAGGTCGTTAGAAGTGGGATTACTAGATCAAAGGGTATAAGCAAATAACATTTTTTGTAGATTCTGCCAAATTACTTTTCAAAAATGTTGTCCCAATTAATGTCCACCAACAATGCAATAAAGTGCCTGCTAATTTATTTTTGCTAGTAGAACGGACCAAAAAAAGTTGTAATTTGTGTTTCCTTGGCCATTTGTAAAGTTGAGCATCTTTTGTGTGCTGATTGTCCATTTCTATTTCTTCTTTTGTGATTGCCAATCATTGTATTTTGGGTTGCTCGTCTTTTCCTTTTAATTCATAATAATTACATATATTTGGAATATTATTAGGAATACTAACCCTCACTCTGTTCTATCTGTATAAAACTTTTTTCTCTCTGCTTCTCACCTGTCAGTTGCACTCACATGGCAACAGGCATTTACCCAGAGGTGCACGTGTGCACACAGACCTTTATTTGTTTGTTTTAAATTTTTAAGTTCAGGGTACAGGTGCAGGTTTCTTACATAGGTAAACTTGTGTCATGGGAGTTTGTTGTACAGATTATTTCCTCACCCAGGCATTAAGCCTAGGACCCATTGGTTATTTTTCCTGATCTTCTCCCTCCTCCCACCCTCCACCCTCTGAAAGGTCCCAGTGTGTGTCCTCCTCTATGTGCCCATGTGTTCTCATCATTTAGCTCCCACTTATAAGTGAGAACATTTGGGATTTGGTTGTCTGTTCCTGGGTTAGTTTGCTAAGGATTATGGCCTCCAGCTCCATCCATGTTCCTGCAAAGGACATGATCTCATTCTTTTTCATGGCTGCATAGTATTCCAGGGTGTATATGTATCACGTTTTCTTTATCCAGTCTATCATCGATGGGCATTTAGGTTGATTCTATGTCTTTACTATTGTGAATAGTGCTGCAATGAACATACATAGCACACAGACCTTTATAAAGGCAGAGTGGCGGTTTGCTGTGTTAGAAGTTGGGAAAAGGCATAGGCTTGGCCTCTGGTTTTAGCAAGCTGGTTTGCCAGCCCCCGCTTCTGGCATGCTTGGGAGGCTGTTTTGGGCAGGATTATTTACCCTTCACTGCCTCATTGTTTTCAGCGGGCCCGAAAGCATTGACCATATCCTTATTTTCAAGGATTTTTATGACTATATTTTGCCCTGGATTCTATCCAGGACATCCCTGGCTTTCAGAATCATTTTTCTTTTGTCTTTCTCTAGACTGAAGTGGAAAACTATTTAGAGTTACCCTTGGGCAGGCCCTGGGGAATCAGATACTGGCCGGAAGGCTGCCAGAGGCCAGGGGACTCAGGGGCTCTGGAATGTCCTGCTGTTCCCTGTTTCCTGCCCCTCACTGCCTGGCACGCATAGCGGAGAGCTGGAGGGGCTCAGAGGACAGGTGTTTCCTCCCCTGTATGGCATGTGTCTCCTTCCAGGACAGGGCTCTCTCACTTTCCTGTCACCTGGCTCATTGACGCTAACCAGGGGGAGATACAGTGAGTCAGTGATGAGTTACTCGCAATACATATATAGTTTTAATTGGCATGCGCTTTTCTTCATTTCAAAGAAAGAATGAGAAATGGATACATGGTAACCCTTCTGGAACATTTTTTTTAATTCAAATTTAAAGTTGTAAAAATAGTACAAGAACATCCATATATTCTTTACTCAGATATACTTATTCACATTTTACTCCATTAGTTTTAGTATATATGTTTTATTATACTTATTATTATTATCTCCCTTCCTCCCCCCCCCCCTTTTCTTTCTCTCGTCTCTCCCTTCTTGTTTCTCCCTCTTTCTCTTACTCCTATTTGAAGGTAAGTCATATTCATCACGGTCTTTGACTCCTAAATATTTCAGTGTATATTTCTTAAGAGTAGGGACACAGTTATCAACTTCAGTAAATTTAACACGATGCCATACTTTTTTGTTTGTTTGTTTGTTTTTGAGACAGGGCCTCACTCTGTTGTCCAGGCTGGAGTGCAGTGCTTTGAACAAGGCTCACTGTAGCCTTGACTTCCTGGGCTCAATCCATCCTCCTACCTCAGCCTTCCAAGTAGCTGGGACCACAGGCACAAGCCACCTCGTCTGGCTAATTTAATATATATATTTTTTTTGTAGAGACAGGGTCTCACTATGTTGTCCAGGCTGGTCTTGAACTCCTAGGATCAAGGGATCCTCCTGCCTCAGCCTCCTAAAGTGGTGGGATTACAGGAGGGAGCTACAGCACCTGGCTGATACCATACTTTTATCTAATATATTGTTTGTATTCCAGTCATGTTAATGGATGAAATAATGTTTTTCATTTCATAGCAATTTCCCTTTCCCTCTCCCCCAGTGCGGGATTCAGCCTGTGGTCCATATTGAATTTAGTCATGTTTCTATAGCCTCCTTTAATCTGGAACGTTTCCTTAGTCTTTGTCTTTCATGACAATTTACAGTTTTGAATAATATAGTATCCCTTTTTTCTAATAGAATGTTCCTCATTTGGGATGTCAGCCTAAATAACGAACAGAGAAAAAAGATATTTGTGAGGGAATAGAGCCAGCCGTGGGAATATGCATGCCATAGTAAACCACATGAGTATTTAAGGAGGTAAAGAAACACAAAGGTTTTCAGCTGGGTGCGCTGGCTCACGCCTGTAATACCAGCACTTTGGGAGGCCAAGGTGGGTGGATCATTTGAGGTCAGGAGTTCAAGACCAGCCTGGCCAACATGGTGAAACCCCGTCACTACTCAAAATACAAAAATTAGCCAGGCATGATGGCATGCGCCTGTAGTCCCAGCTACCCGGGAGGCTGAGGCAGGAGAATTGCTTGAACCCAGGAGGTGGAGGTTGCAGTGAGCTGAGATCGTGCCACTGCACTACAGCCTGGGTGATAGAGTGATACTCTGTCTCAAAAAAAAAAAAAAAAAAAAAAAGAAAGAAAGAAACACAAAGGTTTTTTAGAGGAAAAGAGGAAAATAATGAGGATTACATAATTATTTTGAAATATTATCCTTGGCTATAAAAATCAATTACAAGGGTGATTCTGGTCCAGGGTTGGACTGGTAATTAGTGGGCAGATGTTCTTGCAGAAGTGTTTTTTGAGTAAGGCTGTTATAGCCTTTGTGCAAGACTGTGTTTTTGCAGTCTTTTGTGAGGGTTTTTGTTATCAGGCATACAAGCATGAGAACCCTCTCTTCATGGCCTTCCTTAGCTCTTTTTGTTAGGGTTTTCTTAACATTAGCGACTCCATTTTTATTCTGACAACTTTCGTGGCAGTTTGTTTGATGTTTTCTCATGCTTAGATTCAAGCTTGGATTAGGTTACTCATCCCTGGCCAGAACACTGTCTAAGTGATGCTGTGTCTGTCTCCGGATCTGGAGGCACATGATGTTCCTTACTGGGGAACGTTAATTTCAATCACCTGGTCAAGGTGTTGTCTGATTTTTCCATTGCATATTTAAAGTTCTTTTCTCCCCCTTGAAGTTTGTTAAGATGTACTTGAAGATGGTGCAAATATCCTGCTTCTCAAGAAGATGTCCCCCTAAACTTAGCATCCATGGATGATCCTTGCCTGATCCAATCCTTACCATGATGGGTATGAGCTGATTTTCATCTCCAGCACTCCTTCCACATGTACCAGGCTAGGCTGTGTGAGGCTCTTGTGGTCACAGTGGTGCTGGCATAACCCCAGGGCCACCACGCATTGATCCCTACCTGTGCCTAGCACTGTGCCTTGGTGACTCATGCCTTGAGCCTCACCCCTTGGCTCAGGGCCATTCTCTCAGAGTTGAAAGACCTCTGGGTCATTAGGTTGGGTGTCTCATCTCTTCCATCCTTGATAGACAGTGTTGGAGTGAGACAGACACCCATTCTGGGGCTGGATTATTCATTAGAAAGTCCTTCCTTCTATTGGCTACAGTTTTTCTCCCTGACATTTTGAGGATCTTATTTCTCTACCCTCAGGAATGATCAAAAAGAAATCTAACCCTCTTGCATATGACAGCACTTCAAGTCATGGTCTAATATGGTGCTGACAGTCACTGGGTGGGATGGGAATGTGCAGAGAAGCACAGGAACATGGTGAGTGGGGAGGGGAAGAAGGGAACTGACACCTACCAAGTTCTATCTAGGTTCCAGGCACATGTGGGGGGTGATAGGTGTATTAACTGAAATTTTACCAGAACTCTCTGAAGTATTCATTATTTCCTCCAAGCTCCAACAATGCAGGGTGGGTTGTCCATTTTATTCTCATCAGTATCCCCAGTACCTACAACCGTACCTGACCCATGAGTGGTGCTCACTACATATTTGTTGAATGAATGAATGAATGACTTTTACAGATGAGGAAACAGTCTCAGAAAGTTTATGTCATGTGTGCCCAGCCACGCAGCTGGTCAGATTGCAGGGCTAGGTTTCTGGCATGGTAGGATGACTTGAGGGCTCTTATTGTTAAATCACTGAATGATTAATACTTTTGGAAGATAGTTGAGAGAAAGAACATTTTCAAAGTGTTGCTGTAGGTTGAAAGGTACAGTTTGAAAACACTGGGTTGGTGAGTGTGACATCCTAGGGTCAACCACCTGGGCTGTTCCATGAACCCAATAGAACAGGAGCTATGTGGCCTGCCAGCCTTTCTGGATCACTTTCCTTTGGGGCATTTGGGAGAAGGTAGCTTGTCTCCTGTCCACTTCTTTTTCAGTCTGAGCCGTACCCACTCCTCCCATCTTCCTGCAGCTAACATGGCTCTCAGCACCAGGGGCCGTGGTCCTCTAGGCTGCCCCAGCCCTGGTTCCTGCACACCCACATTCTTCAGCTTAAACCGCCACTGACATAGGGGAAGGCCCGGAGTCACTGGGGCAGGGGCTCTGCTACCCTCTGCAGGCGTGGAGGCAGGGCCCTAAAAGAGGGAGGAGAGGTGGAAGAGAAGGGTTCACTGTGGGTGTGGAGGCATGGAGACCACTCTCATTGGTGGCTCTCTTCTGGGTCCTCAGGCATCCTACCACAGGGTTGCCTCTCTCTGACCCACTTGTTTCTCTGGGGTCTCTGCCAGCTACCGTGATGCAGAGCTGCACCCTCAGTGCACCCTTCTCTTCCACCTCCCCTCCCTCTTTAGGGCCCTGCCTTCAAGGCCACCTCCTGAAAACTCCAAATGCCATCCCTGCATAGTGTAGACTATTAGACCTCCCAGCCTCCTCTTCATATGATACTTTAACCCATCTGAAAAATAGAATTAATTAGCTTTTAAAAGCTTTTTAAAATGGCCACTCAAGGCTGGGCGTGGTGGCTTATGCCTGTAATCCCAGCACTTTGGGAGGCCAAGGTGGGTGGACCCCTTGAGCCCAGGAGTTTGAGACCAGTCTGGGCAGCAGAGTGGGAGGCCACGCTGTGCAGGGCCACACAGGGAAGTGCTGGGGTCAGTGCCAGAATCAGTGCAGGGGTCAATCAGGAGGCAGAGAGAGCGAGGGGAACACGGGGACAAGCGCCTTTATTGTGGTTTCCAAGGGAAGGAATGGGCGAGGCAGGGTAAACAGGCCTGGGGACTGGCCAGTTTGAATAATTTCTGTGGGCTCTGGGCACACTTACACGTAGACATATAGCTGTCTATGTACCGACATAGACGGTAGGGGCTGTCCTGAGTTGCTGGAACCTGGCCCTATGGTGCTTAGGACAGGGGAATGTGGGCCCTGAGTGTGACAGGCTGTGGAGGAGGTGTGGGGTATGGGCTCAGAGTGGCTGGTTTGCATATGAAAGGCCTGCTGGTAAGTGAGGAGTCCTTTACCATCTCCAGGAATTCTGGGAAGAGAGTGCCTCCAAGGTCAACAAGGCTCCAGATGTCGAAGCATCAGAAATACAAAAAACATAGTTTGGCATAAGATTAAAAAAATATGGGCCAGGTCAAATGTATAGACTGGGCTCCCCTTCCCACGGATTAAGCAAACCAATGACCTTTCTGTTTCTTTCATGATGCACTCATGGGCCTCTAAGATGGCACAGGAGGCTCACTGTAGAGTTCAAAGCAAAGCCTCAGGCTCTGTCAGCCTTGTTATTTGTGTGAAATCAGGCAAGTCAAACACCTTCCCAAGTCCCAGTTTCCTTGTCTGTGAGGTGGACTGAACTAATAACAGTACCTACCCCACAGGACTAGTGTCCTAATATGTACCTAGTTGATGTAACTGCCCTACAGATTCATCGTGCTGGCTGCCAAGATAGAGCTGATTTATCAAGACAGGGGAATTGCAACAGAAAAAGAGTTTAATACTGAGCTGGCTAAATGGGAGACTGGAGTGTTATTCTTACTCAAATCAGCCTCCTCGAAAATTCAGAGGCTAGAGTTTTTAAAGACTGTTTGGTGGTGATACGGTTTGGCTGTGTCCCCACCCAAATCTCATCTTGAGCTGTAGTTCTCATAATCCCCATGTGCTGTGGGAGGGACCCAGTGGTAGGTAATTGAATCATGGGGACAGTTATCTTCACCCGGTTCTCGTGATCTGAGGTTTTATAAAGTGGTTCCCACACTTCACTCTGTACTTCTTGCTGCTGCCATGTAAAGAAGGACATGTTTGCTTCCCCTTCCCCCATGATTGTAAGTTTCCTGAGGCCTCCCCAACCCTGCTGAACTGTGAGTCAATTAAACCTCTTTCCTTTCTGAATTACCCAGTCTCAGGTATATCTTCATTAGCAGTGTGAGAACAGACTAATACAGGTGTGTTCCCAGACCAAACCGAGGGTCTGGCTGCTTATTCTCATGGCCCAATAATGAGATGAAGATGAACTGGGAAAGAAGAGAGTTTATTTCTGTAATCAGGTACAGGCAGAAGGCCTGGAAAATATCAGCAGATCAACTCGAAATTACAAAGTTTTCCAGAGCTTATATACCTTCTAAGCTATATCTCTACATGTGAGCGTGCATTCTTCTAAAGACCTAAGTGTCTAACTTCTTTGAATCTATAACTAAAACTAAGGTCTGAGTTTTGAAGACCTTCTTCTGGAGCCTCAGTAAATTTACTTAATCTAGGTGGGTCTAGGGGCCAGGGGTGATTATCCTTCGCTTGTCTCCTGCTAAATCATGGAGGTTTGGGGAGATCCTTTAGACCCCCAATAAAACTTGATTGTTGAGGCCTGGGGAGTTTCTTCAGACCCCCAGTAAAAACTTGTTTAGTCCTAAATGGGTCCTGTTAAGAATTCCTTTGTTATCTTGTCATGCTTCAAGTCCCCGGAAAGGCCTGGGCAAAACTCTTGGTGGGCTTTTGTTACATTCCAGCCTTTGTGTGATGGCACTGGCTCTATCAGCTTTGAATGTTTAACTTCACCACTCAGTCAGTGCTGAAACAGCTGTTATGAAGACCTGCCTGTTCAGCTGTTAGCGAGATCTGGCCTGCCACAGGTGGGCAGGGGGCTAGGGAATAGGAGTGCTGATTTGTTGGGTCAGGGATGGAATCACAGGAAGTTGAGGCTGTCCTCTAGCCATGAGTCAATTCCTGGGTGGGGACCACATGACCAGATGAGCCAGTTTACCAGTCTAGGTAGTGCCAGCAGGAATGCAGTGTCTGAAAAATACCTCAAACACCAATCTTAGGTTCTACAATAGTGACGTTATCCATAGGAGCAACTGGGGAGGCTCGGAATCCCGTGGCCTCTGGCTGCATGACTCCTGAGTCATAATTCCTAAGCTTGTGGCTAATCTGAGTTTTACAAAGTTACTCTGGTCTCCAGGCAAGGACGAGGTTTGTTTCTGGAAAGGGCTGTTTTCATCTTTGTTTCAAAGTTAAACTATAAACTAAAATTTTCTATGGTTAGCTGGCCTATGCCCAGGAATGAATAAGGGCATTTTGGAGATTAAAGGCAAGATGGAGTCGGTTGGGTCAGATCTCTTTCACTGTCATCATTCTCTCATTTTTATAATTTTTGCAAAGCCGGTTTCATTAATAGGAGGGTTGCTATTATTAGCATGCAAGTTCCATGAGGTCAGAGACTGTATTTTGTTGGACATACTAAATAAGTATTTGTTGAATGAATAAATTCTAAGATTTTTAAGGAGTTTTTACGTTTTGTTTTTAAATTTAATTTTTTACGTTGGTAAAAACTTTAAGAAGTTGTAAAAACAGAAACTATATTTAAAAACGCAGTGAAAATTCTCCCTGGCCTCTTTGTCCCTGATCTGCCCAGTTCTTGCTGTTCCCTAACAGGTAACCCCTCTTCTTAGTTTCTTATGGATCATTCCAGAGATCTTATATTATTGCTTAATCGCCCATATAGATTCTAACTTTCCTCTTTTTTATGCAGCAAGTAGCTTATTATACATGCTCTTTTGCACCTTGTTTTATCACTTAACAGTGTATCTTGAAGATTTTCCATGTAAGTGAATAATTCCCCATTATTGTTATAGCTGTCTAGTGTTCCATTGTATGAATGTACTGTACTTTATTTACCTGTCGTCTATGATGGACACGTGAATTGCCTCCTGTGTTTTGTTTTGTTCTTACAATGATGTAATAAGACCCAATGTTTTAAAATAAAATTGTTTTGATTTCTTTGTGCTTTATTAAAATAAATTGACTTGGCCACCATGATTCCCACCCTCCCACATGCTGCCTAAGGCTAAGGTTTGGGGGCCACCCATGCCTCCTTCCCTTCTGCCATACGGCAGTAGTAGCACCCCTGGATGGTGAGTTTGGGAACTAGTTCTTTTTCTACGGAGGAAAAGCATGTGCCCTGTCAGACCTCAAGCTGCCTTGGCCTCTCCTTCCCTTGCCCATGCCAGTTCCTGCCTTCTCTTTCTTTGGGTTGGCAGCGGCTCTTTCGGTCCCCACACTTCTCCACCCCCCACATTCCAATGGCTCCAGAGCACAGCTAGCCAAGAGGTCTGAGGAGGCTGGGAGCACCTGTGGTGTTTTCCTCCATGTGGGCTGCAGGGGGTGTGGCCAGGACCCACGGGTGTCATTTCCACCCATGTAGGCTCTGCTCTGCACACACTCATAGCTGGCCCTGTGCAGGACCCCTGGCCCCCTCCTTGCCTCATCTGAGCCTCTGGAATCCTGTCTGCCACTTGCCAGGCCCCTGGTTGGTGCCGACTGAGAGTGCAGCATCCCTGATGAGCAGAGGGCACCTGGCCCTGGAGCCTGTGCTTCAGTCTGACTCCAGATGGGGCGGGTCTCCTCAAGGGCCCCAGACCTAGAGGCCCCTGGATAAAGCCACATCTCCTCCATCCCTGTGAAATGAATGGATGAATGATGAGTGGCCTTCTGGGTTTTCTGTGACCAACCTCAGACCCCTCTAGCCTCCCAGGGGTCCCTCTTCTGCGCCCCCCACCTCTCCTCCCTGAGCAATGCTTCCTGGGAGGCTCTGAATTTCTGACTCTTGTGAACTTGACTACCACAGCCTGCTCCTTACACTGCGGGAGAGGCAGCCTGCCCTGCTATTTCCAGCCCTTCCTTCTACAGGAGTGGGGGCTGGTGAAGCCACCCTTCTTGGAGGGACTTGCCCCCAGGCCGATAGCAGGGTTTGGGGGTGCATTTCATGGCCCCAAAAAGCATTTCAGGGAGGAAATAACAAGCAGTCAACCCTGGCTGCTGTCTCTTGGGCATCCAAGAGGCACCCCAGGCTGGCAGGGGTGGGGGTGCTACTTCCTTCTGCATTTCCTGCCATTGTTCCCTGACCCACTTCCGGGAATTCTCCCTGGGCTGGGAGGGCTGGACAACCAGCAAGGGAGGCAGAGGAGGTCTGGCTTTTCTCGGCACCCTATGACCTGGCTGCTAACTCTGCTCTGCTCAGTCCTGAGGGCTCCTAAGCTGGAGCTCCAGCTGCCATGTACAGCTCTCTGGTCCATGAGGCCTCCTTGGGCCCTGCCTCCCAGTCCCCAAGGAGAGAAGCCTCAGTGCTCTGGGGGATTGACAGGGAACCTAGATACCCGGGTCCTGGGGCTGACTCAGCCATTCTCCTGCTTGAACAAGTCACTCCCCTCTGCCACCCCAGTTTTCTCGTGATGGGCAGGGTTACTCTGATCTCTGATGTCGCATGGACTCATGCATCCTCTATACCTACTGTCTGGTCTTTTTGACATTGTCTGGGTCCTGAGGACAATTCAGTCAACATACTGACGGGTGCCTTCTGGCACCAGCCCCTAGGATGGAGACACTCCAGGAGCCCCAGCTTATTAAGTGATGGTAAAAATCCTGCTCCATGCTGTGAAGGAATGGAACACAAATCAGTTTACATTCTAGAAAATATGGCTCCTAACACTGTGAGGGGGTTTCAAACCCTGGATTGAATATTAGTGAATATCTCTCCCCCTCTATCCCCTTCTTTCAGAAAGGGTTAGAAAATGGACCTTGAGCGTATATTACATTTACTGCCTTGCTAGCAAGGGCACGAGCAAGGCGGCAGAGTCTGTTGCTTTCAAGAAGGATGGAAAAAGAGGGATTTCATTGTTGAGAAGCTTAAATAAGTGGCTAGTTTTTAATTTTAAGTTTTATTATGATAAATCGACATAAACGCTACCATTTTAACCATTTGTGAGCATACATTTCAGTGGCGTTACATGCATTCATGATGTCATGCAGTCATTCCCACCGTCCACCTCCAAAATGTTCTCATCTTCTAAAACTGAAACTCTGTAACTGTTCAATAATAAATCCTCACTTCCTCCTCCCCCCAGCTTGTATCAGCCACCATTCTACTTTCTATGAATTTGACTACTCTAGCTACCTCATACAATATTTGTCTTTTTGTGACTGGCTGATTTCACTTTGCGGAATGTCTCCAAGGTCCATCCATGTTGTAGCATGTGTCTGAATCTTCTTTTTTGAGACTGAATAATATTCCATTGTATGGATGGACCACATCTTGTTTGTGCCTCTGTTGATGGAGACTTGGTTTGCTTACACCTCTTGGCTATTGTGAATAATACTGCTGTGAACACAGGTGTGCAAATATCTAGGTCCCTGATTTCAATTTTTTTGGGGGTATATAACTAGAAGTGGAATTGCTAGATCATATGCTAATTCTAGGTTTAATTTTTTGAGTAACTGCTATGCTGTTTCCCACAGTGGCTGCACCGTTTACGTCCCTACACACCATGCACAAGCATTCCAGTTTCTCCATATCCTGGCCAACACTTGTGATTTTTCTCTCCATGACTCTGTGTGTGTGTGTGTGTGTGTGTGTGTGTGTGTGTGTGTGTGTTTATAATAGCCATCCTAATGGATGTGAAGTAGTATCTCAGTGTGAGTAGTCAGTTTTAAAAATCACCTCGTTAGGTCGAGGTTGCAGTTTTATTTGATAGGGTCATAAAAATCTATATTCCAATCAATATTTGCAGAGACCAGAAAAGGGATGAGCCCAGATGACAGGTGTGCTGTTCATCCATCAGGAAAAAGCAGTTAATAAGTACACCTGTGGCTGTTCACCAGCCTAACATGGCCTTGTGCCCTGACAGTAATGTTCAGGGTAAGTCCATTTCTCAGGGAGGCAAGCAGAAGTCACACACAGACACCAGGCGACAGGTTCCTACAGTCACAGGCCACTCACTGCCCATGGTTTCCTGCTGCCTCTACAGAGGGGCAGACTATATGGTGAGCCCACTTCATAGCTTCCTCTGCTCTCTTTGAAGGGAGCATGTGCCAACCATCGCGCTGCTGACCTACTCTTTCCTAATAGCCCATACATGTGCCCCACCCCTCCTGTCAGTCAGAAATGCAGCCTCTGGTGCGTGTGGTATGGACCGCCCAGGGCCTCTCAGGAGTGGAGCCTGTTTCCCCTGCCCCAATATCCTTTTCTCCCTGTCCCTGAAGACAGGAAGGTTTCCTTGCTTTTCATGTACAATCAATCACTGCCGGCGGAGCCCTGGGATTCCAATACAGACGGCCTGTGTAGACATGGGTCATATGATCTGCTGGGGCTCAGGGGCAGTGTGGGGGTGATGAGATACTGACCTGGTGGACTGTCAAGGGCTCATGGGAAGACAACCCTTCATCTCTGGGGAGGCGTGGCTGGGCCTCTGGGGAGGGGCAGGAAGGGGTCAAGGTGGACCTTGGAGAAGGAAAGGTATCTCTTATCCCTTCCCATGCCCAAGTATTTCCCTAGGGGCCAGGCCTTCCAGGGATGGTGCATGGTGGTGACTGGGTGTGGGGGTGCAGGAGAGCCCTCGTGGGGTGCTGGGTGACTGTGTGGTCTAGGCAGACCAGCCTCATCTGAGTGGTGGCAGTGAGGGGTCTGGCAGAAGAGCCAGGGTGCCTTAGGCTAGTTTTCTACATTTGACTTCTCTCTCCTCTCAGGTTCCTGGGGGAAGCCAAGGTCCCACTCCGAGAGGTCCTCGCCACCCCTAGTCTGTCCGCCAGCTTCAATGCCCCCCTGCTGGACACCAAGAAGCAGCCCACAGGGGTAAGTGCCCATCAGCCTCTGCCAGGTTAAGGTCCAAGGCATTGCCAGGTGGCTTCCTCTTTGGGCCTTGCCATTCTGACCCCAGACATGCATCTGACTTCAGCTCCCTTGAAGCAGGCCTGGCCCTCCCTGACCAGAGTTTGCAGTGTCTGGAGGGGCACTGGACTAGGGGAGATGGGAAGGGCAGAGGGAGCCCTGACCCCACCTGCAGGGCTCAAGTCAGCCTTGGCTCGCAGCAGCTTGGCCTGCCCCTTGGTCTGGTGCTGCCGGTCTGGCCACCTCCTGTCCCCAGCTTCCTGGTCAGCCTTGGCTATAGCCCACCTAGTCTCCCTGGCAGACCTCCCCTCCTCCCTCACCATCCAGCCCTCTTCTCCAGATTCAGAATCTCTGAACCATCTGGGTCACAGGGCATGAGGGATGGAGGGAAAGAGCCCTCTCCCCTGCCCACCAGGACCCTCTTCCTTTTCCTCCGTTGTTCTTCCTGCCCCTCCCTGGCCTTCTCAGTGCTCCCCCCAAGTCCAATCAGACAATTCCCAGCCCTCCTCTCTGCCTGTTATTTTTAGTGAGCTAAATATACCCTGTAGGGTTCTCTCTTCTTGGTAGAATTCCTGACCTCTCCTGTGGGTTAGCCCCGCCTTCCAGGATGTACCAGGAACCATGGATTGGAACTACTTCCGCCCTGTGAGGCCTGGGGGATTCAGGCCCTGACTTGTCTCAGACAGGGCAGTGGTACTGCCCCGTGGCGGGTGTGTGAGGCCGGGGCTCCTGGCTGGCTGGGTGAGTCAGGAAGTAGCCGGTCTGGGCAGATCTCTGAATGGAACGAGACTGGATGCTGAGACCTAGAGAAAAGGAACCACTGAAGTCACATAGTCAGTGGCTGTTCCCATGGGGGCCTGGACCAGGAGCTCATCCCCTAGACCCTCTGGTGGAATGGCTGTGGATGGACTCCTGGTTCACTGAACTCTCAGTCTGCTGCCCTCTCGGTGCTGGACTTTGCTCCCAAGGGGTCTTAGGCTGGGGATGGCTGGGCTGCTCCCTTGATGGAAGATGTCACTTCCCAGGAAAGTCCATCTGTTTCCCACACAGGGCTCACTGGCAGAATGTTCTGGTTTAGAGCAGTATTCACTGAGCCTGTCTCCATCACCCTGAGTCCCCTCTCATCCTCCGTTTCAGCCTCCTGTCTCTTAACACTCCCTGTGGTCAAGGAGGACCCCAAGGAGTTCTGGAACTACCCCTTCAGGGGTCCTGAGGAGGCTCAGACCCAACCCTCAAGGCATGGGACACAGATGGAGGGATGATAGGTATCAAGGCAGCTGGCGAGAGAAAGCCTTGGGGTCAGGCTTGGTTCTCACTTCCTTGCTGGGACACCAGCATCTCTCCACTCCAGCTCTGTGTGCATCCATGACTCTGGTGTTTCCTGCCCTTCGGTCCCTTCCAACCTCAAAGGCCTGTCCAGCCCCGAGGCAGAGTTTTCCATAGCTGGTCCCTATTCATGAGCCGTGTCAGGCTGGAGCCATCCCCTCCATACCTCCCTTCGCCTCCTCCTGCTCCTTGTTCCCACACTGTCTGGGCTTCATGTTTACCAGCGGGGAGCCTGCTGCCTTCTCTTCCCTGGCTGGGGATTCCTGGCTGTCTGCAGAGCTTTACAATCCTTCACCAACCGTGTCTCCAAAAAGAGTGTGTGAGATCCAGGAGGTGGCGGATGGGAGAGAGTGCTGGACCCTGCTGGGTTGAGCCCCACTAGCTGAGCACAGGCTGGAAATGGAGTTGGGGAGCCTCCTCCCTGTTGCCCAGGAGGCAGTCCTCACCTGTACAGAGGGTCTAGGACTAGATTCTAGTCCATGTGATGGCATTAAGGTCACAGTGCAGCCCCAGACAGGTCATATGTCCCTTTGGGCTGGGGCTTCCTGCCTGGGACCTGGGCTGGCTGCACTGTAGTGCGAGGCAGGGATAACTGGGGGTGTGCTGGGCAGGGACAGACAGCCAACAACATTGAGGGTTCTCGCTGGCCGCTCACTGAGACCTCATTTCTGAGCTAAGCCCAATCAGCAGAGCATGCCAGGTGCCCCCATTTCATTGTAGCTCTCAGTTGCCTCTAAGGGCCAAAGAACCTGCTGATGGGGTGATACGAGTGAACACAGAGCCAGTGGGATCCTTAGGAAACTCTGGCAGACTGAGAGGCGTGGGGGAGGCCGGGAGTCCTGCCGCAGGCTGACTGCAGACCCCGTTTGCCTTTTGCTCAGTGTTCTCACCCAAGTCCCTTCAGATATAGCACGCTGGGCTGTGTGCCATGGAGGATCTGGCTATGTGCCAAATCTACCCTCTGACAGCTGCTAGGTTGATGGGGAAAACACTCCCCCAGTCCTGGAGGAACCTCCAGGCCATGGGGATTTAGGACACACATGGAGGAAAAGAAGCAGCATCCTCTCAGATGTATTTTAAGAGGAGCTCACTCAGGAAGGTGTGGATACATGGAGAAAACTCAGTCGGCATCACCCGGGCCTTAAAGCCAGAATCGGATCACAAAGGAGGACAAGAGCCTACGAAGCCCAGTGGTGTGTGGGTCAGGGAAGCCAGGAGGGCACTGTGTGTTGGGAGCGGGGACCTGAGGCGGGCAGGACAGTGCTCAGTGAGTCCCTGAGCTTTCTTCAAAGGTTTGGAGCTTCTGCCAACCAACCCTGTATCAGCTCAGGGCCACAGCTACCCTCTGCCTGCTTCTGGAGGTTGTCTGAGGGAGAGGTTAGTGAGGGCCACGCACATATCAGGCCTGTCTTGTCCACACGGGACACATGTGTTAGGGGAGGTGAGAGTGGGCTGGTCTGGGTTTTGGTTTTGATGAGCTCAGTGTTGGAGAGCTGTGGTCGAGGAAGTAGGTGGCGCACAATGGGCTGGGCATGGCAGGGTGGGCGAAGGACCCCAGAGCCTGACCACATAACCTGGAGGAGGGTCACAGCCAGGGAGGGTCTGAGGAGGTCATTCGCCTTCAGTTTCCTGAGCCCTCTTAGCCTGGGGCAAGACAGGAGTCTCAAGTTCTGCTGATCTCGTTGATTGTGGGCCCCAAGGCAGCAGACGAGGGCGACCGAGGTTACCCTGCTCCAGGGCAGCGTGTTTGGTGGACACACGATTGACTGACAATGGCCTTGTGCGTGGAGAACCCTGGAGTGCTGCTGAGTTGGAGACTGAGGACCTGGGCTGTCAGGCGCGGGACCCGTGACGTGGAGGACCTTGAGGAAGGTCCCACTGGGAGCTCTAGGCCCAGGTTGTGTAGTCCGGGAGAGCACAGGGCTCACATATATCCCCCAGGAAGAAAATCTTAGCTCTATTTGTCTAGAGAAGGAGACAGGGGTTGAGCTGTGATGTCATGGTGAGGGTACAAGGTCCTGGTCCTGGGTGGGGCCCACTGACACGCCCACTTTCCCTTAAGAGCCTCAGCAGAGCCAAAGAACTTCAGTATTCACCATCAGATCCTGAAGCCATGGTCCCTGGGGCCCACCTCCTAGTGCTGAGGTCTGTTCTAGACCCTGAGCTCCAGAGCCTCTGGAGCTGCAGGGATGTCCCTGTGGCTCTCTGATGGGCAGCTAGAAGACAGACCTGTGCTGGAAGTCTCATTCAAGGGCCCAGAGCAACCCGGATGGTGCCAGTTCTTCAGGAGGTTGGTGTGGAGCTGTCGGTGTAGAAACACCGGATGCTCAGGAAAC
This sequence comes from Homo sapiens, assembly GCF_000001405.40. NCBI lineage: Eukaryota > Metazoa > Chordata > Mammalia > Primates > Hominidae > Homo > Homo sapiens. Next base: position 71,507,018 of record NC_000002.12, read on the forward strand.
CCCAGAAGGGGCTGCCTAAGTGGTCTCTGGAGCCCTCTCTCTGGAGAGGGCTGCTCCTGTCTGCATCCCGGAGAGGGCTGCTCCCAAGCCCCAGTGCTGAGGAGCTGGCACTGGGCACGGTGTGGAAGAGTTACACTCCGGCGGCTCCACCTCTCACAGAGATGGTGTATAGAAGCCCCCAGGTGGTGTGCAGTGAGTGGATAGCAGGGTGAGCCCCTAGAAACAGGAAGGGGCGCTCTTCCAGGGGACCTGTTTCCAAGGTCAGAGGCCCAAGGGCAGCCCAGGTGTGGCCCCTTCAAGTTTTTGCTTCACTCTCCTCAGCTCAATGGGGTCCACTCAGACCGCTTGATTTAACACTGCAATCTGCAAAATGTCTCATTCCCCTGATCCTTCTTGCTCTGGTTTACTTTTTCTTTTCTTTCTAACATACTCTCTTCTTTATGTATTTATTTTGTTTATTATTTATTGTCTGTCTTCTCTGCCAAGACATCAGCTCCATGGGGGCAGGGACCTTTGCCTTATTTATGGAAGCGTCCCCAGAATCTTGAACAGTGTGTTTGGCCCTGGCAGGTGCCCAACACACAGGCACGTGTGCGCGCACACACACACACGTAGAGGGAATGAATATGTGAGTTAATGAATGAATGGGTCAGGCCAGACATGTCAGGCAGGGCCCTCAGTGTTCATCTTTCAGATGTGGGCCCAACTCAGGCCAAGTCAAACAAACACCCCCCACAGGCCTGGCCTCTGGGGCCACTGCACGGAGCCCTGCGCTCACAAGGGCCTCATGCTTGGCTTAATTCTCTTCTGTTTCCATCTTGAAATTCTTAAAGCTCACTGCATCCTTGACCTCCGGGGCTCAAGTAGGCTCAAGTGATCCTCTCGCCTCAGCCTCCTGAATAGCTGGGACTACAAGCATGGCTACCACGCCCAACTAGTTTTTGATTTTGGAATAAGGGGCTCTGCATTTTCATTTGTGCTGGGCTTGCACATTATGCAGCTGGTCCTGACCTCATGCTAATCTTGGAGGGCCGGAGTCAGCATGGATGGGCAGGGGGCTTTATTTGTCTCTGCCTAAGGAGATTCCTGTGGCTATTCCTAAAAAGAAGCAGATTTTCAAAACCTTTTATTTGGAAATATTTAAGATCTAGACAAAAGTTGCCAAGTATGGTACAAAGAGTATTTTGTCCTAAGCCATTTGACATGAGGGTGCCAACCTCCTGGCCCATCATTCTGAACTCGAGTGTGTGTTCTCCAGTTAAGGACTTTCTCCTACATAACCACAACACAGCCTTCCAAACGATGAAATTAACATGGACACAGCACTCTCGTCTAATCCCCAGACCCCAGTCGCGGCTCATCCATTTTTCCCAGTGTCCTTTGTAGCAGAAGGATCCCACTAAGGCTCATGTGTTGCACCTAGTTGTTTTGTTTCTTCAGTTTCCTTCCATTTGGAATAATTCCTCAGTCTTTCTTTGACTTTTATAACCTTGTAGCTGGATATTTTTTTGAAATTCCGGCCAATTATTTGTAGAATGTCCCCCACATTGGTTTTGTCTGATGTTTCCTGTGTTTAGATTTAGGCTGTGTGTCTTGGGTGTGAGTGTAACACTGATGCTGCGTGGCTGTCTTTGTGCCCTATCAGGTGGGATGATTGTGATTCGTTTGGTTACCACACTGTTAACTGTGATCATTTGATTACACTAGCATTTGCTGGGTGTCCCCGCTAATCGTTCATCTACTCCCCTTTCTCATGTCAGAATTTTGTGACTTTGTAATATCCTCTTTGTCATCTAACCTTTACCCGTGAGTTCTATGAGCTGTTGTTTTGTATTTGTATTTTTACTTTTTTTGAGACGGTATGTCACTCTGCTGCCCAGGCTGGAGTGCAGTGGCACGATCCTGGCTCACTGCAGCCTCCGCCTCCCGGGTTCAACCAATCCTCCCACCTCAGCCTCCCAAGTAGCTGGGATTACAGGGGCATGCCACCACACCTGGCTATTTTTTTTGTATTTTTATAGAGATGGGGGGTTTTACCATGTTGGCCAGGCTGGTCTTGAACCCCTGACCTCAGGTGATTCACCCACCTCGGCCTCCCAAAGTGCTGGGATTACAGGCGTGAGCCACTGTGCCCAGCCGTCATGAAGTGTTTTTGTTTTTGTTTTGAGACTGGTCTCATTCTGTTGCCCAGCTGGAATGCAGTGGTGTAATCATGGCTCACTGCAGCCTTGACCTCCCAGGCTCAAGTGATTCTCCCACCTCAGCCTCCTGAGTAGCTGGAACTATAAGCGTGGGCCACCATGCCTGGCTAATTTTTTGTTTTTTGTAAAGATGAGGGTCTCACTATGTTGTCCAGGCTGGTTTTGAACTCTGGGCTCAAGAAATCCTCCTGTCTCAGCCTCCCAAAGTGCTGGGATTATAGTTGTGAGCCACTGTACCTGGCCGTACCCAGGAGTTTTAATATCACTGCTGTTTCTTGGTTGAATTCATTATTGCTTTGATGATTGCTAAATAGTGATATTCTCAGTTATTTTTCCTGCATTAGTCAGTTGGCATTTCGTGGTCAGGAAAAGCTTTCTCCTCTCCTATTTATTTACTGTGGTATGGATTTGGGTATTTCTATTTTATTCAATTGTTTAATCTGTTACTGTTATTATGTATTTTCATGTTTCTATTGTCTCAGATTTGGCCTGTGGGAGCTCTTGAAAGTTGGCTTCTGTGTCCTTTTGACATGTTTTTACTTTTTATTATTTATTTATTATTTTATTTTATGTTTTTGAGGCAGAGTCTTGCTCTGTAACCCAGGCTGGAGTGCAGTGGTGTGATCGACTCATTGCGACCTCTGCCGCCAAGGTTCAAGCGATTCTCCTGCCTCAGCCTCCTGAGTAGCAGGGATTACAGGTGCATGCCACCACGCCTGGCTAATATGTTTGTATTTTTAGTAGAGATGGGGTTTCACCATGTTGGCCAGGCTGGTCTCAAACTCCTGACCTCAAGAGATCCGCCTGGCTCGGCCTCCCAAAGGGATTACAGGCATGAACCACCTCGCCCAGGCTCTTTTGATGTGTTTTTAAGAATCAGTCATTCATTGAGCATTTCCTTCCTTTCTGGTGCAAGAAGATGGTCCAGGCTCATCTTGTATCTTCCCTGCCCTAGCCCTGGAAGTAGTTATTTCTCCAAAGAGCCCAACTTACCTTTTGCTGAAGTGGAAGAAAGTCCCAGGACAGTTGTTAAAAGTGCAAATACCCAGGCCCACCCTAGACCTACTGAACTGGCATCTCTAGGAGTCAGGTGTGGCATCTGGGCGGAGGGGAGGACTTTCTTCTTTTCCCCTCCACGGGTTGCAGGAGCTGAAGGGACTGGCTGCTCACGTGGCGACACCTGGTGGTGATTCAGGAACCCACAGGGCAGGTTATGTTCATTCCTTGGGTGAGGGAATTCAAGGGTCTCAGTTGCCTTTGTTGACCTCCTCCTGGGTCTCCTGGGATGCTGAGCTAGCTCTTGTCTCCTTCCTCAGTGTTCTGAGCCCTGCTTTCCACCAGTGCTGCTCTCCTTAGTGTGGCTGTCCCCAGGCCCCAGTCTGGAGAGTTCAAGCTCAAGAGCTGAGTATGTCGGGAGCCTTCAGGCCCTTCTCTCTTGGGACTGAGTTTGCTCTGTGAGTCCCTGGACGTCCCTAACATCATTCAGCAGAAAGGTCCAGTGAACTGTGCCAGAGCCACTCAGAGGGACATTATGCCTCAGGAAAAATTGTGTTTATAAAGGGTTTGTCAAAACCTGGGGAGAGCTTATTGCCTGACATTCAGTAAAAGAAAATCATTTTGCATACAGCAGATCTGTCTACTATTTGTTTGAAAGATTGGAGAGAACTGGAATGTGGAGTCACGGAATTATGGACAATTGGTTTTCTTTTGCCTTATTTTTCCTCTTTAAGCTTTCTGTGCTTCCCAAACTTTCTTAGAGTATCCGTTGCACTAATTTGAGAGACTGGCTGCCCCAGGAGGCTTGCTGGACCTGTGGAGCCGGGACAGGGCTCAGGCAGGCCCGGGAGCAGCCAGGCTGCAGATCCTGCTGAGGTTGTGCCGTTCCCAGGTTCAGGGTGAGGGTTGGGGTGGGGTGGGCGCATGGGCAACCCGACCTCGCCTGTGAGGGATGTCACCAGTCCCTCTCCTCTCTGGCCGGTGCAAGCCGGGGCAGCTGAGGATGTGCTGGGGGGCAGGAAGGAAGAGGGCTCTGCAAGCCTGGCAGCACACTGAGACCCTCTCAGTGCTAGCTGCAGCCTGAGCAAAGCAGAGCAAAGCTGAGTTGTCCCTGGAGAAGTAGGGGCAAGCCATTGACTGAGCAGAGTGGCCAAAGGGACATTTTCCTGAAGACAGGCCAAGTGGATAGTGGGAAAAATCCTGCAGGTGAGGTTGGATCCCTGATTCATTTGCAGAAGTCCACTACGTGCTACATCAACTAATTTGCTCCACATTTGACCTGTGAGGAAGGTGCTATTGCTATGACTAACCCCAATTTTATAGATGAGGAAACTGAGGCACAGGGCGGTCACAGATCTTGCCTAAGGTCACACAGCTCCTGAGTGGTGGAACCTGACCCCGGATTCTGTGCTTCGAACCACCTGACTATGCTGATAGGTCCCTTGGGGTGGCTTTGCCACAGCCTCCTGCAAACCTGGCTCTTGTCAGAGCCATATTCCTTGGTGGAGGGATGCCAGAAACAGGGAAGATACTGGAGGGCAGTGGTCCGAGGCCAGCGCACCAACCTGTCCCCCACGTCTCATCTCTTCCAGGCCTCGCTGGTCCTGCAGGTGTCCTACACACCGCTGCCTGGAGCTGTGCCCCTGTTCCCGCCCCCTACTCCTCTGGAGCCCTCCCCGACTCTGCCTGACCTGGATGTAGTGGCAGGTGGGTAGCCCACGTTGGCCTGGCTGGGCCCCAGCAAGAAGGCCGGCAGTGGCACTTGAGCCTGGGGGCTGGGAGCTGCAGCGAGGCTTCCCAGCCTTTGCTGCCCTCCCCAGGTTGGAGGCTGCCCAGGCCTGGAAAGAAGAGGGTGCAGTGGGTGGGAAGTCCTGAGGGCTGCCTTCTGCTGTGCAGAAAGAAGGGGCAGCAGGCACGTTCCCTTGGGCGGTGCAGGGAGTAATGTGAGGGTGCCTCCAAGCCCCAGCTGCCTGGGGACGGGGCTGAGCCCAGGCTGGGTGTTCTGAGCTGTGCAGTTCCAAGAAGGGTGTGTGGGGATGGGGTCTGACCCAGGTGATACCTGAGGCCCCACAAACTCCCCAGAACCGAATGTTTCCCTACCTCAGCACCCAGCAGGCCTTTGGTGATGGTGTGTGACAAAAGAACTAGTTTTTTTTCTTGAAAGAGCCCTGAACTGAACTTCAGGGTTCCAGTCCTGCCTTTGACACTGAGTCTCTGTGTGACTTTGGGCTGATTACTTTCCCTCTCTGGGCCCATAGATTATTTGTGAAGGGAGCAGACTAAGTTAGCTAAGTGCTGTGCCTGTCTCAGCTCTCTTCACTTGGTTCTGCCAGGCTGGTCAAGCGAGGACCCAGCCCGGGGTGGCTGGCTCTCCACTGGTGGGCCTGGGTGTGGGAGCCTCCATGTGGTCCAGCCTGCTGGGGTTGGGAGGAAGCTACATAGACGGGCTAGTGGGCACTTGCCCATGGGAAAGATTCTAGAGTTTTTCTCTTAGTGAAGGGAGCTAGAAGCAAGCACAGCATTAAAACCGGAGCAGCCCATGTCTCAATTGAGTGTGCCCTGTGCCTGACCTGGGGCCAGCCCAGCACAGGGCTCTGTGGTGAGGTCGGCAGAGCAGAGCTGTCTTGTTGGGGCTCAGCACTGTCCGAGCTTAGAGATGGGAGATCAGTCTGGACTGGAGTAACCTGGTAATCCTGAGCTGTGTGGCTGGAGTGGGCTCAGGGGAGGAAGGAGAGGTGCCCGTGGTGGCAGAGGGTGGGGAGCAGGGAGGGTCCGAATACTCTGGGACTGTGTTGAGGTGGATCTGACAGAGTTAGGTGCAGGCCAATCAGTGGAGGCTTCCAGACACGCCTGGGAGGTGGTGAGAAGGAACAGGTGCCACTGGGCTCCACAGCTATTTCTGAGCTTTGCACCAGGCTGGGGTGGGCGGGGAAGGCAGGGTTGGGGATGGAGGTGCAGTAGGTTGGTTTCCTTCACCCCAACCTCCTCCCTCCCCTCCCGGGGTTATGCCCTGCCCACAAGACAGGCGGGGGACAGAGCCGGGCCGAGACTTGGTCCCTGCTCAGTGACAGCACCATGGACACGAGATACTCTGGAAAGAAGTGGCCGGCCCCCACGGGTGAGACACGGGCCAGGACTGTCCTGATCCCAGACCCTCCCTGTAACTGTCTCACTAGCTGCCATGGTCAGCTTGCTGGAGCGGGGCCAGGTGGCAGAGGACTCCTCCTGCAGGACTTGGCGGGTGGGAGGGCTAGGGCCATTCTGTTTTCTTCCTGTTGACTAACTGGACTGACTGCCCTCAAGTTTCAGCTGCTGGAAGCTCCTCTTCTTTCTACCTTATCCATCCTGGCTCACTGATGGGGAGGGAGGAGGGAGAGGAAGAGGGGATGAGTCTTAGGGCCCATGCCTTTTGGATCTTCTGCCCCCTGGGCTGGGTCCCAGGGGCAGGGGCAGGGGCAGGGCCAGAGGGATCCAGGCCTCATTAGGGCCCTCTCCTCTTAGACACAGGAGGAGAGGAAGACACAGAGGACCAGGGACTCACTGGAGATGAGGCGGAGCCATTCCTGGATCAAAGCGGAGGCCCGGGGGCTCCCACCACCCCAAGGAAACTACCTTCACGTCCTCCGCCCCACTACCCCGGGATCAAAAGAAAGCGAAGTGCGCCTACATCTAGAAAGCTGCTGTCAGACAAACCGCAGGATTTCCAGGTGATGAACGGGCTTTCTCTGACCCCAGGCTCCTCTTCAGCCATCAGCTGCGGGTGCCAGGCACCTGCCTGGTTTGTCCAGCTTCAGGGGAAGATGTGTGTGGGATCCTCAGGGCCCTCCTGTGGGGGAATCTGTAGTTTCCCTGGGCCTGGGCAGATGCCAAACAGGGAGTTCACATCTTACATCCACAGAATAAGCTTCTGCCGAGACCTGTGGTTTTGCGCTTAAAAAAAAAAAAAAAAAAAAAGTCACTGCAGAGATTCAGCATGTCTTTGCATCTCTGATCAGAGAAAAACCTGATTTTTCTAACCAGGGTATATCCAACCAGCAAGCTCCTGGCTATTCAGGTGTGGTCTGTGTCCAGCACCTTCCGCATCACCTGTATACTTGTTAGACATGCAGAGTCTACTCAGACCTGCTCTACCAGAATCTGCATTTTAACAAGATCCTTACCTCAAAGAAGCTCTGTCTAACATCTTTTTTTTCTCCTTATATCTATCCCCCTGCATATAGCCATGGATTTTTCTGAGAGTCATGTGGAATTTGAATTTGTTCAAGCTCATCACAGAATAAAAGCTATTAATATGAACACTTTGACACATTTTTATCCAAAAATCCATCCCATTTTATTTGCTTTTAACTTTGGTCCTTTGCCTATTTTTTTTTTCTTTTCAAAAGAATTTTCTATTTTGATGTAGTCACACAGTGATATTTAACTCTTTACAACTACTTTTAAGGTTAAAAGCAAGAATCTTAAATCTCTATTTATAATACTAAGTGCAACAAATTGCAAAAATATATTTCTATTCTAAATCATGGTAATTTAAGCAGAAGTCCTAGCTCTAACCACTGTTTGCCCCAAAAGACAAAATTCTAGCCCCCATACTACTATTCCCCAAACATGTTCATATTGCCTTTGTTCTCTTTATGGAAATACCATATGTTTATTTTAGACACTTTGGAAAATATATTAAAATGAGGAGATTAAAAATCACTCATCCATCTTCCCATTGCTATTAAGAATATATCCTCCCATATTATGCAATTTACAAAAAAAAAAACAGTTGGTCAGTAAATAACAGTTGATTCTAAAGTGGAGCCAGTAAATATCTTATTTTTTTCCATAGAATTGCCTTAATATTGTAAAATTTCATATTTTAAAATATCTTACCTAATATTTGGAAGCATAGACGTTCTTGAAGTCTTCATTTACTTACAGCTCAATGGCAAAAATTCTTAATTTATTTCTCAGAATGTAAGAAAGCATTGCATCTTATAAAGAATAAAGACTATTTCTGGGGTCACTTCACTGTGTAAGTTCGACCTCTGAGGGAATTGTCAATAAAGAATATTCAAGCCACTTAAAAATGCCAGTATCAATGGGGTCTCGGGTGGGGCTTGTGCCAATGGCTGAATGACATAAATGGGGGCTGTATCTGCCCACCCCTGGGGTTTAATGTGGGTAGCCGACGAGGGGCAGCCTGGCAGCTCTTCTATGGAGCTGTGGAATTTTATAGATGTAAGGGGCCTTGGTGGGAAAATATGATAGTTCGTATAATGCTCTTCCTAATTCCTTTTTAATACTTTCCCCAAGAAGCCAGTGGTGAGATGGTCCCTGAGATTTCTGACTCTTGGGGTGGATGGTGGGTGGTCCTTAACTCTTCCCCCTTCCTCCTGCTCTTTCCTCCTTCTGGCTTTCAGATCAGGGTCCAGGTGATCGAGGGGCGCCAGCTGCCGGGGGTGAACATCAAGCCTGTGGTCAAGGTTACCGCTGCAGGGCAGACCAAGCGGACGCGGATCCACAAGGGAAACAGCCCACTCTTCAATGAGGTGGGAGACATGGGGCATGAGGGCCAGAACCTTGGTGGGCCTTCCAATCTGGAAGCCCAGTGCAGACACCTGGCAATTCATTCAAGAGTGTTTACGTATGGCGCTGACCTTGGGTGGTGAGATGTGCTGGCTCCCAAGGAGGTTATCTGTGGGACTGGAGAAAGGGCTCCTGCTCTTACTTCTCCTGCTGCTCCACATCCCTGTCACCCTATAGGGCCAGCCACCCACCCAACCCTGAAATGACCACGTCTGTGAGGCCAGGGGCAGATCACCCCAGAACTTGTCCAATCCCCAGAACTGTGCCCAATCCACATTTTCTGAGGGGACTAAACTGCTAGGCGTGGAGGCTTGGGGGTGGTGGTCCTCCCTCTCCCTGGCCTGAGGGATCAGCAGGCACTGATATGTCTCTCTTTGCTCTGAACCAACAGACTCTTTTCTTCAACTTGTTTGACTCTCCTGGGGAGCTGTTTGATGAGCCCATCTTTATCACGGTATGTCTCAGCAGTCAAAGTGTTCTCCGTGGGCTGTATGTATGCACATAGGTGTCAGTGCACACGCGTGTGTGTTTGTGCACGTGTGTGCATGTGCACGTCAGTGTGAATGCGTGAATGCGTGTGTGTGCCTGTCGGTGTGTATGTGAGTATGTGCGTGAGAGGGAGACGTGTTAAAGCCTGACATATGGATGATGTGGAGTAACTCACAGTCAGGCTCTACGGGTCACAGAAATGCCTGCAACAGCTCAGCTGGCAGGCAGCAGCTGCGGGAGAGCCCACTGCTCAGCATCCCCCTGGGGCCTCAGGTCAGGGTCCTTAAATCACTTGTGGCAATGAACATTTAAGGTTCCATCTTATTTTGTTAATCCACGTGCCTGCTTCTGACTGAGATTCTCTTTCTCTCTGGGCCTTGGCTCTTCCCCCATCTCCTCTGAAGCGCACTGCAGCCTAGTGGCTCTAAGTGTAGGCTCCGGCACTAGAGTGGATTCCAGCTCTGTCTATGCCGTGTAGGGATTGTGTTTTCTGTACAAGTCTCTGTGCCCCTATTTCACCTGTGAAATGGGGATAATGACAGTATCTGCTGATGGGGTTCCTGTGAGGGCTAAACACTGCTTAGAACAGTCTCTGGAATTGAGTAAGTGTGAAGTGTTGGCAGTTATTGTTTGGGAGGGAAGAGCTATTGGGTTGGCCGTGTGGGCCACATGTTCCCTGTGAATGTGAGTTTCCATGATCTTTCTCTGCAGGTGGTAGACTCTCGTTCTCTCAGGACAGATGCTCTCCTCGGGGAGTTCCGGGTAATTGCTTATTTTCTATGAAAGCAGTCAGTTCTCACTTCTCCGTGTTGGTGGAGCCTCTGTGGACCATGGGCAGGGGCTCCAGAGATCCTGTGTTTCTCTGCTTTGGGAAAATATAATTTCAAAGAACAACGCCAAGCCCTCTGCACAGCATCTCCTTTCACCCCAGAAAACCTCTCCACAAAGGTAGAAGAGAAAGAAAGCACTTTTTGTCACTGAAGAGGCCTTAAACCAGAGTGAGATGTACATCACAGGCAATGATCCACTAAGATGCTGCAAAGACAGAAAGAAATCTCACGCTAATTTAGCCAGCGGGTCCAACCCATTGCCCACCACATACGTTCTCAAGAGAAGCTATGCCCCACCCTCAGGTCAGGGGACTTTACATTTCAGACCTCCTGAGAATGACATTTGTATACTAAAGCTGACAAATGGCTTATTTAGTTTCTTAAAAAGATGTATAGCACCTTTGGTCACACCGAGTTCATCCCAAAGTCACCTGGTAATCGGGGTGACCATCTATGTTAGCTAATTTGTTGTGTCCAGAAGACCAAACAAAAATCAAACTCATATTTTTATGACAGGAAGTAGTTTTACAACTTGGAGCAAGGTGCGCACGGGAGTTAGGCTCCTATCTTCCGACAGAAGCTGGGACACAGGGGAGCCGTCTCCCTTGGTGTTTATATTTCAGACGTCCTGAGAATGATATTTGTATACTAAAGCTGACAAAAGGCTTATTTAGTTTCTTAAAAAGATGCATTTCAAAGAGACAGGGAAAGTGTAATATATTTACAAGTTTTCTAAGGTAAGTGTTCTGACAAAAAGAGAGGGGAGGGAAGTACTTCTTCCCTTATTTCCAACAAGCAGAATCAAGACCCTTATTTGTAATTTGGATTTTCCCCCACCTCTGGGAAGGCCGTGTGAGATCTGAGTTTGGGCAGCCCTCCTCCTCATCCTGGCCATCTTGGGCCAGTGAGACCCAGCGCTCTCTGCCCTGACATCACTCTCACCCTGGGATGGGAGTGGGGTTCAGATATGGATCCCTGGGGGAGGGAGAGGCAGTGGAGAGAGGGGAACCCTGCCCCAGCCTCCTCACTTGTCCCAGACAGTCCAGAAGTGAATAGTCCTCTTCTGAGAACCGAGAGCCAATGGATTTAACAGATTACGTAAAGTAAAGGTAACTAGTAATTGCACAGACTAAAGGAGACCTGTATGATTTTTTTTTTTTTTTTTTTGAGATGGAGTCTTGCTCTGTCGCCCAGGCTGGAGTGCAGTGGTGTGATCTCAGCTCACTGCAACCTCTGCTTCCCAGATTCAAGTGATTCTCCTGCCTCAGCCTCCCCAGTAGCTGGGATTAGAGGCGTGTGCTACCACGCCTGGCAGTTTTTTTTTTTTTTTGGTATTTTTAGTACAGATGGGGTTTCACCATCTTGGTCAGTCTGGTCTTGAACTCCTGACCTTGTGATCTGGCTACCTTGGCCTCCCAAAGTGTTGGGATTACAGGCATGAGCCACCGTGCCTGGCCTGCATGGTGTTTTAATGTAATTTGATGTAATTGTTACTAATTTTCTCATTTTGAAATTTTCAAGGATTTCTCAAAAGGAAAGAAAGAGCACAAGCTTATTTTCCCCTCTCCCCTCTATCCAAGTATATCATGCCTTCCTTCTTTAAATTTGTATTTTAAATATGAATTTAAAATAAGGGGCTTGGTTCTGCCTGTTGTCAGAAGTTACCTTAGAATTATTTATTCTGCCCAATAAATAATTGCTGGGACCAGGCGCAGTGGCTCATGCCTGTGATCCCAGTGCTTTGGGAGGCCAAGGTGGGCAGATCACTTGAAGTCAGTAGTTCAAGACCAGTCTGGCCAACATGGTAAAACCCCGCCTCTACTAAAAATACAAAAATTAGCTGGGCATGGTGGTATGCGCCTGTAATCCCAGCTACTCAGGAGGCCGAGGCAGGAGAATCGCTTGAACCTGGGTGGCAGAGGTTGCAGTGAGCCAAGATCGCACCATTGCACTCCAGCCTGGATGACAGAGCGACACTCCATCTCAAAAAAAAAAAAAAAAAAAAAAAAAAAAAATTACTGGGTTGGACCTGATGGCTAGATCAGTGGGTGAGATTTCTTTGTCTTTGCGCTGTCTTCTCAAATCATTGCCTGTGGGAAGAAGTCACAAGATAAAAAACTAAGTCTGTTTACCTGGAGAAGCATTTTTTAAAAGAATGAGCTTGAGCCCAAGTCATTCTGTAACAAATTAAATCTTAATTATGTTTTGAGTCTTGTTCTGAGAACCCAAGGGTTAAGTCAAAAAATTATTTTACTTGTATCTAATTATAAAAGTAATCTATGATTTAAAAAAAAGACGACTTTTTAAAACAGACTGTTGTAGGTTCACAGCAAAAATTAAGTGGAATGTACACAGTTCCCATATACTCCCTGCCCCCTGCCCCTGCTGCCCCCTGCAGCCTTCCCCACTATCATCATCCCAATCATCTGTGGATTTTTAATAGAAAATTGTAAAACACAGGAAGGAATAAAAAATGAAATAAAAATAATCCAAATCTACCATGCAGGGATAACATAGTCCTATTGTGTTGAATTTCCTTTCCTCTTTTTTTTTTGAGACGGATTTTTGCTCTTGTTGCCAAGGCTGGATTGCAATGGCATGATCTCGGCTCACTGCAACCTCCAACTCCTGGGTTCAAGTGATTCTCTTGCCTCAGCTTCCCAAGTAGCTGGAATTACAGGCATGCACCACCACACCCGGCTAGTTTTTTTTTTTTTTTTTTTTTTTGTATTTTTAATAGAGATGGAGTTTCACCATGTTGGTCAGGCTGGTCTCGAACTCCTGACTTCAAGTGATCCACCTGCCTTGGCCTCCCAAAGTGCTGGGATTACAGGCATGAGCCACCACGCCCAGCCTCCTTTCCTCTTTCTTTTCTGTACATAAGCATTCTTTATCAAACTGGGATCAAAATATATTTCATTTTCTTTTCATGTAGTATCAAATGTTGACTGCCTGTGTTTCCAAATGTTCTTCAAAAACATGGTTTTTAATGGAATCATATAATGCACCACACTTTATTTAACGCTTTGGCGGCAAGAGTTTGATTTGTGTCTCCTCTCATTGATTGCAGATGGACGTGGGCACCATTTACAGAGAGCCCCGTGAGTTCTCACCACTTTGGCCGTATCCTTGCATTTTGGTTCTGGAGGCTGATTGGGGACACTCATTTGGGGTCCTCACTGTCCCTCCTGGGGGTTTTAGAATCTAGAGGAAGGGTTTGATCTTGGGAGAGAAAGCAGGTCATTCATCCTCCATGTGAGACAGGCCCTCGGGAGGGTGTAACACTCACCTGTGTCTCCGTTGGCCCATTCAGGGAGGCTAGATCTGAAAGGCCCCATTACTGGACACTGGGCTCACGGCAGACAGGGACAGGTCATTTGGGTGACAAGCCAGGATTTCTCCTCACCCTGGTTTCCATTCTGATCTGGTCACTTCCTGAAGGGGAGGAAAATGCCTTGGGTTTGGCTCTGCCAGCCTCTTACAGGCGTTTCTGTTAATATTTCTGACTCTGACCACATGAACACTCAAAGTACCTTTTGATTCTAGAATCTGAGTCCTGAGCTCATGGCCCAGCGGATGAGTCCTTTACCTCCCCTGTGCAGTCCATCCTGGGTTCCCGGATGTGGCCACAGCCTGGGGTCTTCTGATTCTGGGATCACCAGAGGATGTTGTCTCTCTTAGGGCACGCCTATCTCAGGAAGTGGCTGCTGCTCTCAGACCCTGATGACTTCTCTGCTGGGGCCAGAGGCTACCTGAAAACAAGCCTTTGTGTGCTGGGGCCTGGGGACGAAGCGCCTGTGAGTACATTTCCCTGGGTCTTCCTTACGGTCCCCCACGCGGCACTTGGTTGCGGAGGCACCAAACCACAAACAAAAACTCTATTTTTTTTTCTGATTTAAACTAATATGTGGTAATTAATGAGAAATGTGGAACATGTAGAAAGGTGTTAATAAAAAATGAATGCTCTGGGTGCAAGGTATTAATAAAAAATGAATCACTCATAATCCTACCACTCCGAGAGAGCTATTATTGTCTCATTGCACATCCCTCTGGAAGGATATATGCACATATTTTCTTTTTGCAACAGTGAGATTATTCTATATATATTATATTGTGACTTGAATTTCATGGCCTAAGAATGTATCATGCTCATCTCCACATGTCAGTAAGTAAAGTTATAAGTTGGAGGTGGTAAGAATGAGAAAAATGTTGAGAGCAGGAGAGGTATCTGCATCTTTCTATGTTTGAGAAGAGGAGAAAAGGTTTGGAATCATCTTTGTGGGAGAGGAGTGAGGGGTTAGATTTAATGAAAGGATTTCTGTACAAACACCAGAGCACCCACTCTGGGTTGGACGCTTTGTTTGTAGTGGAGCCACTTGCCTCATGGTGCTCAGCAGCGCAGAAGCAGAAGAGAGGCAGGTGGGTGGTGGACGTGTTGGGTGAGGGCAAGCCAGGAGTGCTGAAGGTCAGGGGTGAGGTGAAGGTCAGGGGTGAGGTACCTGAATATGGCTGATGGCTTTGTGCAGGGAGGGAGAGGAGGACAGGGCCCCTGGGGTCTCCTGCCATGCCTCGTGTCTCCCCCATCCTCACCACACACTGGCTCCTTGGCCACCTGGACGTGCTGCTTGGATGAATGTGGGTTTCTACTTCTCCACTTAGCTGGGCCCCGGGTGCTGTCCGCCTCTTCCTTTACCTGGGTATAGTTTACTCCTTATCTAATTCTCCTCATCTCCTTACTCCTTATCTCTCCTGGCTGTTCCCAGACTTTCTTCCCTTTCCTAAGCTCCAACCTCAGCTTCCCTTGGAGAGGCAGAGCTGCACAGCGATGAGTGGTGAGAGCTCTGGGAGCTCCTGTGGTCCTCAACTTGCCCCCCATCTTCATCCACCTTCCCTCCCTTCCTCCGCCCCTCCCGCTGCATTATCCCACCACCTCCTTGGCCATGACTTCACATCCTCCACTGTCTTCTTTAGCCTCCTCTTTCTGGTCTCTTCTCACACTTGTCTCCTCTGCCTCCTTCTCCATGATCTGTACCAGGCTCAAGATTTCCCCATCCTAAAACACCCCTTCCTTGACCCATTTCTCCCCACCCCTCCTCTCCACTACTATTTTCTCTCTCTCCTACTGCTGGTCATCACCAACTTTTGAAAGGGTGCACTGCATCCCCCTTTTTCCACTCCATTGCCAGCTGCTCATTCCTTCTCCTCTTCAGTAGGAATCCCACCACCTCCCCTCCCTGAAGCCACTGGTGTAAGGGTCACTCATTACCATAGCTTAGGAGCTCTCCTCTGTTGTTAGACTGCACCACTGCTCCATAGCGTTCGATTCTGGAGCCCACGCCTTATTTGAAACTGTCTCCTCCCTTAGTATTCATGACTCTCCTTGCTCCTTTTCCAGTGGGTTCTTCAAATTCGATGTTGCAGTTCAGTCCCTGTTCCCTTGCTGTGTCCTGCCCGTCACTGTTGAGGAGTCCGTCTCTTTCAGACACCACCTGAGACTTGTAAATTGCTCTTCTCCAGCCTGGATCTTCTGAGCTCTGGACGCTCAGTTTCAGTTGCCTTGTCATCAGGCCACATTAACATGTCCCTTAGGCCCCTCTAACTTATTATAGTAAATCTAACTTATTATAGCAAAGCCTGTATCATTTGCTGCCCACTCCCCACACCTGTTCCCCATCCCGTATTAGGTGACATCTTAGGAAATTGCATGATTATCCACTTAGTCCCCCAAACCAGAGGCCAGAGTTTCATTCTTTACCCCTCAATCCCCATGCAAGCAGTTGGCCAGTCTTGTTGGTGGAAAACCTCAGTGTACGCCTCTTCTTTTTCCCATCCCAAGACAGGAGTTTGAGGTCCAGCTCCCACTCTCTCTCACTTGGGTCTCTTTGTGAATTACAATATAGGTTCAGCTGGTGTAACAAAGATGCCCCAAATAATAGGCATTAAGGAGGACAGAGGTTTATTTCTCTCTCATGAATGCCACAGTCCAGAATTGGCACAGTGCTTCGGCAATGATCAGAGACCCAGGCTCCTGGTCTTTTCTCCACTGTGATCATCATGCAGCCTCCGTCACATGGCCCAAGATGGTTGCTCCAGTTCCCATCACCATGTCTGTATTCCAGCCAGGGAAATGGGAGTAAAGGACAATGGAGGCCACATCTCTTCCTTCAAAGGCATGATCCAGAAGTTGTACACATTTATGCTTAGGTCCCATTGACAAGAACTTAGTCACATGGCCACATCTAACTACGAGGGAGCCTGGGAAATAAAGTCCATCCTAATGCTGTCCAGCTAAAAATTGAGGGTTTGTTAGGGGAGGCAGAAAAGACTGGATTTGGGGGAACAACTAGCAGTCTCTGCCATCCATCCTAAGTGTCCTCTGAGGTCTCCTAACTTCTTACGTTATACTTCACCTATCCCCACCTTATCACCAGTCATCTTTTTTTTTTTTTTTTTTTTTGAGAAAGAATCTTGCTCTGTCACCCAGGCTGGAGTGCCATGGTGCAATCTCGGCTCACTGCAACCTCCGCCTCCCGAGTTCAAGTGATTCTCCTGCCTCAGCCTCCTGAGTAGCTGGGATTACAAGCGTGCGCCACCATATCCAGCTAATTTTTGTATTTTTAGTAGAGACGGGGTTTCACCATGTTGGTCAGGCTGGTCTCAAACTCCTGACCTTGTGATCCACTCGCCTCGGCCTCCCAAAGTGCTGAAATTACAGGCGTGAGCCACTGCGCCTGGCCGCCAGTCATCACTTTTAAACCCAGGTAGAATCACGCGTGTCTCCTCTTACAAAACCTCCAGTGACTTCCCACTGCTTTTAGGATAGAGTCCAAGATCCTTAGCATGACATTCAAGGCCCTTGACATTTGCCCTCAGCCTAGTTTCCCAATCCCACTTGCTGTTATGTATCTTCATGGGCCCCGTCTGTGGCCACACCAGATGATGTGACTCTTTCCAGAATGCTCTTCCATCCCTCTCTAGCCTTTTCCCCTGCTGGAATGCCTTCCCTCTCTTTGCCTACCAAGAGCCAATTTGTTCTTCCAGACCCAGTTCAGATGCTACTTCCTCCCTGAAGCTTGCCTCGTCTTCCAGGAAAATGTATTGGTCTTTCCTTTGGGCCACCACCCAGCCCTTTGGTAGTCTAATCAGTTTATGTGTCTGTCTTCATCACTGAGATTCAGTTTCTTGATGATGGGGACAATATAGCAAATGTGATATCTTTTATCTCCCCTCTTGCCTAGTACGGCAGGTCTTGTACACAGTAGGTGCTCAGTCAGTGCTTATTGTCTAGGGGAATAGACATTTTTATGGATGCCTGAAAGATGATTGTTTTCTTCTGATATGAGCTGAGGAGAATAAACGCAGAACACATCCCTTTGGGCATGCTGTGATATGGGCATTCTGGGATTGAGGGTTTTGCAGCAAGGATCCTGAAGCAGGTTTCTACGTGTCAAGTGTGACTGAGTGAGAAATGGGGTGAGGCTAGTCCAGGCAACTGTCCAAGGAGTTGGCTGCTGGGCACAGCCTGACCTTGCTATTCTCCTGTCCCTTCGCTGCTCGCTAGCCCAAGAGCAGCCACCAGATCTTTTGTCTGTTCCTCCAGCTGCCGACTTCCCCATGTGCAAGGGCCTCTGCATGAGTTGCCTCCTCGTCTGGATGCCTCCACCTGTTGCTCATCATCCAGGTCTCAAGCTGGGAAGCATTTCTGACCCCACCTCAGTATAGTTACAAGCCCCCTTGCTCTGTGCTCTCCAAGCACGTGGGTTCTGCTTCCAGCCTGTGTTACACCTCAGCTTTCTTATCTGTAAAGTGGGGGCATTCTAGGTCTTACACCCAGAGCAACATCTGTGGGCAAGCAGCGTGGGCATCACTTGGACACTTTTTGAAATGCAGAATCTTGGGCCCCACCCCACACCTGCTGAACTAGAACCTGCATTTTAATTGGAATGCACAGCAGTGGTCTAGAAGACATTGATTCTCAGCCTCTGTTGCTAGTTGGAATCATCTGGGAAGCTTTACAAGCCACTGCTGCATGGGTACTCTCTCCCAGAAATTCTGTTTTAATTGGTCTAGGGTGTGACCTGGGTTTCCCAGGTGAGTCTTTTCTTTTCCTTTTTTGTTTTTGAGATGGTGGGGGCGGGGGGCGGTCTCACTTTGTTGCCCAGGCTGGAGTGCAGTGGTGCAATCTTGGCTCACTGCAACCTCTGCTTCCCAGGTTCAAGCAATTCTCCCATCTCAGCCTCTGAGTAGCTGGGACTACAGGTGCATGCCACCATGCCTGGCTAATTTTTGTATTATTTGGTAGAGACAGGGTTTCCCCATGTTAGCGAGCTGGTCTTGAACTCCTGACCTCAGGTGATCCGCCTGCCTCGGCCTCCCAGAGTGCTAGGATTACAGGTGCGAGCCACGGCGCCCAGGCTTCCCCAGGTGTTTCTAATGTGCCGCCAAGTTTGAGACCCATTCAAGGGAGGGGTGCTATGAGGATTAAATGAGAGAGTGCATACACATCAATGCATGTGGGATGTGATTTTTGTTATTACTGTTCCAACCACAAGACACAGTACATGTTATTGGATTCGTTTGCTGAAAGTGTTTTCCCTGCATGATAGTCAGCTCCATGGGAACAGGGTGCTTATTCATGTCATCCCCTTATTCATTGCCATATCCCCTGCCCTTCAGCACCATACAGACACCTAGTACTCACTCAGTAGCTAATGGCTGGGTGAATGAACACCTGCATGTTATTAAAGACAGAGTGGCCAGCTTAGACCTCAGTTACTACTGTACTATGTTTTAACCGGGAGGTGGGGGAGAGCGGGAAGGAGACTGAGGTTGGTGGAATGCTTGCTGTGTGCCACGTGCATTTACATCATTACTGGAGATGTTCCTCGCACAGTCCTGGAAGGTCAGTATCATGGTCTCTGCTGTACTCAAGAGGAAGCTGAGGCTCAGGTGAAGGACCTTGCCCGAGACCACGCGGTAGTAAGTGTCGGAGCGCAGTCTGCCTTACTGCAGAATGCAGCATTTATGTGGCGAAGCTGGAACTCTTAGAAAAGGAAAGTAAAACCCTGTGCTCAGGAGCGCATGAAGGAATCGTATTTGGTTTTCTTTGTAGCTGGAGAGAAAAGACCCCTCTGAAGACAAGGAGGACATTGAAAGCAACCTGCTCCGGCCCACAGGCGTAGCCCTGCGAGGAGCCCACTTCTGCCTGAAGGTCTTCCGGGCCGAGGACTTGCCGCAGAGTGCGTGGGGCGCGCCCTTGGGTGGGAGGTCTGCAGGAGGCTGGAGGCGCAGGGCTGGTGGGGGTGGGCGATGGCGGGCGGGGTCAGCTCCCTGGGGGAAGGAGAGGCGTCTAGGAAAACAATCAGAATTTAACGAAAAGTAATCAGTGCTGGTGGAGTTACAAAGATTCAAGAACTCTTGAGAGTAATAGCTGCCTCTCAGCTCCATTCCAATGTCCTCTGGGCCTGGTCTGGCAATATTTGGCCACTCTGTGGACCCATTTTCTTAGTTCTCATTGAGAAGTCAGCACCATCTGGACTCTATTCTGGCCTTAGGGCTGGCTCTCACTGATTTTCCCTCCCTCTGTGAGGAAGCCCGTCCTGCTAGTGGCAGAGCTGGGCTGGGGAGCAGTTGCTCTAATGTTGGAAGGGTTTGCATGAAGGACTCCTGGGCCCCACTGTCTTCACAGATGAAGGACACAGATCCACAAGGTGACCCACCATCCTAGCTTGCCTGAGACTGTCCTGGTTTTAGCACTGAAAGTGCCTGTTCCAGGAAACCCTGCAGTCTCCAGCAAACTGGGACAGTGGGCACCCGACTTGCAACCATCTCTTCCTCCCAGGAAGGCCAATGTGGCCACTGCCTGGTTTCTCACAGTGGTTGGCCCGATACTAGACCCATCTGTGTGTTTAGTAAATGCTGGGGAGTTATACCGAATATTCTAGAGCTCTGGTTATCAACCTGGGCTGATAGTAGAATTCCCTGGGAAGATTCAAAACGGTCCAAATGCCGGGGCCCCACCTCCAGCGTTTTAGATTGACTCGAGTTAGGGCAGGGCTCAGCATTGGTAGGGTTTAAAGGCTCCCCAGGTTGTTCTGTGGTGAGGCCCCGCTGTGAGCCACTATTTTAAAGCATGCATTAACACAACCAAGCCACTGTCCACAGCAGAGTCAGTGAGAAGGTTTGCAACTTGGGTCCCTGGTTACAACTTTTCCATAAAGGTAACTATTTGAGAGTTTCTGCTTCGGCTGCTGACGTCAAGA
Organism: Homo sapiens; assembly: GCF_000001405.40. Taxonomy (NCBI): domain Eukaryota; kingdom Metazoa; phylum Chordata; class Mammalia; order Primates; family Hominidae; genus Homo; species Homo sapiens. The sequence continues at coordinate 71,527,370 of NC_000002.12, forward strand.
AATGAAATGTACAAGCTTACTTAGATCAAATCCTGAAGAAAGCCTGTAAATAAGTAATGGGTATTAATTCAGTACTAAAACACATGCTTAAAAATATTCTGCACTTATTGATTGCAACTAGAAGTGAGGCTGGTGAACTTCAAGAGGGGCATGGGGAAATAGAAATGTTTGCTTTTCTTAAGGTGAAAGAGCTTTGTGTTGAATTCCCTGCAACGTTGTTTGAAAAAAACAAAATAGATGGGCAAACAGATCATAAATGTTTGCTAATTGTTGTTGCCTTTTGTATTCATGTAGTTATTAGCTAGCGTATAATCTTTATCCCCCTCCACTTACTTACCCACTCATATGTCTGTAAACATAACATGCTTTATACACATATGTATGTGTATACACATAAACATATCTATCTATCTGTATCTACATATATAAATAATCTGGCTGATTCAAAAAATAATGGTTTGGGGCAGCATAGATTAAAAACTCTTAAAAAAAAAACAACAGAATTGACTTCTTGGTTAACCTCAGGTAAATCGCTGCGCTAATAGATTTAAAGGAAAATGTCAACCAGGCACCAATAATGGGATATTGTTATAACAACTGCCAGTCCTTTTCTGAGTACTTACTGCCCTTAGTGATGTAGATTTCTAATTAGTCAGGCAGGTAGATTTGATCTGAAAGGCTTTGAATGCAGGGTGGGGACAGTGAACTGAGCTGTTTGGGACTGGTGACAAAGTGGCCCGGAGCTCTCAGGAGTTGCTGCTCTGAGACAGTCCTCCTTCTGGGGAGCCCCTGGGCTGAGTCCCTGTGTGAAGGGGCCAAAGCTTCTTGCTCAGGTAGTCCCAGGACTGCCTGGAGACAGATGGGGGACAGTCAGGGTTTTAGAGGAGAGACAGCAGGCAGGCAGTGACTGGTGTGTCCCTCTTCCCAGTGGACGATGCCGTGATGGACAACGTGAAACAGATCTTTGGCTTCGAGAGTAACAAGAAGAACTTGGTGGACCCCTTTGTGGAGGTCAGCTTTGCGGGGAAAATGGTAAGGAGCAAGGGAGCAGGAGGGTTCTCTCGGGAGGGGACTTTCTGGTGCCCTGTGGACTGTGCCGGGTGAGAGCAAGACAGAGTGAGATGCCCCCACCAGAGGTGTGTGCACAAGGAGTGGCTGATCCTGGTGCGTGGTGAGACACCCACATAGGCCCAGCTCTCAGGGACTGCCCCGCACACGAATGTGGACAGGTCTGCCTGGGGGTGTCCCAGACAGACACATAGATGTGGATGGCCCAGGAGAGGACGTTGGATGGTGGATAGTAGAGGAACATTTGGGGGAAAATGGAGCAATAGCATGGAAACCAGACATGAAGGCATAAAGATAGAGAAACTATATTTTAAAGATGTGGGAGAAAAACATAATGGTTATTTAAAAAATGTTGTGGGGGTAGTTGGGCAGAGAAAGGCCCCTCTGGTGGGCACCCTAGCCTCTTCCTTGCAGCCCACCTTCCTGCCCTGAGGCGGGACTGTGGCTCCAGTCCCTGCTGACTTCTGTCCCAGCCCTTCTCTCCACACAGGCTGCCCACCCCCCAGTGTCTGTGCACCCCCCACAGGCTTTCCTGGCAGCCCCAGCCCTCCCAGGCTTCAGCCATCACCTCTCTGCAGAGAACTCCGTAGCTCTCCGAACCCTCCCTTCAACCCCAGGCCTCTCTGTGCCTCTAAACAGTTCCGCCTGCTGCCCCTCTGAGCCCTGGAGGGAGTCATTTTCTCTGCACAAACTGCCCCATATCCAAAAGCCTCTGTCTTAACCAGGTACAACCATCAAAGGCAGAAAATGTGGACCTGCCTTGATTCTTCCTTCTTTTTTCTCTCTCCACATCCCACATGCTATCTCTAGCTTTTGACTTTAAACTTGTCCCCAGGGCCCATCCCTACCTCGTGCCCCCACAGCCACTGCTAGCTCTTTCCAGGAGCATTCCCTTGTCTCTCAACTCATGGCATTGAATTTTTGAACAGCCCAGGCCATTTGTCCAAGTACTGGATTTGTTCGATTGTTTCCTTCTGTTGTTTAACTTGTTTCTCTGACTCCTCTCTTTCCTGTAAACTGGAAGTTAGGTCTAGAGACTCCATTAGATTCAGATGAAGTATTTCGGCAAGAACTCAGAGTAGTTGATGTTCTGCATGTCATATGGCATCACAACAGAGAGCCATAATGTCAGGTTGTCCCATCATTAGGGATGATCGCCTGATCACACAGTTAAAATGGTGCCTCCAGACAGCTCCCTTATAAATCTTCCCACTTTGTAATTAGCAAGTAAACTGTGGGTGATATCTTGGCACTGTACGGATGTCCTACTTCTCAGCTACCTCTTATCTAATGGTCTAAGCATCCATTGACCTTCCTGTCTGAAGAAGTCATTTAGTTGGGACTGCAAAGTGGTGATTTTCTCATTATCATTCTTTTTCTCTTGATTAGCCAACATTTTTTTCTGTAAAGAAGAGCTTTCTCCCTCCGCTTCGTTGAGTATTAGTATGGACCTCAATACTTTTTATTTCTAATGTTAAATCAGTCATTATTGTGTTGATGTATGAATTATACTGAAGGTGGCCATCAGGAGCCCCTTTGAGCTGGGCTCTCTCTCCTCAGAGACTAGCACAGGGTCCCAGTGAAAATGTACACGGGGATGTAATGCAGATTTTAAACTCGTTCATGTGGAGGTGTAAATGCTTACTGCAGATCCTCACCTGAGTGCAGGTTTTGGTGTAGACTCAGGGTCCAGGTCTTACGCCCTGCGCCTGGCATCAGGAGGAATGGGGACAGCTGCTTGAAGGTAGGAAGGAAACAGGAAGCTGCGGCTGTACGTTTTTGTGGGACACTAGCTCCAAGGACTAGGATTAATTCTTCCACTTGACACTTGGGGGAATTCACGTCCTGAGATTGTTCTTATTTCGCATTCCCAACATGGAAGGTATTTCGATGGTGGCTAGAACCAAGACCGACATGCCTTCACATTCATTGGAACTAAGCCTCAGAGCTCCGGGGCTCCGGGCTGCTCCTGGGTCCCTGCCAGCATCTTTGATCTCCCTGGGTCTTCTGTTCTGAGATGCCCTTGGCTGGCCCTGGGGATTTCTTTAGGAAGGTACCAGTGTCTAGGGGGAGGTGAAAGGACAAAGGCAGCCAAGGCAAGGCACTGTATACAGTAGATTGGCATCTGGGCTCATGCAAGAAGCTGCGCCTCCCATTTTTCCTCTAGAAGGAGGTGGAGGGAGTTGAAGAATGACCTTATGGTGAAGGAGGCAGCTGGAATGCTCCGTCTTGAAAGTTTCAACCTGGCCAGCCTCCTCGGTGGACCCCAGGCCTTTGCGTCCTCTCTGCCCTAAGCCACCTCCTTGTGGCGTCCCCGCTTCTGCTGCTCTTATGGCGTGTCTCATTCTGCCTGTCCCTCTCTTTTAGCCTGCTTGCATGTCCCTTTTCTCTCTTTACACCCTAAGCTGAAGAGCCCTGAGGTTACATTCTGTGTACCCACCCACCCCAGCTGGCCTTCTTTGCATTTCCCCTTATGGACACCTGGTGGCAGTATTATCCAAGATGTGAACCATACTTGATTTGGCCAAGTTCCTAAGAAGATAGGAGTGTGGGAGAGTGTGTGCGACTGTGCACTTCATGGTATGGAAGAAAGAAAAGGTCCTGCCCTACTTGTAGGGCAGGACAGGAAGATTTAAAACAACTTTTTTTTTTCTGAATTCAAGAATAAAACCCATTAATTGCAAAAAATTGAAAAAAATCAGAGACAAGGAAAACAACAAAAACTCCCACTGCACCATATTCTGTACCCTGCACCACCCTGGAGAGAATTACTGATAACATTGGTTTGTATTACCTACCCTGTTACCTCCCCTCTTCCCACTTGCTGGGAAAAAATCATGAAAATATTGATTTTCCTTATTCAAGGATTCTGTATTTGCCAATTTGCCTACTCACTAAAATGTATTTGCAAGCCCAAAATCAACACTCATGGCACTTTAGTGATGATTTGTGGACACTTTCAGGGCTTTGAAAAATTTGAGTCTCCCAGCGTGTATGTTGGTTGCTGAGGTTGAACAAGGTGACTCTCTGCCTCCCCGCTCCAACTCTCATGGAGTAAACATGACATGTCCATGATCAAAGGACATGTATTTACTCCACGAGAGTTGAAACAGGGAGGCAGAGAGTCTCAAAACATGGTACTGCACAGGACACGTATCAAAGGACACAGACAAAATGTGTGTCCTTTGATATGTGTCCTGTGTAGTCTCATGTTTTTCACATTTTTGTGCCTTTTCTTGGCGACTTCGCTGTTTAAAATGGCCCCAAATGTCGTGCTGAAGTGCTGTCTGGCGTTCCTCAGCTCAGAAAGGCTGTGATGTGTTTTATGGAGGAAGTGCGTGTGATAGGTAAGCTTCTGGCAGGCTTGAGTCACAGTGCCGTTGGCTGTGAGTTCAATGCTGATGACTCAGCAATGTATATTAAAAAGTAAGGTGTCCTTCAACAGAAGCACACATAAACCAAGGTTACGTATTGATCAGTTGACAAAAACATTGTGACAGAGGCTGCCAGGAATTTAACCCTGCTTCTTCTCTGAGGTAATGAGTCAGCATTCACTAATTCAGGGTTCATGGTGACCTTATAGATCATAACTACCATGAATAATGAGAATCAACTATATACATGCAGTTTGGTAAACTGCTTGTGTTGTCTCATCTTTTCTTAGGTTATTAAAGAGTCATTGAAATGATTTTTTTTGATGGCTGCATAATATTCTGTCAGATGAGTATACCATAACATTTGACCTATTTTTTGGACATATATAATTCAAATTTTCCTCTTTTATAAACAACATTGTGACAAACATCAGCATACAGGAATCTTTGTCCACACTCTGATTGCTTTTCTGTAGGGAAGTTTCTAGAATTGGGGCTGTTAAGCCAGGGGGCTTATTTTTAAGTATTTGATACAGATGGACAAATAGCCTTCCAGAGAGAGTGTACTAATAATACTCCATTGGGTAGTGAAGGAAGGTAAAGAAAAAAGGTAAAGCAAGAAAAAAAGAGAAGCAGAGGAAGAGGAAGAAGCAGCATGGTGTGGCCCTGGCTGAGTGCCTGTGGGTGGAACAGGATGGGGGAAGGCTGGCAGGGATCTCTGGGGCCACAGGCAGTGCTGGCTGGGGTGTGGCAGATGGACCAGCTGCTGTTCAAGCCCCCAGACCCACATCCTGGTGAAGGTAGCCAGGTTGAAGTGTTTGCGATGGAGGAGGGCCAGATGCCTGGGGCAGGGGCTGAAGTAGCCCGTGTGCATCCTATGTGTGTGTTGGGGCAGCCTGTGCCTTCTTATTCCAGGGACCTGGGGCACAGAGTTGGCAGAGCTGCTCAGCTGGGTCTTGTTAAAGTATCTTATTTTAAAATTTTGTTTATCTAATTTTTGAATTAGGTAGTACATTTATTCTATCTATCTATCTATCTATCTATCTATCTATCTATCTATCTATCTATCATGAAAAATCTCCCTCTTGCTCTGTACCCCATCCAACAATCAATCCATTTCTTCCTTTTCAAAGAAAACCACTGCAATTAGTTTCTTTTATATTATTCTGGTTTTGTGATGCACGTGTAAGCAAATATGACTACAGATTCTTTCTTCATTTTTTTTTGAGATGGAGTCTCACTCAGTAGCCCAGGCTGGAGTGCAGTGGTGCAATCTCCGCTCATTGCAGCCTCTGCCTCCTGGATTCAGGCAATTCTGATGCCTTGGTCTCCTGAGTAGCTGGTACTATAGGCATGTGACACCACTTCCAGCTAACTTTTGTATTTTTAGTAGAGACAGGGCTTTGCCACATTATCCAGGCTTGTCTTGAACTCCTGACCTCAAGTGACCCACCTGCCTTGGGCTCCCAAAGTGCTGGGATTAAGGCATGAGCCACCGTGCCCAGCCGACTATAGATTTTTGTCTTTTACCTTTTAGCACAAATGGCTGCACATCACACCACTCTGCGCCTTGCTTTTTTCACTTAATCATATAACTTGGAGATGGTTTCACGTCACTACCTAGAGGCATCCTCATTCTGTTTGACAGCTGCCTAGTACTCCATTGTACGGACGGACCATACTTCATTTAACCTGCTTTCCATTGGTGGACACATGGGTTGTTCCAAATCCTTGCTAGTTCAAGCCATGCTGCAGTGAATAGCCTCACACATATGTCATTCCTCACATGTGCAAGTATTTCTGTAGGATGGGTGTCTAGAGGTAGGATTCATAGGGCAGTGGGAACATGCATTTGAAACTACAATACATAGTGGCCAATTGTCCTCTGAAGGGGTCAAACTATTTTGTTTTCCCACCAGCAAAACATGAGCATGCAGTTTTCCCATAGCCTTGCCAACAGTGGTCTATCAGACTTTAGAGATTTTTATGAATCTGATGGGTGAGGAATGGTATTTTGTTGGTTTTCTTTGTGTTTCTTTCTGAGTGGGATGAAGCATCTTTTTATATGTCTCAAGGCCTTGCGTCTTCATTCTGTGAACTGTCTCTTCCACTCTTTGCTCTTTCTTCCACTGGATTGGATCGTTGGTCTCTCTTCTTTCCTTACTCCTCTCTTTGCTAACTAACACAAGGGCCAAATCCTGGCACTCAGCCCCACACCCAGCCCTGTGTGGCCTTTGTCTGGGGCTCTTTTTACAGGGAGGAGGGGGAAGGTGGGGGCAGGGGCCAGCACTGGGTGGACCAGGAATGGAGACATCATCCTCACCCCTGGGGACCTGAAGTCTCTGATTTAAGTCAGATGCTCATTAAATGAGATAATGCACATGAAATGCCTAGCACAATGCAGGGCTTATCATAGTAAATGCTCTGAAAAGGCTGCTCATTATTTTCATGTGTAGAACATGGAAATCTACCAGGATCTGTGTATCTGAAACTGAGTCTTTACCTGCTGCCCCCGTGTGTGGGTATAGGATCCCTGGGGCTGGCTAAGGGGCCTGGTGTTCCTTATGGACTCCAAGGCCAGGGCTGGCCTGTGAGCTGCTGGTTTGGATCTGGTTTCCACTCCTGTGAGGTTTCTTGTTTGGGAAAAACCTGGTCTTTAGGACAGGGCTGGTTGGAGGCAGACTATGGCTTATAGGGTTTGTATCTTCACTGAATTTTCTTTCACTCTCTGACCTCTGTGCATGGCTCCCCTCTCCCATCTCTGATCTCCTAGGGGTCACAGTCTTCCTACATGGTGGATGATCTGGGGTAATGGGCAAAAGAGCCTTCTGGGCCATAAGGGCCTCTGGGAAAGCTGGTCTGGACTGGACTCAGGGCCCCCACATTTAGGGTCATGGCCATAATGGGAGGTATGGAGAGGGATTTTCAGCCAGAGGTGTGAGTTAAGGGTAGAAGGGCTGTGGCATTCAGACAGCCCACCCCACCCTTACCCACTCCCCAGCTCTGGGTCTGACCTTCCATTGAGCTTTGTCTCTGCAAAGATTCCCTGTGTATGAACCCCCTGCACTAGGCCCCAACCCCAGGGTCTTACACCCAGCCCTAAGGGCAGCCAGCATGGCAGAGAATGGTCACTGGCTGGCATGTGGCCCCGGGGGAGCCCAGAGTCCCCATGGAGCTTGATCAACTTGTCCCCTCCCTGTGTCTTCTAGCTGTGCAGCAAGATCTTGGAGAAGACGGCCAACCCTCAGTGGAACCAGAACATCACACTGCCTGCCATGGTGAGCCTCCTGCCCCCAGCAAACCCAAGGAGGCCCCTGGGGCTCTGGGCTTCGGGAGGTCCAGGGCTCCTGCCTCCCCAGCATCCTGCCAGTATCCCAGACTTCAGCTCGGGGTAGGGAGGGGCTGTTCTATCTTCAAAAGGACTCTTCTCCCAACACGCCTCTATTCCTTCCTCAGTTTCCCTCCATGTGCGAAAAAATGAGGATTCGTATCATAGACTGGTGAGTTCTGAGTCTTGGAGTCTTTAGGGCGGGCTGTCCTGAGGGGGCGCTGGGTCCCTCAGTTTCATTCGGCTCAGTGACTGGTAGTAAGAGTGTGAGGGAGAAGTTTCAGGTGAGGTAATGTCCCCTTGGGGTAGCCAGGGATGGAGAGGGTGTGGGCAGTTCCTCGGAAGCTTACTCACACCTGCTTGTTGGGAGGTAGGCAGATAAGGAGGAATCATCTCTGAGGGCAGAAGGAGCTGGGAAGGCTTCCTGGAGGAGGTGGGGCAGGTGATGGCCCGGCAGGAGGGGTGGGGTTTTGCTAAGCTCACCATGAGGACATTCCAGTGAGGAGAGGCTCACAAACTAAGGGAAGGGTCTGAAAAGAGCAGAGCTTCAGGGAGGATGGGCTGCGGTGCTGCCCTGGGTTGGTGGGATGAAAAAGTAGGGTCCCCAGGCTGGAGGAGCCGACCAGATTGCCTGAGCAGGGGACACCACGGCAGCTGTGCAGCAGGTGAGGACAGCAGCTCACGGGCGTCTTAGAAAGACCACAGCATCTAATACTTGTTGAGCACCTACTATACACCAAACCTTGTTCCCAGCAAGCACTTGACACGAGTCATCTCATCTGACCATCAACTCACCGACATCAGTTCACAGATGAGAAGGCAGGTTGGGAAAGACTGAGTGACCTGCCCGAGCTGACAGCTAGCTGGAAAGTAGCTGAGGCCAGGCTTGAACCCAAGCCTGCTGTTTCCAAAGCCTGCGTTCCTAACCACTAGTCCATGCCACCTCCTGCTAGTTGAGGGGAGCTGTCTCTTACACTTGAGGGGAATATTCGGGGTCCACACGTGTGATCTCAGGGCATTGGGCTTCCCAAAAAGAGAGAGTTGTCCTTTCTTTGCCCCCAAGAAGTCTTGGCTTTGTGGTTCCCCAGCGTGTTCTCCTCTGGTCTCATGCCCATGACACCCCCAACCAGGAGGATAATGAGAGACTAGGGAAAAACCCCCAGGCCACAGAGCCATTAAGCTGTGTGCCAGTTCCCCAGGCCTAAAGAAAACAGCTTGTGAGAATTAGAGGAGAGGAAAGAGAGCCGCCAGGAGGGCCTGTGAGGGAGAGGCCGCAAGGGCAGCGACCACGGGTATGTACTGTGGGGAAGCGGTTTGGAGGAAAGATGTGCTTTACATCCCAGAATGATCTCTTCATCTCCGCTCTCCATGTGTGCCGCTCTGACTGCGGGCGATGAGCTGTGCGTGTCTCTGCGTGTTTGCGCATGTGGATGTGAGTGGGTGCGGTTGTCTCCTGTGTTGTGGATGTGTCTGGCCCGAGTCCGGGTGAGCTGTGTCAAAGGCATCGGCGTACTGTACAATCCAAACACATTACAGAATCTGGTGGTTGCATCTCTGGTTTGGGTTGAAGTGGCATTTTTATTGTGAGTCTATTTTCAGACTTGCTGTATTTTCCAAAAGCAACCCCAAGCCCCAAAACCCAGCTCTTGGCCAGAAAGCATTCTGCTGCTTCAAGTTCCTATCCAGAAGAGTGCTTTCTTCCCAGAAAATGCAGATAAGCTCTTGTTATTACCTGAATCCTGGAAATAGGATATAGTCCATATGGCCTTTTCTCTGTAACTTAATCTTCCATTTAATTCTTCAGAAATTCCTTTTTCATTAAAAAACCAAACCAAACAACAACAACAAAAAAACCCCAAACCACCCCCTACCTCCATAAAACAGAACCTCTCTCCTCCCACTCTCCTTCCCTCCTCTCCCAATTCAGAGAAGACTGGAGGTCAGAAATCCAATTCCTTTTCAAGTGCTGACCTTTTCTAGGGTTTGGTCATGAAGACTGGGTACAAATGCCATTAACTGTCACTCATCTGGTGCTGAGAATATCACTGTAAAATATTGCAGGAAATTTTTACTTTCTAGTTTTGTTTTTTTTTTTTTTTTTTTTTTTGCGGGGGGCGTGGTGGGAGGATGGAGTTTCGCTCTTGTCACCCAGGCTGGAGTCCAATGGCGTGATCTTGGCTCATGCAACCTCTGCCTCCCAGGTTCAAGCGATTCTCCTGCCTCAGCCTCCCGAGTAGCAGGGATTACAGGCACACACCACCACCCCTGGCTAATTTTTGTATTTTTAGTAGAAACGGGGCTTCATCATGTTGGCCAGGCTGGTCTTGAACTCCTGATCTCAGGTGATCCATCTGCCTTGGCCTCCCAAAGTGCTGGGATTATGGGCGTGAGCCACCGCACCCTGCTTTTCAGTTCTTATTAATATCATTTACTTGGAAAAATGATACAGATCTGTCTGTGCTGACAATTCATTCTTCCTAATGTAGTGCCGGCGATGGAAAACTTTAAAAATCAAAGCTTAATCACCTCCCTGGGAAATACAAAGAGGAAGAAAGGAGCACAGAAATTGTGCAGAGATTAGGGTACCTTGTAGGGTTAGGATTTCAAAGAAAAATTGAAGCACCATGCCAGGGTATGCCTTTCACAATGGGGCTGGGATGTGTCATCTGAAGCTGCCCATGGCTAAGGCACTCACAACAGGGAGAGGGGGTCTACGGGGCACCAAGAAGAAGGGGAAATTACCCAGGAGGAACTTCCTGAAGGAGATGGGTCCTGCCCAGCCCAGTGTTTCTCAGTGTCTGCATCATTGGCATTTGGGGCTGGAATATTCTTTGCTGTGGGGTTCTCGACCTAGTGGTTTTGACCGCAGGTCTAGCCTACCCGGGAAGCAGCAGGTGGCTGCAATCAAAGCTCTGGTCTCCACGTCAGCATATCTGGCCTCAAATCCCAGCTTTGCCATCTTGGCAAATTATTTAACCTTCTCAACCTTGGCTTTCTCATCTGAACTTGGGGCTAATTGTAGTACCTACCTGGTAGTGCCGATGTGAGAATGAGTGAGTTAAGTCACCTGATGGTTTTAGCACAGTGCTTGGCTCTTAGTACGTGCTCAATAAATGTTAGCTGTTACTGTTTATTATTATCAAAGGAGGCAGGAGTGGGGTTCAGAGGGAGGGTCTGCATAGGATGTGGTTGGCTAATAGGTGAATCAAGCAGTTAACCTCCTTGAGCTCCTGGCCACAGTCCCCTACCCTGGTTGGGGAGCCAAGAAGTGTCCCCCTGGAAGCAGGCCCTATGCCATGCAGGAGCAATGTTCCAGGAGTCAGGACGCCAGGGCTTCCGGCCTGGGCTTGCCCTTCCTCTCCTGATGACCTTGGGCAAGTACCTACATGGCTTTAAGCCTCAGTTTCCTCATGGGTGCAACAGAGATAATAATAAAAGTGCTTGTTTCTCAAGGCTGTGTGAGCCTCCTGTGTGATAAAGGCTAAAAGTGCCCCATTACATACAAAGTCAGATACAAAAAGGAATCGTGTATTACCATTGGCTACTTCAAGACTGTGGCCTTGGAGATAGTTTCTTCCTGGTCACCTAGTTTTCTCCTTGATCTGGACATTTCTTTAGCTCCTGGAGCCTCTCAGTTCTTCCTGGGTCCGGGAACCTGGCTCCCTGAACAGGCCAGTCCCTGGCCCTGCCTCCTTGCCTCTGGCCTCCTCCCTGTCAGCCTGCAGATGCGTCTGTAGAGATCCAGGCTGGCAGCCTGGGTTTGGTTGCCTGATGGGATGCTGGTGGTTGGCGAGATGAACTAGTTCCCTCTCAGAGAGTCTTGGGCAAACCTCCTGTGCAGTGTCTTCATCTCTGGGATTACCAGGCCTCAGTAACATACCAAAGTGAAGACCAGAAGCGCTCTCTGCCTGCCCCCCGCCCCCCTGTGATGTGTAACCGAGGCCGCATACTTCCTGGGTGGGCTGTGGCCTGCAGTTCCTTTCCTGTGTTCAGGCCCTCTCTGCTCCCTTGCTCTAGGGACCGCCTGACTCACAATGACATCGTGGCTACCACCTACCTGAGTATGTCGAAAATCTCTGCCCCTGGAGGAGAAATAGAAGGTATGTTCCCTCTTCGTTCTGCCCTTTGACCCCCTGTGCTCTCCCCCGTACCCCCTCTATCCAGCTTACACTTCTAGTTTTGAGAGTTTGCAGAAAAGGGGAGATTATAAGGCCTCTGTTGCCCATTTTCCACTGAGAAGAGCTCTGGCAATGAAAGAGATGTCTTACAGACACTTAGGGTTCTCCACACTTGGATTGTGGGATATGCCACTGAAGGGCACAAAGAGGATAATTCACTCCTGCAGAGAATATTGGCTGGCTGTGGCCATGCCATCCATCAGGTCCTGCCTTGGCCGACTGTGCTCTAGCAGTTTCAAAAGCTATTGAAATAGCTCTTACTGTTCTATTAAAAAAGCAACTCATCATCATTTTGTAAAATTTTAAGTAAAGAAATAATCTGAAAGAATATAAAATTTACCTGAAATTACCCATAAGCCCACCCCTCCGGACAAGAACTATTAGCACTCCGAGACCTTTCTGTATGTATGTATATATGTATGTATATGTCTGTACATGCATGGAAGATGTGTGTATTTAATACATGGGTATGTGTATATATACATTAGAACAAATTGTTTTGAAAATTGCTTTTTGATACTTGACAATACAACATAGATATCTTTTCCTGTTATTAAAAGTTCTTCTATAATACAATTTTAAGTGAATACACATATTCCATTATGTGAATGTATCATGATCCACGTTAACTAGTTAATGATGAACATGTAGGTGTTTTCAAATTTTTCCACATTATAAGCAACTAAATTGGCAAGGAATATTTCTGTAGCTGAATCTTTATATAATTCATGAGTTTCCTTTTGGATAAATACCTAAAATTGGAATTGCTGTGTGAAAAGATTTCAACTTTTTTTTTCTTTTTTTTTTTTTTTGAGATGGAGTCTTGCCCTGTTGCCAGGCTGCAGTGTAGTGGCCCAAACTCAGCTCACTGCAATCTCCGCCTCCCCAGTTCAAGCAATTCTCCTGCCTCAGCCTCCCGAGCAGCTGGGACTACAGGCGCGCGCCACCACGCCCGGCTAATTTTTGTATTTTTAGTAGAGACAGGGTTTTACCATGTTGGCCAGGCTGGTCTCGAACTCCTGGCCTCATGATCCGCCCACCTCGGCCTCCCAAAGTGCTGGGATTACAGGCATGAGTCACTGCACCCAGCCTAGGATTTCAACATTTTTAAGACTTTTGATATTTATCAAAATTGCCCTTCAAAAAGGCTGGACTACTTTATGCTCTCATCATGCCCCTAGGCTTATTTTGCTATACCCTCCCCAACACAGGGTAAAATAATAATATTAAAAAAGAACTTTGTTAATTTTATAGGTCAAAATAGTATTTCATTGTTGCCTTAATTTTCATTTTATTGATAGCTGGTGAAGTTGACCGATTTCAATTTGAATATATTTAAATAATTATTTTATATTTATATATAACATGTTTATATAATTTATATTCATTCTATTATAAATGTCTTATTTATGTTCTCAGTCCATATGAGGAAATGTTTATCTTTTTCTCATACCTTTGTAGGAGTTCTGTATATATATGGATATTAACTTTTCCCCTGTCATTTATGTAGTAAATAATTCTTGTTGGCTTTATTTTACCAATTAATAGTTTTTGACCTATAGAAATTTAAAATTTTTATGTAGCCAAATCTGTTAGTCTTTTCCTTAGGGAATAAGGCAGGGATCTAGCATTACTTTTTTCAAAATTGTTCTTTGGTGATACAAACACTGTATTTTGAGTAATCTTTTCCCTATATTTCGAAATGCTGCCTTTATCACCTACTAAATTCCTAAATGTGTTCTTGGGCCTGTTCCTCTATTATCTTCAATTGGTATGTCTGCTTATTATTTCTTTGGTTTTGATATCTGGGTTATGCTGGCTTTGTAAAATTAATTGTAAAGATTTAAAGTCTTCTCTAACATCTGGAACAGTTTCTATAACACAAGAATACAGTCCTTTGAGGGTTTGAAATAATTCACCCATAAAACCATATGGGCTGGGTGCCCTTTTTGAGTGGGTATAGTAATAGCTCTTTAAAAACTTTTCAATTTCTCCTGTGATGATTGTTATTTTTAGTTTGTCACTTTTACTCTAGTCAATTTTGATAATTTATATTTTCCTAGAAAAGCATCCATTACGTTGAGGTATAATTTATTTACATAGTGTTGTACAGAGCAAATTTTTATAATTTGAATAATTCTCTCTACCTGTGGTGTTTTACTTTTTCTTATTTCTAATGCTATGTATTTGAGTTTTTTTTTCTTGATTAGCTGGTTAGAAGTTTATTTTAAAACTTTATTGGACTTTTAATCTTTGCACTCTTTAACTGTCTTTAGACTGATTTTATTGTTTCCTTCTTTAACTTTATAGCTTCTTGTCTTTATTTTTAAAATTTCTTATTTAAATAATGAAAGTATGGTTTCTGCCTTCTGTGTCATGCTCAAACCCTAAGGTTCAGCAGACCCTAAGGTTATATTTAACTCTATTAATTTTTTTTTAACATTTAAACATTTGATCTATTTTGAATTTATTTTTGTGTGTTTTCTGACAGCAGTCTGATGTGATTCTTTCATAGTTAGTCTATTTTTTTTTCCTGACTAGATGCTGCTCATAGGAATTTATCTTTTTTCTTATAGTTTAGAAAATTATTTTAATCTATCTTGGTACAGGACACTTTCCATTGAATTTTGTCTGAGACATGATGAATTCTTAAATCCGAGTTGAGGATTGTTTTTTAAAAATTCTGACATTATGCCATGGACAGCTGAAGGCAGAGTGGGGGAGTGGGGAGAGCTCTAGCTCTCCAGCCCACCAACTTGGGTTCAAATGCTCTTGGCTCTGCTTCTTTGTAACTGAGTGAGTTGCTCCAGTCTCCGTAAAATGGGGCTCTTACAAGTCCCAACCCTCATGAGGCGGTTGTAAAAATCATGAGGTTATAAAAGTAAGGTTCTTATAATGTCTAGTACACAATAACCTTAAAGTAACATTTGCTGTTTATCATCATTAAGATGGGCTTTCTATGTTGCTAATCTGATTTTTTTCTGTACCAATTCTGCCTTTTACTGCTTCGTACATGGTTTAAAATGGGCTATTGCATTTGTAGTTTCTTGTCAAGCCTTCTTTTTTTTTTTTTTTATTGATCATTCTTGGGTGTTTCTCGCAGAGGGGGATTTGGCAGGGTCATAGGACAATAGTAGAGGGAAGGTCAGCAGATAAACAAGTGAACAAAGGTCTCTGGTTTTCCTAGGCAGAGGACCCTGGGGCCTTCCGCAGTGTTTGTGTCCCTGGGTACTTGAGATTAGGGAGTGGTGATGACTCTTATGGAGCATGCTGCCTTCAAGCATCTGTTTAACAAAGCACATCTTGCACCGCCCTTAATCCATTTAACCCTGAGTGGACACAGCACATGTTTCAGAGAGCACCGGGTTGGGGGTAAGGTCATAGATCAACAGCATCCCAAGGCAGAAGAATTTTTCTTAGTACAGAACAAAATGGAGTCTCCTATGCCCACTTCTCTCCACACAGACACAGCAACAATCTGATTTCTCCATCTTCTCCCCACATTTCCTCCCTTTCTACTCGACAAAACCGCCATCATCATCATGGCCCGTTCCCAATGAGCTGCTGGGTACACCTCGCAGATGGGGTGGCGGCCGGGCAGAGGGGCTCCTCACTTCCCAGAAGGGGCGGCCGGGCAGAGGCGCCCCCTACCTCCCGGACGGGGCAGCTGGCCGGACGGGGGCTGCCCCCCACCTCCCTCCCGGATGGGGTGGCTGGCCGGGCGGGGGCTGCCCCCCACCTCCCGGACTGGGCAGCTGCCGGGCGGAGACGCTCCTCACTTCCAGACGGGGCGGCTGCCGGGCGGAGGGGCTCCTCACTTCCCAGACGGGGTGGCTGCCGGGCGGAGGGGCTCCTCACTTCTCAGATGGAGTGGCCCGTTAGAGACGCTCCTCACCTCCCAGACGGGGTCGCGGCCGGGCAGAGGCGCTCCTCACATCCCAGACGGGGCGGCAGGGCAGAGGCACTCCCCACATCTCAGATGATGGGCAGCCGGGCAGAGACACTCCTCACTTCCTAGAGGGGATGGCGGCCGGGAAGAGACGCTCCTCACTTCCCAGACTGGGCAGCCGGGCAGAGGGGCTCCTCACATCCCAGACGATGGGCGGCCAGGCAGAGACGCTCCTCACTTCCCAGACGGGGTGGCGGCCGGGCAGAGGCTGCGATCTCGGCACTTTGGGAGGCCAAGGCAGGCGGCTGGGAGGTGGAGGTTGATAGCGAGCCGAGATCAAGCCACTGCACTCCAGCCTGGGCAACATTGAGCACTGAGTGAACGAGACTCCATCTGCAATCCCAGCACCTCAGGAGGCGGAGGCTGGCAGATCACTCGCGGTTAGGAGCTGGAGACCAGCCCGGCCAACACAGCGAAACCCCATCTCCACCAAAAAAATACGAAAACCAGTCAGGCGTGGCGGCGCGCGCCTGCAATCGCAGGCACTCGGCAGGCTGAGGCAGGAGAATCAGGCACGGAGGTTGCAGTGAGCAGAGATGGCGGCAGTACAGTCCAGCTTCGGCTCGGCATCAGAGGGAGACCGTGGAAAGAGAGGGAGAGGGAGACCGTGGGGAGAGGGAGAGGGAGAGGGAGACCGTGGGGAGAGGGGGAGGGAGAAGGAGAGGGAGAGGGAGAGGGAGACGGAGAGGGAGAGGGAGACGGAGAGGGAGAGGGAGAGGGCTCAAGCCTTCTTTTTTCCCTGTCACTCCTTTTATATTTTCCTTTACTTCTTTGCTCCTCGTCTGTTCTCTCCCGGCAGTTCTGCTTTGTTCCACAAAAACTACATCTTCTTGTACTCTACTGAGGATTCCAAATCATTTTCTGTAATATGCAGGTGAATGCTTTCCTGAATCTTATGGATGTGGTTTCCATATCCTGGTTGGCTCTCTGCCCTCTCCCTGCTTTATTCACTCTCCCACAAGATCTGTTCAGTGTTGGTATCTCTCACAGATAGGGTGTGTGGGTCTTTCTCTGTCCATCCATCTCCTCAGATCTTTAGCTGGAGGACAGGTTAACGTGCCCAGTTTCTGGCCGACTCTACCCAGTGCTCTTGAAGCTGGAGATCGTCTCCAGATTCTAGATCTGTAGGAGACCTCTAGGAGTTCTTCTCCTAGAAGAGGAGACTGGAGGAGATACCATTTTTAAAAATGTTCTTTTTTTTTTTTTTTTTGAGATGGAGTCTTGCTCTTTTCGCCCAGCCTGTAGTGCAGTGGTGTGATCTTGGCTCACTGCAACCTCTGCCTCCTGGGTTCAAGCGATTCTCCTGCCTCAGCCTTCCAAGGAGCCAGGATTACAGTTGTCTGCCACCATACCTGGCTAATATTTTTTATTTTTAGTAGAGACGGGGTTTCACCATGTGGGCCAGGCTGGTCTCGAACTCCTGACCTGAGGTGATCCACCTGCCTTGGCCTCCCAAATGTTAACATCGTTTTTAAGCAAGACATTGTTAACTTAGACTTCTAGCTGCTTGATGTCCTCAGATCCTTCCGTAAATGTAGGCAGCTATCAGAGGCATGTACCTGACATTGTTTTTCATTCACTTCATTCTTTTAGGAGATGCTTATTGAACATATGCCTTCTGTCAGGGGCTGGGCATAGAGGGTTGAACAAAGTATTCTTGGTCTCACCCTCAGGGAACTTAGAGTCCTGGCAGGCGACAAACAAATAGACAAATAAAAATATGGGTATAAGTTGTCTTAAGTGCCCTCGAAGAGAAGGACATGCATGGTGAAAGAGAATAACAGAGTAGGGGAGAGCTGCTTCTGCCTGACAGAATCAAGGAAGGCTTCTAGGAGGAGGTGTCTTAGGCTGCCAGAGGGGAAGCCACCGGCACGTGAGGAGTAGGAAAGAGTTCCAGGCAGAGGTGATGACATATTCCAAGGCCATGTGGCAAGAAAGAAATGAAAAGACTGGTTTGGCTGAGTTCTCTGAAACATTTAAAGGGCAACTTTTAATTATAGAAAATTTCAAGTACACGCAAAGGTAGAGAATTGTACAGTAAACTCCCAGATACCCTCCCTGAGCTTCCACATCTAGCTGCTCTCTGCCTTCTGATTTCCTTGTTGGAACTTTGGACTAGTCCCAGAAACGACCTTCCTGAAGGCACTGCGAACTTCCTCTTCCTGCCCCAGCCCCTCCCTTCCTCGCTGGGGGAACAATCTGTTCCGGGATGTGGCCCCTTCACTAATTGCTGTTCAGATAGTTTCTAAGGAGGGCTGTCTCCTGCACAGGTAGAGAGATTTGGGGGTGGTAATGCAGACAGAGGGTCACCTCACAGGTCAGTACTCTTGGTATGGAAGGAACCTCGTCTTCAGTTTTCTGACTGGCACTGTCTCTCATCTCTCAATCCAGGGGCAGACAGTGGTGGGGGCACACTGTGGCATTTCTGACTGTTTTCCGACAGTTGTGTTTCATGACGCTGCAGCCGTGCCTACCACCAGCCCCCTGATGGAGAGTTAACATCCCCCGACCTGTCTTCATTTCTATGCTGTGTGAGCCCTCACCTTTCTCTGTGTCCGCATGAGTGTGTTGGTGGGAAGGTAAGAAAGATGTTTATGTGGTCACTAGATGGCGCTCAGGTCACGGGCAACCCAGCATGCTGCGGAAGGCATTCAAAGTCGGGACCACCTTCCATCACAGATGGTTCTGGAAAGAAATGAGAATCTTCTTGCAACCAGCTAACCGGTTTTGAACATGCAGTTAAATAGCTTGATTTAAGTGGCAGTAAAAGAGTTAAACTTGTGCATCCAACTGGAGCTGTCCTTGATGACTCTCGGACTCTGCCGACCCGTTCCTGCAGAGGTGGGTCCCTTTCTGGGGCCAGGGCCTCTCTCCGGCCTTGAGGTCGGGCCCTTGCCTTGCTCGGGCCAAGCCTCCCCGACTTGCCTGCAGCCCCCTCAGAACGCGTCGCTCCAACTTTCCTTTCAGCCCTTTTTTATGTTGTTTCTCCACGTTGTGGGCTTGTAGCCCATTGGGGTGATAGACAACACTTCTATTTCCTCACTGCTCTCAAAGACCAAATGAAACTGAACTGTAAAAACAAGTTCTTTCTCTGTATTTCCCCGCCTCAGGGTTCACCAGATGATTTGGTTCAACTAGCAGTTTTTGTTTTTCTGTTTTTGTTTTTGTTTCCAGTGAGGGCAAGACCTGACACTAACCTTTTAAACACCTCTGCCCACAAATTTGCCTGGGCGCACTAGAGTGTTCCTTGGACCCTGTGCTCTGAAGTATTAAGTAAGAATTTTGTTTTTTAAAAAAGAGTGCTTTCCTTAGAAGCTGCAGGTCTTTTGAGAGGTAACAGGCACGTGAGCTCTGTGAAACATACACAGATTCTTTGATAACTTTATACATAGGAAACTCATGCTCCATAAATAGCACTTGTATCCTAGTGTTTTCCATAGTTAAGAAATCCAAAGTTAGTCTCCTTTTGTCTCTGGAATGTAGATGATGCTGATTTCCCAGCAGTTTTCAGTTTCTCCTCTTGCCTGGCGCAAGCGAGAGTCAGGCAGCCAGCCGCCATGGGCTTGGGGATGTGCCGAGAGGCAGAGGGAGCTGGCGGGGCAGACCGCAGGTGATGGCCTCAGCTTCTTCATGCATGTTCCGGGGACTGTGTGCAGGGCTGGGACTTGTGGCTCACTGGGCTGGGAGGTCCTGCTGTCTATCTCCTTCAGCTTCCCCCAGGTGAGGCAGCTGGGCTTCGTTGCTCGGGCCACAGAACTGGGAGCATTCATCTGTGTTTTGGGCTTCCACAGCCCCAGCTTCCTGGGCTGAGGGAAAACACAATAAAACACTTGTGTTTTGGCAGAACGGTGATGTGGACTAAATAGAGGCTTTGTCTTGGGTGGCTTCACTGGTCACTGTGCTCTTGAACTGTCTGCAGACACAGGGGCGAGAGCCCGGGATGGACCTTCACACCCAGAGACTGCGATCCGCCCCCAAGTCAGGAGTCATTGACCTAAGACACCAACAGGGCTGTGTCTTATTACACATTCCCAGTGCCTCCTCCTGCACCTGGTTAGGCTTGCTGAATGAACAAATGAATGAAAGAATGGGTGAATTAGGTTGGGTGCTGTGGCTCACACCTGTAATCCCAGCACTTTGGGAGGCTGAGGTGGGTGGATCACCTGAGTTCAGGAGTTCGAGACCAGCCTGGCTAACATGGTGAAACCCCATCTCCACTAAAAATACAAGAAATAGGTGGTGGTGGGCACCTGGAATCATAGCTACTTGGGAGGCTGAGGCAGAATTGCTGGAACCTGGGAGGCGGAGGTTGCAGTGAGCCGAGATTGGGCCACTGTGCTCCAGTGTGGGCAACAAGAGCAAGACACTGTCTCAATAAATAAATAAATAAAAAGAAAGAAAGAATGGGTGAATTAATGAAAAGGTGTGGTTGCGAGGCAGGCTGCTTCGCAGCCACCCACTTGATCCTCTGAGCCACCAGAGCCATGTGTTGGTCAGATGGCCGATGGGATTAGGGGGACATCTGCATCTGGGCTGGACACCAGTCTGCAGCCAGAATTCAAAATCAGTCTGGGTGGGAAGCCGACTTTGCCTCTGTAAGAAGCACATGGGGGTTGGAACTGTGACCTTGGCCTCATTAGCCCGAGATAACGGGCCAGGCCTGTTAGTAATCATTTAGAAGGAGCTTAAAATGTGATCTGTTTGCTTCCGGTGGTCCCTGGCCACTGCTCTCCTCGGGCCTGCAGCTGTGTCTGTGTTGGCCCTCTCGCTGTTGCAGAAAACTCCCCATGAGCAGAGCCCTGGCTCGCCCACAGAAGGAAACCTCTTGCTTTGGAGATGAAGGTGACCATGAACTATGATTTTTGCAGCCCTGGTGTCTGCTGGCTGGCATTCATAGCTGAGGCCTCGCTGAGGAGGGCTGAGGGGCTGGGCCGGGCCCTCCTTGCTGTCTTTGCCCTGTCCTCACTCTGGATGGCCACGCTCCCTTCTCTCTTCTCCACTCTTTCTGTGTCTTTGTGCATTCTTCCTTCACAAAGTTTTCCTCAACCCTTGACTTCTGACTGCAGTCACAGAGCTAGGGGCAAAACGAGTGTTTTCTGGAGGACAGCAACAGGTAAAGGTGAACAAGGAAGGGAAGTAATCAGCAAGTTCACCAACCACATCCCGGGTGTGCACGTGACCTCAGACTGCGTTACACTTTACTGTTGGAGAAGGAGAATGGGAAGATCAGATTTGGGAAGAGGCAGAAATCAGAGAGGACAGTGGAGGAAGACTGAGGGGTGTCCGTTTCCTTGGCGCATCGCATACCTGCCTAGCAGTGAGGGACAGATTCAGAGTCCATACATGTGCCAGAGCATTTCCTTCCGTGCTTTTCTTATTTCTAGACATTCCTTACCAACATTCAGGGGCACACCCAAGTGTGTAGCGTGTTCAGCTTGTGGACAGTGTCTGGCTCTGTGATTCCCTGGAAGCGGCCTGTGTCAGAAGCCAGATGCCAGTGCCTGCTGTTGTGAAAACGCAACGTGGAGCCTTCAGGGGGGTGATCCTGGACACGGCCACTAGGTGGAGATGTTGTGCCTTGAAATGTCCCTGCTCGGCGCGCCTGGTCCCAAGCACGACCTGCCTGCGGGCTTGGAGTGTGGGGTGTGCCTTGCTGCCTAGCTCTGGCCCTTTTGTGTCTCCCCACCCTCCCGTTGTGTCTGTACTTTGTTCCCCTCACTTATCTGGCTATCATATGGAAAAGCACATTTTCTTTTCTGAATTATTCCTTGAGTGTATTGAATCAAGTTTCGGGTCTGGTTTTCAACTGGCAAACGGAACACACAGAGTGATGGGCAGGCCAGGTGGGACCCCCAGGGCTCATGGGGTGTTGGGGGCTGCGTCTGGAGGGGCCGTGATGATTTAGTTTATGATAAATTCACAGCTGGGCAGAGGGTGGGGCCTCGGGCCACATCTGTTTCACACCCGGGAGCTGTCTTTCCATCTGTCTGCCTGCCAGCTCTCCATCCACAGCCTGTTCATGTAACCCGTCCTTCTCCCAGCCATGCCCACCCTAACCCCTTTTCCATTTCTTTACGCTTCAGAGGAGCCTGCAGGTGCTGTCAAGCCTTCGAAAGCCTCAGACTGTACGTTGCTGTCACCTTGGGGACAACCAGGGGAGTGGGGCCTTGGGTTTTGGCTAGAGGGGCGAGGGTGCTGGAGGCATGGGGTTTTTGATTTGCCTGAGGTGGGATTGAGATTCCCCCACAAAGGTAAGTCCCTGGACTTACCTTTGCTGTCACCTCTCGGCCTCTGTGGAGCATGTAAATCATCTGGAATGCTTTAAGGGGCAATTTCCTCCCACTTCCCCCAACCCTTCCTAAATGGGATAGGCTTGGGCTGATGCTCGAGTTAGACCACTCTGTCTGGTAGTGAGGGGTAGGGGCAGGCATGGGGGTCTGGAGTGGGGCAGGGGGAGTGTGAGGTGTTTCAGGGGCCAGGAGGAGGCCAAGAGGAGTTAAAAACTCTTGGAGTTGAAATCCCCAAGGTAAATCATAATTGAGATGATTAACGCAAATAATTAGTAATGCTCCTGTTAGCCCACCTACCTGGGCCTCCCACCTCTCCTGAAGGCCAGTGCCCTGTCTGTGCTGGGGTCTAGGAGACAGAAGGTGTTGAAGGAGGTGGGGAGGCCCCTGGCTGAGAGGGGAGGTGAGGCTCCAGCCTTCTGGTCCCTCCCTGTCCTGGCCCCTTCCTCATCCCTAGGGTCTGGGCAGGGGCTCGACTCACAGTGCATGACCTTAGGTCTAGCTCAAACGCTTCTTTGCTGAGGCCATTTGTTTTGTGCCTACTTTGGCCCATCCTTGTGTGGACTGATTGGGTCGTTCCAGAGGGTTCCTGTCTCTGGCCCTGCTTTCTACCTTTGGCATTTTGGAAACAACCTCTTCCCCATTCCTCTGAAAGGGACACTGTGGCATTTTAGGGTTTTCAGAGCATGGCCAGTAAAGTCCCATCTGGGAAACTCAGCTGTGAGCTGGAAAATGATGTTAGTAAAAGAGAGCCTCCAGAAAAGGATGAAAGAATGTGGAGAGATTTCCCCTCTTCAGGAGTGTAATTCTCGAACTCTCCTCTGACCTGCTCTGTTAAAAAATTGTTCTTTGTACAATGTGTGTGTGGGGAGGAGATTCTGGGATAAGGCAAGGCCGTTAGGGCAGAGGGTATGTGCCTGGGGGCTACCCTAGGGAGGAGGAACGGCTAGCTGGGCTCCATCCCTGGCCTCCTGGGAGATGGTTTCTCTGGTTACCGGGCTCTGGGACCTCTTAGCCCCTCCCCATTGGCTGCAGGGCCTACAGTGCCTATAGAAGCGTAGGATGGAGAGCACATGCAGGACATGCTGGGGGTGGGGCTGGGGAGGGGCACGAGCAGTGGAGGGCCTCAAACCCCAACTTTGTGTGCTGGCTGAGTGCATGGGCTTTGAGGTGACACCATTCTGGACCCTGCCACCTTGTAGTCTTGTGTTTCTTTGCATCTCCAAGCCTCGGTTTCCTCATCTGTAAAATGAGACTAATAAAAATATGATTGCATCTCAGCATGATGGTGAGGAGTAAAGAGACTTAGGGGAGGGCGTGAGAGCTATCGCTCGTGGCGTTCTTCTTTATACACTGACAGGAGCTGCATCTGGTGCATGTGGGGGGGAACTGAGGGCCAGGGGTGGGCTCAGGTTGGAAGGTGGCTGGGTGGAGCATTGGGAAGCCCCACTGGGCCGACCCCTCTGATTGCCACTTGTGTCTCCCAGTGGATGACTACCTGGGCTTCCTCCCCACTTTTGGGCCCTGCTACATCAACCTCTATGGCAGTCCCAGAGAGTTCACAGGCTTCCCAGACCCCTACACAGAGCTCAACACAGGCAAGGTAAGCCGGCTGGAGCCCTGGCAAGGGCAGGATGCCAGATGCCCAGGTCCCTCAGGAGCCCAGGCCTGCATGCAGGGTCTTCCAGCCCCTCCTGGGGGCCCACGACCTGGCAGCCAACCCCTCAGGGAGTTCTCCTTCTGCCCCTTGACACTGCCTCTGCCTGAGTGCCAGTCTGATCCTTCCATGTTCCTCGCCTTGAAGCACCCAGGCCCCGTCTCTCTGTCTTTGTCTTTTAGGCTGAGTTGGCATCTGGCACTGTCCATCTGGGTGGCTTGTCATATCCCCCGAACTCTCTGGGCCATGCTTTCCTCACCTGCAGGGGGGATGAGGTTGGCTGAGGGACCTCCTGGGTGCCTGAGAGATGAGCTACCTCAGGGCCAGAGGGTGCCCCTTTCCTTCCCCTCCTCCCCTCTGTCTCCCCTGCTCCTTGTGACCTGACCTCCCTGGCAGGGGGAAGGTGTGGCTTATCGTGGCCGGCTTCTGCTCTCCCTGGAGACCAAGCTGGTGGAGCACAGTGAACAGAAGGTGGAGGACCTTCCTGCGGATGACATCCTCCGGGTGGAGGTGAGGGGTGTGGCTCTGGGTGGGAGCTGGGCGTCGGGGCAGGGAAGGGATGGCCAGGCTGGGACTGGCCTTGAGGTGTCATGGCCGAGGGAGGAGGAAGCTCTGCCCACACGCATCGTGCCTTTACCTCCCCGGGCCTCAAGTCTCAGCTGTAAAGTGGGAATAAATCAACACTTGCCCTGCTTCCCTGGAGGGATGATCAGAGGCTCAGAGAAGATAAATGAAAATATTCAAAAAGTCTAGAGCTTGATGCAAAATGAGATGCGATTTTATATTAATAACATAAGGATAGCTAACTGTTAAGTCAAATAAGCACTGAACATGTATCAGGCACTGTGCTGCTGACACCTCTGCCATTACTGACTCCTCCCAGCACCATGAGGTGGCTGCTGTTATTATTATTATCCCCATTTCACAGATGAGGAAACAGGCTCAGATATATCAGAGGAACAAATGGTAGAGCTGGGCCTTGTGTCCAGGAGGTAGCTGTGTGGAGTCTGTGTGGTGCTTTAAGCTCTTAGACACAGTGGTCAGATCGCTCTGGTTTGAATCCTGGCTCTAGCACTTACCGGCTGCATCAGTTTCCCTATCTGGAAAGTGGGGGTAATGATTATACTTATCTCATAAGACAGTTGTGGGAATTAAGGAAATTAATACACATATGCAGTAAGCACTTACTAAGTGCTAGCTGTTGCTACTATTTACATTCACCTAACACCCAATTGTCTGACCCCTCTTCTCTCAGTCGTAGGATTGAGTTCCTGCCCTGTCCCCATCCCGTGCTCAGAGCCTGGAGGGGACAATGAGACCCTTTCATCCCAGGCACATGACAGTGGCAGCCCGTGTATCCTGAAGAGCTGGCTGCTGAGGGAGAGACCCTGAGTGGCATGGGGCAGGAGCTCTGGTCAGGCGCCTGGTGGCTTAAAAGCCTTAAGCCCCTCTGAATGGCAGATAAGGCCCGGGTTGCCCCTGCGGGCCCAGTGGGAGCCCCCACTCAGCTGATGTGGTGGTACCATGGCTGCTGGTTTGGATTAGGGGCAGCTTGACCTTGGAGGAGTAGCTCTTATTAGGGAAACGTGGCCAGACACATGCAGACCTGGAATGAGCTTGTTCAGTTAGCAATGAAATCTGGATGCTGTTTCTTTCTTGGGCTACTTGCCACCCGTCAGTCCAGCCAGGAGCTATTGGGTGCCGGTTATGGCCGGGGCCTGCCAGACGTATGTCCCCTCCCCAGCCTGGGTGCCTTTCTTTGCTCCTCCCGTGACCCTCTGGTCTACTCTCTGCTCTCAGAAGTACCTTAGGAGGCGCAAGTACTCCCTGTTTGCGGCCTTCTACTCAGCCACCATGCTGCAGGATGTGGATGATGCCATCCAGTTTGAGGTCAGCATCGGGAACTACGGGAACAAGTTCGACATGACCTGCCTGCCGCTGGCCTCCACCACTCAGTACAGCCGTGCAGTCTTTGACGGTGAGGCAGTGCTCCTGGCTGGGACCCCGATCACAGGATCATAGAGCAGGGGGCCACACCTTAAATCCCGCCTCCCATGGAAAGCTGCCAGAGTCTACTCAAAGGCCCTGGTCCTGGCCCTGGCAAACCTGTTCCAGCTGTCCCCTTGCTCTCCTCCAGGCAAGGGGCCCTGCTACTAGTGCCCACAGATGCAGCTCCTGGGACCAGCTGTGGTCAGCATTGACCCTGACCCATCCTGATCATTTCAAGGAGTCAGCCAGCCTTGGTTTGGACATTTTAGGGAGTGTGGCCTTGGGTTTCCCAGGGCAGCTCTAACATCTCCTCAGTTTTGACATGCCCAGGAGCCCTAATGAGAGCTGCAGCTGTCTGCTCAACTCACGAAGGGAGCTCAGGCACCTCTTCAGACACTAGGGAACACGGGTACGGGCCACTCCACGTGTCCAAGGGGGTTCTTAGATGGGAAGGGTGAGCAGGTGCCTGTCTCTGTCCCACGTGTGGTCCCTTTCCCAGCTCTGCCAGTCCTAGCCCTGGAGTGCCCAGGAGGCTGGCACTCTTAGCACCCCATCCCACCCGCCCTCCACTCCTGGCACAGCGCTCAGGCCCGTCTCTCCATTCCAGGGTGCCACTACTACTACCTACCCTGGGGTAACGTGAAACCTGTGGTGGTGCTGTCATCCTACTGGGAGGACATCAGCCATAGAATCGAGACTCAGAACCAGCTGCTTGGGATTGCTGACCGGCTGGTGAGTGAAAACTTGCCCAAAGCTGCACATGCCTATGCATGCACCTGCTACCCCCGCTGCATGGGGTGTCTCAGACCACCACCCACTGGTGCACACACTGACACACGGCTGTGCCTACTGACCTTTGTGGTTGGTGTCCTCTGTGCCTTGGCAATACCAGGCTTGTGGTCCTGTCCTGCATGCTTGGAAGAGAAAAGAGGGGATGTGAGCAATCTGAGGCAGCCCCAGTGTGCAGTGGGACACAGAGCAAGGGAGCAGAAGGAAAACCTATGCCACGCAGCAGGGCACGGCCTGGCTCTCGCTCGCTTACTCACTCATTACAGGCCTTTGGACTCGTAATGCACACAAGGGCTTGTGCTAGAAACTTCTAGCCAGAAGCTAGAGGCGAGAGGTGAGCAAGCAGTTGGCTCTGTCTTCAGGGAGTCAGTTTATTAAAGGAGGGCATAGGCTCACTTGTGCCTCTCATACAGGGCTTTCCAAACTTAGGTACAGGTGACATTCCAGGGGCAAAGAGATGTGGGGCTCCGAGCAGGGCAGGTGGCCAAGGAGCATCAGGAAGGCATCATAGGCCAGTGAGGGGGCTGTGTCCAGTGCAAGGAGATGGGGGGTGGGAACCCAGCTAGGCCACCATTGCAGGGACCTGGGGGAGGGTGACCAAGCCCTGGGAAGGAGATGGCCTTGGGGGGAAATTGCAGGACTTGAGCTACAAGGCCTTGGTGGCCGACTGGATTTGGGGCTGAGGAAGGGCTATAAGGAGGAACTCAAGTGGCTGGGGAATTGGGAAGCTGGGGAGAAGAGCAGAGCATATGAGGTCAGGTTCTGTTTTGGAGGTGAGGAGGAGCCTTCTGGGGAACCCCCTGCAGATGCTGGATGCTGCAGTCCTGGCACTTGGCCAGAATGGAGGAGAATCACAGGTGGGCAGAGGTGTAGAGGCTAAGGGAGGTGAGGAGGCTGGGCGGGAAGCTGATGGTCCTGGCAGTGGCTGTAGGGGTTTCTGTGGCATGGATGGGGACAGCTGGTGAGAAAGTGGAAGAGACATGTGCAGGCCCTACTGCAGGAGCATGCTCAGATCAGCAGGTGGAGGGAAGGGGGACTGGAGAGGCCTGGGCGTGTCTGTGGGTGGGGAGGTGAGCATGGCTTGAAGGAAAGGTGGACAGAGAAGGGAAAGAGGCCATGGTGGTCCCACCTTCCCAGAGACTGGCAGCTCTAGGGGAAAGAGGAGACCAGCGAATGCTGAGATGGGGAGAACATGGAGTTGATGCTATATAGCTCCAGTATCTGCCTTCTGGGCCCATCACTGGCTCACAGCAAGACTCCAGACTCCAAGAGGGCAGGGACCGTGTTCTTTCCAGTTCTACGAGATTGGTAGTCCAAGTCCTGAGCACGTGTCCTTGCTCAGGAAGGCTGCTGGGTGGGGAGGGGTGTGTCGGGGGCTGAGGGACAGTCCTTGGCCTCTCAGCTCAGGGCTGAGGACCCATGGAGAGGGCTGGAGAAGAGCTCGGTAAGGGCCTGTTTCCCTGGGAGGCAGCACAGGGAGTGAGCAGGCCACAGGAGTTTGAGGAAGGAGCTGTCTGTGATTAGAGGTGGCAGGACGAATCCTGGAGGAGGGCGCTCTTAGTCTGAGCCTCATTGGGTGGTAGAATCTGGAAAGGAGAGAGGGTTCCAGGTGGGGAACCAGAGCAGGCTCGGAGAGGGCCACTTACCTGTGGGAAGCCAGGCCTGGTTTGAGGTAGCAGGGAGGAGTCAGAAGCCATCAAGTTCTGCCCAAGTCTGCAGACACCCCCTGAGCTCCTCATGACTACATGTGAGGCTGGAGTTACAGGCATGAGACTGGATGTATTTGGGCGTGGGGAGCCTTGGAAGGTTCTTGAGCCAGGATAGACCCTGGTTTGTTGGGCCTGGACTCTGCCTTCTTTGCTCTAACTGTTCACTCCTTTTTGGTTCAGTAGCAGTGACAAGGCCTGGGGGTTGGGTCCAGCATGCACCCTCTGCCCTGTGGTGACACACCTGACCCTTGCCTGCCCATTCCACAGGAAGCTGGCCTGGAGCAGGTCCACCTGGCCCTGAAGGCGCAGTGCTCCACGGAGGACGTGGACTCGCTGGTGGCTCAGCTGACGGATGAGCTCATCGCAGGCTGCAGGTAGGGGGGACCTGGCGCCCCTGGTGCCCACCTCTCCTGGCTCAACTGGGCCTGTTTCGCTGGGAGTGCTCGTGTGTGGCAGTGAGCAGTGGCACGTCTCCCAGCCACGCTTGGCCAGCAGTCCAGCCCGTGCTGAGTCCAAAGGTGGTGGAGCCAGTGCAGGAGTTGAAAAGGTGACATTGAGAGCAGGTCATAAATCTCCCTGCAGCAGCGGCAGCTGCGGGCCCGGCGGCCGGCTCACCTGAATGGGGAGCATTGTGTCTCTGATCCCCGACCTCTTATTTCCCTGATGGAATCTCCAGGAGGAGCTGGCTGGGGGGTGGGGTGACGGCGCCCCTCATTCCCTCAAGGCCATGTCGGGGATCATGGTTTCTGTTTAGCTTTCTATTGACATGGCTGATTGTTGACTTCAGGAAAAAAGGGCCCGGGGTGTGGAGGCCCAGCAGAGGGGTGCATCTCACATCTCCTCTGCTGCCATGTGGTTTTGGGGAGCCACCCATGGGTTTTGACCCTTGGTTTTCTCAACTTCAACCTGGCATGAAGAATAACTACTTTATAATATCTTCTAAACAAAGTGCCTGGCCCTTGGGAAGGATTTAATAAATGGTAGCTATAATTATTGCTCAGAAGAAGAAATGTCAGGAGACTTAGCTCCTGGTCTCTTTATCTGACTTGGTAACTTTGGGAAGCTTCTCTTCTCTGGACTTTAGTTTTCTCAGCTGTTAAATGGACTTAAATAATTGCCCCTCTGCTCTCCACAGGGTTAATATATGCAAATGTGTGAATATATGCAAATGTATTCTATGCTCCCATACGCCTCATCACCCCTCCCTCAGCCTGGCTGTACAGCCCTGCTGAACGCATCTGAGAAACTGATAACCATGGTCACTGATCCAGCATCCCTTCTATTGTTTGTGGCTCAGTTAGGAAGTGTATCTTTATCAAAATATTACCCCAGAGAAATGCTCCCGGCCCAGTAGTGGAATTCCAGACAGGCCATTCACCCATTTCCCCCAACCTTCCTGAAGCCTGGCAGGCTCAGTGCCAGATGCCCAGAGCATACTGACAAAGGTACAACTTCAGCCCTCCAGGGATGGTTGGATGCGAAAAATGGGCAGAGGAGGTAAAGTGCGTTAGGAAGTTAGAGGTGAGCACTGTAGGAGCTCTAAGCAGGTGCATCTCATTCCCACAAATTGAATTCAGGGAAGCTTCCTGGAGAAGGGGATGCCCCAGGTGGACTTTGAGGGAGGAGCAGGAGTTAGCCTTTGGAGAGGGGACTGCCAGGGCAAAGGCACAGAAGCCTGAAATGCCTGCTGCCTCCTGGGTGGGGGAAGTGGCAGGAGAGGCTGTTGCCCAATTGGGCGGCCCCGAGGGTCTCTGCTAAGGAGAGCTCAGCCCTGGGAGCAAGGCCGAGGGAAAGGTGATCCCAGGGTCTAAATGCTGCAATGTGAGGAATGGACTGGTGGTGGCGGCGAATGGCAGGTGCTGGGACCAGGGGAGGGGAGACTGGACATACGGCAGGTGAGCTGTGATGATGGTGTAACTAAGACAGTGATAGTGGGAGGGGTGGGGGCTAGGGCAGCATGGACTATTTAGGAGGGATTATGATGACAAGCAGTCTTCTGTGCCAGGCATTGTCCTAAGAATTTTACATGTATTAACCAACCATGAAATCTTATGAACTAGAAAGTAGGCTGGGTGTGGAGGCTCACAGCTGTAATCCCAGCACTTTGGGAGACTGAGGCAGACAGATCACTTGAGGTCAGGAGTTCAAGACCAGCCTGGCCCCATCTCTACTAAAAATACAAAAATTAGCCATGTGTGGTGGCGGGTGCCTGTAATCCCAGCTACTTGGGAGGCTGAGACAGCAGAATTGCTTGAACCCAGGAGGTGGATGTTGCAGTGAGCTGAGATTGTGCCCCTACACTCCAGACTGGGTGACAGAGCAAGACTCTGTCTCAAAAAAAAAAAAAGTAAATGACCCTCGTTTTACAGATAGGAAACTGAGGCACAGAGAGGTTAACTTGCCCAGATTCACACACCTGGTGAGTGGCAGAACCCCCTTGCTGTGCTGCTCTGTAATGGACAGAACCTGATGATGGGGTGAATATGGGAGCCACAGGAGGGTTCAGAATGATCCCCTGATCCTGGCCAGGGGGGCTAGGTGGGCATGGGGGCTGTGCTCTGAGAGGGTCAGCAGGAGGAGGAGCCAGTTGAGGGGGAGGTGAGGCATTCAGGACAGGCTGTGTTGAGGTATCTGTGAGGAAGCTGGCCTGTGGTCTGGAGGTGGGAGGACAGAGTGGGGTTGGAGGGGCACATATGGGCACGGTCAGCCTGTGGTGGCTACAGCCACTGGGTGAGCTCCCCAGGGCATCCCCGGGGCCCCAGATCCCACCTGCAAGGTGACTCATGGTGCCATGTTGGCACCACCTTGGGTGAGGTGGGTGGGCCAGGACTCTGGGTTCTACCCGTGGCCCTGCACATGACCCCCGTGTTGTTTGTAGCTTGGCAGGTCTGAGGAGCCTGGAATATCTGAGACCTGTGGGCCCTGAGTCCTTGGCTGCCCTCAGTGACCTCTGCAGGGCTCTGCTCTTGGAGGATCTGCCTACAAACAGTTCTGGCGCCTTTGAGTCACTCTCCTGGGGTTGGAAGAGTGGCTGGGCCTCCCAGCAGGGAGGCTGGTTCCAGCTCAGGAGCTTGGGAGGGGAACTGGGTTCCCGTCCTCTTGAGAATGCATAATGCCTCTCTGGGGGGGAATTCCAGGCAGCAGGAGCAATTCGCTCAGCTCCACCTGAGGCCACTGAGTGGCCCAGCACCTCAGCTAGAGGGCTTCCTCCACCTCTCACTGCAGTGCTGAGCACCATCACAGCTGATAGGCAGAGCAGCCGGGCATGGGGGCCCTGAGCGAACTCAGGCCCATAGCTGAACACAGCAGCTCACCCTTTCTCCAGTCAGCCTGGCCCACTTCTCCAGCATCGGTGTTCCTCATTCCATCTCAGCCCTTTTCCCGGCTCATCTTCCGGGAGCCTCCCCCTTCCCCAGGGCTGGTGGTGTCCACTCTGTTCCTCCAGCCCAGCCCTCTTCTCTGATCTCTAGACCTATGAACCCAAGGTGCTGGACATGTCCACGTGGATGTCCCACCAGCACCTCCGTGCTGCGTCTGGGGCTACACATGTTGCAGACAGGTTTCATCACCTCCCAGCACTGTCTTTTCCTGGGTCCCCAGAATCCACGCTGGAAACCTGAGCCAGCTCTGACTGCCCTCCTCCTCTTTTCTCTGCCCCAGCCCTGGTGGCTCTGCCTCACCCATGTCCTTCCTCCTTCCTTCCTCTCCCACCCCTCCTTTAGTATCCCCATCGTCTTCAAGCTGTGTCATGCCTGCCTCCATGTCAGCCCTGCAGTGGCTGCTGCTGCATCCAGGAAAAGCCCCTGCTCTCATCCTGGTGGACAGGCCTTTCTGTCCCCACCACCTGCCTCACGGAGCCCTAACGCTTCTGAAGCTCTGCGCTAGTTTGTCCGGCCCTCAGCACCCCCACCCCTACAGGCTCCCCCTTGCCTCTGTGTCTTTGCACTTGTGCACATGCTGCTCCATCAGCCAGGACGCCCTTCCCACTCTTTGGGCCTTACTAACGCCTGCTGGCCCTGCCAGGTGCAGCTCAGGGCCACTTCCTCCAGGAAGGGCTCCTGACTCTGAGGCTGCTCAGGTGGGGATCTGTTTGCGTCTCTGTTCTGCGGACTTCCTGAGAGCAGGGCCAGGTCTCATCTCTGGAGGCAGCATCCAGTCCAAGCCCAGGGCAGAGCTGTTGCTCACTAGGAGTGAAATGAATGCCCCGAGGCCAGTTCATCTTTCAGGCCGGACACTGCCCAGGGTACAGGTATCCACCTGGCCCCGCAGAGGCAGGCAGGGACCTTGGGAGCAGCCCAGCCCACTCTGCTCTCAGCCTGCTGAGCCCTGCGCTGGGCCTACCTGCAATTTCCAAGTCAGCCGGCGTTGGCGGGGCCCCTGGCTTTGCTTAGGGCTGGGTGGAGCGCCATCAGCCTCCTCTTCCCGGTCTCCCCTTCTTTCCGTACCCCCTGCCTTGGGCTTTCCTGAGGAGGGAAAGAGCCGAGACAGCACGGAGACAGCTTGTTAGTGGCACTCACAGGTCCTAAATGTTTCTTGGGGAGTCTTGGCTGGGCTGTGGCCTCCATGAAAATCTCCCTTTGGTGGTCTGTACTGCAGCCCCTCCCGGCTCCCGACCCGGGCTGGGCGCATAAATCACCCTGGTTGGCTCGGCTCTCCCTATCCCTCTCCAGACCCGCTTGCCCCCGCTCTCAGGCCCACTCAGGCCTGGTTCCCAGGCAGGCCCCCGCCCCGCTACCCACCGAGCATGCCCCTCCACCACCGAGGAGCGGCCTGGGGCAGCCCATCCGCGGCACCCTCGGGGCAGTAAATATTATATTACTACAGGGTGTGCAGTACGTGACCTGAGACAGGCCCCGGGGCTTAAGTTTCCCGAGATGGAGTTTGCGTACTGCTCCCCCCATCCTAAAAATTCAATTAAAAAAAATAACAGGAAAAATGTAGTGCGCCGAGGGCCTGCCAGAGCGGTGTATCTGGCGGCGGCGGTGCCGCTGCGCTCCGGCGGTAATTGGTTCTGCATAGCTCGGGGAAATTGGCAGAAAAATAAATCAGCCGGGAGCCGGGAGTCAGACGCTGCAGGGAGGGGAGGTGGGGGGTGCTGCAAGTGGTGGGAGCAGACCTGGTGGAGCGGGTTTGACTAATGTCCTGTTTGGGAGTCAAGGGGGTGAGGTGGGGGCAGGGCAGCCCCCATACCCTCAGTGGAGAATGGAAAATGGAGAGGAGTCCCGCTTGGTTAGGGAGTGCACAGACTGCCCCGCCGCATTTCTGCATGGCCCTTGTGTGGGTACCGACCCCTGGCCTTGGAATGGCGAGGAGGAGCCATATGAAGGACTTTCAGGGCGCCTCCGTGGGATGGGGGAGGTCAGAGTTCTTTGCCTCTAAACAGGATTGAGCTTAAACCTGACCTCCTGTCTCTCAGGGCTCAGGGCTGTGTTTCTGGCATTGCATGTACCCCCCACCTCCTCTCCAAAGGCTTCCCAAAGCAGAGTGTTCTGGGAAGGGTTCTGTTGTGGCTCCCCACCCCACCTCAGGTGGATACATCTGAGCTGCTGGCCTCCCTGCAGTGCCTGCAGTAGCTCTTCAGGGGTTCCTAAATTTCTTCCTTGAAGAATGTGGACACAGCACAGAGCAGACTTGTTTCAGTGCAGGGCACTCAGCGCTGGAGCCTCTACTCTAGGAGGATCCAGGAGGCAGGAGCAGGACCCCCTGGGCCCTCCGAGAGCCTGTAGTCAGTGGGGCAGAGGGGAACACACATGCAAAAGAACTCACTGGACTGGAGTTGAGGACAGATTCCAAACTGGCAGTCCTGGAATCGAGGGCTGGGGGCTCCAGATCAGGAGGCGCGTAGGCTGACATGGGTGAGGAAGGCTTCCTGGAGGAGGTGAGGGTGGAGCACATCACATAGAGATGGCTGTGTGTGTGGAGCGGGCTGGAGAAGGCACCCAGCAGGCAGGCGGAGGGGGTGGGGCCTGCTGTGAGAACCTGGCACATGTGCATGCCTGGACCTGGGAGAGCCCTGGGCTCATCAGGCGCATTCCATCTGTCCGTCCCTCACAGCCAGCCTCTGGGTGACATCCATGAGACACCCTCTGCCACCCACCTGGACCAGTACCTGTACCAGCTGCGCACCCATCACCTGAGCCAAATCACTGAGGCTGCCCTGGCCCTGAAGCTCGGCCACAGTGAGCTCCCTGCAGCTCTGGAGCAGGCGGAGGACTGGCTCCTGCGTCTGCGTGCCCTGGCAGAGGAGGTAATTAAGCCTGGGGGTGCCTTTCTTCTTCTGCTCTCCTGCTGCCTGGAACATCAGAACTGGCAGGGACAAGGCGAATGTCTGGATTATTACCCACCCCGGTTCCATTGCTGGGTGACCTTGGGCAGGTGACTTAACCTCTCTGAACCTCAATGGACCAATTTGCAGAAGGAAGAGAGAGGGTACGATGGAATACTGGGTGTTATGGGGCCCAGCACAGAGCCTGGCACACAATAGGTAACTAATAAATGCCCTCTGTTTGCCAAAGTATGTCAGAGACAGAGCTGGGACCAGAATCCAAGGTACCTGGTTCTAGGTTCAGTGCCAGGGCCAGCTTCCCCAGGTTCCCGACTCCTACTTCCTGCCAGCCAGTGCCTGTCTGCACCTGGCCAACAACCTGCCCTGCCTGGACCCTCTGTTTCCTGTTGTCCTGGATGCCTCTGAACCCCAGGCCCAAGGAGGCTTCATTTTCAGTAACTCTGAGTTTTGCTGAATCTGATCAGAGAGAACCGGCTCTGGTTTGTCTTTGGGGAACTATTTCCCCACCTGCAGACCCTCCCCCTGAGGTCTCTGTGGCCAGATGCACCCACCCGGTTCTGTGGCAAATAGGCAGGTCCGGTATTTGTCTGGAATGAGAAGCGTCTGCTCATAAGTGTTGGGCAGACACAGCTGCTGCCTGCTCTGACCAGAGCCCTGTGGGACTCCCAGGGAGGAGGTAGGGGCTCTCCCCAGGAGTGTGAGAAGGGCAGGGCCAGGAGAGCGGTTGCTGGAGGAAGCTGTGGAAGGGGAGAGGGAGGCTGCTCAGGAAGGGATGTGGGTCCCTGGAGTCAGCAGGGCCTATAGGCACAGGCTGGTTCCCTGGTGGACACTGTGTCGCTCAGCTGTGGACCAACTCCTCACAGTGGCAGCAGACCAACCCCTCAGGCTGGTCACGGGCTTCCCTCTGTAATCTCAGCCCAGACTGACCCGTGAACTGTAAGCACAAATTGTGATATGGCTGGAAGGGGTTAAGGTCGAACAGTGCTGTCACTGTAAGGGCCCCGTGGAGAGAGCCCTTCTCAAACTTGCATGTGCATCAGAATCCCTTGGAGGGCTTGTGAAAAGCAGGTTAGGGCCCACCCCTCGAGTTCCTGCCCCCCTGGAACTGGGGCAAACCTGAAAATATGCATTTCTAACAAGTTCCTGGAAGCTGCTGCTGCTGTGGGTGCCACACTTTGAGAACCCCTGGTATAGTGGTTAGGAACACATATTTGGAGTCAGAAAAACCTGCATTGGCTCCTAAGCTCTCAAAGCCTGAATTTCCTCACCTGTCAAATGGGGCTGCCTGTCCTGCCTCCTGGGCTTGCTGTTGGGGTTCAGTGAAGCGACGCATGGGCATGCTTCACCTGTGCTGCAGGAGCATCAGCTCAGCAGGACCCTGGGTGGAGACCTGGGGCTCACTTGGGCTCACTTTGCTCATCATCCTTGGAAGCAAATGGACCCTTACCCAATCAGCCTGCTCTCCAGAGTGTGCAGCTGGGAGCAGTTGTCAATCATGCTGGAGGGGCTTAGGGGCCTCACAGTTTTGTTCTGGACTAGTCACCATTTTCAGAGTCCAGTGTCTTCAGGCCATGGGAGTCCTGCTGCTACGGGAGGAGGGTGTGTGTCCTCTGGGAAGGGCATACCTTCTGTGGATCTGTTCCCGCTCTTGGGGCTGAGGAAGGCGGGTGGTGTCCTAGGCGTAATGTTACCTCCCTGGTCAAATCTAGTTCTCTGATGTTTGCCCCCTGGGAATGTCTACCTGGTAGCGAGGACCTAAGAATGTAAGGTTTGAGGTCCAGGCAGGAGTGTCTCTTCCCAGAAGGATGTACTCAGCTCAGTAACCTTGGTGGGCTTCTCATGTGAGCTGGGGGCAGCCTTATGCTCTGTTCTCTGGGGGCTCACCGCCACTCAAGCCAGACACTGGCCAGCCCTGGGAGGTCTGGGGGAAGGCCAGGGTGGACAGTGTGTGGGATGGAAGCTGGGAGAGGAGAGGCCTCTGTGGCCTCTGAGTCAGAGGTCAGCTCACGGTGTGGCTGTGGGGCGTGGGCCTGGTGTGTCACCATCCCCACCCCGACCACCACCCTCTGTTCAGCCCCAGAACAGCCTGCCGGACATCGTCATCTGGATGCTGCAGGGAGACAAGCGTGTGGCATACCAGCGGGTGCCCGCCCACCAAGTCCTCTTCTCCCGGCGGGGTGCCAACTACTGTGGCAAGAATTGTGGGAAGCTACAGACAATCTTTCTGAAAGTGAGTTTTCTTTTTTCCCAAGTCATGATCGTATTTTTCCCAACATAAGGCCTTTCTCCCATCTCTTCTGTTTCCCCTCCTGTTCTTGACCTATCTTAGTTCTTAGGCTGTGGTCTTGGAAGGAGAAGAGGTCTTTGGGTAAAACAATTTCCCTTTTCCTCGGTTACCCCCGAAGTCCCCAGGCCCCTGCACCTAGTCTAGGAAGTTAGTAGGTTTGAGCCGGAATCACTGGCGCTGGGAGTGAATGAGGTGGAGTCTGTGGCCCAGGCCATCTGGGAGGGCTGACCCCTGGGGCTGTGTTTGTCCTTCCAGGCAGGTCCCTTATAGGGAGGCCTCATCCTCAGTTCCCAGGCACTAGCAGGCCTTGCATGACCTGGCTTCCACACCAACCCGAGTGCCCTGGACTGGAGCTGGAGCCACTCTGAGGCTCAAGTCCTCCCTGCTGGGAAGGCTGGTATCTGGGGCTTGGGACAGGCACACCACAATCTGGACCCACTGGAGAGCTGGGAGCATGTAATTCTGTCCCCTGGTCTCACCAGCCCCCACCTCTCCTGCCCTTTCTCCTCTTCTAACACCCATCCCTGCTCCCTCTTCCTCCTTTCCAGGAGGGTCACCAGCTTTGGGGACGGGTGACAGGGAGGTGAGTGGGTGCTTGGGGAGAGCCCATCTGTGCTCCTCTCTAGGCTCATGCGCGGACATAGAGCCAAAGCTGCTGTGGTCATGGTGTGGCCTGGCGTGCAGGACACAATGCGGGAGATCCCTCCCTGCACGATGGCTGCCCAGGCCCAAGGGAGGGCCCTCCTTGAAGAGCTGTCAGCAAGGCTGCCCCTGCTTGGGGAGGAGTGGCCCTGAGAAGCAGGCCTGCTCCTTACCTTTTTTTTTTTTGAGTTGGAATCTCATTCTATTGCCCAGGCTGGAGTGTAGTGGTGTGATCTCCACTCACTGCAGCCTCCGCCTCACAAGTTCAAGGGATTCTCCTCCCTCAGCCTCCTGAGTAGCTGGGATTATAGGCGTTTGCCAACCCACCCAGCTCTTTTTTTTTTTTTTTTTTAATTTTAGTGGAGATGGGGTTTCACCATGTTGGCCAGGCTGGTCTCGAAATCCTGACCTCAGGTGATCCGCCTGCCTTGGCCTCCCAAAGTGCTGGGATTCAGGCGTGAGCCACCGCGCCAGCCCTCCTTACCTCTTTTCATTTGCCCTGAATAGCTCTACTAGCATTCAAGGACTCCTCAGCCTAAGGCACCAGACTTTCATCCAGCCTAGTCCACCTCCCCAAAGCCCCTCCACGCTGGACCTTCCCCTTCCCTACATCTCTCCTCCCTCCTCCCCTCTTCCAGGAAGTCGTTGTTGACTTACTTTAGCCTGGAACCCTGAAGCAGAGCCCCCTGAGTGATGCTGATGCATTCATATATTGGCCAGTCCTCTTGTTGTCCCCTGGGGGGTGTGGAGAGGGCAGGTTTCAGTAGCACAGAGGATGCCAGGGCTGGTTGGAGCTCTATGTGGCCTTGGGCAGGTTGCTTAACCTCTCTGAATTGCCTGTTGTCTTATCATCTGTAAAATGAGGGTGGGTGGGGCTGCCCACTTTACAGGTTTTGAGGGTTGAGTTAGGTGACACAGGTGATGGGTCTTGCTGGAACTAAGTGATCAATGGATGTTAGTTTCTCTCCCCACCTCTCCCCTTTTCCTTTTGGGGAGCTCCCCTGCTCTATGCGTGCCATGACTGGAGGCCAACTCAAGGCCAGGGATAGTAGATGTCTGCACACAGTTGTGTGAGTGAGTGTGTCTGTGTGTGTGTGTGTTGGGCAGCAGGCTGCCCCCATCCACCTGCTCACATGCCACCTGGGGCATGTTTCCCATTAGATTCTAACCTCCTGTGCTTGTCAGAGCCTAACCTCTGAGAGTCTACCTCCTAAGCCAGTTCCTGGCCTGGTAGGGCAGAAAGGAAAGGAAGTCAAGGAGTGGCCATATCTGAGTGGGGCTGACCGGGGAAGGCGGTCTGCGAGAGTGGCGGGGGCGGGGCGGGGGGTGCTGCTGAATTGTGCCTGGTGGACTTGCTGGGAGGGGATGAGCTCCAGGTTCTGACCTCTTGGCCATGTAGCCTCAGGGAAATGCAAACTGAAAATTTTCCCTGGTTTCAAGCAAAAAAAAAAAAAAAAAAAAAAAAGATATAGAATTGTTTCTCGAAGTCTTCCCCACTGAGTTTATGAGCCCCGCCAGTAGCTCCTGAGCAAGCTCTACAAAAATGTTGGCAGCAAGCAGAGACCAAGAAAACATTGGTGTTTCTTAACTTAAACCAAAGTTGGAAAAAATGAGCACCAGCAGAGAGAGAGAGGAGCCCCAAACTAGACATTTCTTTATTTGCTGTTGCTATTTTGGGTCCAGCAGGCTGGCCCCGTCTCGGGGAGGACAGGGGAGAGAGCCGGGGGTGGATGGGGGAAGTGGGGGTCAGGCATTCCTGCCATCTCCCTGGGGCTGGTGGTTTGGAGGGTAAAGGCAGTTAACCACCCGGGGGAGAGGACAGCCGAAGCGAACAGCCATGGAGAGGTTTCCCCGGGGCATGACACGTGGACTCAGGGGCTCCTACAGGCTTCATTGAAGATGAACCAAAAGAAGGGGGGCTGTGTCCGCAGGAGGGAAGCGTGAGGTGGCCCTAGCCTTGGCATGTCCTCTGCCCCTTCCTGAGCCTCCTACCTGCCCTGGGCTCTCCCTCCAGGGATCCAGGCCTCCCTGACCAGCGTGGGACCCCTTACCTCAGCTGCCCTTTCATCTTCTGAACCCACCCGTTTTCTCACTTGGCTATACTGCTCTGAGCTCATGACACTAGGCCTGGGTACTTAATGTGTTGCCTCCTCTAGGGGACAATGTGAATTTTAAGAGCAGGAGCTTCTGCTCCTCAGGCCATGTCTGACCTTTGGTTTCAATCAAATGGTGAAGTAATTGTGGAGAATAATTTTTGTTTCATGTTGGGTTGTTGTGGTTATTCCATTTGGCAGAGCTTCTGAAAGTTTCAGGAAAAAAAGCAGTTGAAGACCAGTGAATAGTGGTTGACATGCTGATAATCACTTGAAAGGGTAGGGATATTAGATGATACAGTAACCAAAGAAATAAAATACTAAACATGGAGGGGGAGGCTTTAATTTCTTCTCTTTCCAGATCTGTATCATTGTATCTCCTTTAGAGACAAGTTTTAGAACTGTGCTGTCCAATATGGTAGCCACAGATGGCTATTTAAATTTACATTAATTAAAAGTAAATGAAACGAAAACTTTATCTCCGCAGTCATACTGGCCACATTTCAAATGCTCGGTAGCTACATGGGCCTAGTTGACTACCATATTGGATGGTGAAGATATAAACCATTTTCCTCATAGCAGAAAGTTCCATTGGCAAGCACTGTTCCAGAAGAAAATGGAAGCGAGGCTGTGGTGGGAGAAGGGGAGAGGAGAGGTCCTGGGCTAGACATGGTTCTTCTCTGCAGAGCGCTCCTAGGAGGGAATGATGTAGCCTTTGCCTTTGATGGGGAGGAATCTTGGTGAGGGGTAGGGGGTGGGGTGGACGTTTCTTAATTGCACACTCCCCTTCTATGCAATTCTGGTAAGCGCTCCCACAGGGGACACTCCCAGTGAGGGTGTCAGCCTGCTCTACCCAGGCTTGGAGGACTCCTCCTCCCCAGCCTCTCACTGGGACATCCGGATCCTGAAGGGGACTGTGGGTTTCTGTCCTTCTCTGGTACCCAGTATCCGATGGAGAAGGTGCCTGGCGCCCGGATGCCAGTGCAGATACGGGTCAAGCTGTGGTTTGGGCTCTCAGTGGATGAGAAGGAGTTCAACCAGTTTGCTGAGGGGAAGCTGTCTGTCTTTGCTGAAACCGTGAGTACCTGCCAGCCCCCACCTCTGCCTCCCACTACCTGGAGCTGCCTTGGCCCCCTGCTCACGCCTCATTCTTCCTGGCCCTCCAGTATGAGAACGAGACTAAGTTGGCCCTTGTTGGGAACTGGGGCACAACGGGCCTCACCTACCCCAAGTTTTCTGACGTCACGGGCAAGATCAAGCTACCCAAGGACAGCTTCCGCCCCTCGGCCGGCTGGACCTGGGCTGGAGATTGGTTCGTGTGTCCGGAGAAGACGTGAGTCGTGGGCAGGGAGGGCTGGGGAGAGCCAGGCCAGGCTGCCCACCATGGACTGCACCCTCCTTTTGGAGGCAGGCTGGGGTCTGTTGATCCCTCTGCTTGCTCCTGCGCTGGTCATAGGAACTTCCGCTGAACTCTCCCAGGACTGAGGCTTGCCAGGCAGCAGTCCTTTCCAGAAGGGCTTGGATGGTCAGACAGTCCTTTATTCTTTTCATTAAAAAAATTTTTTTTTTTTTTTGAGACAGAGTCTCACTCTGTTTGGAGGCTGGAGTGCAGTAGCATGATCGCAGCTCATTGCAGCCTCAACCTCCTGGCCTCAGGTGATCCTCCTGCTCCTGCCTTCTGAGTAGCTGGGACCACAGGCGTGCGCCATCATGCCTGGCTAATTTTTAAATTTTTTGTAGAGACAGGGTCTCACTGTGTTGCCCAGGCTGGTCTTGAACTCCTGGGCTCAAGTGATTCTCCCTCCTTGAACTCCCAAAGTGCTGGGGTTACAGGCTTGAGTCACCACGCCTGGCCAGGCCTTTATTCTCTCTCTTTTTTTTTTTTGAGACGGAGTCTCGCTCGGTCGCCCAGGCTGGAGTGCAGTGGCGCGATCTCGGCTCACTGCAACCTCCACCTCCCGGGTTCACGCCATTCTCCGGCCTCAGCCTCCTGAGTAGCTGGGACTACAGCTGCCTGCCACTACGCCCAGCTAATTTTATTTTGTATTTTAGTAGAGACGAGGTTTCACCATGTTAGCCAGGATGGTCTCGATCTCCTGACCTGGTGATCCACCCGCCTCGGCCTCCCAAAGTGCTGGGATTACAGGCTTGAGCCACCGCGCCTGGCCCAGGCCTTTATTCTTAAGCCTTCGTTCTGTGTGGTGCCCACTGGGTGTGGCCCCATCCTCAAAGACACCCAGGACAAGCCCATCACCTCCTCTGCACGTGAACCCTTCTCGTGTCTGGGCTGCTCACACATCCCCTGAGTGGTCCTTTCTCTGTCAGTCCCTCTCAGATCCACGTGGTCCTTCTCCATGTCTATTGCCGCCTTTGCCTCTCTCTCCTCTCCTTTTCCTGTTTGGTTGGCATTCAACTCTGTGGTGTTTAACTTTTTTTTACTTAAAAAAATTGAAGTATAACATATTATACAGTCAAGCACTCAAATCTTATGAGCACAACTTGATAAAACTTTATATTTTTACAACTATCCATCAAGCCTCGACTGCCCATCCTCCTTTTGCTGTCTTCAGTTGGCCCCCTTTTCTCTTTATCTTGGGTGATGTGCTCTTTTGTCCCCGATTATCTCGGAGTGTCCCTAGGTCTCCTTTTCACTGTCTGCCTTGGTCTCTTGCACCCTTCCCTCCCCACCCCCCATGTCTCTCATTGTTGGTTGGGGTGAGGCTGACATACGCAGGGGTGCTCTCCAGGAGGTGGTAGATGGATGGGGGCCTCTCCAGCAGAGCAGCAGAGACTCTGACCAGCCCTCCTCCACAGTCTGCTCCATGACATGGACGCCGGTCACCTGAGCTTCGTGGAAGAGGTGTTTGAGAACCAGACCCGGCTTCCCGGAGGCCAGTGGATCTACATGAGTGACAACTACACCGATGTGGTAAAGCAGGCACTCAGGGGCAGGTGGGGTCTAGACATTTGGTCTCTGGAGGCACCTGGTGCTCAGGGACAGGTGGGGCATGTTTCTCTTTGCCCCCTCTTACCTCCGGAGACTTCATGCTTTGATTTCCAAAGGGAAAGTGTGGGGTGCAGTGGTGGCAGGACACTGACTCTGGGGCTCTGCCCTTCTGTCTGGGACTTGGAGGACGTATGTTGTCAAGTTGCATCTTTTCTGCCTCCCTGCTCACATCTGTCTGTCTCCTCTCATTGCTTGCCTGTTCGGTTTTGTCCTTAGAACGGGGAGAAGGTGCTTCCCAAGGATGACATTGAGTGCCCACTGGGCTGGAAGTGGGAAGATGAGGAATGGTCCACAGACCTCAACCGGGCTGTCGATGAGCAAGGTGGGCAGCATGTGGAACCTGGCGAGCCCCATCCCCGGCAAGCTCTCAAGCCATGCTGGTGGGGACGACTGAATGCCAGGGCCCTTCACTGGGCTATTTCACCCAGGGACGCTTCTTGAAGGCACCCCCCACTCCAAGCTGCAAATTAGGACCGAGAGTCAGTGGCCGCTCAAGAGTCTGTGACCATGCCCCAAATTCAGAGATGGTCCCAGGAGAGATGGGGGGAACTGCCAAGCAATGAGTGACCGGTTCCCCCTCCCCCAGGCTGGGAGTATAGCATCACCATCCCCCCGGAGCGGAAGCCGAAGCACTGGGTCCCTGCTGAGAAGATGTACTACACACACCGACGGCGGCGCTGGGTGCGCCTGCGCAGGAGGGATCTCAGCCAAATGGAAGCACTGAAAAGGGTGAGCCAGCAGGTGGTGGGTGGGAGTGAGGCCTGTGGTCACAGGTGGCCAGTAGGCACAGATGCAGACCTGCATGCCCACAGACACATGCATGTGTGCACACAGCATGCACAGACACCTGGGACTCACTGGAGGTGCTCACAGATCACACCCAGCATACCCAAAGATCACACCCAGCATACACACAGATCACACCCAGCATACCCAAAGATCACACCCAGCATACACACAGATCACACCCAGCACACAGATCACACTGGGAACACCCACAGATCACACTCAGCACACACACAGATTACACCCAGCACACACACAGATCACACCCAGCACACAGATTACACCCAGCACACACACAGATCACACCCAGCACACAGATCACACCCACAGATCACACCCAGCGCATGCACAGATCACACCCAGCACACCCAAAGATCACACCCAGCACACACACACAGATCACACCCAACACACCCACAGTTCACACTCAGCACACACAGATCACACCCAACACACCCACAGTTCACATGCAGCACACCCACAGTTCACACCTAGCACACACAGATTACACCTAGCACACCCAGCACACGCACAGCTCACACCCAGCACACCCACAGATCACACCCAGCACATGCACAGATCACAGTCAGCACACACAGATCACACCCAGCACACACAGATCACAGTCAGCACACACAGATCACACCCAGCACACACACAGATCACACCCAGCACACACACATCACACCCAGCACGCACAGATCACACCCACCACACACAGCTCACACCCAGCACACACACATCACACCCAGCACACGCACAGATCACACCCACCACACACAGATCACACCCAGCACACACAGCTCACACCCAGCACACACACAGATCACACCCAGCACATGCAGAGATCACACACAGATCACACCCAGCACACCCACAGATCACACCCAGCACATGCACAGATCACAGTCAGCACACACAGATCACACCCAGCACACACACAGATCACAGTCAGCACACACAGATCACACCCAGCACACACACAGATCACACCCAGCACACACAGCTCACACCCAGCACACACACATCACACCCAGCACATGCACAGATCACACCCACCACACACAGATCACACCCAGCACACACAGCTCACACCCAGCACACACACAGATCACACCCAGCACATGCACAGATCACACACAGATCACACCCAGCACACCCACAGATCACACCGAGCATGGATCACATCCAGCACACCCAGCACAGATCACACTCAGCACA
This sequence comes from Homo sapiens, assembly GCF_000001405.40. Taxonomy (NCBI): domain Eukaryota; kingdom Metazoa; phylum Chordata; class Mammalia; order Primates; family Hominidae; genus Homo; species Homo sapiens. The sequence continues at coordinate 71,572,020 of NC_000002.12, forward strand.
CACACATTACACCTAGCACACCCACAGATCACACCCAGCACACACACAGATCACACCCAGCACACCCACAGATCATACCCAGCACACCCACAGATCATACCCAGCACAGATCACACCCAGCACACCCACAGATCACACCCAGCATGGATCACACCCAGCACACCCAGCACAGATTACATCCAGCACACCCAGCACAGATCACACCCAGCACATGCACAGATCACACCTAGCACACCCACAGATCACAACCAGCACAGATCACACCTAGCACACCCACAGATCACACCCAGCACACAGAAATCACACCCAGCACACCCACAGATCACACCCAGCACAGATCACACCCAGCACACCCACAGATGCTTATAGACAGACACACTCAGATGCCCATGATTACAGAAGGTCACATGCAAAGTTCACACACCAACCTGGAAGATGGAAAGACACCCATGGACTTTGTCTTAGGCTGGGTTTCCTGGAGGCAGAAGCTAAGACGTAGATTTGGCTGCACATTATTGGGGCAGTGCCCTCGGGAGTGTGAGGAGCAAGGATGCAGCTTCAGGCAGGTCAGCTGTGGCCTGAGCTGTGGCCTGGGGAAGTTCACAACTCGGAACACCACAGAATCCTCACCTGGAGGCAGGGCTGGGCTTTGTATCCTCTCAGCCATCTGTCTAGGCTTGGGGTTGCTGGGGTGAGCTGGGGCACATACCTATCTCTTCAGTGAGGGGGTTTCCTTTAGCATGGGGGTTCCCTGGAGCAGGTGGCTTCTGGGAGCTGGGAGCTGTCGATGCTGATGGCAGCTGGGGATGGGTGCGCCACACGTGTACATTGGCTGGTGAGGGGGCTGGGGTGGGCCCCGTTGGCATTCATGCAATGCAAGCACACATGCCCACAGTTGAGCACAGATGCCATGGGATACTGTCAGGCCCATCGTGCACATGGATGAGCACACGCAAGCACATGCACTTGCTCCGGGGTCACACAGGGGCCTGTGCACTGCACAGCCTCTGTGCCCGCCTGTCCTGGACCTTCTTGGTCTATGATCTTCCTTCCTAAACACACATTTGAATTTTGGCTCAAGAACCAGACCTCCCTTAGTCCAGGAGTAGCCTGTGGCATGACCTAGGTTCCTTCCTTTCTCCTTGGGGGCAGAGAACCTAGAGAGGACTCTTGCTGGCTCCAGGGAGGGGCAAGGCTTTTGGACAACCAGCTGTTCCTGGTGCTGTGAACCAGACAGATTCAACTTTCTCCCTGAAGGGGCACCCAGCAGACAGAGGCAAAGCCTGCCCAGGCTCATGTGCCTTGCCCACCACCCCACAGCCAGCATCCTTCCTGGAGAGTGGCACAGCTGGCCTCCAGGACTGGCCCTTGTCACTGTGCTCCTGGCCCAGACCTGAGGTGGTGTCTGACAACAGTGCCAGGTCACCCTCTCCCAGGAGCTGAATGGCAAGGGGGCTCCCGGGACTCCCTTCAGGCCCAGGAAAGGGACCCCATGAACGAGGTACAGGGGTGCCTCCATAGCTGAGTTGGGTCTAGCTCCCAGGGGTGAAATTGGCTGTGGTTGGGAAATAGGATCTTCCTTTTACCTCTGAGCTGCAGACCCACTACAGGATGTGAAGATGAAAAAGGAAATGACAAGAAAACTTTGGATTCATGAAATCCACCCAGAATTCAAACAAATAAGCAAGTTAAAAGCCCAGTGTTTTCGTCACTGCGTCAGCCTACCTTCCTTTCTGGCTGTTTGGTTCTTCCCGCAGCCCATGGAGCCTCCTCTCCCCTCCTGATTTTTCTTTTTCTTTTTTCTTTTTTTCTTTTCCTTTTGAGATGGAGTCTCATTCTGTCACCCAGGCTTGAGTGCAGTGGCGCAATCTCGGCTCACTGCAACCTCCACCTCCCAGGTTCAAGCAATTCTCCTGCCTCAGCCTCCCTGGTAGCTGGGATTACAGACATGAGCCACCATGCCTGGCCTCCCCTCCTGATTTTCTGACCTGGGGTTCCTGTGGCTGCAGAAAGCCCCTCTCCTCTAGGTGGCCCTCCCAGGTTTTCCCACCTGGAGGGCACTAGTGTGGGAGCTGGTGGGGAGTTGTCATGGAAGACAGGAAGGCAAAGGTGGAGCCGAGCACAGAACTCCCCCCAGCCTTCCCACCGGCCTCTGAGTCTGCCCCTTCTCTTGTGCAGCACAGGCAGGCGGAGGCGGAGGGCGAGGGCTGGGAGTACGCCTCTCTTTTTGGCTGGAAGTTCCACCTCGAGTACCGCAAGACAGATGCCTTCCGCCGCCGCCGCTGGCGCCGTCGCATGGAGCCACTGGAGAAGACGGGGCCTGCAGCTGTGTTTGCCCTTGAGGGGGCCCTGGTATGTGGGGCTGCACTTGTCCTGGCTTGGGTAGGGTATATCTTGGTTTCCCAGGGCTGTTCGGGCTGATGTGGGAGAGGCACAGGGACCCCAGGTTAGGACTTTTGGATGGAACGCTGGCTGGTCATCCTGGCGTCAGTACCTGTGGGGTGGCATGTGGGGAAAGCAGCCCCAGTCTGGGTGTTCTTCTAAAATGAAAAAGCTCCTTCCTTGGCACTGAAACACTTGCTGCTACTACTTTGAGGTGTCAAGATGAAAGCAGAGGGGAAGATGGCCTTGGCCGTCTGGCTGGCCTGTGCCTGGCTGGCTGGTGTGAAGATGGGCGAGGAGGCCCATGGGAGGAGTGAGAGAGTTCTTGTGGCCCCAGAGTGTCCTTGGTTGCATGTGCATCCTCTTGAGGCAGAGACCATCTCATGGTCATCCCCAGCAATTTTGGGGAAGAGGTGTGCCTTAGAAGCTGAGCCCCAGGATGACTTTCCTGCCCAGGGTGCGCTTTCTGTAGCCAGTGGAACTGGGGTAGGCTCAAGGTTCTCCAGGGCCGGGGTGACGGGCTCCCCAAAAGAGACGAGCAGGTGTCTCGGGGACAGTCTGAGCGAGCACTCGGTACTGGCACACAGCCAGTCCCCACTCTGCTGCTCTGGGGAAGGAGCTGCTCCCTCTGAAATCCAGCCAGGACTGGCACCTCCCTAGGGGTTTGGGCTGGGGCCCTAGGGAGCAAGCCCCATGGGACGTGAGGGTGTCCATGTGAAGCCAGCTGTGTGGTTGGGGTCAGGCTGGGCACCTATCTGTAGGACAGCCTGGCTTTGAAGGCTGGAGGAGTGCTGTGGGGTGGCTCAGGATCTGTTGGGCTGGCCACTGGCAGGGAGGTGAAGCCAGCAGTGGCCCTGAGAGGGAGTGGGTGGGCTGGGGAGGCTCTGTCAGTCTCAGGCCTCGATGGTGGGCAAGGCCCAACAGTGGCAGTATAGGAGAGGAAGCTCTCTGGGGGCCTGAGGACGTCAGAGGAGCCTGCCATAGGCTTCGGAGAGAGCCCCTCCCTTGCCCTGGGGCCAGGTCAAGGGGAGGCTGAGGGGAGATAGCAGAGCTCTCGGCTCTCTGGGCTATGGACTGGTCTTCCGGCCAGGGTCGGGCAGGATAGGATGGAATTGCTGCCCAGGTCAGAGCAGCTGGGGAGCCTTCTGGGGTGGGGCTGGTGTTCTGTGGCCCCCTCTGCTTTGAGTCAGAAAGGGCCTGGCCTGAGCACTGGGCAGGGGCTGGTGATGATCCTGCGGCTCTAGCTGAGGGGTGGGGTATAAAGACCTTGGCAGGCCTCAGAGTCAGGGCCAGGTCTGAGAAGGCCAGGAAAGCACCCTGTGTAATCAGGATCTGTTTTCATCAGCCAGAGCTCTACTCAAAGGGGCTGAGAAGAAAAGTGGTTTGTGGGCTCACAGAGCTGGGAAGAACCCGAGAGGTGAAGCAGGCATTAGGCCTGGCAGGAAACAGGTTCATACAGTGTCCCCAGGACTCGCACCCCTGTCTTGGCCTTGTCTCACACGGGCTCTCTCTGTGTGGTAGCAAAGATGCTGCTGGTGACGAAAGGCCAACATCATCCCTCCAGCCAGCAAAGTCCTGCTAGATAAAGTAGCCCAGCCCACAGCGCCACACTCTGTTTTCCATGCAGCTGGAGACCCCTGAGTGCTGCCTTCTCAGTAATGTCAGTGAAGTCTTCGGCATGACTGACCAGCTCAGCCTGGTGGTGCCCAGCCAGCCCCTGCACCTGGGTGAGGGATGGAGCGTTCTGATTGGCCGGCATGGGCCATGCCCCTTCTCTGTGATTGACAGTGCCACCAGATTGGGGAGAGGAGCTTCTGAAAACAAAAACAAAAAACAAAAACCAAAGCAATGTTGGGCAAAGAGCTCCAGATGGTCCAGACGGTGACCAGAGCAGTAGGGAGCCAGTATGAGTTGTTGACAAGAAGAGTGCTCTGGTCAGAGCTAGGCTTTAGGACCATCAGTCAAGCAGCCATGGAGGATGCTTGGGAGGCAGAGCCTCCCATCAGGAAACCCCAGGAGTCTTGTGTAGAGATCCAGGAGAGGTGACCACCTGGCGTGAGGCCGTGGGGCTGAGGTGGAGGGAGGTGGGACTGAAGGGTTTGGGGAGGGAAGGGCCAGAGGTGGACAGTGGGGACCCTGTGGTTGCCAGGCCGCAGGGCGGGGTGGGGCGGGCTGTGATGAGTTCACGGTTGGCCCTGGCAAGGCTGACACACACGGTGAAGTGCTGTGTGAGGGAGACAGAGCTGACGGCTGCCTGCCAGGCGGCCCAGGGCAGGAAGGCTGGAGCGGGGAGCCGAGGGGGCCGGGAGTGGGGAAGAGGTGACTGGAGACACGTGGACAAAGCGTGGATGGACCCTGGGGCTGGCTAGGGCCTGGAGGAAGAAAGTGACAAGGCTGGGGGACCCAGGCCAAGCTTTCATGGCTCAGCGCCTGGGAGAATGAGGGGGGGCACTTCCCAGAAGCAGAGAGACCGATCTGCGTATTCTTCTTGTGGAAGAGACTGTCCTGAGGGATCACTGAAACTAGGCGTGAAGTCAGCAGCCATGGGCGGGTGATGGATTGTAATTCACCTGTGACTTGCCTATGATACATGGAAGAGACCAAAGTGGCAAAGCCCCGAGTCCTGGGACAGCTTGGCTGGCAGAGAGAACCAGAAAGGGAGGCGGTGGCTTCAGAGGGCAGATCCCACAGACCTGCAGCTGGAGGACCAGAGAGTTTTGGAAGGTTTAGGTGTGTCTGGCATTTGGACGGGGCCACAGGCCCACTTGACTGTCTGGAAGACTCTATACCTGAGTGACACACACTCACACACTGTCTTACACACCAGCACACACACCAACACACACTCATACACACCAACACACACACTCTTTCCACTCATACACAACACACTCTGTTACACGAACACACACACCAACACAGTCTCTCTCCACACATTCATACACACCAATAAGCACACTAACGCACACATACACACTCATACAACACCCCCACACACTAACACCCATACACACTAACACCTACACAATCACACTCTCACACATACCCTCACACACACCAACACACTCTCTACACACTCCCATATATACCAACACACACACACAGCCCCACTCTCATGCAGCCCCCCCACTCTCACACTAACACGTACACAATCACACACATACCCTCACACACACCAACACACTCATACACACCAACACATAGACACACACACATTCTGACATACACTCTCTTACACTCACACATACACAATCATATGCACACGCACCCACACACACTCTTTCACACTCACACTCCCCCTCCACAGTCACGTTTCCGTCTTCCTGCTGGGACCCAGAATGGTTTGGGCTCCCGCTGCTGAGCTGCTGTCTTTGTCCCGGGATGTCCTGATGCCCCAGCACAGCACTGGGGCTAAGGTCCTCCCTGCCTCCTGGGGAAGGTGGTTGGATTTTCTGGGTGCTAGGACCCGGCTTCTGTCCTGAGAGCTGGTCTTTGCCCACGGGTCCCTGATGCCTGGTGATTCATTGGTGGGATGGGTGAGGCCTCTGTGGCTTGAATTCTGCTTTCCCTGCTTACTAGCTGTGGACGGGTCACTCATGCCATTAGCAACTCTGTTACCTCACTCGTGCAAGTAACTGAATCCCAGGGCCATTTTAAGGATGAATGACGATGCATGTAGTGAAGCACTTCTCAGACTTAGCAAAAGCAGGCACCGTCTGGGGATATTGTTAAAATGCAGACTCTGATTCAGGGTCTGGTGGGCCCCGAGAATCTCTGTGTCTAACAAGCCTCCACATGATGCTGATGCTGCTGGTCCAGGGGCCATCTCGGAGTAGCACAGATGTGAAGTACAAAGTGCCTCATCAAGATGGGGCTCCCATTGGCCCCCTACTTGGGTGCCCTTCTGAGAGAGGCAGAGCATGTGCATTCCTGCTGGGAGGTGTGTGGCCAGGGTCCTGGAGAGGGAGGTATGGCAAGATGACATGTTCTCCCTGCTGCTTGGTGGGGGAAATGTGGTCTTTACTTCTAATGATCCCCTGATCTGATGGTGGAGGCCTGGCTCATGGGGAACTCCTGTCTGATCAAGAAGAGAGATGTTCACATGTGAGTGCAACTAAACCCCTAGAATCTGCGTCTTTGAAGTGTTGGAGGTAGAATAAGAGTCATTCCAGAGTGGCAGTGTCTAATGAGGGGAGGCTTCTTGAAGAAGGATGTTGGGAGGCAGGCCTTGCAGGGGCTGGGGAAAGACCGTGGGTGGAAGCCAGGTAGCCTTGCTGGTAATCTGACAGTTCTGGACCAGGTCTGTGGTGCCCCCTTGCCTCCTGCCACCTTTTCCCTGACCCAACACGTCCACCAGCGAGCTGGGCCTTGCCTGCCAGCTCCCCTCTGGAAGACGTCTTGTTGGAAGGCAGGCCCTGTCTGCTCATTAGCACGGGCAGCCTTTCCCTGAAACCTTCTGCAGGGGCCAAGCCTGGCTCCTTCCACGGAGCGGGAGGCCCTGGCTCCGTCTGCTAATCGTCTGCTGTCTCCATCCCGAGCATTATTTTATTTTCGTATTATTCTTTTTCCAGCTAATATCCTGGCATTTCCAAAGACACCGGGTTTCATAATCTTCCTGGCGTTCCCAGGGAGCTGGGAAGCAGAGCACAAAGCCGCTATTATAGCGCGTTCCATCCAGCCTCCCTCTCCACCCCACACCCCCTGTGGCCACAGCAGCCACCACCGCCGCCTCCCACCCAGTCACCCCCTCCTGACGCCACCGGCCTCTCTGGGAACTCTGGTGACGGCTGCCGGGATGAGCTCACAGAATCCATCCTGTTGCCCTTGCCCTGGGCCTGCCCTCCATGATCGAGGATTTTTCCAAGCCCTGCCTCTGTGCTTGGCTTGAGTGTTGGGAAAGGTTCTCTGAGATGCCTGGGCCTGGCAGGGAGGGGAGGGACAGAAACGTCGGCAACGTGTGCTCAGAGTCTTGGAGATTTTTGCTGCTGGAAGAAACTTTCATTTTCTAAAGGCGTGCCTGATCTGCCTTGGGAGCTGTAGGAGCATCTTGATATTGGATGGAAAGTTGTGCATGTGTACGCACGCATGTATGATCTGGTGTAAGGGCCATGGTTTTATCCAATGCTCCAGGGGATCCAGGACCCCATAGAGGATAAGAATTATTAATATTCACTTTACCACGTGCTAAAAACCAGGCTTTATATGCGTCATCTCATAGTGACCCCAGAAGGCTGGATTCTATTATTAGCCCCATTTTACAGTTGGGGAGACTGAGGCTCTAGAGCTGCACTCTCCCACACAGTAGCCACTAGCCGTGGGTGGCTACTTAAGTTTACAGTTAAAGTAATCAGAATAAGAAAATTTGATTCCCCAATCAGACAGGCCACATTTCCAGTGCTCAGTAGCCACACCTGCCGAGTGGCCAGCTACCACATTGGGCAGTGCAGCCATTGACGGTTTGATCATTGCAGGAAGGTCTGCTGGACAGTGCTGCTCTGGAATGACTCCGAGCCCTAATGTCACCTTGGAAGAGGCCTGAGTGGGGATGTCCAGCAGCACAGCACGAGTCAGTGCTTAACCAAGGTCCAGGCAGTGGCTCTTCTGCCCCTCTCTCCAGGTGTCCCCTGACCAGCAGCCAAACCCCATCTGGCGCTTTCATTCCCCCACTTCTATGAGGGCATCATGTCTCTCCTGCTCCATGGAGTCCCTTTGTGGTGGGGTCCCAGGGTGGGAGGATTGGATGCTGCTGGCTAGAGGCCTCTGCCCTGGGCAGGCTTCTCCTCACCTGATAGCCAGGCAGCTTGGCAGTCCTGGGGCAGTCGGGCAGCTAGAGAGGAGCTGGCCCCCCGGCCCCAACCCTGGGAAACCTCCAGAGGGTTGGTGGAGGCCAGCATCCCGACTGCAGTAGAGAGGACCCTCAGAGACAGGCAGCTCAAGCCTGGGCCGGCGAGGCAAGGCCAGTTGGGAGTCAGAAGTGCAGGGATGTGGGTCAGGGAAAGGCTGGTTCCAGAGAGGAGTAATTTGGGTCTTGAGCTGGCTGAAAAGGAGGTCAGATGTGGATGGGGAGGGAGGGGCGGCTCTGCGCCTGAAGGAAGCCATGCTGTGGGCAGGGGACCCAGGCTTGGTTCCCAGAGCTGGCACTGTGAGCAAGGGCAGGCCCTGGGAGGTGCGAGGGGTTTACCTCATTAGGAAACAAGACCTATGGCTGGGGCTGGGGCTGGGGTGTTGAAAGGCAGCTCTGTGGATCTCTGGACTCTGTTTCTTGAATATTCACGTTGAGCACCTGTTCTATACCTGGCATTGTGCTAGCATGGGCGGCTTGAGGGCTGGATCTCCTCTCAAGCAGAGGCCTCGCTGCTCTTCCTACTGCCCCTCAGTAGGGGACAATTTGGGTAACTCTAAATGCGTGGACCCTGCATCTGTCTCGCTCAAGATTTGAACCCCAAGGTCTGGAGGATTCGATTGCGTGTCCATGTGCCTCAGGCAAAATGCCAGCGCCCAGATTCATGGCTGCAGAGGAGTGTGTTACAGTTGGGCACATGTGTTGAGTATCACCCATGTGGGTCATTGTACATGCATGAGGGTCTTCATCTGTCATTGCTAGAGTGACCATATAATTTACTGTCCAGTCTGGAACACTATTAATAATCACACTGGAAAAGCAGGCGTAAGTAGGACCATTCCAGGCAAACTGGGCCATAGAGTTGTCCTAATTACCAAGGCACCCTGGCGTGGGATGAAACCTGCTCCAGTGTTCTCTGCAACATCCGCATGTGGAGACATGGAAACCCTAGAGGGACAAGCACACACGCATACACGCTCGCGCCAGCCCACACGTGGCATCGTGGATTCTCCAGGTTTCCTGATTCCACCCTCAGCTCCCCAGGGGCCAGCCAGTAGTTTTGCAAGGAGTTTAGCAGCTGCTTCCAAGCCCTGGCTCCAGCTGTAAATTAAATGGGGTTGCACTCTCGCCTGCTATTCCACTTAAGGTTGCAATCAGCCCTGATTAGAAAGGGAGTCTGTGTGTTCCTGTGTTCCGTTCTGTCTTTTAAAGGGTTCCCCTCCTTTGGCCTGGGCTCCTGGCCTGTGTGGGGTTTCCCTGCAAGCTGAGGCTGGAGCAGCCAGGGAAATGAAGTGGGCCCTGGGTTCCCCACAGCCCTGACTTGGCATTCAACCATCTGTAGCTCCAGAACTTTGCTCAGGTGCTTTGAGCTCTGATGGGGTAGTAGGAGCCTGGGAAGAGCCTTGAGAGTGGGCAGGAGGACCCCAGGTTCTGCCAGCTAATTTGCTGTGTAGCCCCAGGGAAGACCTTAACCTCTCTGGGCCCCAGTTTTCTTGCTTATCAGGTGGGAATGCTAAAAACACAACAAAAATAATAACCTCTTCTTATGGAGCAGGGGTCAGCAAACTATGCCCCACAGGCCAAATCTGGCCCTCTGCCTGCTTTTGTAAATAAGGCTTTATTGGCCGGTGGCTCACACCTGTAATCCCAGCACTTTGGGAGGCCAAGGCAGGCAGATCACCTGAGGTCAGGAGTTTGAGATCAGCCTGGCCAATATGGTGAAACCCCATCTCTGCTAAAAATACAAAAATTATTCAGGAGGCTGAGACAGGAGAATTGCTTGAACCTGGGAGGCAGAGGTTGCGGTGAACTGTGATCGTGCCATTGCACTCCAGCTTGGGAGACAGAAGGAGACTCCGTCTCAAAAAAAAAAAAAAAAAAAAAAAAAAAGGCTTTATTGGCACATAGCTGGTACTCATTCACCTATGTAGTGCCTGTGGCTGCTTTTTTGTTACAACAGCAGCCGAACAGTTGCAGCAGAGACCCTATGGCCCACGAAGTCAAAAGTAGTTAGCACTTGGCCCTTTATAGACAAGGTCTGTCAACCTCTGTTCTAGGGCATGTACCGTGGGCCAGCCATTGCCTTCTGCCCTGTCCACATAGTATCTCATTTAACCCTTCCAGCAGTTCTAGGAGATAGGGTCTGTCAGCACTCCCATTCCATTTTACACTTAAGCAAACTGAGGTAACCGAGAAGCCAAGTAGTAATTGTTTAGCTGTGTTTCCTCCCATGAATATTGTGAAAAATTTTATGGATAATGGTTGGGTTGTGCAGGGTTTGTAGTAGTGTACACTACATCATCATGTTGGCATTTGGATGTCCCAGCAAAGCCTATAGTGAAGAGAGTGAAGATGGTGAAGACCTGGAAGATCACCCTAGAACTGTGCTGGTCAATGTTTAACAACCAGGTCTCCAGAACAAAACAAAACAAAACAATCCCCAGCCCTGGTTTGTAGCATTTGCTGATTTCCATGGTGTAGCTGTTCCTGCCATGACCAATTTCAAGCTAGCAATGTGGCACCACTGAACACAGAGCTGGGAAGAGACGGGCAGTAGCACACTGATACATAATATTTCCATCACAGATACATGAGATGGAAGCAGCCTCAGGAGCAGAGATAACGGGAAAAGGTAGTACAAAAATTAGAATGGGCCAGGCGTGGTGGCTCATGCCTGTAATCTCAGCACTTTGGGAGGCTGAGGTGGGAGGATTGCTTGAACCCAGGGAGGTTAAGGCTGCAGTGAGCTGTGATTGCGCCACTGCACTCCAGCTTGGGTGACAGAGCAAGACTCCATCTCAAAAAAAAAAAAAAAAAAAAAAAAAAGAGAAATTAGAATGATTTCAAGTATTTACCACCTTGAGTTTTTAAATATAGTTTCTTTAGTGGTAAATGTATATGATTTAATTTTTACTAATGGCTGTGTTTAACAACTGGCTTGCAGAATTCCTGAAAATATAATCTGCTCTCGTGAACCACATGCGCTCACTCCAGCACCTGCTGCTCTGAGGGGCCCCCTGACCCCTTTTACATAAGAGATGGGGGATGGCCCCCAACAGTAGTGCCCCTTCCAACAGCCCTGCCACAGGTGCTCTTCAGGCCCATCCTGTGTAGGAGTTGAGTCCTCCCCATAAAGTGAAGGAGGGTAGCCAGCCTCCAGCTGGTCCACACCCATCTGCTTGACTCTGCTGGAGCAGGGAAGGTCTCTGTGGCCTCCCTGGTGGCCCCTGAGATGTTTCCTTTCTGGCCACTGTGGGGCTTTCCCCTGCCTGCTCAGCCCCAGGAAGCCTCACTGCTTAGCCTGTGACTTGTTGCTGTGTCCACCCCTGCTCTGGCCCTTCTGTCACCTTACTGTCTCCACTTTATAGATCCTGAGCCAGAACTCTAGGCCCTGTTTAGACCAAGGCACCATTGCAAACAGAGGGTCTGCAGACAGAGGGCACAGACACCCCGTGGTGCAGAAGGAATCTCAGACATGCTGGTGGGCTCGATCTTGGTACTGATCTGATTTAGGTGGGTTGAGGAGTCCCCTTTGTAGGCTGTGTTTCCCCAGAACCTGACTATCTCCTCCTGGCTGTGGTCCTTGGATATTAGTCCTTGGCAGACTCAGGTGAGTTTGGCCATTGGCTCTGGGGACCCCTGGGGGAGCCCTGTGGCTCTGGGAGGCAGAGAGTTCCTCATATTCCTATGCTCAGGCTCCTCCAGGGAGCCGTGGCTTCCAGCCGGGCAGCAGCGGGTTGGAGGCCACCCAGTTCCCTGGACAAGCAGCAAGATCCCTTACACAGCTAGCCCAAGATGGAGTGCGTGGCCACAGACCGTGTGGCTGCCAGCCCCAGCCTGGGAGTTGCGGTGGCATGAGCTATCAAGGCAGGAATGTGACTGTGGGAAACCCAATGCCCTGGGCCTGGCCCTGGGGCTGGGCAAGAGTGTGTGTGTGTGTGTGTGAATGGGGGTGAAGGGTGGGTGGGCAGAAACCAGGGCATCAGCCTCTCCTGCAGCTTGGCTCTGCACGGGGCTCAGAGTGGGAGCAGAGGCAAAGCGGCCCTCCCTGTCCTGGCCTTGTCCACCTGGCCAAGCCTTTCCTCTAGGCTCCAGTGTGCTGCTGCCGCTCTCCCAGTTCCAGCACCCTCCTTCCCCTCCTCCAGGAAGCCTTCCTGAAGGGGCTTCCAAAGGCCTACCCCATTCCATCCCACCCCACAGATGGCCTCATCCTGGGGTGTAAGTGAGTCCACATTAATCCCTTTTTCCATAGTAACATCAGACCCGACTCTGAGCTTCCTGAAGGTAGGAGGTGCTGTCTGATGCACCTTGCCTGTCCTTTGCCCTGGGACCTTAGGCCTGGGTGCTGCACATGTGGCTTAGGGCGAGGGAATTCTGGTGATTGACTGCATGTGATAAATCTTCATTGGACGCCCACTACATGCTCGATGTTGGACTGGGTGCAGGGGATAAAGGAGTGTGTATGTCTTGCCTGCATACATGGAGGGTAGATGCAGGGGAGAAGCTGGGAGAGGCTGGGTAGGGGCTGCTGCTGAAGGCTGGGCAGCCAAGGAGGTGCCCATACCTCAGAGATGATGCAGCTAAGGAAGAGCCTGAGTTAGCTCATTTGAGAAGACATTCCAAATGGAGAGGACGACATCCCTGCATAAAGGCCCTGTGGCAGAGGAAAGGTTATGAATTCAAGAAATTTACAGAAGGCCAGAGGAGAGGAGTGTTATTTAACAAGAGCCTAGAGAGATGAAAGAGTTAAACCAGGTACCTGCCAAGGACCGTGGGGTATCATTTCATTCAGTTTTCACTACTAGTTCTCTACAGGGCACAGTTTCCCCGAACCTGGCCACAGGGGACATTGGGCAATGTCTGGAGACATTTCTAGTGATCGTAACTCAGTGGAGATGCTACTGGTATCTAACAGGTAGAGGCCAGGGACGCTGCTAAACATCCTACGACGCACAGGACAGCCTCATAGCAAAGAATATTCCAGGCCCAATTGCCAAGGTTGAAGAGCCGTGCATTTTCCACAGTAGCCCTGTGTGGGTGCTTGTGAGGCTATGCGTGTTAGAATGCAATTTTCAACAGGTCGGGCAGGGATGGCCTCTCTGGGCAGGTGCCACTGGCCCCGTGAGCAGCAGTAGCCATTTCACAACTTGAATGGGCAATGCCTGGCACAGAGTAGGTGTTTCGTAAATGGGTGGCACATCAGAGGAGAGACTGACGGGAGGGAGATGCTTCCCCAAAGTTCCCAGATTGGGTTTTCAAGAGGCCTTGTTACTTGCTTTGAGAGAAATTCCCCAAGCTTGAGCCACGCTGATGTCCACACCTGAAAACCAGAATGTACTTCAAAATCAAGAAGGCATGACATTGGCGGATCCCCACCGGGCCGGCCTGTGTCATCTGCCCTCCTCAAGGCCGACACAGTTGTCTTTCCCTGAGGCAGGTGCCCATTGTTCGTGAGTTCACTCACTTGTTCACCAATGATGTGTTGAGCACCTGCTGCCTGTGAGGTGCTCTGCTGGGTGATGGGTGCACGCTGGGCACCTGGCTGGGCTCTCAGTGGGACAAGCAGATGGGTGCTCGCAATGTAAAGTGGTGAGTGCAGTGGCTGGGGAAATTCAGGGCGAAGTGGGAGTGCCCAGGAGGGGTACCTAACACATCCTTGCAGGGTGACCTTGATGATAAGACTGCACAGAAACGTCAGGGGACACATGGGGCAAGGGCCTGGGGGCAAGAAAGGAGACCTCAGAGTGTTGCAGCTGGTGTGAGCAGGTAGGGGGTGTAGGGGTTTGGGGGTCTGTGGGTTTGGTAGTGTCCTGACTGCCAGAGACTCAATTTAGAGGCCACAGCAGGCCAGGAGGGAGGGGTGGCCTTCCCTCTGCTCCCAGGGTCTAATGGGGATGTATGGAGAGCCCAGTCTCCCCTGGGAGGGCCAGTGGACCAGAGGATATAAGGATGTTGGCCAGGCGTGTGGGTGGAAGTTTGCCCGGATTGTGAATCAGGGTGGTACAAAGAGGGACTGAGCTTAGTGGCTTCCCTCAGCCTGGCTCTGGGGGGTGTGTCTCCCCTGGTGCCCCAGTAATACTTCTTCCTAAAAATCCCCATCTGTCTCCCTGAGGTAGAGGGAGAAGGTCAGCACTTGGGTGGCAGATGGGGTGAGGGTGGGCAGCAGGCCCCTGGACCAGGTGTGGTGTGGCTGGGCCCCTCCTCTGGAGCCAGGTCAGGTTTTGGAACCCAGGCAGTATGAGGGGCATTCTCAGTGGGAGCGTTGGTTCCTCCCCCTGCAGGACAGTCACTTGCAGGGCCAGGGACTCAGTGAGGTCCACATGGAAATCCCAAGGAGGGAGATGCTGCTTCTGATTGCAGGCAGGAGGCCCTGCCCTTGGACAGAGACCCAGAACGTGCTGCCAGAACCTCAGACAGAGGCCTTGGGAGTGGTGCTGACAGGGGCCCAGTGAGGGGGGCCATCTAGAGGAGGTGCCTGGTGAGTGGGGATGAGCACTGGCAGCCATCCGCGAGCAGGGAGGTCCCTGCAGGCGCTGGGAGGGAGAGAGGAAGGATGGGGCCCTGGAGCCGGAGGCGCCTCCCTCCCTATGCTCACCCTAGCCCCCTACCTGCGGGTGGGGCACATGTGTGTGGCCGGACTGAGGTAGACGGACCACAGAGTCCATCCCACCTGCCTGCAGCTGAGTCCACCCCCTATCCTCCCTACTCCCACTGCTCCCACCCCTTACCGGTGCCCCAGCAGCTAGAGGTGCTGAGATGCAGGCATCACGCACTGTTGCACCTGCGGGCTGGCCAAGCCCTATTTCCAGCGTCCTAACCAGCTTTCCTTAGTGTCCCTGCCTCCCAAGTCTAAGAGGCCTGCTGGGCCTCCAGGTTTGCTTTGCGTTTGGTGTTGCACACCCTGCAGCCAGGGGGGTGTTCTGTGGTCATTCAGGGCTGGGCTTGGTGCTCCCTCCAGTGGGTTGCCAGCGCTGCAGGGCCAGGCCAAACGCCTCTCCTGGCAGGGGCCCAGGGCTTCCATACCTGTTCACGAGGGAGGAT
Source organism: Homo sapiens (assembly GCF_000001405.40). NCBI lineage: Eukaryota > Metazoa > Chordata > Mammalia > Primates > Hominidae > Homo > Homo sapiens. Next base: position 71,587,285 of record NC_000002.12, read on the forward strand.
TTCAGGCCTTTGGGTCCGTGAGAGAGAGCGAGAGAGGGGGAAAGAAACTCCATGTACAAACCACCACTGCCTGGAGGCACTGGGAGAGGCTCTTGCTGGTTTGCTTGATTCTTACTGAAATGTCCACTTTTACACCTTGGAATCATTTTCAACAAATATGAGTGATGTGAACACCACTCCCAGCACATGACAAACTTTATAGTTTATGACACGCCCCCTCCCCAAGCCCTGTGCCTTCCCTCGTAAGGTCATTGATAGCTAACATTTCTTGAGCATTTACTGTGAACCAGGAAGTGTGCTAAGAACTACATCTTCTGTATCTTCTTTAATAATCAAAGCAACTCTCTAAAATAGATACTGTATAATTATCCCAAATTTATAAAGTGATTGATTCAGAGAAGTTAAGCCACTTGCCCAAAGTCACACAGCCAGTAGTAAACAGCAGGGCCAGAACTGGAGCCCGAGGAATCTGGTTTCAGAGCCCATGTTGAAGTTGTGGCCAAAGGAAGAGGAGAGTCCAGGCATCTCCCTGTCAGAAATGAGGATGTCCTGTGGTGGAAGTCAGAGCCCACCCAGGGATAGCAGGACCTTGGAGAGTCCCCTGGGAGAATAGAGGGACTCAGCCTTTCCCAAGTGTGTGTTTTGCAGGCCCTTTGCAGCAAGGGAGCAGAGGAAGACCCAGCCTACCTTAGGATGCAATTCCTTTTTGACCCAGAGTGACCAGGGCAGGCTTTGCTTAGGTGTCCTAAGATGATCTGAAGACGGGGAGGCCTGGGATGGTTGACGGCACCTCTGGCTGTGGAACAGCATAAGCTTGCTATGGGAGTGAGTGTGTCTGGGACAGCTTTAAGGAGCGTGGTTTGCCTGAAGCCAAGGGCCGGGTTTGGGGGAAGAAAGCCTTGGTGTCGGATGGGGAAAGATAGGGCGGGTCACTGGGGGTCTGAATGGGAGAAGGCTGGACTGGACCTTTCAGGCCACCGAAGGATTCAGGCCGAGGAGCTGCATAGTGACCGAGGGTGATGAAGCTGGTTTTGGCTTGGGGATGGCTGGCCAGAGGTGGGAGAACAGGTGTCTAGGGAGGCTTCTTGGACAAGGGGCTCTGGGACTGAGTCTTGAGGGTGGGCATGGTTTGGAGAGCAGGGGCACAGTAGTGGCAGTGGTGTCTTGTGTTGGAGGCACTGGGGGGCTTTGTAGCTTCAGAGCCTGGGGAGAGGTTGAAATTCTTGGGAAATGGTTCCAGGGTGAAGGTCAGGGTGGCCCAGCAGAAGAATCCTGGGAACTGGCCACTCTGGGTGGGATGAATGGGCCGTCTGAGGAAGAGGCCAGGGTTTTCTTTCAAGGGTGTGTACACGTTTGTGAGATGTGGGACTGAACAAGGAAGTGGAGTAGAGACCGTTTTATTACTTAACCCCACCCCTCTGAAATGGAGCAGGCGACAGTTTGGGTAGTGGGCAGGAGGGAGAGGAGAGAGGCACATGGAGAAATTTGAGTGAGTGCAGAGGGAGCAGACAGCACGGGGTGTCTAGTAACGGCCACCGACTCTCCCCAGTCCCTCTGTAGGCTGTGGCTTGGGCTTCTGGCCCTGGGCTGAGGAAGTGCATCGGAGAGCTGGGTGTCTGGCCCAGGGAAGTGGTCCAGTCTTGGTGCTCCCCAAAGTGGTTTGTGGCTCAGTGGTTGGAGCCCAGTGCTAATGAGGGCGAGGTGGCAGGGCTGACCATCTAGCTTTATACACAGTAAACAGACAGCTTGGCTTCCGAGCCTGACTGTCCACCCACTCCTGTCCCCACCTCTGTCCTCAGCCTGAGCCTTGCTCACCCTCAGCAGAGTGGGAACTGGTGAGAGATGGTGGGTGTGTGGTGCAGCTTCCTCCAGAGCTTGGGACCCAGCTCGATGTTAGCAGGGGGTGGCAGAGATGGGGACCCAGAGATGCTAGCCTGGAACCTCCACATTTCGATTCCACTGGACTTGTCCCTAGTGGGCAGATCCCCATTTGATTCTCCCCTGGAGAGCCCCTTCGGGTCATTCCTTCTAATCTCTTTGCCTGGAACAACTAAAAATTCCGTTCTGACTCATCTGGTCTTCACTAGAGAGGGAGAAGAATTTCCTACAGTCCTTTGGTGCTTTGACATTGGAGTCTGGTGATTTTTTAGGAGAGGTTGAGCTCCCCAGAATGAAATTAGAGGCTGAGAGTTCAGCTTTCGGCAGCGGAGAGATCTCCTGGCCCTGGGGATCTAACTCTCTGGGCTAGTCTCCCTGCCACCCCCAGGCCTGGGGGCAGAATCTGCCATAACCAGCTTCGTGTCTCCAGGGCGGCGTGATGGATGACAAGAGTGAAGATTCCATGTCCGTCTCCACCTTGAGCTTCGGTGTGAACAGACCCACGATTTCCTGCATATTCGACTGTAAGTGAGGCTTCGAGGCCTCTATGGGGTGATAAGGGTGTGTCACCTTATGCTTCTGTTTGGATGGAGTTATACGATCAGATGTGTATGTGGGGCTCTGGGGAGCTGAGTCTCTGTGCTTTTTGGTGGGTCAGTGCTGTGTGTATGTGTGTGTGTGTGCGCGCGTGCGTGCACGTGTCCGTGCCTATCTGTGTGGTGTGTCCACCCACTCAAATCTGAGATCAGGCATTTAAGGCCCTGCGCTCTGTGGCTGTCCCATTGTCTATTTGGCCTCCCCTCCTCCCCTCTTCCTCTATCTCTTCTCCCCAGCCCTAGGCTGGCCCAAGGACATGTTAATTAGTCAGGTGTCCGCTTTCAAGCTGTGGTCTGTTCTCCTGACCTCGCACAGTGGCCTGTGTGGTTTCCCTCATTCAGCCCCTCTGTCTGCTGCCCTTTCTAGGGACAGACTCCACCTCCCCCCGAGCCCCAGCTCTTAACCACTCCAGCCACTCACTCTGGCACCTCTGTTTTTTCCCTTGGTGAAGATGGGAACCGCTACCATCTACGCTGCTACATGTACCAGGCCCGGGACCTGGCTGCGATGGACAAGGACTCTTTTTCTGGTAGGTGGGAGAGAGGCAGGAGAGTCAGAGACTGTGGGCTGAGATCTGGGAATGGAGACATCTGGCTTTCGGGCAACAAGGGGTGCTGTTTGCTGGGTGCATGGAGATGGGTGCTGTCACCAGGGTCCTGTGGCTTCTTGGTCGTCAGGTGCAGCAAACTCTTGTCCATGGCCTGCTGGTCTTCTTGGTAGGATCAGGCTTCGCTGACTGTCCCCTCTTTCCTGAAAGCCCCTTGGCCTTGGCTCTAGCCGCCAGTCTCTGGAGGGTCCCTGCAGCCTCCTCCCTGACCTGCTCCTCCTTGATGCTTCATTGCCCTATAAGCCTGATGCTCCAAGAAGTCTTGTCTGTGTCCTCTCTCTGGGCACCGGGGTCCCCCAACTTCTCCACCTTCACTCACCTCAGTTCATCCTGTGCAAACCTCCATGTGACCTTGCTCCCCAGCTCCCCCCACCCAGATCCAGGCTGCCTCTGCATTTCCTGCCATGGCCCTGGGGTTGGCAGCCATCTGTTACCCAGGCTGGAAATTCTCAGTCACCCAGTCCTGAGGATTCTACCTCCTGAATCCCTCTCAGATCTGTTCCCTCCTCTTTAATGTCACACTGCCATCTGACACTGGCCTTGCCCCTTTGTATCTAGGTCATTCTGGTTATCTTCTGATCTCCCTGGCACCTTCCACACTGCCCCAGACACACCTGGTCACATCCCTCCCCTGATTTCAAGTATAGACACTGACAGATAACCTCCAACTCAGCACAGCAGACAAGTCCCTTGTGATGTAACCCTGTGGTCCTCACCTGGTTCACCTTTTGCTCATTGCCCTCTATCCAGTAGCTCCAGCCCCACCAACTCTGTCCACGTTGCCCATGTCTGGCCTTTGCACTCAGTGCGCTCTCTGTCTAGAACACATTTGCTCCCTATTTCTAACCAGCAAACTCCTAGTTATCCTTCAAGACCCAGCCCAGATGCCCTCTGACTTCCCCAAGCCAAGCTGTTTGCTCCTTCCCTCAGCACTTGGCCAGTGCCTTACCAGCACCTCCCTCAGAGGCCTTCCCCTCTGCACAGATCAACAGTGGTCTATCTCTGCCATCTCCTTCCTGCTCTGACCATGAGCTCCCCCAGGAAATGGTCTCGTCTTACTTTGAACCTGCAGCACTTGATGGCTAAAGAACAAACACTTGCTGAGTGCTCACTATGTGCCCAGGCGTTTTGCTGACACTATTTCATGTAACCCTTACAATTGCCCTGTGAAGTAGGTGGTCAACATCCCCATTTTATAGGTGAAGAGACAGATACTCGGATAGGTTAACTAAATGCTTGCATTAAAATAGCTACCAAGTGACAGAGCTTGGAAGGGAACCCAAGGCTATCACTGTCTGAGTGCCTGCTGTTTGGTTGAGTAGAACTGAGTTCCATGGGAGTGACTTCCTGGTCACAGCAGGGCTCTGCAGCTGATGGCCATCTGCCGGCTTCCTTGCTGGTCCACTCTCCTCCGCGATGTGGGGTCCAGTCTGTGTCCTTCTCTCCAGCAGCTGTGGCCCTCAGTGGCCCATCCTCCAGCTCTGTGCAGCCAGGTGCGGGGTGGATGAGGAAGTTCTACCCCGTTTTGCTTTGGGGCCAGGGTCCTGAGAGCTCCCTCTGCAAGTGTATATAGCAGCAACCCGCCAGAATTTACAGGCCCAGGCCAGACAGGCATCTGCAGTGGCTAACTTGTCCTGGGAAACTTGTCCAGGAGTCTGACGATTAGAACTTACTCTGAGAAAAAGGACATGGACGAGTTTATAGCCTTGCTTCCTCTCCCTTCCCGGAAGGGCGTGAGAGGTGAGGGTGCCGGGAGCGGGTTTGTGAGAGGGGGATGGCCAGGGGGGGCCCAGGCAGAAGCCCCCTTGTCCTCTGTGGGCCCTGCGGGCCGAGCACCCTGCAGAGAGGGGAGGGAACTCCTCCAAGGGCCCAGCACTGGGAGCCTATGCTCCCCTCTGGAGACGGCATTGGTAGGGCAGTGGCACTGGTCTGCGGAGACGTCACACTTTCCATCCTGGCCCCACCCCCTCCCCCAAATAAACATCCCTTGAGCTTTGAGGGCACTGCCCAGGGCTTCCTCAGAGGCCACTGGCTTCTGAATGAAAGGCCCGATTGAGCAGCTGCTGGAAAGGAAAACAGCAGCCAACATGGGTGAACCTATAAAACCCAGAGTGTTTATTTTCACTCCCAAACCCTAAACCAAAGCAATTTCTCCCCTGGAACTGACCCTGGGGCGGCTGGCGGCCGGAGGCTGTGCATGGCCACCGGCTGGCATTTCTCTGAGGAAACTCATGTGTGAATCCGGAATGTCTGGGGCCAGGGGAGGGCCTGGCACAGTGTCTGTCACTGGTGCAGCTTCCAGCTGCCTGCCGGGTGTCTGGGGCAGAGAGGGCCCTCCTTGAACCACTCTCCCAGTGCCTCTGACCTGTGGCTCTCTGGGCCTTTCCCCGGGGGCTCCTACAGCCCTCTGCTGTGCTCTTTGCTTCTCTCTATATGGTGGGTCTCGGGGCTGCCCGGACATTGGGGCCATGGCTGCTCCTTCTCCCTGGTCGAATATTTGAGGAGATAGGCAGGGGTTGCCCAGAAAACACTTGTTGAATAATATTGAACTTGGGAGAGGGAGGCTGTCCTAGAGATATTGCCATCCAGACGGCCTGAGGGTTGCACCTTAGGTGGGGTTTGAGTGTATGGCTGGGATATCAATTCTCTGGACCAGTGGAAGGGCATCTGTGGTATGTGCTTGTGTGTTTATTAATGTGTGTGCCCTGTGCAGCAATTAGTCATAAAAAACATAAAGTGATACTTAATTCAGTGACTTCTTTTTTTTTTTTTTTTTTTTTTTTGAGACAGAGTTTCGCTCTTGTTGCCTAGGCTGGAGTGCAATGGCGCTATCTTGGCTCACTGCAACCTCCGCCTCCCAGGTTCAAGTGATTCTCCAGCCTCAGCCTCCCAAGTAGCTAGGATTACAGGCACCCACCACCATGCCCAGCTAATTTTTTGTATTAGTAGAGATGAGATTTCCCCTTGTTGGCCAGGCTGGTCTTGAACTCCTGACCTCAGGCGATTCACCCGCCTTGGCCTCCCGGAGTGCTGGGATTACAGGCGTGAGCCACTGTGCCCGGCCAGTTCAATGACTTCTTTTTGTTGTTGGGGTGGGGTTCCCACTGCTTTGTGAACATCTGTTGTATGTACTGGGTTTGCTTTGAAATGAAAGGCTATGACTTGAGAGGACTTAGAACACGTCACCAACACCACACCTAGCTCCGTCCTGCCCACCCCTTTGGTGTGGAGTGGGTAGCATTGCTTCCCTGAACGGTAGCCTGAGCTGAGTTACTCTTCATTGTAGATTGGTGTTTCTCACAGGGAACCAGGGAAGAAGGTGTCAATTTGGCCCCCTCTGCCAGCTAAGAACTGCTGTTGTGGTTGGAGGGATCATAAGCTCTGCTTGTAGAGCTGCCCGCCCAGATGGAGGACCCTCAGGCAGCTCTATCATGAGGTCACCACGTTCCATTCCAAGGGATGACCCTCAGCTTAGGAGGGGCCCAGAAATCCCTCTTTGAGGCCCTCCCAGGTCACTGGGCTCAGGCGGTCCAACTTGGCTAACTGAGCCAATGAGAGATGGCTGATAGACCAGATGCCACGTCATTTATTAATTTACAGGGGTGAGTACCTCTCAAGAAAGTAGAAGGTCCTGTGCCCTCTTTGCTGGCCTTACAGCTCCAGGTAAGGTCACAGTGGTGGGCCAGGTAGGTGATCCTATGGGATGGTCCTGCCAGACCAGGCTGCAGTGAGGTTTGATGAGCCGGAGCTGCCCACAGCTGGGGCCACGTCTTGATGACCGGTGCCTTAGTTTCCCTCAGATTCAGACTCAGTCCTGGGTGGTGCTGGGGATTTCTTGCTTTTGGGTTTCCCAAGTCTGAACTCCAGTCTTCCTTCCCAACCCCTTTTTAAGCACAGCTTTTTGTTAAGGTTGGCTCTGGCTGGGGCAATCCACCAGACGAGCTTAAGGAGGTGTTTTCCAAAGTGCATTGGAGGCTTGTGAAATGCTCCACTTAAAAAGGGTTCCTGAGTAAGAGAGACTGGGAAACACTGCACGCTTCGGGATTTACAATGCACAGTGGCATATGAGAGGCTCTGAGGCGGCTGCAGGGAGGGAGCCTGTTTAATCTGTTTAAGCACTCATTAGCTCCCCAGAAAACCCACCACTCAAAGAACACATTTTGGGAAACACTGATCTACAGGATTCCGTCCAAATTGCTCAGCAGGAATCCAGGACCATTTGTGATCTGCCCCTCCTCCCCTCCTGCCTCCACTGTCCCCACTGCCCTGGTGCTCCCTTCATCCCCTCAGCCAGACCAATGGCTTGCTGATCCCCAAGTGCCTAAAGTCTTTGGTGTGTTTACCCTTGCCATGCTTGCGCCTGGAATGCCCCCTTTTCCTTGGTCTGCACGGCCTACCTCCTCATCCTTGAGGCCTGCTTTGGGAAGCCTGACTTGGTGCCAGCAGGCGACATCAGGTGCTCCTCACCCCTGCCCCTGTATACTCCACTATTAAGTAGCACATCACCTTGTATTATACCTGTTTAGGTTACAATTTCCAACCAGTAGTCACACTCTTAAGAGCCTGGATTATGTCTCATTCATCTTCCTATTCCTAGCACTGTGCTAACCTCCCACAGGATAGCCAATCAATAATTGTATAGTGAATGATGCATACAAATAACGCAAGAGTGAACGTCTTTGTACATACATCTAGCTTTTTGGTGAATCTGGATGACTCCCAGGAATATGGGAAAAGGGTATAAATGGTTTTATGTTTTTCAGGGCATAGTGCCCAATTGCTTTTCTGAAGGGTTGCTGAATTGCTTCCAGCAATAAAGGAGAGTACCTATTTCATCAACTCTTTGCCCATACTGGCTTTTTATAATTTTGAACAATTTTTCTTAATTTTATAGGAAAAATATTGCTGGAGTCTAGTTTTAATTTGCGTTGCCTTGATTATTGGCAGGCGATCCCACCCTCTCTGAAGGGCCCTTTCCTATGAGGTGGCATGGTGGAAGGAGCACTGGACTAGGAGTCAGGGGGTCTAGTACATACGATCATGGCCGAGCGACTTGGTCTTCCTGGGGAAAGCTCCCTTTTAGGAAAACTGGGGTGATACTTCCCACTCTGTCCCCGACCCTGGTGGTCTGAGTGGTTGGTGGGAAGGCCGAGGAGGAAAGCTTAGTGTATTGTGAACGCAGAAGGTCCTCCCCGGAGCTCCAGGAAGGTTGGAGCAGCAGGGCTCAGCCCGAACAGCCTGGTGCAGGGCTCTGGATCCAGCTAAGGAATCGTCTGCCTGAGGCCTGGTGATAGGTCCCTGACTCCCTTGTGGTGATGCAGTGAGGTAGAATCCTTGTGTGCTCATGGCTGGATCCTCCCTGGGGCAGCCGTGGTCCTCAGAGCTGCAATCCAAAGTGCTTGCCTCAGCTAGGGCACGATGTGCGCTGCATATGGCTTGTGGGTGTGGCCCTGGGGAGAGCCCTATGCTGTGATGCACACGCAAAACCCAGCCCCTCACCTTCCCCTCCACCGCTTTTTGGGAATCTGCCTCTCCCTCCTCTTAGCTTTCCTGGAAGAGGGATTTGTCTGTGAGTGTGTCTGGCTGTCCTTCATCTGACCACCTTGCTCTAGCAACACCCCTACTCCCCTTTTTCCTTTTTTTTTTTTTTTTTGAGGAGTGGGGTCCCGTGCAGGGAGAGGCCAGGCCCCTGCACACAGTAGCCCAGTGTCTGAGGCCCCAGGCCTCCAGGCCTGCTCTTTACAATGCCTTTGTTGTGTGTTTTTTCCTCCCATGGGCGGGTGGGGCACGTGTGTAGGTCTGGGTGATTTTTGTTTGAAAGCCACCCCCTCCCCGTTCTCCCCCCAGCGCTGAGCTCATTGCCTGGGCTGATGGGGCTGCTGGAAGGAGTCAGCCTGCTCGGGGGCCAGCGTGGGGGGTGCTGCCAACACCAATACAGCGTGCACAGCCGCTACAATGTGCAATTGTGATCTTTGTGTAAACGCGGTCGGTCTGGGGCCCGCATGCTTATAAAAATAAAGCGTAGGGAAGCACGGGGCGGGGCGGGAACAAAAGGGGCTTTTTCGCTGGCTCTCTAATATGGTTTTATTTATCGGAATGCGCCCTCCTTTCCTTACTGGAACCTGGAGAGGTTCTCTGCCGAGCTTGGAGCTGATGGTATCACAGCCAGACGGTTTCATTAAATGCACAGATGCCTCTGGGCCCTGCCAGGGGCAGGACGGAAAGGGCTCAGGGCCGGCCCTGCCAGGTCCAGTGCATGGAAAGGAGAGCCCCATGCCAGAGAGGCTCCCACCAGGTAGGGGTGGGCAGTTCTCTCTGGCTCCTTCCCCTGCCAAGGGCCTCCCATTGCCCTCTTCTGTTCCACAGAATCAGGCTCAAAACCATTTTCCTGCAGGAAGTCCTCCATGATTTGTGCCTGATGGCTGTCAGGCTGATCCCAGGCTGGTGGCTGCCTTCTATTAACCAGACCCAGCATTGCTCAGCCAGTGGGTGGCCATGGCTGAGTCCGCCCCTTAACTTAGATACCTCCTGCTCTTAAAATCAGCTCTTTGGGCAACAGGTACAACCTTGGATCCTGCTCTCTCCATCCCTTGATGGGTTTCCTGCCATTGCCCACCCCAACCTTCCCACCTCTTTCCTGGTCACTCCTTGCCAGCCCCTTTCTCTGCCACCTGTGCAGTGGCCATGGTGTCCCATTTGGTCTTCTTGTGGCCAGGGAGCCTGTCTTGCTCTTCTCCCCTTTGTGCGGAAGCCCTGTCTCCCCATCCCAGCCCCTGGGTTGTGTTTGAACCTGCATCCTTCTGAGGCCAGCGACACAGAGGCCATTACCTCTGAGGCCACTGAGGCCCTCTTGAGGTCACAAGGGGAGTGAATGGCAGTGCTAGGGCTGGACTGTGGGGCTCAGAGGGCACAGGCCATTGCAGGATGGAGTAGGGTGCCAAGGGTATTGAGTGCATGGTTAGGCACTGGGTTCAGCCCTCAAGGTGACATCCCATTAGGAGAAGCTGAAGGGAGTCCCCTTCTCCAAGCCCTGTGTTCCTCTCCCAAGTTATATGCACTCAGACCCTCTCCTGCATTGGTTTCCAAAATGTGGTCCCAGAAGGCAGCATGAGCATCACTTTTAGGAACTTGTTAGAAATGCACATTCTCCAGCCCACCCCGGCCCTGCTGAATCCGAGTCTCTGGGGGCAGCACCCAGCAGCCTGAATGAACCTTCCAGATGATCCTGCAGCATGCTCACATTTTCAGAACCACTGCCCTAGAGTCTGCTCTAGTGACACCAACTTGCCTTTGGGACAAGGTAGAGGGAATGAGTTGTGGCTGGGTCCCAGGGTGGCGTGGCCAAGGCTGGCAGGCTGGAAAGGAGTTTGGGGGTAGCAGGGAGCTGCAGGGGCCTTTGGGTTTCTCGCACACCCCTACTGCTAAATAGCTGCTGAGTCTGTGCACTTCCCTTTAGCACCCCACACCCATCTAAGCCACCATTATTCCTCCCTGGACCACTGCAGTGACCTCAGAACTGGTCTCCCTAGACCTCATGCTCCCTCCAGTCTGTTCTCCATGTGGCAGCCAGAGTGAGCTTGCTGAAACGCAGACCTAGCCACGTCAGTCTGGTGGCATCCCAGAGCTCACAGACACCAGCAGCTCTGCTCTGCTTCCCCTTCCTCAAGGAAGCCAGATCCCTCCCTAACACATTTCACTGCATTTTATGTCTATTCTTCAAGGCTCTGACCCAAATTGTAATTTTACGTTAGCTTGTGTGGATATTTTATATTTAGTTCAAATTGTATTCTCAGCCCCTAGCACCTAGCACCTAGCCTGGCATAAAGAAGGCACTCAATACATGCTTGCTGGATGAATGAATGAATAGATGAATATACCATACAGGCACTCACTTCCCCCAGCTGGACCCTGCTTCCAGCAGCCACAGCTCAGGAAGCGGCAGAAAAGGGGATGCTCTCTGGATCTTGTGCCCATTTGCCAGGACCCAGGCTCCATGTCCCCACCGTGGCCTCCAGCTGGCCTCATGGTGGGGCTAGGAGAGCCCCATAGGGAAGATGCATCCCAGCATGAATGTTGTTGCTCCAGAGTGGCAGCCACAACCCTGCTCCAGCTTTGTGGCCCCACATGGCTCTGGAGAAGACATCTCTCAGGGTCCCTGCTGTGTCCTGTCTCCCCTCCCCCTCTCCGGCCCATGCAGATCCCTATGCCATCGTCTCCTTCCTGCACCAGAGCCAGAAGACGGTGGTGGTGAAGAACACCCTTAACCCCACCTGGGACCAGACGCTCATCTTCTACGAGATCGAGATCTTTGGCGAGCCGGCCACAGTTGCTGAGCAACCGCCCAGCATTGTGGTGGAGCTGTACGACCATGACACTTATGTGAGTCTGCCCAGCTCCTGCCTCGTCCCCTCACAGGGAGGGACCATGTGCAAAGGTGGGGTCTCCAGGGACTCGTGGCTGCCCAGCCAGATGGGTGCTCTCCTAACTCCACGGGCCCTAGAACAATTAAAATAATTTTAGAGTCATTAAAAATGGATTGCTAGCACAGATGCCGTTCCCACAGCAGACATTGCTCATCAGTGGAAGGGAACATATCCGGAAAAGGCGCTTGGTTGTGGGTCAGGGGCTTGGGTTTTCTCTGCCTCTGCCTCGCCTGTGTGATCCCAGGCCAGTCCCTTCTTCTCATCGAGGAGCTGCGTGGAATCCTTAAATGTACATCAAACACTTACGTTACTGGCTGAGTGGCCCTTCACTTGGGGTTCCTTGTTTAGGTGGGAGCCCAGACACCCACACAGTGGAGAATCCTCCATGTGAGAGCACGGGTCCCCGAGTGCCTCTCAACTCTGTGCCACAGGCAGGGCCTCTTACCACAACTGTCCCACAGGACCTCCTGTGGTGACAGGCGAGCTCTAGGGCTGTGCTGTCCAAAAAGGGAGCCTCTAGCTGCACGAGGCTGCCCAGCACTGGAAATGGGACTGGTGCAGCTGAGAAATGAAATTGTAAATTTTATTTCATTTTAACGAAGTAAAATTAAAATTTAAATAGCTGCAGGTGGCTGGTGCTCCTGTATTGGACAGAGCAGCTCTAGGAGGCTCCCAGGAGGGAGAGAGTGCTATGGGCTGGAATGTCAGGAAAGCCTTTGGGAAAGACCCAGGCCCTGGAGGAAATGTGGGGTTGGGGTGTCAGTGCGAGGCAGAGGCCTGGAAGGAGGAGAAGGGAGTATGAGGCCAGGGGAGCAGGAGAGTGCTGACGTCAGGGCAGCATTTTCCGAAGAGGAGGCTGGATGCTGCCGGAAGAGATCCACTGGGCGCAAGGTAAAGAGGCCCGGCCTGCGCTGGAGGTGGCGGTGGGATGAAAGGGGAGGGGCTGGGTTTGGAAGACATTGTCAGTAAGAGTTGCCCTGACCAGACATCAGGTTCCCTGGGTGGGTGTGGTGAACAGGGGTGGGGGAAGGTGCTGCTGTCTATATGCCTCACCAGATGGCAGGGGCAGCTGGCCATGGGTAAGCTGGCCTGGGCTGGGGATGCAACGTTGGGGTGCTTGGAAGGAAAAGCTGGTACCATGGGAAGGAATGAGCAACTGGAGGAAGAGTCCATGTGGGACTGTTTGGAGAAGGGCACAGGCCCTGGCACCTTCGGAGCAGGAGGGAGGCAGGCGGCAGGGCTGGCACTTCTCGGGGGGACTCGGCAGGACTGAGTGCAAGTGCAGAACAGGGCGGGAGGGCAGCGGTATGAGCTGCAGGCTGCCAGAGCCCTGAGGGGGCTTGCCCCTGCATCCAGTGTGACAGATCTGTCTTCTGGGCGGCAGGGAGTTAAGGAAAGTGCCTGAAGAAAAGGCACCTGCCTTGATGAAAACATCATTTTGTCCAGGCTCATTTAATTTGATGAACGTGATCACAGTTTCCCCATTTGCAAAGTGGGTGGGAATTTAAGGGTGAAATGAGCAGGAGATACAGAAGTCCCTGGAACTGCAAAAACCTGTACTGCTGAGCGCATTAGAGAAATGCCAGGAGGCCGTCTCTCTGGTCTCCAATAGTCTTAGCGCTGATTAAATTGTAGCAGGGCAAACACTAGTTGGACAGTGTTGAACTGTCCAGAGGGACTTCCCGACCATGATGGGAATTCAAACCTAGTGACAGTCACCACAGGCTGCTCACAGCTTGTTTTGTCCTTGAGTCCTGCTAAGGAGAGCAGAATTCACCATTCTGTGGGAGGGGGTGCCCTTACTACTGAGGCCCTTTCTAGTTCAGAAGGCACATGTAGACCTGATCTCTCTGAGGCTCCCTAGAGCCCTGGGTAAGGGATGCTGATTCTTGTCTCTCTACGCTTGGTCTAGGGTGCAGACGAGTTTATGGGTCGCTGCATCTGTCAACCGAGTCTGGAACGGATGCCACGGCTGGCCTGGTTCCCACTGACGAGGGGCAGCCAGCCGTCGGGGGAGCTGCTGGCCTCTTTTGAGCTCATCCAGAGAGAGAAGGTGAGGCTGGTCTATATCCAGATCCAGGAGGCCCAGGCAGGAGTGGGGTGGGGGCCAACCCTCTGTGGGAGCCTGGAACACCTCCTCTGAAGCCAGGCCTCCTGCTGAGACCCATTTTCTGAACCCTAAGTCAGGACACCATCTAACATCGGAATAGAATTTGGGGATCAGGAATGTCTGAGTCCTCTGGTCACTGGATTTAATCTTCCTTGGGTCATCTCCTGACGTGGTTTCTGGGAGGAGGACCTCTGTGGTCTGATTAAGGGAGCCTTAATTGCCACAATGTGAGGGACTCCAGGGACAGGCAAGGGCAGGATCCCCGTTGCATTGCTGGCTTCACCATGACCTAGCCTCATGGCCCTGGGCCAGCCACTCCCCTGCTGTAAAATGAGAGGTTTGGGTTGGACCTGTACCTTCAAACTTCCTCTTAGTATGATGTGAACCCGAATAAGTAGACTGAATAGGAGTAGGGCTGCTCTGGGTGAAGTGTCTGGAGGAATGGGCACAGTGCCAGCCTAGCATCCCTTCTACCCTCAAGGAATAGAGGCTGCAAACCATGGACTGTCTGATCACTGACATAGTCCATGAGTGTCATGAGGGTGATGGGGGCCTTAGGTGACAAGCACATGACCAGAGCTCTCTTTTCTTCACTCCAGCCGGCCATCCACCATATTCCTGGTTTTGAGGTAAGTCTTGCTCTGACCTTTCCTTCTTCAAACTGATTGCCAGTCTCCCTGTGTTTGGCATCTCTCTGGGTTAGGAAGGGTGGCCAGGCATTACCGCGATCCTGCCTCAAGCCCCCGGGGAAGCTCTTTCAAGCAGAGGAGGGCCCGGGCTGGAGGGAGCTCAAAGTCTCTGCCAAGCTCAGGCCTTTGCTGCCCTTCTCTGCGAAGTCCAAGAACCACAGAATCCCAGATGGAAGGATCCTCATAATTGTCCAGCCCAGTGGCTTTCAGCTGGCTGAGCATTAGAATCTCCGGGACAGCACTGCCCAGGGAATCTTAATGCACATCCAGGACTGAGAATCACTGACTTAGCCCCAGGGTTCTGAAAGTGTGGCCCATTCTTGAGTCCTACTTCAAGCCCACTGAAGCAATTCTGAGGGCAGCCCAGCAACCTCTGTATCAACTTGCCCTCCAGGGCCTTCTCACACATGCACGAGTTTCAGAAGCCCTGATTCAGACCACATTTCCCACTGAATTGTTCTTACCAAGACCTCATTTTCTTTCCTCTTCCTGGACGGGGGCTTCATTCCCTTACTGCTGCTCTCCTTCCTTCTTCTGGAGGTCTTGGTAGAAAATGTTGAGCTTTGACTGGTACCCAGGTGCACTGGATGCATTACCTGATTACATGCCAAGTTCAGCTGCATCTATGAGAAGTAGTCATCTGGGCTGTGTTTGGACACCTCCATTGTCCTTCACAAGGCAGCCCACACAATTTTTAGAGAGTTCTTGGGAGGCCCTCCCTTCATGCAAGCCCTCCTTCACCAGCCCTGCCCCTCCAGCTCTCCCTCCCTGTCCTAAGCTCCTGCTCTCAGTGCTGCCCGCTCCTGGGGGTTCTAGGTTGGTTCTCCTCAGCTTGCCAAGGCCACAGGCTCCCAAGCCCTTCCCATCACCTGCTGCTCTTCTCTTTCCTTTTGTTGCTTCCAGAGATTCCTGGCGTCCAGGCTTATGCTTTAGCCTTTCCCAGCGTCCCTCTGCACTGACATCCATCACACCTTCTTTCCCAGGGACCACTTTAGGGGCGTGGCTGGGAAGTGCATCATTCTTACCCTTGGTGGGAGGTGGTTTCTGTTGGCTCCTCTTAGTGGTGGCATCTGGCATGCTGACCTCTGGCCCCGCCTAGTGCGCCTTGATACTAATAGAGAACTTTTTCCCCTTCCAACCCCTCTCACCATCTCCTGGATGTGCCACATCCCATGGCTGTGGGCCAGGTGCAGGAGACATCAAGGATCCTGGATGAGGTGAGCTGGGCGTGGTGGTTGGGATGGGTGGGCCGAGGTAGAGGGAAGGTGAAGCCAGCCTTCAAGCACACACCTGGAGCCTTCCAGGTTCCTGGTGCCCAGCAGGCATCTGTCACATGGAGACCTGTCTGGATTTTATTCCCCATGCTGTGTGTGGATTCAGGGCTGCCCAGAGTGTGTCCTGGGGGTGATCCTGGTCTAAGAAGGCTTGCTGTCCTGCTAGGAGGCCAGATTTCACCCAGACAACATGAATAGCAATACAGATTCTTAAATGATTAAGTACCAGGTGGCACATTTTGAAGAATAAATTGTTTGGAAGGGGCCAGAGTAGTCAAGGAAGCCTTTCTGGTGGAGGTGGCATTAGTCAAATGTCTTTATGCCCATCAGCACTTAGGAAGAAAGTGAGAAACATGGCTTTGGCTCAAAAGGCCAAGGACCAGTTTGGGTCCTGGCTGGTTTGGGGGATGGGGCGAGCTGGGGACCTCCTAGGGACGGGAAGAAGTTTAGAGTTTGCATTTAGATAAAGCAAGGCTGCATCCTTTGCCATGGGAGGAGAGATGCACGTTCCCTATGGCCTCCTGTGCATCTGTGGGTGGATTGTCGTGAGCCAGGCCAGAGGGTGGGTGGCAGAGACCTGGGTGGAGAGACAGGAAGGAGAGCCCTGGTCAGATGAGGCGTTGGGAAAAGGGCAGCCACTTCCTGCCATTAGGGAATCCCCAGACCGACAGCGGACACTATTTGACATTTTCAGTGTAATTTGGACTTGAAGTGCAGAGTCAGGATGTGGGATCCACAGGCCCCGCACCCCTTACCTCACTTCCTTTTGCTCCCAGACCGAGGTGGGGTCCGCCAAGTGAGCTCGCTGTAATTGCGCCTGACAGGCGGCCTCCTGCTTCTGGCTGCAGTTGCAAAAGACTGCCGATTTGGAAAGGGAGGTGGAGTCCTGTCCAGGGAAGCAGCACGGAGCCCTCTCTGTTGATTGAGTGCACTTTGTGGCCAAAACCCACAGCCTGCTCTGAAGAAGACCCAGCCCAGGGATGAGTTATTAAAAAAAAAGTTAAAATCCTTAATAACTGGATTCGTAATATGTAACAGTGAAGGCTCAGATTCCGAGGGCAGGGATCTGGCTGCAGTCTCGTCAGAAAGCAAATCAAAACTGCAGCTCATGGGCCAGAGCCCGAAGAGCACCGAGTGCCCCCTGCAGGGCCAAGCAGGCTGCAGGCTGAGGGTGGGTGTGGGTCAGCAGGGCCAGGGGAGAGCAAGTCCTAGGAGTGTGCTAGGCACAGGGCTGGGCCAGGCCAGCAGGTTCAAAGGGTCCAAGGAGGACCTATCCCAGTGGGATGAATGATCTGCTGGTCCAGGGACCAGCCCCAGAAGATGACCTTGTGACCTCCCTCAGTCCCAGGGGATAGCCCTGGGACCCCTAGCTCAGCCCATGTCCTTCTCACTTGAAGGCTAAGCCTGATGCCAAGATGCTGAGTCCTCTTCGCTTTAAGAAGCCCCAGGGCTGGGTGGTCCTTCTGTTGCCACTGGTCCTCCTGTAAGTAGGACCGCAGCAGGGTGTTTCTGTCTTCTTTGCTGTGACCAAGCTCCTGCCTTGTATCTCCCATCTGGCTGCTCCCAGGCTCCTGGCCCGATCCCTGTGAAGAGTGCTCAAGCCTTTCTGGAGGGCTGGGAGCCTCCTCCTGAGCCCCTGGCCATGGGAGCCCATGAGAGTCAGGGGGCAGTGAGGGAAGATGGGTGTGTTGGGGAGCTGTCTGGCTGCAGGAGGTGTGGGTTTGAGAGACTAGCTAGGAGGCTCTTGAGCCAGTTGAGATAGGGGCCTGGACTGGAGACAGGCCAGTAGGAACGGATGGGGCAAGTGACTCTGAAGGATGGTTTAAGGATATCCTCTCTTGTGGGAAGTGCCTTTCAGCTAGCGCAGCCAGGTGCAGAGATTTCCAAGCCACAGTGCCTGTGAATGAGATGAAATACTGTCTGCCCTTGTCGAAGGCTCCCAGAGCAGGACAGTGAGGGTAACTTCCTGGAAGAGGTGCCACTGAGCTAGCTTTTGAAGTTGGGATTGGTAGAAAATGTGGGGAGGTGGCCCAGGCAGCAGTGTCTTGGGCTGGGGGCATGTCACCTCCTGGATGTGGCCTGTTGGACAACAAACTTCCCCTCTCCCAGGCTTTATGCCCATCTGGGACACCTCTCTCTGCAGCTCTTGGTCAGGAAGTGAGGCTGTTGCATGGTGTGTCTGAGGCTTTGATGATGTCCGGGAGATCTGGGTCCTCGCAGACAGAGCAGATGGAGGGAAGGGTTTCCTTTTCGCTCTCCGGTCTGCATTTTCTTTGTCTTTCCCTCTCTTCCTGAGTCTCTTCCCACTCTCCTTTCGTGTTTCACTCTTCCTGTTTGCTCCTTGGCCCCAGCTTCCTCCTTCTCCCCGCCTCTTCTGAGCCCTCTGTCTGGTTTCTTTTCCTTTTTGTCTGGAGAACAAAGGCAGTCCTTGCTGCCAAGGGGAATGAGTTCAAAGAAACTGCAATTTTAGATTTCCTGAGAACTGGAGAATGTGTGCATGCACGTGTGAGCATGTGCGAGTGTGTACACTCTCGAGGGCACACACATGCACGCACACACAGCAGCTGAGGTGATCGTGGGTCCCTGAATGCCCAGGGCCCCCTAGGATACAGAACATGTGTAGAAGAAGACCCATGGGGCTTGTGATCCTGACCATTTCGGGGAGGTGGGGAGGGGAGGGGGTGTGGTTTAGAGAATTACCCTTGCTTCTGCTGCTGCTCTCCTGCTGGGGCAGGGGATGCCCTGGTGGGAGGGATCGTATGCTTTGTGGCTGATTTTACTGCCAGTTCAGGGGTGGGGGCCACCAGATACCACTCCATCCACCCATCCAGGCTGCAGGGTATATGGCTTTTACTCTAAGATGTACCCGGGGTACTCTCCTGTACCCCCAAGTCCACTGGAAGGAAAAATTTGGTGTTTTGCAATCAGGAAAATAAAGCCAGTGGTCCCCCATCCCCCATTCCTCCCCCAAGGCCTTAATTTAAAACACTGTTTTTCCTGGGAAGTGTAATTAGAGCAACATATTGTTCCTAACGAGCTGGGTGGGGCAGGCAGACAATGGAGCCCTCCCAGCCTGCCTGGCTGCCCCCTGCCTGGAGCTCCCCGAGGAACCAGGATGTGACTGCAGCGTCTTCTGTCCTCTGCTGGGTGAGGTGAGGGTCCATAGGCTACTGATGACCCGGCTGATGCAGGAGGCTTGCCAACACTTCCCTTGCCCTGGGAGCGACTCCTGTCTAACATGGTGGCCCCTAGACTGGGCTGGGGGTGCCCCTTTCATGGCTCAGGGCCTTGGTTCTTCGTGGTAAACTGGCCAGCGGGACTGATAGACTGAAGTGGGCTTGAGGATGGCTTCAGCTCTGGTAGGGGAGAGAGCTTCACTTGTTCTTGGGGTCTTCTTGGTCTGGGCTGGCTTGATCAACACTCTGCACACCTGTAGAACCCATCTCTGCAGCCGCCCCTGGTCTGCCCTGCATTTGAAGGGAGCAAGACGGGAGCTGGTCAAATGTGGCTTCCTCTGATTAGGCTTATCAGAGTCCTCCATCAACCCTAGGACAGTGAATCAGGATGTTCTGGTGGCACTTTCAGTCTACACCCCATCTGCCCAGCAGTGCTGAGAGGCTTCCCAGTTGCAGTGAGGGTCGCAGCACCCTCACTGAGAATTACTGTCCTGGAGAGGGGGTGCTGTGCCCCTCAAGTGGGCTGGACCAGAAAAAAAGTTGAAAACCAGGCTCAAGAGCTGGCAGAGACCTCAGGACTCCTGCCTGGGAGATGATCAGAGATCCCTTAGGACCATAGGAATGGGGTATGTGGGGAAAGGGTCATGTAGACGGGGTTAAGAGAGTCAGAGTCAGGTTATAAGACGTTTCTGGAGCGTCTTGGGGAGATTTTCTAGAGACCTTGAATTAGGCCCTAAAAATGGGTTAGATTCAGTTGGCAGTAAAGAAAGCCCATTGAACCAGAGGGAGTAATGAGCAGGCCTGGGGAGGACCCAGGGTCAGGCTAGAGCAGGCACGGGTGCTAGGAAGGAGGACAGTGCGTGTTGGATTCATTCCTTTATCCTCCCATCCACCCACTCTTCTGTCTTCACCCTCCCTCTTCCCCTTCAGTTATCCATTCATAATCATTTATTTGTTGGACGGGGGAATTCAGCTATGGTCCCTGTGTACAGAATTGCTGGTTTAACCAAGGACACAATCAAATGAACACGTGGAGATAGCATGGGTGATGGATTGATGTGTCTTTCTATGGGAATAAGTGTAAGTTGCTATGGGAGCTACGGGGGTACTTAAGCTTGGGGCACCAGGAAAGATTTAAATGGACACCTGCTGTCTGAATAGGAAGTACAGGAGGAGTAGGGGTAGAAGTGCATTTCAGACAGAGGGACCACTGAGCTCCAAGCCTCAAAGCTAAAAGAGCATGGTGCCTCCTGCAACCTGCTAGCATTCAGAAGGGCAGGGGTTGCGTGTGTCCCAGGAGGTGGTTCATCACTACTTGGGGTCATCAAGGGGAAATTTATCTCATGAGAGACATGCCCAGAGAAGGCAGCAGGAGCTGGAAGATTAGAGGTCTTGTGGAGGCTACTTTGAAGAGTCTGCACTTCATCCTGAGCAGATGGGAAGACATTGGAGGACTTGAAACAAAGAGTGACATTATTAGAAAGCCTGCCTTGGCTGCAGATTGTAGAACGCGTGGGCTGTTGGGAGAGGGTGTCAAAACCAAGTGAAAGGGGGATGCTGGTGAATCCAGGCAAGAGAGGGTAGTGGCTTGCACTGAGCAAAGGAGATGGGTGGGCGGGCGTGAGAGATGTTCAGGAGACAGGATTACCAGTGTTTGGTGATCAGTCAGGCAGGGCGATGAGGGGCAGGAGGAGCCAAGGGTGGCGTGGGAGCTTTTGGCTTGGTTGTCTAGATGGTGGGGTCAGACTTGAAGAGAGCAGGTTCTGAGGGGGAAGATGAAGAATCCAGTTTTGGACAAGTTCAGTGTGAGAGGCCAGTAGGACACATTAATGAACTAAGCAGTAAGATATTGGGGCTTAGCAGAGATGTTTGGGAGCAGAAAGTCTAGGAGAGGGCTAAGGAGCAGATCAGGGCTTGGTGGAGGAAGATGGGAAGGCTGCAGAGGAGGCTCAGCAAACAGGGTGAGGGCCAGCAGTGTGGATCCAGAGAGACTGTTTGGGAAGGAGATGAGGTTAGCTGGCCAGATGCTGCTGAGGGGGTGAGAGAGAGAAGAGCCCACGAGTGTCCTTCGGGTAGGGGACTCTGGAGACAAATTTCCGGGGAGGGGTGCTGAGGGCAGAAGCAGGGTGCACTGGGAAGCAGGTGGTGTGGACATGAGGGAGGAGAGGTAGTGGATGGAGACAGGATTAGAGAGAGGAGAGGAGGGAGCCTGCAGAGAGGAGGGCGCGGGTGGATTTGGGAGATGGGGATGTCTTTAAATTGGGAAGGAGCAGATCCAGGAGATAGTGTGAAAAATTGGGGAGGAGCATTTGGACGCATGGTCAGAGGGGGAGCCACAGAGGCAGGCAACCCTGGGAGGTGGCAGGAAATGGCAGGGAAGAAGCATGTCCTGGGACCCCTGGGGACAGCACGGTGGACAGAGATGGCCTTGGGATGCATGCTGTGGCCTCATGCTGAGGAAGCTGCCTGGACACACCTCTAACCACTGTCTCTGCCTGTCTCTTCCTTCTGCCTCCGCTGGGCCCGACGCTCCGCAGCTGTGTGCTCCTGCCTTCTTCCTCCAGGGCCTTCTCCAAACGGTATTGGAGCTTAACCTTCTCCAGGTTCTTGTTCCCCTGTCCTCAGCAAGCAGGCTCCTGAAGATGCGGAGCCTGGTCCCCAGCCTTTAGAGAGGAATGTCATCACCACGGAGCTCGAGGGAGCCCCGAGGGACAGACCGAGGAAATGAGGGATAAAGTGGATACTGCCCAGCGTTTGGGGGCCTAGAGAGGAAATATTCTGGGAGGAATGTATTCATGAGTTTTCCTTAGTGATTTTAAGAGAACAAGTGTATGAGAAAGATTGGTCTTTCTGCCACTCCACTCAGGGGATCCTGGGGCTGTTCCCTCCCTGATGGTTTTTTTTTTTGGCCCCTCTTTGTCTTGGGTTTTTGGCTCTGGGTCCATATTGGGTTGGGCATAGCCATAAGGGGCCATGAACAGACCACAAGCAGGCATTCAAGTGCAACCCTGTCTTTAAAGAGGACACCCTGCTGTGCTGCCACCTGCAGCTGGTGGCCTTGGAGTGCCCAGGGAGGACATCAAACTGGGGGTCCCCATAGCAGCCAGGTCACTGCAGAAGCTGTGTAGGCCCTGCCTCCATCCTCCAAGGGCACCTTTCATGTGGACTGTGACATGCATAGCAGCCCCTGGAGCTGTGCACTGCAGCAGCCCTGTCCATCACCCCTGCTTATCAGACGGTCAGGAATGCAGGTGCTTCCTGCATCATGTCACCTGCATTGTGGGTCTGGAGGAAAATGATAAGTTTTTTTGCTTTATGCCCTGGTGACTTAGAGATAGTAATAAAGCCAGTGTTGCTCTGAAAGATGCTTCTAATGGCTCAGCTCTCTTGAAGTCACCCTGGGGAGATCAACACCAACACCAATGGCAAAAACAATGGTACTAACAACAATTCTAGTAATAGTTACAGTCACAGCCATTTACTAAGCGCCTCCTGTGTGCCAGGCGCTCTTCAGATGTGTTCTCTCATTTAATTCTCGGAGCAGCTTATCTCAGATCTTCATCTGAGAATACTGAGTCACTGAAGTTGAGTAATCTGTCCAAGGCCTAATGGCGAGGAGGTGGCAGAGCTGGAACTAGAGTTGAGGTCTGATTCTAGGACTAAGCTTCCAACTGCTGTAGGTTGGGGGAAACATGGTGTCATCAGGGTGTCGCTGCACAGGAGTGTGGCTTGGGTTGGCTGTGAAGTGATTCATGGAGGTGGGGGGAAGCTGATATCTTTCTCTGCTTTGACTGCTCCCACCATCTATGGCAGAGCGTCTGTATGGATGTACCATCCTCGCAGAAGGAACCCAACAGAAGTCACTTGGAGAATGAATCCAATGATTTCATTGTTTAATAAATGAGATTACATGAGGCAAGCTCTGTAAAGTGTCTATCACAGTCCTTTTAATTATAGTTAACATTTCCGGAGTGTCAGGCCCTCCATGTATGGATGTGCAGGTTGGGCACTGCACAAGGACACTGTGTCTAAGGGGCTGCATTTCTAGCACAGACACCATATACTTGTATTTATTATAACAATTTCCCAATAGGTGGCAGTAAAGTGTCTTGTTCTAATAAACTCAGAAAATATGACAACTTTCTGACATGGAAGTAAAGAGTCTTAAGCACATTTTTCTCTAATTGTCACAAAGACACCACATGGGCTAATAGTCCTGTTGAAGGTTTACATGAAGCTCTAAAGGTTATACAGGTATTAACTTCCTCAACCCTCACCCTAACCTTTAGAGGTTGACAACTTTTGCTAACCATTTTATAGATGAAAACATTCAGCTATAGGAGGTGAAATAATTTATTTAACGTCATACATAGTGGAGTTAGGACTCACACCTGTGTTCCTAACTGCTGTTATTGGTGGTTAACTATCTAAGGCAGTACCTGCCTCCCTTGCCCCACCTTGCTTCCTCATGTAGTTCTTTGTGATCATTGAGGATTCCTGCCCAACTCTTTCTGGCAAACTCTTAGTAGGCCAGAATTGACACACACTTGCTCGTCTCTGTAGTGGAGAGAGACCCTCCCCAGCAGTGTGCTTTGGTGCTCTGGGGAGCCCCTTCTCCCATTGCTCAGTTGTTCTCTTTCTGGCTCACAATGCAAGTATTCTGTCCTCACAGGGGACAGGCGTGAGAGGTGGGGGTTTGGGGCTGGAAGGTGTCTAGGGGTGGGGAAGAAATACCAGGACAGATGATAACCCGGAAGGGTCTGAGCCAGGAGGCAGGAGAACCAGGCTGGCGGGCAGGCACATGGTCCTCTCTGGGACTGAGAGGGGCTGAAGTGGATCTGCCAGGATGGAATAGGCAGTGTGTGCACGCATATGCTGTGTGCGTATCAGGGAGGGGCAGACCCGGAGCAGCTCAGGGGGCATCAGAGCCTGCATTATGGGAGGAGGGGTGACGGGATTCAGTTGGAACAAGGTGACCTGAACCCTGGATGAAGGTGCTGGAATTGTGATCCTGGAGAAGATGATGCCTGGCCGAAACTGACTTAGCTTTTTCGTTTCTGCCTCCCTGTTTGTCCACTTCTGTCTTTCCTTCTCTGTTTCTCCCTGCACTTGGCATTTCTTTCTGTCCTATCTGTCCTTCTCTCTTGTCTTTTTGCCTTGGTCTTCCTTCCACCTTTGTCTCCATTCTACCTGCTGTCCACTGCAGTCTGAGGACACAGACCTGCCCTACCCACCACCCCAGAGGGAGGCCAACATCTACATGGTTCCTCAGAACATCAAGCCAGCGCTCCAGCGTACCGCCATCGAGGTGAGCCGTCCGGGCCTGGGCGTGGGGGCTGGGAGCAGCCTGCCCTTCCCCTTCCTGGCCCCAGCCTTTCCTGGGGCCCGGGGCCTTCTGAGCCACTCTCCTCATTCTGTGTGCTTAGATCCTGGCATGGGGCCTGCGGAACATGAAGAGTTACCAGCTGGCCAACATCTCCTCCCCCAGCCTCGTGGTAGAGTGTGGGGGCCAGACGGTGCAGTCCTGTGTCATCAGGAACCTCCGGAAGAACCCCAACTTTGACATCTGCACCCTCTTCATGGAAGTGGTGAGCCCCACCTCCCTACTGTCCCCTTCCAGAGTCCTGGGGCTAGAAGTTCTACATGTCCCCGAGCAGCCTGGGGCTTGTGCTCCAATTCCCTGCGGGATCCAGGGTAGGACCCCTCACTTTCCTGTGAACATGGGGAGAAATGCTCATACCCTCCTCACTGGAAGGGTTCAGGCCTCTGAGTAGGACAAACGGGGCCAACCTGCTCCTCCTATACCCAAATCCTAGATCAGCGAAAGTCCCAAGGAGACATCCCCTGGCTGTTGTCCCTCTGGGACAGGTTTCAGTCCCCTGGAGCGCCCTTGGGGACCTGCTAGGGCTTGGCTTTCCAGGATTCCTCCAAACCTTTTCTGACCATGTCCTCCCCCAGCCTGGGCCCCCTCAAAGGAGCTCACCCCCACAGCCCTCAGGCCCTCCAGGCCTCTCCACCTCCCTGGGATGCCTAGACCTAGTGGCCAGAGTAAGGCAGGTCTGAGGAAAAGAAAATGGTTTGCAAGATGAAAGCGCTGTAGAAATTCCAGGCCCAGTGGCTGTCAACAGAAGCCTCCTCTTGGCCGAGCCAAAGCCGCCCCTGAAGGAGAGCATATAAATTATTTCAAGTTGTGTTCAAAGTGCTTTTGGGGTGTGTGGGGGGAAGAATCTGGGTCTGTAAGCCAACTCTTGAGTATCCACTTGGGGGGACTGTCTGTAAGAAATGTTGAGTCCCGGGCCAACTCCCCTCGCCCGCTCCCCAGCCAGTGAGGGAGCGCAGCCTCGTTTCCACTTCAGGCTGAACAGGATGCATTTGGAAGGTAAAGCTGTGGGGGGAAAGCCGGCCTCTGCATGCAGCATTCAAGGGGCCGACAGAAAAGGTGTGTGGCTTCGCTCGACTGCCCAGCTCTGGGCCAGCCACCATTTTGGATTTCTGGCTGTGGGGATTATCTGCGGTTTATAGTCATTTTCTGCTCTTTGGGCTTGACCTGGAGACTTCCCAGAGGGGGATTCAGGCCAGTGCGTTCTTCCTCCTCCACCCAGATGCTGCCCAGGGAGGAGCTCTACTGCCCCCCCATCACCGTCAAGGTCATCGATAACCGCCAGTTTGGCCGCCGGCCTGTGGTGGGCCAGTGTACCATCCGCTCCCTGGAGAGCTTCCTGTGTGACCCCTACTCGGCGGAGAGTCCATCCCCACAGGGTGGCCCAGGTAGGGGAAGGGGAGATGATGGGCAGGTCAGGGAAGGGGGAGCCTCAGGGCCAAGCTACCCTTCCTAGTTGAGATGCATCCTGAAACCCTTCTCTTACGGAGACCTGAATGAGAAGTGGTTTCTGCTCTGCTAGACCACAGGGTGGAGACCTTCCTTAGGGCAGAGCCTAGCTCTGGGTGGGGGGCACCAGGAGCAGGTGACTGATACCCGTTGGAGCTGAGGGGTGAGGGCTCAAAGTGGGCCCAGGGGGAGGGAGAGAGAGGGCAGGGAGACAATGATGCGGGGAGGGAGGAAAGAAATGTGAGGAGAGGAAGACAGAAGTGGGAGACAGAGCATGTGAAGGAGGATGGGAGAGATGGAGATGAGAGAGGGACTTATTGGGAAGTAGGAAGAGAGAGATACCGACTGAGAAATGTGGAGAGACTGCAGGGTCTTGTCTTGGTCCCTTGGTTGAGCCCTGGGGCTGGTGAGGGGCGAGCCTTTTGAGAGAGCCCCTCTCAGGCCTGGATGGCTCCCTCCCCTGCAGACGATGTGAGCCTACTCAGTCCTGGGGAAGACGTGCTCATCGACATTGATGACAAGGAGCCCCTCATCCCCATCCAGGTAGGATGGGCATCCTCCAGGGAGGCCTGGGTCACCTTTCCCCTCCATTCCTCATCAATTCCCACCCCTTCTCCCCTACCCTTCATTATCACACAGCCTCTATACACATCCCCTTCTGGGCTCTGCGGTTGGACACTGTCCAGTAGAGAGACCCAGATGGGAGCTTTCAGTCTGGCTGAGGGGGGTGGGGTGTGCTCATCTGGGCAAGACTCAATCCCTTTTCTTGGATGCATATGTGAAAAATAGGCCATCTACCCTGGGGGCCATGGTGAGGGCTTTCTCCTGGAGATCACCAGAAAATCAGGGTGAGGAGCAAATGAGAGAAGGACGACAGGGGAGGGAGTGAGTGGGCCATCTCTGGGGTCCTCCAGCCCCATCTCCCTATCTGGGACAGGCCCCTTCTTAGGGGGAAGGTTGTTCTGTGGGCTTGTGCTTGGTGGCTCCTTGGAGACAGCTTAGAAAGAAGAGGCTGTGTCCAAGCCAAGAGTCTATCTCGCCCCATTCCTCCATCTGCAGGGAAAAGGAGGAAGGAGGCAGGGAGGGGCCTTATTCTAAGGTCTCCAGCCCTGGGGGAGGTAGGAGTCTTCCTTTTGCTGCATACTCAGCAACTGAGGGCCAGCCTGTGATGCAGATGCCAATGCCACAGAGCATGGCAGGAGGTCTGTGGCACCTTGTGCTGAGGGGCAGCGCTCCCCCGACTGTGGGCCATGGAGTGGCTCTGGATTCTGTAGGGTTGAGCCCATCTGGTCCTTCCCACAGTAGACATGGAGAAAGGTCTCACTGTGAGCACCAGCCTTGAACTCACCATCTGTTCCAGGTTGTCACCCTCCTCTCTGGGCTTTGCAAGATACTGGTCATACCCCTGGCACCCTGGGGCTCCCAGAACTTCTGGGCCACCCAGAGGCAGAGCCTCCAGGCCTGTATAGACAACACCTGTGTCCTCGGGCCTTGCTGCATCTGTAGTTTCACTGATGCTAAAAGTCCTCAGAAGCCCTGTGTTCCATCTCTCCAGCCTCTGTGGCTCTCCAGGGTTCTGCCCTGCCAGCCTTTCTGCTGGGAAGACCTCCTGCCCCCTGTCCCTTGTCCAACTCTTGATCATTGTTTAAGACTTAACTTAGGCATGGTCGCTTCTTTGGGGGAGTCTTTCCTGGCTCCTCTTCTCCTGTGAGACTTGCCTATCTTTGGGTCACTGTGCTGCTCTAGGGCCTGCTGTCTCTGTCAATGTTAGCATATTCCCCAGGCTAAGCTCAGGGGAGCAACTGCGGCTCCTTCCTCTTTGTATTCTCAATGCTCAGCACAAGGCCTCGCTTAGCGGAGGTGTTAATGAAAGTCTGTCTGTCTTGGCAAGTGGGTAGATGGGTGCATGGGTTGATGGATGGATGGACGAATTTTCTGGCTACTGTCTGTATGGATCTGAGGAGGAATCTCTCTCTTGGCTGGGGAAACCCAAATGGAAATTTCAGATGTCCCTATGTGAAATTTAGCTAAACTCAGTGCTAGTGCCTCTGGGCTGCTTGGGTGTTTATAGCTGAATTAGGCAGATAATTTGCCCCAAACTCTGGCTGCCTGCTCCTGGCTCCTGTTTCCCGGCTGCTCCATGGGCCTGTCTGAGATTGTGCAGGGAAGTGCAGGGCCTGCCCAGCAGGATTTCCGTTCTGTGTGTGCTGCCCTCAAAATGTCTACACACTCAGATGGGGAGGGACTATTTTAGGTCCTGCTGGCCACAAGCACAGCCAGAGGCAGACGATGAGGAGGCCCAGCCTGGCCATCCTCCCGGCGTTGACATGAGGGAACTGGGGCTGGGATCTGAGCCAGAGCTGGGCCTGTGCTGTTTGTGGGAGCACACGGCCACTCTGGCTAGAGCTGCTGGCCAGACCAGCAGCACTGGTGGGAGCTGGGATGGGGCTCCTGGAGGTGTACCCACCTGGGGAGGGGCTGGGCCTCCCCTGGCCTGGGACAGGGGAGGAGGAGGAAATGACACTGATTTGCTCTGATGGGGGAGGCTTGGACCTTGCCCTCATGGAGCTCCCTGTCTGATGAAAGAGACAAAACTCTGTTCTCAAAAGCCTCAAACCCAGCAGGGAGACCAGTTCTGTTCTGCAGGGAGCCCTGGCCCTCTGGGGAAGCCCCTTTTCTGGTATCTGACTTTGTTCCATGTTTTTCTCTGAGATCTATTGCTCTGATTTGGCTGATCCAGGAAATCTTTCACTCACTCGCCTCTCCTCCCTGTCCCTGGCACTCTGAAGGACAGGCGCTCCAAGGCCAACCCAGGAGGCAGCTGACCCCGGGTGCAGTTCCAGTGGTTTGCTAGATAACTATGGCTGGGCTTTCTTCCTCTCCCTCCTTCCCCAGTGCAGATAGCATGAAGGGCCCTGGCTTCTGGGGACAGGAGGGACGAGAGGTCTGGCAGAATCTGGATTTTGGCTGGCTTCTGTCTGCCCCACCGGTGTTTCTCGGCAGCCTGTTCCATCCTCACAGTTGATGCAGCCCTGGCTGGTGCTGGATGTGTTCACTGTGTCCTGGCTGTGGTCCTAGGACCCCTCCTAGCTCAAACCTGCTCTTGCCAGAGTTACCCTTCCATCTTGGTCCCTTCCTGTCACTTTCCTCCGTGACACCTTCTCTCTGCTCCCAAAGCCTTCTTACCAGCATCTGCCTAGGTCCTGGGATGAGCTGGCCACACATTTAGAACATGTCACCGGAGACCCTTGCCTGATGTTCAGGCCATGGGCTGGCACTCACCACGGAGTATTTCTTAGGTTTCTAGAAATGTTTTGGTTTGTGTCGAGAGTGGCCAATTCTGGAGGTGACTCAAAACGTGTATAAGGCAGGTCTGTGCTCAGCATCCCAGGGCTCGTAGATCAGTGTCTGTCTCTAAGGGTAAGGGTGGGGGGCCCTGTTTAGGGGGTGCCTGGCCTGTTTAAACTGTTCTCCATGGTGATGAGGATTGGGATGAGAAATACTCACACGTATTAACTCCACCACTTGTTCTTGGTCTGTGCAGCCATCCTATGTGTAGACTTTAGAGTGGCAGACTAGGGGTGGGGGTGGTGTGTGCACATGAGTGAGCATGACAGGTGGGGGTGGTAGGAGCAGGTGTGTGCACGAGCTTCCATGGGTGCTGGCCAGAGGTGTGTCTAAGCTTGGTGGTGGCATTGCAGGAATTGTGGCCTTGACTTTGAACTTTCTGAGGGCAGGCCTGGGTGTGTCCTCACACAGGGAGAGCAGAAGTGTCCTATTCCATCTAGTTCTCTGCTTTAGAAAACGATATATTCATTTTTTCAGATAATAAAATGATACGTGTTCATTATATAAAATTTGGAAAATATAGAAAAATAATGAAAAAATAGGGCTTACCTCCATCCAAACACACAATTTGAATGCACTGCACCCAACATTTCATTGTCATTCTTTCCTCTTCTTTTTAGGTTTCTCTTTCTGTCTCTGATTCTGTCTCTGACTTCATTTCTACCTTTAAAATAAAATTAAGGCCTTTGTTCACTAGTTGTTGTTGTTTTTTTATTAAGGCAGTTCTTGGTGTTATGATTATGATTAGGGGAAGAAAAACAGTGTTCAGGAACACACAGAGAGCCTGCCACCCCCTGTCCATTTCCTATAGAGGGTCTTGAAGCTCCAAATAGAGGCTGTGCCCCCAGAAATCGCACCTTTGAGGCACTGAGATGCCCCCAGAGCCAGCTGGGTATGGCAAGGGCGGCTCTTGCTTAGCATTCCGAGAGAGCACTCCTAGGTAGAGGGGCTCCTCTTCAAGTCCTCAGAGAAGGAGAATTTCGGGAGGTGGGAATATGTGAGTGTTGAAGAATTAGAGAAATAACTTTTAGGAAGTTCCGACTCTGGTCACAAAGAGACAAGGGATGAGGGGGTGTCCAGAAGATCTCAAATGAGTGATGTCAAAGTGAGGAGATGTTTCATTAACAAGGAGACCAAACTCTTGGAGTCTCCTGGCCCTGCAAGTTCACCATAGGCTAAGCAACCAGGGAAGCTTCTCCGGGAAGGCGGCCTCTGAGGCGGGTGGGTGAACAGGGGAGGACAGGGAGGCTTTCCTGGCAGGCAAAAGGGCTCGGGCAAAGGCTTGGAAGTGGGACTCTGTGTGTATGTTTTATGTGGCAAAGGGGTACGTGTGTGTATGTATGAGTGTATGTGGTAGAGGTGGTGTGTGTGTGTGTGGTAGAGGTGGTGTGTGTGTATGTGGGGTAGAGGTGATGTGTGTGGCAGAGGTGGTGTGTGTGTGGCAGAGGTGGGGTGTGTGTGTGGTAGAGGTGGGGTGTGTGCGTGTGTGGTAGAGGTGGGGTGTGTGTGTGGTAGAGGTGGTGTGTGTGTATGTGGGGTAGAGGTGGTGTGTGTGGTAGAGGTGGTGTGTGTGTGGTAGAGGTGGGGTATATGTGTGTGTGTGGTAGAGGTGGGGTATAAGTGTGTGTGGTAGAGATGGGGTGTGTGTGTGTGGTAGAGGTGGGGTGTGTGTGGTAGAGGTGTGTTTGTGGTAGAGGTGTGTGTGTGTGGTAGAGGTGTGTGTGTGGTAGAGGTGGTGTGTGTGTTTGGTAGAGGTGTTTGTGTGGTAGAGGTGAGGTATATGTGTGTGTGGTAGAGATGGGGTGTGTGTGTGTGGTAGAGATGGTGTGTGTGTGTGTGTGTGGTAGAGATGGGGTGTGTGTGTGGTAGAGATGGGGTGTGTGTGTGGTAGAGGTGGGGTGTGTGTGTGGTAGAGGTGGCGTGTGTGGTAGAGGTGGTGTGTGTGTGTGTGTGTGGTAGAGGTGGGGTATAAGTGTGTGTGGTAGAGATGGGATGTGTGTGTGTGGTAGAGGTGGGGTGTGTGTGTGGTAGAGGTGGCGTGTGTGGTAGAGGTGTGTGTGTGTGGTAGAGGTGTGTGTGTGGTAGAGGTGGTGTGTGTGTGTGTGGTAGAGATGGGGTGTGTGTGTGGTAGAGGGGTGTGTGTGTGGTAGAGGTGGCATGTGTGGTAGAGGTGGTGTGTGTGTGTGTGGTAGAGGTGGTGTGTGTGTGGTAGAGGTGGGGTGTGTGTGGTAGAGGTGGGGTTGTGTGTGTGTGGTAGAGGTGTGTGTGTGGTAGAGGTGATGTGTGTGTTTGGTAGAGGTGTGTGTGTGGTAGAGGTGGGGTGTGTGTGTGTGGTAGAGGTGGAGTGTGTGTTTGTGTGGGGTAGAGTTGTGTGTGTGTGGTAGAGGTGGTGGGTGTGGTAGAGGTGGTGTGTGTGTTACAGGAGGTGGTGTGTGTGGCAGAGGAGGTGTGTGTGTGGTAGAGGGATGTGAGTGTGTGTGCGTGGTAGAGATGGTGTGTGTGGCAGAGGTGGGTGTGTATGTGGAGTAGAGGTGGTGGGTGTGTGTCCGTGTGAGTGTGTTTTTTGTGTGTGTGGTGAGCGTGGGGTGCCAGCAGGAGACAGGCCTGGCCTGCTAGTGTGCAGGAGGCCTCGGGAGACTGTTTCCTCACTCTGTCGGGTGGGTGCTGGGGCTGGCCGGCTCTGGGACTCCCAGGCTCCCAGGCTCCCAGGCGCTGGGGCTGGGGCTAATTTTGAGCCTGCTGCTCCAGTTATAGTCTCTGGGATGCCGTGAAGGTGGGAACGTGCTCCCAGAACCGGAGTGGCAAATTATGCCCGAGTCCCAAAGGGGAACGTGTAATTTCTGAAGCTGGACCAGATCTTTGGAGCACTATGTTTAGCTTTATTTTGCTCTGGTGAACTGCCGGTTTCCCTCTCACCTTTCTAAAAAAGAACTGCATTAAAAATAACAGTAAGGCTTCTGTGGGGTTCAGGATGCAAATGGGAGGGGCAGAGCTGCTGCCTGGCGAGGCCCGTCTCTGGCCAGCTAGGGGTGGCACGTGGAGTTCACCCAGTCTATTCCAGGGGTCACACGACATGTGGCCAGCACCCCAGGGCCATCCAGCAGCCCTGGCTAGGTGCCCAAGGCTGATTCTGCCCTCCTGCGTATGCTTCTGGCTCTGAACAGCCCTGAGGGGCCCCTCAGTGATGTGTCTTTTCACAGAGCAGGGAGGGATCCGAGTCCCCAAACGTCCCTCCTGGGCCCAGCAGGGCTTCACCTTCCGTGGGTTTCTTTGGGCATCGGGGGAGTGTCTTCCAGGATCTTCCTGTTGAGGAAGGCAGGGCAGCCTGGGGTTTCGCCCCTTGGAGTCCTCCCAGAGCCCCCTGCTCAAGGCTTAGAGGTTGAGGGGCCAGCCCCGGCAGCTCTGGGTCCTAGCTGGCTGCTTCCCAGCACCTACCCTCCTGACCCGTTTGCTCTTTCTCGAACGGGCTGTGCTTCTTTCTTCCCCTCTACCTTTGCGCTTGCGATTCCCTCTGCCTAGCATGCGTCTTCTCACCTTGCCCACCTGCTAGCCTGGTACTCATTCACCCAGAGCCCCATCCCCTTATCCTAGAGTATCGTAGTGGTCTCTGAACAAGTCTTCCTGCCTTCAGCCCTGAGCCCTGAGGCCCTCCTCAGGCTGCAGCCCAAGGATTCACAGTACAGGGAGATTGATTCACAGTACTGGGAGATTGTAGGCAAGGAGCTGATGCTCAGAAAAGGATGCAGAAAGTGATTTGTAGCATGGAGTGGAGGTGGGACTATAAGACTCCTAAAGTCCCCACTGATGTCAGGTTTTGGGGAAGACATATGATGCCCTGGTTCTTGTCCTGGAGGAGGGAAGACTGAGTAACCTGCTGTAGCTTTGGGAACCATGCCCTGCAGTGTTGGTGTGGCTCAGAGGTTAGGATGCTGGGGTTGGAGTGTCCCTGAAATAGGCAGATTTTGGAGAGGGAGGGAGGACATATGAGAGAGTGGGCAAGAGTCAGGCATTGGCTGAGCCCCTTCCACGTGCCTTGCCTTGTGCTGGGCGTGCACAGCCTTCGTCTCATTCATACTCACTGTCGCCCTGTGAGGTGGGCTTTGGGCCCATTCTCCAGATAGGACGCTGACCCAGAGAGGTCAAGGGGCTTGCTCAAAGTCACACATCTGGTGAGGTGTTGGAGCCAGGCTTGTCCAACTCCAAAGCACATGTTCTCCCTGGAGGAAGAGCAGAGGGTGCCTGGTCAGAGAGCGCTACCTCTTGGAGACTGTCCAGCCTTCCCTAAAGTGGGTTCTCTAATCCTGTTGCTAACCAGCATGTTTCATTTGTAGCTTGCAGACGGTCTGTCGAGCTTGGCCCCCACTAACACGGCTTCTCCTCCATCCAGTCCTCATGTATGTACTGTTTACTTATTTGTGGGCTCCTTGTATTCCCTTGTGGGGCTGGGGGTAGGGGGGTTAGGAGGGAAATGGGAGGGGAGAGTGGGAGGGAAGAAAGGAGGTATTTCCTGAGCCCTAGCAGGGAAGTCACCTATCTTTGCCTCACTGAAAAGGAGGGGTGAGAGAAAGCTATGGAGTAGATGCTCAGAAATGGACACCCCTAGGTTACTTCCTGGGATTTACCTTATTTACCTGTGTGAGGGCTGGGGGCTTAGGTGGGGCTGCATGGGCCAGTGGAAGCGGGGAAATCTCTCAATTAGACTCTGACTTCTGGAGTGTGGGACCCCAGAAGGCTCTTCTGGGCGTGGGACCTCAGACGGCAGGCTGACTTTCTGTGCTCCTCCCTGATGTGTGAAGGATGTGTGTGACTGAGGAACCCTGGCTGGCCCCTCGGGTGCTAAGAGGTCTGCTGGGGCCAACAGTCTGCTCCTGCAGTTTCCAGCAGGGCTCCTTTCTGCTTGCCTGAGTGGATTCCTTAGGTGTCATCTTTCTGGGCTGTGGGTCCCTCTAGGAAGATGACTTTGATGTCTGGCCTTCAGCATGCGCTCCTGAAGTCCCATGGTGAGGGCCAGTGGGAGCCCCTGACCTGTGGAGGGTGGCGTAAGAGACAGAACTTGCTAAAGGCAGCGAGTTACATTCTACTTATGGTGTCAAGAGGAGGCACTGTTGTACTGGGGGTCTCATGAGCTTCTAGAAGGAGGCTATCGATATACATATTTTTTTCTGATTTATCTATTTTAAATAAAATATGGAAAACACAAAAAGTGTCAAGTAGGAAGTTAAAACCACTTTTATTCCTACCAGTTTATGATAGGCACTGTTAGGGTTTTGATGTGCCTAGATTTTTTAGATATCTTTTAAACTCACATGAATACTTTTTAAAAACAAAATTGGAATCATACTTTTTTATAATTTGGATTTTTTAAATTTAAAAGTATATATGAATATTTTTCCATATTTGTATGTGTGTATATATAATATATGTATAATATGTATGTTATGTATATTATATATATATTTTTTGAGATGGAGTCTCACTTTGTCGCCCAGGCTAGAGTGCAGTGGCATGATCTTGGCTCACTGCAACCTCCATCTGCTGGGCTCAAGCAATTCTCCTGCCTCAGCCTCCTGAGTAGCTGGGACTACAGGTGCGCAACACCACACGTGGCTAATTTTTTGTATTTTTAGTAGAGACGGGGTTTCACCATGTTGGCCAGTCTGGTCTCGGACTCCTGATCTCATGATCTGCCCGCCTCGGCCTCCCAAAGTGCTGGGATTACAGGCGTGAGCCACCACACCCAGCCTATTCTTATATTCTTTAAAGATATGACTGCATGTCACATGAACATTCGTAAACTTTTAACTACTCCCTATCATTTGCCATTTAATTTGTTTATTTCTCCTATTGTCTTCTTTTGTCCCTTAAAGGACTTATTTTAGTTCACTTTATATATGTCCATTCAGATGATTTCTTTGTTTTTTTTTTTTTTTTGTTACGCCCAGGTACATCTGTTCAGGCCATTTCTTGTTAAAGTGTATTCCTAGGCATTTTATGGTCTTTGGTGCTGTTCTAAATGGAATATATGTTTTCC
Source organism: Homo sapiens (assembly GCF_000001405.40). NCBI lineage: Eukaryota > Metazoa > Chordata > Mammalia > Primates > Hominidae > Homo > Homo sapiens. The sequence continues at coordinate 71,622,247 of NC_000002.12, forward strand.
TCATGACTTTGTCGAACTATCGCTAGAATATAGGAAAACAATATTTTTGTATATTTACTTTGGAACTGACTCTTTATTAAGGCCCATTTATTAGTTCTGACTATTGTTAATTGATTCTGTTTGGTTTTCCAAGTAGGTAAGATTGTTTTCTTCAAATAATGATAAACGTGTTAGTTTCTTTCTAATAGTAATGCCTCATTCCTTTTTCCAAATACCATTTGATATTTGAGATGCTGCTGAGCAGACTTATTTAGTCATTCATTCTAATGAGACTGCCTCTACCAGATTTCCATTAATTGGGATGATGATTGATGGTTTCAGACAGATATTTGATTTTGGCAAGGTTGTGTCCTTTATTGTTTGTTTGTTTATTTTTTTATTGTTTTTGAGATGGAGTCTTGCTCCGTTGCCCAGGCTGGAGTGCAGTGGTGTTGTCTTGGCTCACTGCAACCTCTGCCTCCTGGGTTCAAGCAATTCTCTTGCCTCAGCCTCCTGAGTAGCTGGGATTACAGGTGCCCACCACCGCACTCTGTTAATTTTTGTATTTTTGTAGAGACAGGGTTTCACCATCTTGGCCAGGCTGATCTTGAACTCCTGACCTCAAATGATCCACCCTCCTTGGCTTCCCAAAGTGTTGGGATTACAGGTGTGAGCCACCGCACCTAGCTGATTGTTAGTTTATTAATAGCTTAAAAATTAGTCATGGAAGTTTAATTCTATCAAATGTCATTTGGCATTTATTAAGATGATAATTTTATTTTCCATTGTCTGTTAATATAGTGTATAATTGTGCTATATTCCTGGGGTAAACCCAAATCGGTCAATTGGTCATGGTATTATAGTTTACTACAGTTGCAGCCTTCTTATCCAATGCAATCGAGACAGGTAGTCGATTGGCTAATTGATAAAGTTGATTAAATAGGGACTTATTTTTTTTTTTAATTGTACTTTAGGTTTTAGGGTACATGTGCACATTGTGCAGGTTAGTTACATATGTATACATGTGCCATGCTGGTGCGCTGCACCCACTAACTCGTCATCTAGCATTAGGTATATCTCCCAATGCTGTCCCTCCCCCCTCCCCCCACCCCACAACAGTCCCCAGAGTGTGATATTCCCCTTCCTGTGTCCACGTGATCTCATTGTTCAATTCCCACCTATGAGCGAGAATATGCGGTGTTTGGTTTTTTGTTCTTGCGATAGTTTACTGATTAAAAGTCCTGCAAATGTACCACAAACATTTTGTTTTTAACCATGTCCATGTAACTTTATTTGCCAATCATTTGACATGTGCCACACCCTCTTTTTGAATTTGGATGTGCTGACTTGTGTGTCATGTCATCCTTTTGGTATAAATCATATCCAAAATGCATTATCCAGGATTTTTAGTTTTAGGTTTATTAAAATTTGATGAGAACTTAACGATACTTGCAAAAAAAAAATCTGAGTGTAGAGTCCTCTTAAAGTTTAAGATGCCCTTCCACCTTTTATGTTATCTCACTTGTACTTGATATTCATCACTTAAAAAAAAAATCAAAAGCAAGCCAGGTGTGGTGGCTCTTGCCTGTAATCCAGCACTTTGGGAGGTCGAGGTAGGCAAATTGCTTGAGCACAGGAGTTGAGATCAGCCTGGGCAGCATAGTGAAACCCTGTCTCTACAGAAAATACAAAAATTAGCCAGGTGTGGTGGCACATGCCTGTAGTCCCAGCTATTCAGGAGGCTGAGGTGGGAAGATTGCTTGAGCCCCAGAGGACGAGGTTGCGGTGAGCCGTGATAGCATCACTGCACTCTATCCTGGGTGACAAAGTGAGACCTTGTTGCAACAAACAACCTCACCAAAACACAAAAGCCTTAAATTAGTTTTCATAGATACAATGCCCTTCCTTTTTATATTCAAATTCTATGTGTTTTTAAATATATACTTTGTTTATCCAATTACCATATTAGTACAACCCAGCTCATCTTCTGGAGCTGCAGTGGGCATCCTAGAACAGCTGTGGACAGTCAGTGGTTCTGGACCTCAGGCAGATTGTTGGCAGACAGGACAGACAGCATTTGTTAATCCTGGCTAAGAAGTTTTAAGGAGAGCTTCTATTATGTATTATTGAGTTAGGTTTGCTACTACTTAGGATTTTTACGTCTCTATTAATAAGTATGACTTTCGAGTTGTCTTTGTTACACTTTGATATCGGGGTTATACTAGTCCCTTAAAAGGCTTTTCAGGTGTACTTCTACTTTCTGTGCTCTTAAACAGGCTCTGTGGCATGATAATTATTGTTGCTGAAAGGCCCTAAAATACACCAGAGCCACTGTTTATGAACTTAAATTATGCAATTTGGAAATTATATGATACAAATATTTCAATAGTTTGGCTTTATGTACAAAATGTGTAATAGTAGGAAACCTAAATTTAAAAAAAATGACCGACAATCATGTAATTTAAAAGGTGGTGAAATTGTATCTATGGTTTCCTAACACGGGATAGCCATCATTTTTTCTCTAAAATGGTGTTATATGTTTTGAATTATAGAAGATTTTCAGGAACGCATATCTTATATAATTGTATAAGATGCAACTGTCTTGTATGCATTCGTAAAACTGGGCTCAACACATTTTCTGGAGGGGATTCTTTGATCATTTTGTACTTCTTCAATCAATTTGGTAGCTGAGATGTCATCAGATACTGCCTGTTAACACTGGTATAAATTTGTACATATTACTATAATGAAAGCTTTGTATCTATTCTGTTTTCATCTTCATTCTTAATTTTATGTATTTATGTTATTTTCCTTTTTTATTAGGCTTCATATCGTTTCATCTATTTTATAGTTGTTTTCCATCCAAAGAACCAGCTCTTTAAAAATTCTGCTGATATTATAATAGATTAGTTTCTTTAATTTCTACATTCAAGTCATTTTTAAGCTCTCTCAATCTGAAATTCCTATTATATGTATTCTAGATATCTTGGGTTATCACTTTATCTCTTTCTCTCTCTCTTGTTTAGAAAAGACTGTTAAAGGGAGCTATTTGTCTATATTTTCTTCTAAAAATTCTGAAGTTTTGCTTTTCACACTTCAGTATTTATTTCACCTGGAATTGATTTTGCGTGCGTGTTAATTGTGAGGTAGAGTTTTTTTCTCATGTAACTAACCAATGAATTAATATCATCATAGAATGATCTGTGCTTTCTCATTGATCCACAGTGACAGCTGTGTCATTTGTTGGGTTTCCATATAAGTGTGGGCTATTTGTGGGCTCTCTATTCTGTTCCATTGGTCTGTTTGTCTTTCTCTGGGCTATTTTAGTATCTTATTTACTATAGCTTTCTAATAGGTCTTGATCTCTGATAAGGAAGTACTTTGTTCATTTTCAGAAGTATCATTGCTATTCTAGTCCTTTGCTTTTCCACTTCAGTTTTAGAATCAGCTTGTCAACTTAAAAAAAAGTTGAGATTTGTGACAGAGTTATAGTGAATTGCTGGATCAGTTTGGGGAAAGCAGACATTTTTATTATATTGCCTTTTAACCATGAACATAATATATCTTTCCATTTATTTAGGCCTTCTTTAATGGTAATTTAATGCATTTTTATAATTTTATCCAAAAATGTCTAGTACAACTTTTATTATATTTAGTTCTAGCAATTTTATGCATTATTGTTCTCTTTACTTGAATTTTTAAAGGTACATTTTCTGACTGGTTTTTGCTTGTATATAAATGAAATCGATTCTCATATACAGATTTTATATCCAGAAACTTTGCTAAACTCTCTTATGAATTATACTGGCTTGAGAATTCTCCTGGATTTTCTATAGAGTCAATCATATAATTTGTGATTAATTACAATTTTAATTCTTCTGTCTATATTTCTTTTACTTTTTTATTTTATTTTCTTGTCTTATTGCCATTGACTAGAACCTTCAGCTGATGTTCTATGTACTTGGTTATAGAGAGTATTCTTTTCTGCTCCTAATTTTAAAATGAATGTTTTTATGTTTTACCACTGATCATCAAATTTATCAGGTGAACCTAGTTACCTGTTAGAATCTTACTAGTTAGCTGTTTTTTTTCATGAATGTTGTTAAATTTTATTGAATGTTTTTAAAGTATCCATCGAAGTGATCATATAATTTTGCTCCTTTAACCTGTTAATGTAGTGAATTACATTAATATATAATACATAATTATATAATATATTTACATATGTTAATTAATAACCCAAGTTATCTAAAATATATATAACAGGAATTTCAGCTTCAGAGAGCTTAATTACAGTAATAAATATATCTATATTAGTACTTAAACAACTTTGCATTTCTGAAACAATCTAAGCTGATCATGATATATTATCTTTTTTCTGCATTGCTGGGCTCAGTTTGCAAACAGTAAGTTTAGGACTTTTTTTGCATCATTTTTTGGGATGATATTGGCTTAAAGTGTTTCTTTTTCATACTATTATTTTCAGGTTTATAAAATGACTTCTGTTGTGTAAGCCGTAAGATTGGCATTATCCGTTGCCTAAATGTTTGGTAGATTCACTCATAAAACTGTCTAGACTTAGTATTCTTTTTGGGAATATTTTAAATTGCTGTTGCAGCTTTTAAAAATGTTTATAGGACCTTTGAGATTTTCTGTTTCTAAGTGAGTGACTTTTGGTGATTTAAATTTTCTAGGAATTATCTATTTCTTCCTAAAAATATTGGTGTAATATTTTTTATGATCTCTTAATTTTTCAAAAAGAATTTCTTCTCCATCTAGTTATGCCTCCTTTCATTCTCAAGATTATATTTTATTATTCTTGCCAGAATTTATCAGATTTTTTTCAGTCTATTCAAAGAATTTTTAGTTGATCTTCTCTATTATTTCCTTATTTTATAATTTATTAACTTCTTTTCTTCTATTTTATTCCTTCCATTTTATTTCTTTTCTTCCATTTTGGGGGAGTTTATTATATTTTAACCTCTATGTAAACATTTAAGGCTCTAAAATTCCCTCTCACTACTGCTTTATGCATCCTGTAGGTTCTGACAAGTAATATTTTTGTTATTTCCCATTCTGAGTATTTTCGGATTTTTATTATTTCTTTTTGACACCTAAATTGTCTAAAAATATGGTTTTTGGAAGTTACTAACTTATATTTTAAATTATCTTTTGTTATTGATTTCTAGGTTAACTGGAATGGTCTCTATGGTCCAGAGAGTGTAGTCTGTGTGTAACGATATAATACTTAGAAATGGCCTGACACTTGCTTTATGGTCTAGTTTAAATCTGTAACTGTCCTGTGTGTGCTTGAAAAGAATGTGTATTGTCCAGATGTCTTAAATATTCAATGTGCATTTAGAACAGGCTTGTTAATTGTTATTAAAATCTGTACTCCTGATTTTTGTGTGTGTGTGGTTTATCAATTTCTGAGCGAGACATGAAAATATTCTGCTTTGATGTGACATTTGTCAATTTCTCCTTATAATTCCACCTACTTTTATATATTTGATGCTCTCTATATTTTTTCTCTCTCTATAGAGAATTCTTATATCTTCCTGGAGAATTGAATCTTTTAACAATATGTAGCAAGCCTCTGCCCATTTCTGTCTTTTAAAATCTCTGCTAATGAGTTTTTCTTAAAGTCTGTTTTGTTCATGTTAATATAGCTACCCCAGCTTTCTTTTGGTTAGTATTTTCCTTGTATAGCTTTTTCCACCTTGTTACTTTCAACTTTTCTGTCTTTAAGTTTTAGCTATCTCTCCTGTGAACAGCAAATAGATAGATTCTATTTGTGTTTAATGCATTCTGACAATCTTTACTAATATATTTGAATTTGTTTCTGCCATCTTATTTTGTATCTCTATCAGCCTTTTTTCAATTAAAATATTCCCCTCCTTTTTTCCATCCCTTCTCTTCTTTTTAGTTTCAAAACTATATATGTTTCTATTTCTTTAGTGATTAGTATAGAAATTTTAACATGGCATATTTAACTTAGCAAAGTCTAAATTTAATTGGTATTTATATCTTCCTCCAGAATATTACAAGGAACTTAGACTGCTTTAACTCCAATCACCTATCAATTTGCAAACTTTTGTACAATATTTTAGTTTTATCTTTTTTACCTACCTTTTTAAAGCATTATTTTATTTTAAGTAATCATTTTTTTCTTTTAGCTATATTCACATTTACTTTTTTTTTTTAATATCCGTCATCTTTTTCCTGAAGTAGGGCCTATTGAAATTCCTATAATTGAGGTCAGTTCATTATAAACTTTCTCACTTTTTAACTGTTTGAAAATATTTTTTTCACCCTTATCTTGGAAATAATAGTTTCACTAACAGTTATTTTCTGTCAGCACTCTTTTCTGGCTTCCATTGTGCTATTGTTTTCACAAATCTGAGGACTTAAAAAAATTTTATTTTAAAGTTAAGTTTAGTTTTGGCTGGGTGCAGTGGCTCATGCCTGTAATCCCAGCACTTTGGGAGGCTGGGGCAGGCAGATCATTGAGCTCAGGAGTTCGAGACCAACCTGGGCAATGGTAGCAAAACCCCGTCTCTACAAAAAATACAAAAAATTAGCTAGGTGTGGTGGTGCATACCTGTAGTCCCAGCTACTCAAGAAACTGAGGTGGGAGGATCGCTTGAGCCCAGGAGGTTAAGGGTGCAGTGAGCCATGATTGTGCCACTGCACTCTAGCCTGGCCCACAGAGTGAGACCCTGTTGCAAAAAAAAAAAAATTTAAAAAGTAAAATTAGTTTAATTTAATTTTTAAAAGATGTTATTTTTATTCATTCTGAGCAATTCTCAACCATTATCTCTTCAAATGTTACAGATTCCATTCTCTCATCATTTCTGGAACTCTGGATATACAGTGGACCTCTTCTATTCTTCATGTCTGTCAAATTTTCTTTCATATTGTTTATTTCTTTGGATTGCACTCTGGCTAATTTCTGAAGATGTATCTTCTTGTTCACTTGATCTTTAGCAGTTTCTAATCTGCTATTTTACCCTATCTATTGAGTTTTCAGTCTTAAGTACTATATTTTTATTTCTAAAAGTTTTATTCCCCCAATCTGCTTGTTTATTTTTGAAGGTCTCCTGTCCCTTTGCAATATTTTTAATGCCTTTTATTTATTTAAACAGTTTTTCCTTAAAGCCCTATTTCTGACTACTCTGACTTCTGTTGTCTGATTCTGCAATTGGTTGGCTCTAGCTGGCTCTTGCTCATGGTGCCTAGTTCCTTATGTGTTTGATTGTGAACTCATGTTCCTTGGAACTTTATCTGAGAATTCTTTGGGGCCTGGGTGGAAGTTACATTCTTTTAGAGAGGATATGTGTTTACTTTTACCAGATGTCTGGAGACACTATAAACACAGATTAACTTAAAACTAAATGTTCAGTGTGTGGCTTTTTGGGTCCACTAGTTAGTATGCATTTTGGCTCCTTATTTCTCTGGATTTTTCCTTTCTCATTTGCCCTTAAGAATTTTCTTTACATTCCCATCAGCTCAGCCATGCATTTAAAATGGATTTTAGAAATATCTTTTCTGTTAATTTAGGTGTTCTTACTTGGAGGGTTTCTCTGGTTGTCTAATTTGTCATTTTGCTGGAAATCAATGTCTTTATTAGAGGTTTAAATTTGAAGTCATGGTTTTCATCATGCAGGTTTATCTCCTTCAGGGTTGTGTACTCTAATTTCTTGTTTGCAGTTTCCTCTTAAGACTTCCTATGAATACACATGAGCCATTTGTTTTCTTCTGCTTTTTACTCAACTCTTTAAGAGCATTGGGAGACATTTGTCTTTGTCTTCAGATCGCTCTTCTTCTTTTGCCCTTAATATCTTCTTTTTTTTCCTTGTGTTTATCCTTACAGAGGGAAGTCCTTGCTTGTCAAATACTGGGACCTCAGTTAGATTCTTTCCATAAATTCATGGGCCCTTCTAATCTCAAACTCAGACAAAAAGAAGAAGGAAATAGTTTAGATTTGCAGTAGTTTCACTTTGCTGGTTAGAAATCCAGCAGGGTGGGAGAAGTAAGAAGGAAACCAGGATCAGAGGCAGCTATGTGGGGCTATTCTTCTGGGCTGAAGAGTTTATTTCCTATGTTTGTTATGGTAGTCAGGGGTTAGCTAGGGTAGGCCAGAGGGCCAGAGCTGCTGCGCCTACCAATGAACTCCTATGTAGGAATTTCTTAAGTAAAGTAGAGTTGACCCTCTCCCACTAGGCCCACCAGGCAGGGTGTTACTTTAGGGAAGTTTCTACAGTTTTGGCTGAGTGAATCCTTAACCTTGTGGGTTCAGACACCTGTTGGGTCAATTTTCTCACGGCTAGATGTGTAAACTTACATGAGAAATATAGCTCCCTGGGGCATGTGACCTTGGTGGCTGGTCCAGCCCATAGTCTCCTATAGGCTCAGTGAGTGGGAAGCCAAATTGTGATTAAGAGTGAGAAATCAGAATGAGGAGAGAGAGTTCTGTAATTTGAACTTTAGTGCCAGCTGACTTGGCACTGACACATCCATCTCCAAAGGTAGGGGCAGCTTTAGTCCCTAAGCCTAGGTCTGCTCTCCCCTGATGGTGCTGGTGTGGACACCTGTCAGTGTTTACTCCTTACTCCTGTTTGCCTGTTCTTCAGGCCTGATTAGTACCTTTCTTCATGGATATGCTCTTTCTCTGGATTAATACATTCTTCCTAATTATGGTTAAGTCTTAGTGTAGGAGGCATTCTTCCCTGTTGAGGTGACTTTGCCTCTCCTTGCTCTCACCGACTATGAAGTTATTTCATGGTCTAATTCTCTAAGGGCAGCCCTATTTCCCTTAATTCCAGGTTGGGGGGATGTGGGATGCCTTATTGCAGCTCATGAGTACTGACAACAATTTATTCCAAGACTTTGAAGCAAAGGTTTTCTGAGCAAAGGAATCAATTACAGGGTGTGGCTCCCAAGTGAGGAAGCATTTTCAGAAGGCATCCAAGGCAGTTTGTCTCTGAACTTCATGGTTGCACCTCTGAGCTTGAGACTTAGAGGGGGAGTATTTTAACTTTAATAACATTCATGGTTTTACCTGTACTTTTGTACATATCAGATGTGCTAATTAGGAAGTCACTTATCTTTTCCTTAAAGTAGGTTTCCTAAGGACATGTATTTGGCAATATTGGTTTAGCAAGAATTACTGTATGTGCTTGAAAGTAACTGTACTTCTTTAAAAATATCACCCGTTCAGAAGTGTTGCCAGTGAAGCCTGGCCTCCCCCCACTCCTATTAGTTCTGATTAGGGAGGTTTGATGCCCGTCACTGGTGTAATCTGGACCTTCCTTTGTGACTCATTCTTTCTCTCATTTTCTCAGAGCAAATACAAATCGCCCATCAAATGACAAGTGAAAGCACAGGGGGAGGCGAGGGGAGGGAATCAGGGCCGAAATCTGTTAGCTATTTGGAGTAATTGGTTATTTGCTGTGTTTGCTGGTTGGGAAGCAGAGCACATACTTCACGGTCTCTCCTGTTACGGGGGCTGGAGTCACCCTCCGATATTGGATCCTCGTTGCCGGAGCCCTTGGCTCGGGGCGCCTTTTCCCTGCTTGGCATTCCTGTGGTCTCCTCGGGAGTGCACCCCTCCTCCCTCGCTGCACACTGCAGGGGGGACAGCCTGGGGTGAAACTTGTCTGGCAAACTTCAGGGCTCCATCAGGGAGGAGGAGGCCCTGGCTTCCACCATCCGGCGCTCCTTGCCTCCACCTCATCCTGACATAACCCCTCCACCACCCCCTGCCCCAAGAGGTCTTTCCCCTGGTCTGAGAGGGATCTCTTTTCCCATCTAGAGAAAAAACACTCATCTCTTCCTAGAGGGATATTCTTGGCTTCCCTTGGAAATCTACAGCATAGGCAACTGTCTCTGAGGTCTAACTTGATGTCTTCCTATCTCTATTGGTCCTATGCACTGGCTACTCCCTAGCCTGGGTCAAAATAGTGCTTGGAAGTTGGTACAGCGCTAGCTGCTGAGCACAAGACTCCCCTGAGTGTGCTTGGTGAAGCTTATTAACCCACCTTTTGTCTTTAACTCTTCTCTACATTAACCAAGGCACAGGGAAATCAGAGCAAATTAGCAACAAGTTCAAAATATAAAATATTTGAAAAGTAATGTGATTTTGTATATGAAAATGCATACAGTAACTAGAAAGTAGGTTGACTTTGGCACATAGTAGGTTCCCCCCAAATCCTCTTAAAATTGAATTTAGGAGAGCTAATATTAGTGTCTGTAGCTTGATGAATGCTTCTGCAGTCTTGGGAAGGCCTTCAAAAATAGTTTTTCTCTTAAGTAGTTGTAACTCTTGTTAAGCAAAATTGTCTACATAAGCAGAAGGAAGATAAGGTATGCTGCCCAGGCCCTATTGGAATTGTCACAGATTCTGAATTAGTCATGTTTTGTTGCTTTCTTCATATGTTTGAAGAGTCTGATGGAAGCTTCTTTCATTCACCTACTGGCTAGGTTCCATTCCTCTAGGCTTTCTGCATAGTTGTGTGGGATCATGGTGCCCTCAGAGAATCCAGTCATGGGCCCCCAAGGATCTATCTTAGACTCCTGAATTGAGAAAGCACCAGCAACCTCGGGTTCCCCACAGCTCCCCGACTCTCTGTGAGTCCCCCATCTGGTGGAGCAGGCCAATAGTCAAGTGATCAGGTCCCCTTGCCATCTGTTTGACTTTACTGGATGTCAGGCCCATGTAGTCTCTGGGCCTTTGGAAGCAATTCAGCATTTTGGTTAAAGGTCTTTACTTCTTTCCCACCTCTGCTGATCCAGAAATCAGAGTAGGTGGAGTAATGATCCCCTCCACAGATGAGGAGGCTGGACTGCAGGGAGTGTCAACAAGAGGTTGAAAGCCCAGTGTTCCACTTGTAGAAATAATTAAGTGACTTTTGTTATAAGTGTGTGGAGTTCTGCTGAATCAACGTGGTGGCTGGCTGTGGGCATATGTCTTTGTGGCTTTGGGGGGCATAAGTGATTTGGTATACACAGGGTGGAGTAGTTTTGAAGTCGGAGTATTTGCATGTCTGGGGTTTTGTCTGGTCTACATGTAGGCATGAGTAATTTTATGTTATTTATGTGTTTATTCATGTGTGCATGAGTAAATAGTCCATTTCCTAAATCTCAGGACATGAAAGAATTAGAGGAACCTTTGTACCGTGATTCCAGTACTACAGATGTAGAGCTATGGGGTAGCAGTACTGGAGATCAAACTGATGACACTGGCAATATCAACAAGAACATTAATCATGGTAAACTTTACAGGTTACAGCATATCTTTGTAGATATCTACTCTGAGCCTTACAGTAACCCCAGTGTTGGGTTGTTATGTTACTATCTTGATGATGATGATTTGTACTAAGAGGGAAATTACTTTCAGCACAGTCTAGGATGTCTATCTCTGGGTTGACATAGGCATGAAGGGCTACTTAAAATTATAAACAATAATAGACCACATTTTTTTTTAAGAGTTGGGCATATAGTTCTGCATAGTGACCCAAGGTTTAACGTTATAACCTCGGTGACAAATGGATTTGACCAGAAATTTTTCTCTTTGATCCAACTGGTCATCCTGGGGAGAGAAAACAAGTTCTGTACCTGCCCCCTGTCTCCTGCTTCCTGACTTCACAGAAAGGAATTATTATTGCCAGTTTTTCCACCCGTATTCATGAAATGTGTTAGGTCTACTGAATGATGATGGGAGATTAAATATTTGGAACGTATCATACTGATTTGGGTCTTCAGGGGGATTAAGGTGCTCATTAGACTGGATCAAGCCTGGAGAAATAGATCTCCGCTATTTTCTCTGGCTGCCCAGGAACTGCATATTGGCTATTAGCTGAAACTGGAGAGGCTTCCAGTCCATGCCTTGGTCGGACTTACTGGGTTGGCTGACTGCACAATGAGGGGCCTTGAACCTTGAGCATGGGGGAGTGGTGTTTTAATGGCCAGACTTCTTGTTAAAGCCTAAGGTGACACTTCAAATATCAAACCTTTTGTGTTTCTTTTTCCTCCTTGCCATGTTCCAAAACTGGATGCTTAGCTATTGCAAAATGAGGTAAAAAACACATTTGGAATGAGAAAACATACCACCATTTCCCTTTTGGAGCTTTGGAATATGGGATTCCATTAACATCAGAGGGTTAGTTGGCTTTGGCACCTCTGAGTTCAGACATGGAATAGCTGTCCTGTTTTTTGTGGGGCTCTTTCTTATGGCTGTGCTAACTTATTCCTGGACTTCCCGGGGAAGAGAAGGGAGAAGTGGGCTTGAAATAACTCCATCAGAAGCCAGATGAGTGAAATAGCAGAAATGACATTTTCAAGTCACATCTGTGAGTGTGTTAAAAATATAACTTTATTTTTCTGTAAATCAACTTAATCTCTCCTGTGAGCCCACATTTTTCCTGATGGCAGAAAAACCCCGGTAATCATCAACATTTTAGGTTTAAACTTAGGCAGTCTGGGCTTTCTATCTTCCTCCTTAACCCTGGGAGGCAGCTCAGTTCTGGGTTGGGCTTCCATAATGTCATGACCTCCACAGGGAGGAAGTCCTGGTCACCAGTATGTGTCTACTCTGACATTTAGAGACCCACTGATTTCTGGGCACACAGGCCATACTGCATCTTCTCATTTCAGCCCCCAAATCCTTCTAGTTTTCCTGGCTCTTTCTCTCTCCACTAACTTTCAAGCCCTACAGGGAGTGGGGCACCATTAAGCAGCTCTCCCATGACACTCTGGGGTCTGTGGGAAATTCCAAGGGCTTAGGCTCTGTCTCCCATGACACCCATGCAGCCATCTCCAATCAACTGCCCCACAGCCAATTCCTCTGGCAACTTCCGGGTGGCTGCTGCTGCCTGGACCCCCAAAGTTATAGAGGGGTCTGTTCCGTGTACACTTTGGAGCTGACCTGGAGGCAGGGTGTGCGGTGCCTTATCAGAAACCATCACAAGTCTCTAGTTCTCGCTTCCTTTCTCCTTCTACACTTTCATTTCTTTCGCCTATGATGGGGAAAAACTGGCTGGACAAAACATTCTTTTAAACCTATTATTTTAATGGCACATGATCAGCCTTTGTAAACTTAAAAGCCAAGGATCACCCCCTCTTTCCCCACATTCTGCTGTTTAGGCATTCCTGTATCCATCAAATATTGACAGAACTGCAATTATGTCTTTCAGGCAATGTTCTAAGCATTGAGGTTATGAGTGTTACAAAAGATAAAGGGGGCTGGGTGCGGTGGCTCACGCCTGCAATCCCAGCACTTTGGGAGGCAGAGGCGGGTGGATCATGTGAGGCCAGGAGTTTGAAACCAGCCTGGCCAACATGGTGAAACCCCATCTCTACTAAAAATAACAAAAATTAGCTGGGCGTGGTGGCACACACCTGTAATCCCAGCTACTTGGGAGGCTGAGGCAGGAGAATTGCTTGAACCTGGGAGGCAGAGCTTGCAGTGAGCCGAGATAGTGCCACTGCACTCCAGCCTGGGCGACAGAGCAAGACTCTGTCTCAAAAAAAAAAAAAAAAAGAAAGAAAAAAGAAAAAGAAAAAAGATGAAGGGCTCTGCCTTCATGGAGAAGGAGATACAATAAACAATATTAATACCCACGTAAAATCTATGGGATATCAGATGGAGATAATCACTGTGGAGAAAAAGCAACAAAGAGGGAATAGGAATTCTTGAGACGGGATTGTGATTTACAATATGGGAAATAATGAGGGTGAGACTGAGGCTGCACTGGAATCAAGACAAGAAGGAAATGAGGAAGTGGCTTAGGGATCTATCAGGGGGAATAGTGTTCCTGCCAGGGGAAGGACATGAGGGTGCTGGAAGTGTTCAGGACCAGGAAGGCTTGTTGGCTGCAGCAGCATGAGTGAGGAAGAAAGTTGAAGGACGTGAGGTCAGGGAGGTGTGAGGGCTCGATCACAAGCGACTTTAGAAGTTATTACAAGGGCTTTAGTTTTATTCTGAGTGAGCTGACAAATCACTGGAGGGATTTGCACAGAGGGTGACAAGATCCGATGTACATGGCTGTTGGGTTGAGCACGGATTCAGGGAGCAGGACGGCAAAGGTGAAGGTGGGGAGGCCAGTTAGGAAACTGCTGCAGTCATCCCACATGGGATGATGGGGCTGGACTGGGGCGGTAGTGACAGAGTGGTCTGGTTCTGAGTATACACTGGAGGTAGTGCCAGCATGAGTGACTGATGGATTAAGTGCAGGTCGTGAGGAACAGGAGTCAAAGGTGAGTGCAGGGATTTTGGCTTGAGCATCTGGAAGGAGAGAGTTGCCATTTGTTCATATGAGGAAGGATGTGGGAGGAGCAGACTGGGCAGGGATGTTCAGAGATAGGAATCTGGACTTAGCTTTGCAAAGCCTATCAGATGTCCAGTGGGAGATGTCACATGGGCAGCTGGAGTCCAGGGAAGGCACCCAGGCTGGACAGAGCTCAAGGTGGGACTCATCAATGTATGTGCTATTTAAAGAGCTAAGACCCAGGGAGAACCCAAGGGAGTGAGAGTGGATAGAGAGGATGGGCTCAAGCACTGAGCCCTGAGGCACTCAGATGGCCAAAGCATGGGTGACAAGAAGGAGGCAGCAAAGAAGACTGAGCAGGTGTGGCCGCTGAGGTGGGAGGACAGCACTGTGGTGCTCTGGACAGTGGAGCTCTGCAAGGCGAGGGGAGATGCTTCAGGGACAGAGGAGTGACCACTTCTGCCAAATACTGCTCCTGGATTGATTATTGAGGCCTGAGTCATTGGTGACCTTGACAAGAATGTTTTGAGGGAGGACAGAGAATGGAAACATAAAAATTAGAGACAATAAGTGTGGACAACTCTTTCTAGAAGTTTTTCTATAAAGGGGCGAAGGTAATGAGGTGGAAGCCCAAAGGGAACGTGTGGGCAGAGAGAGAGACGTATTCTGTGAATAGTGGGGCACTGGTGCCTATGTGTGAAGGCTAACTGGAATGACCCAGAGGGGAGGGATGTTGGTGACACAGGAGAGGGTGAGGAGAGTCACGGAGTGATGGCCTTGAATGGACCAGAGAGGATGAGCCCCAGGCATGAGGGCAGAGGTTGGCCTTGGGCTGGGGTGCAAGCCGAGCACCCACAGGAGCAGAAGGGAAGGTAGCACGTGGCATGGGTGCTGGTGGGGGCTTGGGGAAGTCTCTTCTGGTTGCTTCTGCTTTTAGGAGAAAGGAAGCAGGGACATGGGCTGAGCATGAGGCCAGGGAGGAGGTGCTAGAGGGCTGGGGAGAGGGCCAGTGTGGCAGGTGGTATCAGGAGAAGGGGCGAGTAAAGGGCCAGGGAAGTGAGATGAGGTGCCGGGCGGCACTGGGGCTCCTTGAAGCTGTGCCAGGAACTTGGTGTGAGACCCAGCAGCTGGTTTCATGGTTTCCTTCAGCCACATTTGGTTGTGGGGGGCTGATGTGAAGTGGAGAAGAGCTGGATTTAACCCCAGGTGGCACTGGCCAGAAGTACAATGGAACAAGAGAGGTGGAAGGAGTTTAGGAGAAGGAAAGGGCAAGGGGGTAAACAAAGCATTGTAGGACCAAGAAAATATTAGTTAATATGTAAATCATGATTCTGCCACATGCCTAATTGCTGTTAAAGGTGCAGGCCATTGATTAGAAGAGGGTTTACCTGTGGGATGCAGGACGAAAATGGGGGCAAAAGTCACTGAGCAGCCGGCCAGCTGGTGTGGCCGGGAGGAAGGTCATAGGCCATTCGTCTCAGCAGCTGTGAGTCTGCTGGGGAACAGCAGCTGCCAGACATCACCTGGAACTTTGAAGGAAGAGGGAATTGCAGCCAAGAGGGGAACTTGGGGAAAACAGTGTGGTAAGATTTAGGTCCTGTTGGTGGTAAATAGCTTGTTCTATTAAAAAAAAAAAATTGAACTCTTATTTCCTTAGAAAGAAACACTTGAGATTCCTGCTTTTATTCTTTTGTTTGATGTTATATGGTTGTATTTGATCATTTGTTCTTTTTAATTTTAGCAACTTTATTGAGATAATCCATGTGAATACAGGTTCTTATTTAAAGTGTACAGTTTAATGGTTTGTAGTATATTAACAGAGTTGTGCAACCATGACCGGAATCCATTTTAGAATATCCTCATCACTGCAAAAAAAAAAAAAAAAAGTACTGAAGAGCATTTATTCCTCACAATAACTGTCAAATTTATGCTATTATTTTTCCATGACAGATTAGATAAATGGAGTCCTAAAGAGGTTAAGTAGTGAGCAGTCTCTCCCAACCACTCCCAGCCCCTGGCAACCACTAAATATTTTTTGTTTCTATATATTTGCCTATTCTGGAGCTTCATATAAATGAAATCCTACAATATGTGGTCTTTTGTGATTAAATTCTTTCACTTAGCATAAGGTTTTCTAGGTTCATCTATGTCATAACATGTATCAGTTCTTCATTCCCTTTTTATTACCAAATAATGTGCCAGTGTAAGGATATATCACATTTTCTTTATCCACGCATCAGTTGATTCATATCTGAGTCTTTCCACCCTTTAGCTGTTATGAATAATGCTGCTTTGAACATTCATGTACAAGTTTTTGTGTAGACATAAGTTTTCATTTCTCTTGGATATATACCTAGGAATGGAATTGCTAGGCCATATGGCAACTCTAACGTTTAATGTTTTGAGGAACTGCCAAACTGTTTTTCAAAGTGCTGCAACATTTTACATCCTCACCAGCAGTGTACAAGGGTTCCAATTTCTCTATGTCTTCACCAACACTTATTATCTGACTTTATGATGATAGCCATTCTAGCAGGTGTGAAGTGGTTTCTCATTGAGGTATTGATTTGCATTTCTGTGATGTCTAATGATGTGGAGCATCTTTCCATGTGCTATTGGCCATTTGTATATCTTCTCTGGGGAATGTCAACTTAAATACACTGCCCATTTTTAAATTGGATGATTTGTCTTTTTATCATTGAGTTGTGAGTTCTCTATATATTCTGGATACAAATCCCTTATCAAATATATGATTTGCAAATATTTTCTCCCATTCTGTGAGTTGTCTTTTCACTTTATTGGTAGTGTATTTTGAAGCATCTTGCTGTTGTTCTTTATTTAAAAATTTTTAATTTTTAAAGCTATGCAAGGAATACTTGCATACAATGAAAAATTAGAAATTTTTGAGTTATACACAAAAAGGAATAAAACATGTACAATTTTACCATTCAGAGTGCCACTATGAACTTCTGGGGTTTAGTCCTTTTGTTAAAATGAGATCACATTATTTTTTAACCCTTTATAAATCTCATCAGTTGTGAGTAACTTTTCATGTCAGTAAATATATTTTTCCAGCATCACTTTTTAGGTTGTGTAATGTTTAATCATATGGAGGTACCGTTCAGTTCCAAGCAGTTCAGGTCCAAACAGTTCCTTATTGTTGGACACTTAAGTTGCTTCCAATTTTTCACTTTTAAATGAAGTAAAATCTTTATGCATATCCATGATTGCTTTCTTTGGATAGAATTCTGGAATAAGATTGCTGTGTCAAAGTGCATGTTCTTTTAGGCTATGGAAACGTGCAGCCAGTTTGCCTTCTGGAATGATTGTGGCCATCCGTGCCCCACCAGCAGTTTGTAGGAGATTAGCTCTTGGCCAAGAAGCTAACCAGGTCTATGCAACAACAGCAATATTACTATTATCAGTAAGAGCAATAAACACTTACGTTGCATTTATGTGTAGGCACAGTTCTGAGCACTCTCTCTATATTGACTCATTGATTCCTCACAATAACTGTCAAACTGATACTATTATTTTTCCATTACAGATAATTGAGTCCAAGAGAGGTTAAGTAGTGACCCAATGTCACACCACTGAGCGTGGCAGGATTTGAACACTGGCAGTCTAGCTTCTGGGTCCTGGCTCTCACCCACCCTGCTTTACTGCTTCTTTATGTCTATATCACATGAAAATTATTGGCAGAGGCACCTATATGTGCAAGAGCCCAGAAGGGAGAAAGCCTGATACTGTCAAACACAATGCTGACTATTGCTTTAAAATATTCTTTATAATGCTAAGAAAGCTTCCTTTTATTTTTAATTTACTGAGAGGTTCATTTGAGAATAAATGAAAAATTCTAACCTCTTAAACATCCATTTTTTGTTTTTGTTTTGCATATTATAAACTAGGGGCTGGCAAATTTTTTTTAAAGGGTCAGATAGTAAGTATTTTAGGCTTGGGGGACATAAGGTCTTTGTTGCAAAGACTCAACTCTGCAATTGTAGCTGAAACCTGCTACAAAATATATTGATATTTAAATTACCAAACTAGGTGGCTGGCCAGTAGGCCATAGTTTTCAAATCTCTGCTGTAGATGATCCTGTGGGTTTCCTCTCCTGACTCACTGATGCTGAACCACTCTTGTATTCTGGAATAACCCAGCTTGACCACGCCAGATTGACTGCTGCCATCTGTTCGTTAGTGTTTTATTTAGGATCTTTATGTCTCTCTTCAGGAATGAGATTAATCCGTGTGTGTGTGTGTGTGTGTGTGTGTGTGTTGCTTCGTCAAGTTTTGCTTCATAAAACGAATGTAAAAACTTTCA
This sequence comes from Homo sapiens, assembly GCF_000001405.40. Lineage (NCBI taxonomy): Eukaryota > Metazoa > Chordata > Mammalia > Primates > Hominidae > Homo > Homo sapiens. The sequence goes on from NC_000002.12 coordinate 71,640,816, forward strand.
TCTTTTTCTATGCTGTGGAACAAAGAATGATTTATTCTTTGCAACACTCATAGAATTTTCCCCCAAAGAAATGATCTTGGCCTCCTGTCTTTTTTTGGAAGTAGATCATTGAGATCTTTTCCACTTTCTTTTAAGGTTATTGATCTCTTCATGTTTTCTACTACTTTTGAATCAATTTTGGCAATTTTTATTTTCCTAGAAAATCATTCACTTCATCTACATTTTCTAAGATTCTGTCATTGGTTTCAGCCTCATAAACCTATTGATATTTTCATTGTCTGCTATAATATCTTTTGATTTGATTTTTCTCATTCCTAATAGTATATCTACTTTTAAAAATTAGATTTGATAAATGTTTATCTATTTTTTTTTTTTTTTTTTGAGACGGAGTCTCGCTCTGTGGCCCAGGTGGGAGTGCAGTGGCGCAATCTCGGCTCACTGCAAGCTCCGCCTCCCAGGTTCACGCCATTCTCCTGCCTCAGCCTCCCGAGTAGCTGGGACTACAGGCGCCCGCCACCACGCCCGGCTAATTTTTTTGTATTTTTAGTAGAGACGGGGTTTCACCGTGTTAGCCAGGATGGTCTCGATCTCCTGACCTCGTGATCCACCCGCCTCGGCCTCCCAAAGTGCTGGGATAAATGTTTATCTATTTTAATGGTCTTTTGAAATCTTGCTCTGGGGTTTAATCATCAATTATAATATTCTCCTTTCTAATATATTCATTTCTATTTACAATTTTCTTTGGTCTTTCTGCCCTTTCTAATTTCTTGAATTATCAGGTAATTTATTTTCATTCCTTTTGTATAAAAGTGAAAACACTTAAGATAAAATTTTTTTTTTGAAGACAGGCTTAGCTACAACTCGTACGTTTTGGGACATATATCTCCTATTGTTGGTATTTCCTAAGTATCCGAGGTTTTAGTTTTGGTTTTCTCTTTGACCCAGGAGGGCTTTAAGCATATGCCTTTAAATTTCCAAAAGGTTAGTATTTTATTTAAAATTTCTCATTTTTCTAGTTTTATTGCAGTATGGTCAGAAAATGTGACTGATAGTGGTTTTATTTCTGGGACTTTACTGAGATTTGCTCTGTGGCTTTTTTATTTTTTTCTAAGTGCTCCAAAGATGCTGGAAAAGAAGGTATATCTTCTGTTTTTAGTGTAAATAATGTTTGTCTATTTAGTTGTCACTGTTAATGGTATTATTCAGACTATCTGTCTCTAATTCCTTTGGAAATTTACTTGGTTATTCAGGATTGAGGGAAGTGTGATACCTTCCCCACAATTCTTGTTCCTGTCTTTTCTTTGTACAGAACTCACTGGTTGGTTGTCTGTCTGTGCCTGACTCTGAGCCTGAGTTATAAACTCAAACCTTTAAGTATTTGGGCTGGGAAAGAAAAATAAAGATTTAGGGGAACTCAACAGCTAAATTGGATTCCATTCTAACCATTTCTACCTAAGTGTCCATGTTTGCCTGTGTGCCAGTATGTGCAGTTGTGTGTTTCTGTGGGGGCATATGTGTGTTTTAGCATACACATCTCCTTTGGACGTGACTGTGTAAGTCAGTTCTTCTGCGTGTGGGTCATCCTGTGAGTTTGATATGTATGTCTGTATATGTGTGTCACCCATAGCATCTTTTTCTTTAAATTGAACTTTAAACATCAAGGCTTGGGTCTGCCTTGCTCTAAGCTGGCTTTTTCTAGAGTGGTTACAAGTCAGAAAGCTCTGCCATGCTGTACGCTACCCCACCTGACCTTGTTTCCTCTCTCCTGGCTGCAGAAGACCCTCCGGGTAAGTGGGTCTGGTAGGGCCTGGCTGCAGATTCAGCCTCACTCTGGTACACGTTCCCTGTGTGGTGTGTCTGGAGACACCTGGCCACACAAGGTGTGTTAGGACCACACTTCCAGGACGGGTGGAGACTCGAGAACCTCATCCTACCGTCTCCCCAGGATGCCTGTTCAGGAACCCTTGGCGGGGCACCAGCTTGTGTTTGCCTTTAGTAAGCTGGAGCTCAGAGCACTTGGCTTTAGTTTGAAGGGGCCACCAGCATTTTCAGAAACTCTGTGATAGGTGTTCAGTTCCTGGTGGAGAATTAGAGCAGGCTCCTGGGAGATCTTCTAGCCTACCTTCTCATACAGAGGAGGAAAGCGAGTTCCAGAATGAGCTCCTGAAGCCGTGTCCTTGGCCCTTCCCACTAAACCAGATAAGCTCTAATGGTACAGATGGGCTCAGAGTGAGTGATGGGACCTTGGTGGGCTTTTGGGGTGAACTGACCATCCCAGCTTCAGGGAGCTTGGTGACCCTCTAGGTGATAGGACACCCCACCTGCCGAGACAGGACACAGCTGAAGGAATATTCTAGACACCAGAGCTAAGAGGGCCTGCAGACACACCATGTACAGGAGGAGTTAAATGGTGGGGAGGTCAGGATTTGCCACAACAGGCCTGTCCATCTTTTCCTGCAAATAGGAGTGACTGGAGGAAGGATGCGGATGTCACACAGAAAATTTGTGCTGTCACATACTTCCTTTCTTCTCACCTAATACCTCACATTTAGCAGTGTCTTTGGAATAAAGGCACTTAGTATTAGTTGATTTTCAGGGACTCTGCCTTGATTTGACCTTGGGGAGGTTAAGTGCTGATTTCCAATGCTTCCTTTATTGCCTGGGTAGGGAGGCAGATGGGCAGAATAGATAAAACTCTTTTGGGTCTGAATTTTCCTGGATCTACTGCATTTTGTTCATAAATAATACATTATTGACATTTTCCCCTAAGAGCTACCCTATGTACCCTCTGATTTTGGTCTCAGTGTGTTGTGTCCCTGGGATGCAGGAACTACAAAGATGCTTATGCCCACTTCACAGAAAGGAAAAGGGAGGCTGGGGAGTTTGACAGAAACACACATGCTTGGGGGGCAGAGCCAGGGCTAGAGCCTCCGCCTCTCAACACCAACCAAATGCTGAAACCTCTTCCTCAGTCTGCAGTCTTTGCCCCAGGAGAGGCGGAGGTTTCCTCTCTCTGCTCCCCCACATCACCCTTAGGAAAGCCTTGTGGTCCAGAGCGGCCTAGCAGCGGAGGGAGGGTTTCCAACTCTGAAGAATGCTGCTTGGCGAGTCCTGTTTCTGAAATGGTCTCTTTCTTTCTACCCACTCAGGAGGAAGAGTTCATCGATTGGTGGAGCAAATTCTTTGCCTCCATAGGGGAGAGGGAAAAGTGCGGCTCCTACCTGGAGAAGGATTTTGACACCCTGAAGGTAAGGCCTCTCTTCAGTCTGACAGTCGGTGTGTGTGTGCGTACTGGGCAGTGGGAGACACAACAGAAAGAGAGCTCATGCAGTAGATGTATTTGCATTTGTCTCCTCATTCGGTGTCTGAGGGTGATGAATGCTGCTAGACCAGCTGGGTGAGAAAGCCACCCACCGATTTACAGCCCGAAGCAAGTGTGGGCTGGGATAACCAAGACAGTATTCCCAGGAGAATGCTGAAGAATATGGAAGTGTTTAGAGGTGAAATGATCTGTGTTAACGTGCCCCAGCCCCCTACCCCTTCCCAAGATCAGGGTGGCCCCCTCACCGATTTTCAAAATAGTCAACATTATTAATATTGCATGACATTGAAAACAGTTAAAGCTTGGAGATGGGTACGCAGGGATTTGTTGTCCTATCCCATGTCTTTCAGTGTTATTTGAACTTTTCTATAGTAGAAAATTTGTGTTAAAATAAAAAGAGAGTCGGTTTGAGAATGTACTCCTGACCCCTAACTCCTACAATTGGGCCAGAAAATTACCTACAAATCTGAAAATATGGGAAACCCTGTTTCTGTGGAAAAAAACAGAAATGAGTCAGCCAAATTGTGGTATTTTGAGGAAATTATACAAATATAATTATGCTTTGAAAAAGTAGACTACTTTTAAAGAAGATAATCAGAGGTGACTCAGAAATTACTCCTTAAAGGAGTTGCATGGTCTCCTGGCTAGGGTTGCCAGTTAAAATTCAGGATGCCCAGTCACATTTGAATTTCAGATGAACAATGAATAGTTTTTTAATATCAGCATGCATCAAATATTGCACGGGGCATATTTCTTTAAAAATTATTGGTTATGAAACAGGAAAAGTTCCCTTATCCCCCTTGCAGGGTGTGCAGTGGGGGTGTGGCTGGCTTCTTCAGTGCCCTGCTGCTCACACCTCTAGGGGAACATGCAGATGGGCAGGTTGTGGGGCTCCAACCCCACAGCAGTGTCCAGAGGTGAATGTTTACAGCTGAAGCCCCAGTGGATGTGTGTTACAGAGGACTATTTCAGCTTAGCCATCTGTAGGCGGCTTGTGTTAGCTCAATTAGACCCCTGCCTTATCACAAGCACAGAGGGCTTTCTGTATCCCGGGGTTTCTTGCCTTGGTGTACTGAAAGAATTGGATCGCACGTGGGCTTGGAGATTGAGTGCAAGGTTTTACTGGGTGGAAGTAGCTCTCAGCAGATTGGGGAGCCAGAAGGGAGATGGAATGGGAAGGTGGTTTTCCCCTGGAGTCGCGCTGCTCAGTGGCCTGGACTCTCCTCCCACCACCAGGACCAAACTCCACGTTGTTCCGCTGGTCAATGGCCTGCTGGCCTGCTGAGGCCTGTTGGTGTGCTCCTACGCCAGTGGGTCCTTCTCGACATCCCGCCGCTTGTGTGTTCCTCTGCTTGTGTGTTCCTCTCGATGTCCAGCAACTTGTGTTTCTGCCCGCTAGGGTCTTGGGGGTTTTTATAGGCACAGAATGGGGGTGTGGCAGGCCAGGATGGTCTTGGGAAATGCAGCATTTGGGCAAGAAAACAGAAATGCCTGTCCTCCCTAGGCCTGTGGCACAGGCCCGGGGGATGAAGCCCTCGCCAGGGACACCGTCCTCCTCTACCCAGCACTTACCTGACCCCGTTCTGTATCAGTTATTTATTTGAAATTCAGATTTAACTGGAAATTGTGTATTTTCACTTACTAAATCTGGCAACACTACTTCTGGATTATAAATGGGGGAGACTCTGTACCCCGCAATTACCTCCCAGGCTTGGAGAGGAGAAAATGAGAGGTGGGCACAGGCTGTTAGACACATAGGAAAGGCCCCAAGAGCCCTTTGGAGGGGACTGGATGAGAGAGAGTTGAAGCTTGTCAGGGTAGCAGGTGGCCTGGGCTTTCAGGTGATTCTTTTGGCGCAGAGTCTCTGCTAGGCACTCTGGAGGGCAGTTTCACCAGTCAGCAAAAGTTGTCTCTGCTCTATGGGCCTGCCTGGTGAATTGTGCCTGGAGACCTGGCTGCTCAGAGATGAGGCACAGGCAGCAGCAGCTGCGATCCTCAGGCAGCAAGTTCCTCCTCGACTTGGTAGTTGGGTGTGTGAGGTTGGGCAAAGAGACAGAACTATTTGTGTACCAGGAAGAAGGTCTGACACATTAGGTCTGGCATGTGGTCCTGTGGCCTTGCCAAAAAGTCAGACAACCCAAGCAAGAATGAGGACTCCTGCCAGGGTGGCCCATGGCCCTGGCCCCTCGCTGCTCCCTCAGGTGCGGATGCTGAATTGGCACCCAGCCCTCCTGCTTGACCTCTGGAGGAGGTCTCTGACAGCATCCAAGTGAAAATAGGCTGTCCAAAGCAAAATGCATTCAAACTATTTCTGGGGGGAAAACTAGACCTGGAAGGAACGCTGGTTCTTTAAAGATAAGTAAATGGAAGAAAACCACCATCACCAACGTGGGTCTTTGAAAAATAGCCTGCCACATTATGGAGAGAGTGGAGCACACAGTGGGTGCAGGAAAACAGATTTTAGAAATCACTAGCATAGGGGGACAAAACAACTCCTAATCTAAATAGAAAAATAAAGGAACAAAAGACACAACAAGAAAGCATTAAAAACAGAAACCACAGAAAATGCATAGTAAAAAAAGAACAAAACATCTTAATGTTCCTAATTAATAAAAATGGACTAAACTTCCCCATTAAGTGACAAGGACTCTTAGACTATATCAAAAGTCAAAATTCATTGTACTGTCTTTAAAAGACACATCTAAAACAATACAACTTAGAATGGCTAAAAAATAAAGATTTTGGAAAACAATATTTTAGCAAACAAGGTAAGTGTAAACCAAAGGAAAACAGAATTTAAAGTGAAGAGCAAAGGAAACAAAATAGAGAGTTTTATATAAATAAAAGATGTATATTTCAATGAAAAGACTCTCAAATATTTATGCATAGAATAGTAAAGCTTAGAAATACTTAAAGCAAAAATGGATAAGAATGTATAAACTGATATCTCACACTTGATAAAAGCACAAAATGACAGAAATTAAAGTTGCAGTGGGGATTTCATTACACCATTCTCCTTAACTATCAAGCAGACAACAAATACATAAGAAGATAAAAGATCTGAATAACAAGGTAAATGTTTTTTAAGCTACATGAAATTAAAGTTATAGCTTTAAAATAGAGAATAAAAATAATAAAAAATGGAGAATACATTTTTTCCTGATGCTCAGCGAATACTTACAAAATTTGATCACATATTAGTTTTGTAGTAAGTTACCAAAAGCAGAAATCATACAAGACAGATTATAATGCAATAAAATGAGAAATTAATAACAAAAGTTTAAACAAAAAGTTCAACCGCTTAGAAATTTAAAAAATATTTTATTGGGACTTCCAGTATGAACATGGCTGCATAAGTCAGCATTTTTCCCCTTTTCTCTTGGAAATCATTCAAACCCACAAAATCCATTTTCAGAAAAGTTGGAAACAAACAGAAGCCACAGACTTCAAAATATATGTAAGGGCTGCTCAAAGACAACTGAAATTGGTTAGAGGCCACTCAGCAGTAAGTGAAGAGAAGATACATGCAGAATGTTGAAAGATCAGAGTAGTAGCAGATCTCAGAAAGCCTAGCAAAAATATACTTTCTAATGGAAGAATGTTGATAATTATTTAGGACAGATAATGGTTACATGGGGGTTTATTATCTATTCTCTTTACTTTTGTGTGTGTTTGAAAATTTTCATAATAGTTTCAAAATACAGTTCCTGAAAGTGAGGTTTCACCATGAAATATAAATGTTACATCCTTTGTTTACAACCGTGGATACGGAAACTTTGGAGACAGGTTGAAGCTGATGACAGAAGCCTCTTAGACCTGATTTGATTCAGAGAAGCAGAGGTGGAGCTACACAAGAATTACACAAATGAGCCATATTTGCAGGAAGCAGTCTGCCTCTGTGGTGGGAACAAAATTCAGCTCATTTAGTGAGAAATAATTTTTTAAAACGGTGTAGCCTGAATTCAAAAATCCTGCAAAAAAGAAAAGAAAATCAAAATGAAAACTTATCAGTAGAAGAGGACATATACCTACTTGAAAAATTTTGCCAAGGAGCAGATGAGATGAAATGCTTTGCTATGAACTTTTTAGAAATGGGGCAGTCAGAATGCAAAGCAAAAATGAAAGTAGTCAAGGGCTGATAAAATGAGTGATAAACTATGGGCTGGCAGGACTCAGGAAAGAAAGAGATGAAAACGTGAAGTTGGAAGGAGCACAGGGCAGAAGGGCCACATGGAAAACACAACCAAGGGCACAGAGGACAGAAACTATAAAAGTAAGCAAACGAAAATGGAAATAATGAAAAAGTTATAAAGGAACAAAGAGAAAATGACAGATATAGACGTCAGGGAAAGGAAACCTAACATTTGCATAATTGGAGTCTCCAAGGAAGACAACCAAAATAGTAAAAAAAATTACAGAAAAAACCATAATGGTTTAATAAAACCTTACGGAAATGAAAGAATAGTTGAACATACATATTGAAAAAGTTCATGGTGTGTCAGGAAAAACTGACAAAGATTGGTCAATCTGAGACATATTCTAATATAATTACTGTACTTTAGAGATAAAGAAATAATTCTTTGGGTAGTCATACCTCCTCCCCACCTCTTGAAAAGAAAAAAGCAATATTAAGTCATTTAAAATAGGAACTAAATCAAGATGGCTTCCATTTTTTCGTAACAGCATTCCATATCCAAAGACAATAACACACTGATATAAGATCATCAAAGAAAGACAGGGTGACCTGAGGATTATATGTTCAGCCAAGCTCCCCTCCAAGCATAAAGGCTACAGATAACCATTTGTACATATTCAGGAACTGGAGTAATGTGATTCCAATGAGCCTGTCTTGAAGGAACTCCTAGGGGATTAACTTCAGCTAACCTGGGAAGTTATCTGGAGAAACCACAACAGAAGGACTGGTTGTAGTTCGAGGCTGTAGTCAGCTATGATTGCACCACTGCACTCTAGCCTGGATAATAGAGCAAGACTTTGTCTCCAAAAAAAAAAAAAAAAAAAAAGTGAATATGGTCATATTTTACCTTAGACTCAAAATGAAAACAAATGGAAGGGTTAAGGTAATAGGTAAGAATGTAAATATCATATATACTGAAAATGTAGAGATGGTAAAACTGACAAAAATTAGGTGGAGAAGGACAAAAGAGTATGGAATATAGAGTAAGGACAATGATTGACATATGATAAAATAAATACAGTGGACAGATATTATTTGAAATTGGCAAGTCACATAATAAGCATAGAAGCAAGATACAAGCAAACAGTACAAAGGTAAATGTTAAGGAAGATATTCTTGTCTAAAACTGGGTGATAGGGAGAAGGAGGGAGATAAAATTGGATTATTTTATTATTGCTACAGTAGGGACCCCATAAATACTATGCCTAAAGACATAGAGGACTAAGTATTATCAGAATATATAAATGTATATAAATACTAGAACAGAAGCTGAGATCATTCCAGCTATCAGAACTGTCACATGCACCACTCCCATCCGCCCCACACACAGAAAGTGGACCGTGCAAAGATTAAAAAAAAAGAACCTATGAAATGAGGAAATGTGATATAAATACATTACATGACTATATAATTAAACAAGTAAAACCAAGACCAAACATATCTGTCTTGTCAATACATGTTACATCAGTCACTTACTAATTACAAAATTTAAATCAGATCTCAGAGCAAAATCTAACTCTCAAATGAAAAGATTGATAAAGTTTGAAAATAAGATTAAGAAAATGTGTGCCAGGCAAATGCAAATTAAATGACAGCAGAAGTCATCATCTTAATATTAGATGAGAGGGTATTCAGGTTCCTAAAATTAAATGAGACAAAGGATGACACTTTATAATGCTAAATGGTACAATTCCAAGATATGACACTTATGAGAATATCTATGTGCTAAATACTACAACATCAATACTTACAAAACACAACTTACAGGAGATATGAGAAGCAATGGAAACACACTGGTTGGTAGGGGGAGATTTAATTCCCTTCTCTCAGTTCATGTCAGATCAAGGAGACAAAAATGTCAGAGGAGGCCAAGTGTGGTGGCTCAAGCCTGTAATCTCAGCACTTTGGGAGGCCGAAGCAGGCAGATCACTTGAAGTCAGGAGTTCAAGACCAGCCTGGTCAATACAGCGAAACTCTGTCTCTACAAAAAATACAAAAATTAGTCAGGCGTGGTGGCGTGCACCTGAAATTCTAGCTACTCAGGAGGCTGAGACAGGAGAATCGCTTGAACCTGGGAGGTGGACATTGCAGTGAGCCAAGATGGTGCCACTGCACTCCAGCCTGGGTGACAGAGCAAGATTCCATCTCAAAAATAAATAAATAAATAAAATAAAAAATAAAAGGTCAGAGGATGTAGAAGGCTTGGCATGATTAGTAACCTGATTTAACCCAGTAGCCTGAAAATAAAGACTACACGTGTGGCACTTTTACTACAATTGACCATGTAACAGGCCATGAAGAAAACTTTAATAAATTTCAGAAAGTGACAATACCAAGAAAACATTTTCTGATTGTAATGCAATAAAATTAGAAATTTGTAACAAGATCAAAAGCCCAAAAGGCCTCTTCTACCTGGAAAATTAAAAAACCCTCTATTTTAACAATTCTTGGGTGAAGGAGAAAATACTAACAGAAAGCACAGAACATCTAGGAAACAGTGCTAAAACACTACATATTAGAACTTACTGGTTATAGTTAAAGCAGCGTTCAGAGGGAATTTGTGGCCTTAAGAAATTATGTTAATTACAAAAAAGAAAACTAATTAAGTATCTAACTCTGGGATCAAATAATAAAGATAAAACTGTAATTACAGAATGCCGGGAAAATGAAAATGAAAACATGTATCAAAACAAATGAGGCAATGCCAAGACATTAGTGAGCAGAGGCAATTTCATATGAGTAACTATTTTCATTATCTGGAAAAAGGGAGTAAGTAAAGCTTCAATTCAAGAAGCTAGAATAATGATAATGAAAAGCCCTTAAAACAGCAGGACAAAAAAAGAGAAAAGGAAAAGGAAAAGCAGAAAAAATTAGAAAAGAGAAAATTATAGAATTGAATTGAAAAAAATCAAATAATTGGCACTTTGATTGGAATGAATCAACTAAAATAGATAACTCTTCAGCTAGTCTACTTTAGAGAAGTAGAGAAAACCAAGCCAAAATCCGCAATGAAAACAGGGACATAACAGCAGAGATAATTGGGAGTTAGGAATTTTAGAAAAATTCTAAGTATATTTCTATGTTAATAGATTTGAAAATGTCCTTAAAATGAGATAATGTGAAGGAAAAGAGAAACAGAACTGTCTCAAGAAGCAGCAAAAAATATGAAAGAAACAGGAAAATTATCAAAGAATTACTTTCAAAGAGAGAGCTGGAGCCAGGGAATTATAAAGTGAATTTCCTAAATTTTCAAAGAATAAATAATTCCTGTGCTATATGTAGTATTTCACAGCAGAGAAAATATTAAAATGTAGAAAACCTCGATTTTTATAGAGCTAGAATTACCTTACCATCAAAATCTGATAAAGTTCAGCCATATGTATAAATATCATCTATGACATGAATATATATGAAAAATCTTAGAGAAATAATAGCAAATGAAACCTAACTAATATTAAAATAATGTCATGATAACCGAATTTGCTTCATTCCAGGAATATAAAAAGTTCAACATTAGGAAATCATGAACAGTATTCATCATATCAGTAGGTAACATTAACAAAGATTATTTCAGTTGGTGCTGAAAAGCATTCAATAAAGTTTAATATCTATTGATGATTTATAAGATCAAGTAACATATTGGAAATAGGAGTTTCCTTAATGTTAAAAAGAACATCTCTCAAGCTAACAGCCAACATCCAACTTCATGACTTCAGAAGGTTTCTTTACTGTAGAAAATGAACTTGTATTTCTCAAGAATGTTCCTAAGTGCATTTGTCTGGGGAGAGAGTCCATGGCTTATTGACTGTAGATTACTGAAGCACTCTGTGACTCAATATAGGTTAAGGTACTGAGTGAAACACTAGGGCAGTCCTTTCACAAAGACAAGACAAGACTCACTGTGATCACGTTCATGTTATCACTAACATTGGTCCATATCTTCTAACCATTTCAATGTCAACAAAAAGAAACGGGTCGTTCATTTTAGAAAGGAGAAGACAAAATTATCCCTGTGTCTGACTGACTTGCTTACCACCTGAAGAGAACCAACTGAAAAATTAGTAGAACCATCAGGAGAACCCAGTAAGATGGCAGCAACTATTTAGAAAATCTAGTGGAAGAAAGATTCACATTCATAGTACCAACAAAAGAAGCTTCATGAGGAATAAACTCAACAATAAACACATAGGCTCTGTATGAAGATGCCTATAAATAGTAAAAGTCTTGTGTAAGTTAAGAATCAGATCATGTTCCTGTATTAAAATGTTAATACTATAAAGATAACAATTCCCCTGTTGAAAATTAGTTTTAAGTTTAATGCAAGCCTAACAAAAATTCCAAAGAAACATTTTGTTGAGAATGGAACTTAATGTTTTAAAATTTCATCTGGAAGAACATCAGGTAACGAAACAGGTTATGAAGCCACAGTGATTAAAACATGGTATTGGTGAAAAAACGCACAGATCAATAGAGCAGAGAAGAGATCACAAACAAACAAAAGGAGGCGTGAGCATTTGGCATATGACACAAGTCATGGGAAAGGGAGAAGAAGTTTAAACAAATATGATGTTTAGATAATTGCCTAACCATTTAGCAAAAAATAAATTAAATTCTTGCCTCACGCTGGGTACCAAATTGAATTGAGTGTTGAATAATCTTGCTATGAAGACATTGTAAGTATAATTTGAGAGGCAGACACTATAAAGAAAAAGATCTTTAGATGAGATGATCTAGAAATTTCTGGTATGGCTAAAATGCAAATCAAAATCACAATGAGATACCATCTCACACCAGTTAGAATGGCGATCATTAAAAAGTCAGGAAACAACAGGTGCTGGAGAGAATGTGGAGAAATAGGAACACTTTTACACTGTTGGTGGGACTGTAAACTAGATCAACCATTGTGGAAGTCAGTGTGGTGATTCCTCAGGGATCTAGAACTAGAAATACCATTTGACCCAGCCATCTCATTACTGGGTATATACCCAAAGGATTATAAAACATGCTGCTATAAAGACACATGCACACGTATGTTTATTGCGGCACTATTCACAATAGCAAAGACTTGGAACCAACCCAAATGTCCAACAATGATAGACTGGATTAAGAAAATGTGGCACATATACACCATGGAATACTATGCAGCCATAAAGAATGATGAGTTCATGTCCTTTGTAGGCACATGGATGAAGCTGGAAACCATCATTCTCAGCAAACTATCGCAAGGACAAAAAACCAAACACCGCATGTTCTCACTCATAGGTGGGAATTGAACAATGAGATCACATGGACACAGGAAGGGGAACATCACACTCTGGGGCCTGTTGTGGGGTGGGGGGAGGGGGGAGGGATAGCATTAGGAGATACACCTAATGTTAAATGAAGAGTTAATGGGTGCAGCACACCAACATGGCACATGTATACATATGTAACAGACCTGCACATTGTGCACATGTACCCTAAAACTTAAAGTATAATAAAAAAATAAAATTAAAAAATAATAATAATAAAAAAAATTTCTGATATGGCTAAAAATTGTAAATATAAACATAAGATAATCAAACGTAACCATAAATATAACATAAACACAAACATAAACATACCATAAATAAAAATATCATAAATATAACATAAACATAACTGAAAGGCAAGTGACAGACTGGGACAAACATTTGATAGACCAAAGTTTAATATCCTTTATATACCAAGAAGTCTCTCAAATCACCACAGAACAGAAAACAAACACCAACAGATGGAAAATGTACAAATGACAAGGATGAGCAGAAGAAATACAAATGGCTGATAAACCCGTGCAAGTTTCTCTATTATTATTATCTCTATTAAATAAATGCAATTTAAAATTCAGCATACCATCTTCTATCTATCAAATTAACAAAGCTAAAAATGGGTGAAAGTGTACAGTGATGGTGAAAGGCTGGGAGTGTGGGCACACTTGAACACTGTAGATAGGAGTATATAAATCCATACAATTTTTCCAGAGAGCAATTTGTGCACATCAGAGGTCTTAAAATGTGCATACTCCTTGTCCAGGAATTCTTTTTCTGGGAGCTTATAATAAAGATGAATTTAAACAAGTGCACAAAACACTTGGATAGGAGATTTTAAAACTCCCACACCGTATAAGTGGTTTAAAAAAATAATGTTGATGGCTGGGTCTGGTGGCTCATGCCAGTAATCCCTGCACTTTGGGAGGCGGAGGTGGGAGGATTGCTTGAGGCCAGGAGTTGGAGACCAGCCTAGGCAACATAGCGAGACTCCATCTCTACAGAAAATAAAAATAATAATATTGAAAAACCGCAAAACTAAATGTTCATCATATCTTGTGATACATTTATAAAATTGAATATCATATTGCCATTAGGAAGGAAGAGTTTTATAGAAGTATATTTTTTGACCTTGCAAAGATTTTCATGGTACATCATTAGGTTAAAAAACAAGTTACAGGCCAGGCACAGTGGCTCACACCTGTAATCCCAGCACTTTGGGAGGATGAAGTGGGAGGATTGCTTGAGTCCAGGAGTTTGAGACCAACCTGGGCAACATGGCCAGAACTCATCTCTACAAAAATAAAATAAAATAAAAAATATAAAAATTAGCTCAGTGTGGTGGCACGCCTGTACTCCCAGCTACAGGAGGCTAAGGTGGGGGGATCATTTGAGCCCAGGAGTTCAAGGCTGCAGTGAGCCATGATTGCACCACTGCACTCCACCCTGGGTGACAGAGTGAGACTTCTCCCCTCACTTGCACCCCCCATCCACAAAACAAGTTACAAGTTTGTATCTTTTGAGTCCATAATTTTGGTTAAAAAATTATATATATAAAGAAAATATTCAAAAGGACATATACCAAATGCTGATCAAATAACTAGTTATTTTTGAGAATTAGAATTTAAGACAATATTAATTTTTAAAAATATTTGCTTATATTTTTCTAAATTTTAATAATGAACCTGTGTCACTTGCATAATTAAATATTTATTAGAAAAGATAGAACTTGACCTTCAAGGAAGAGACAGAATTTGAGCTGGGCCTAAATGAGAAATAATATTTGGAAAGATGATTTCAGATATGACGAATTTAGCATGTATGTTAACCTGTTTAATGTTACTGTTTATTAGGTACATTTTATCAGCATAATAAAAAACAGCTTGCTGCTTTATTAAATCCTAAGCAATTCTAAAGCACTGCTTTAACAAATAATAATCATTGGCTGTTTGAGAAGAGACAAGTAAATGAATTGAGCTAACAAGTTTAAAGTGATGCTCCAAAGATACACTTGGATTGATATTTGATACCATTGTCATTGGATATCCTGTATGTGAACATTTTTACTTGAAATGCTGACCTGTTAATTTTCCAGACATCTATCACAGTCTTCAAATAAAATGTCGGTCCACCCTTTGCTCATTCATAATCTTGTTCTTTTAAAAAATGTACTGCCCATGTCTCTGATGACTCTCAGGTACTTACAATATTTTATTGACCAGAAAACCCTATTCCCTAACGGAGCTGAACAAATATCTTTCCTTTTGCTCCCTTCCCCTGGAATTTTCTGTCCATCTCCTCCTCTGTTCCTTTCTGGCTCCCTCTGTGACCTCTCCATCTCTCCAACCCTGCCCTCTTCTTTGCCTTCATTCCTTTATTTTGTTTTTGGTCACTTTCCCTCCTTTTCTTCTTCTCTCTTCCTTCTCTCTCTTTATTCACTCTCACACTGTCATGTTTCCCCTCCTTCTCTTGTTTCCTTTCCTTTGCTGTTGTTCTACTTTCTTTCTGTCTCTTGTCCCCTCCTCTAATCCCCATGTGTGGCAGGTCTATGACACACAGCTGGAGAATGTGGAGGCCTTTGAGGGCCTGTCTGACTTTTGTAACACCTTCAAGCTGTACCGGGGCAAGACGCAGGAGGAGACAGAAGATCCATCTGTGATTGGTGAATTTAAGGTAAATCCTCGAAGACGTCCCTAACCCAGGTGGGCCTAAGACTGTGGTGTTGGAGCAATAAGTGAAGGGGAGGGGTCGTACCTACACTGGTGACCCTGGTGCTGATGTTGGTGACCACATGGGTAATGGAGGTGGTGATGGTGATGCCGCTGACGCAGAATCTGACTGGTGATGGGATGGTGTTGGGCTTGGTGATCTCAGTGGTGGTGACTCTGGTAGAGATGAGAGTGGTGGTCATGATGGTGATTGTGTCAGTGACAATTGTATTTGTTTTTAGTCTGTTTTCATGCTGCTGATAAAGACACATTCAAGACTGGGAAGAAAAAGAGGTTTAATTGAACTTAGAGTTCCACATGGCTGGCAAGGCCTCAGAATCATGGCGGGAGGGGAAAGGCAGTTCTTATATGGTGGCAGCAAGAGAAAATGAGGAAGAAGCAAAAGCAGAATCCCCTGATAAACCCATCAGATCTTGTGAGACTTATTCACCACCACGAGAATAGCACGAGAAAGACTGGCCCCCATGATTCAGTTACCTCCTCCTGGGTCCCTCCCCCAACACGTGGGAATTCTGGGAGATACAATTGGAGTTGAGATTTGAGTGGGAATGCAGCCAAACCATATCATTCTGCCCCTGGCCCCTCCAAATCTCATGTTCTCACATTTCAAAACCAATTATGCCTTCCTTAGAGTCCCCCAAAGTTAACTCATTTCAGCATTAACCCAAAAGTCCACAGTCCAAAGTCTCATCTGAGACAAGGCATAGTCCCTTCCACCTATGAGCCTGTAATATCAAAAGTAAGGTAGTTACTTCCTAGATACAATGGGGGTGCAGGTATTGGGTAAATACAGCCATTCCAAATGGGAGAAATTGGCCAAAACCAAAAGGTTACAGGGCTCATGCAAGTCTGAAATCCAGTGGGACAGTCATATTTTAAAGCTCCAAAATGATCTCCTTTGACTCCAGGTCTCACATCTAGGTCATGCTGACGCAAAAGGTAGGTTCCCATGGTCTTGGGCAGCTCTGCCTCTGTGGCTTTGCAGGGTACAGGCTCCCTCCTGGCTGCTTTCACAGGCTGGCGTTGAGTGTCTGAGGCTTTTCCAGGTTCACGGTACAAGCTGTTGGTGGATTTACCATTCTAGGGTCTGGAGGAAGGTGGCCCTCTTCTCACAGCTCTACTAGCAGTGCCCCAGATGTGGGGCATCAGAGCCCCCACATTTCCCTTCTGCATTGCCCTAGCAGAGGTTCTCCATAAGGGCCCCACCCCTGCAGCAAACTTTTGCCTGGGCATCCAGGTGTTTCCATACCTCTTCTGAAATCTGGGTGGAGGTTCCCAAACCTCAGTTCTTGACTTCCGTGCACCCACAGGCTCAATACCACGTGGAAGCTGCCAAGGCTTGGGGATTCCACCCTGTGAAGCCACAGCCCAAGCTGTACATTGGCCCCTTTCAGCCACGGTTGGAGCAGCTGGGACACAGAGCACCAAGTCCCTGGGCTGCACATAGCACAGGGACCCTGGGCCCGGCCCACAAAACCACTTTTTCCTCCTGGGCTTCTGGGCCTGTGATGGGAGGGGCTGCTGTGAAGATCTCTGATATGGCCTGGAGACATTTTCCCCATGGTCTTGGGGATTAACATTAGGCTCCTTGCTACTTATGCAAATTTCTGCAGCTGGCTTGAATTTCTTCTCAAAAAATGGGTTTTTCTTTTCTTCTGCATCATCAGGCTGCACATTTTCTGAACTTTTATGCTCTGTTTCCCTTTTAAAACAGAATGCTTTTAACAGCACCCAAGTCAACTTTTGAATGCTTTGCTGCTTAGAAATTTCTTCTGCCAGATACCCTAAATCGTCTCTCTCCAGTTCAAAGCTCCACAGATTTCTAGGGCAGAGGCAAGATGCCACCAGTCTCTTTGCTAAAACATAACAAGAGTCACCTTTGCTCCAGTTCCCAACAAGTTCCCCATCTCTATCTGAGACCACCTCAGCCTGGATTTTATTGTCCATATTGCTATCAGCATTTTGGGCAAAGCCATTAAACAAGTCTTTAGGAAGTTCCATAGTTTTCCACGTTTTCCCATCTTATTCTGAGCCCTCCAAACTGTTCCAACCTCTGCCTGTTAGCCAGTTCCAAAGTCGCTTCCACATTTTTGGGTATCTTTTCATCAACACCCCACTCCTGGTACCAATTTACTGTATTATTCTGTTTTCACACTGCTGATGAAGACATACCCAAGACTTGGAAGAAAAAGAGGTTTAATTGAACTTACAGTTCCACATGGCTGGCAAGGCCTCAGAATCATGGCAGGAGGTGAAAGGCAGTTCTTACATGGTAGTGGCAAGAGAAAAGGAGGAGGAAGCAAAAGCAGAAACACCTGATAAACCCAACAGATCTCATGATACTTATTTACTATCACGAGAATAGCATGGGAAAGACTGGCCCCCATGATTCAATTATCTCCTCCTGGGTCCCTCCCACAACATGTGGGAATTCTGGGAGATACAATTCAAGTTGAGATTTGGGTGGGGACACAGCCAAACCATATCAACAATGATGATAAAAATGAAAATTAACCCTTCCTTCTTTTCAGGGCCTCTTCAAAATTTATCCCCTCCCAGAAGACCCAGCCATCCCCATGCCCCCAAGACAGTTCCACCAGCTGGCCGCCCAGGGACCCCAGGAGTGCTTGGTCCGTATCTACATTGTCCGAGCATTTGGCCTGCAGCCCAAGGACCCCAATGGAAAGGTAACTTTCCTAGAGCCCTCACCTCCCCCAGAGTAGCAGGCTCAGGTACAAGTGGCCTATAGAACCTGGACACAAACTCTGCCTCAGGGAGTTCATAGTAGGTTGGGAAACAGACAAACACACAAAACTGAGAGGTGCCTGGATGGAGTTGTGTTAAGGACCAAGTGCTCTAGAAGGTCAGGGAAGGCCAGTGTCAGTACAGGACTTTGGGAAAATGGGGAAGGCTTCCTGGAAGGAATAGGACTCTTAGGATAGATGAGATTTTGATAGGCTGGGAGGGAGAAGAAAATAGTGTTTTAAGAGGGGCCAAAAGCATAGGCAAAGGTTTGAAAGAAAATTGCTTAATGTGTGTCTAGAACAAGAATAAAGCAGAAAGATAAGTAAGGCTGAGGGTATAGGTTGGGACTCTCAATGGTTAATGGGGAGGAGTGATGGGGGAAAGGAGCAGCGTTAGTGACTGCTATGCCTAGTCATGGCAGAGTCCCAGGTAAAAGGGAATGCTGGTAACACTCACCCGGTCTTTATTTAAAATTTTGATATTTTGTTCATCATGGACTATTGACACTGATTTTAATTTTTAAAATATTTCATTAAAGTACTGTTTATCTTAATAACTATTTTGGCCCTTCCTTACATTTTGTGCCCAAGATAAGTGCGTGAGCTGTCTCCCTCTAGTCATTGCCTGAGATGGAGAGGGGAGATTTGAAGGAGGAAAGGAGTCTGGAGTTATGGGGAGGTGACAGAGGTGGGAGGCAGAGTAATGTTGGGAAGAGAAAGAAAGAGGAAAGAAGAGAGGCAGGGGTGGGGCCTGATTTGCCTTTACAGGCATGAGGCTAGGGTCCCCTCTTGTCTCCTGAGGCAGGTTTAGGCCCAGCATGTGTCCTTCAGGTGGTGGGCGGAGGCCTGGTATCCCACCCTGTAGCCTCACCTTTCAAGGGACAGAATGGAGCAGTTCTCAGCCTAGGCACCACTGACGGCCTCCAAGGTGTGGTCATGGCCAGTGGGTTGGTTTATATGCTTGAAGCCTTCCTGATGCTAGACTAACCCTGGGCACTCTGCAGCCCCAGCTGCTGGGTCGCTGGCTGAGGGGTGCTGCTGCTTCCAGGAAGCATGGAGGGAGACCTCCCTGGGCTAGCCTAGGCTGACATAGGCTGACCACCCCTCTCTCATTCCATATGCTTAAGCAGAGGTCACAGAGAGGACCCCAGCCTGGTCTCGTCATGTGTGTAATGCAGACTGTTGTGTTTCTGATAAGGGCCTGGCCTCTCCCAATGGAGCAGTAGATTGGGAGTGTGAAGGACTCAGGTGCCCCATTCCCACGGCTGGAGCCAAGACCAGAAGCCCATGTCAGGGTCCAAGTGGAGTGGTGTGGTGTGTGGGAGGGGGCCCTGTCTTGGCAGGACACAGCCCACATCTCAACTTCCTGATGGCTGCTCCCTCATCCCATCCAGAGGCAAGGCACTCATGAAGCCTCAAAGACAGGTTTGGAAAGTGTTTTCACAGAAGTGTTTTGTCTCCTCCTCCAGTGTGATCCTTACATCAAGATCTCCATAGGGAAGAAATCAGTGAGTGACCAGGATAACTACATCCCCTGCACGCTGGAGCCCGTATTTGGAAAGTAAATTGGGGCATCTTGGGTCTTGGGGTGGAGGAGCCAGACAGGATAACCCACAGTCTAGTGGGGGAGATGTGACTGGCACTGTGAAGTCCGTATCTCTTGGAGCAAAACTGTATTCCTTAAATCTTGCATGTCTATGGGGGCATAGCCTCAGTTAGCCCTTCTTTAGCTGCTAAAGACTTGATCCCAACAGAAGCTCCTAGTTAAATGCTAAACAATTACGTCTAAGATCAGAAATCTACATGGCTTGAGCTCAGGAGTTTGAGACCAGTCTGGGCAACATAGCAAGACCCCATCTCTACAAAAAATAAAAAACTTAGCCAGGCATGGTAGTGCATGCCTGTGGTTCCAGATACTTGGGAGGCTGAGGTGGGAGGATCCCTTGAGCCTAGGAGTTTGAGCTTACAGTGATCTGTGATCAAACTACTGCACTCCAGCCTGGGTGACAGAGCAAAACCCTGTCTCAAAAAAAAAAAAAAAAAAAAAGAAAGAAAAAGTAGAAATCTGTGTGTAAGCTCAGAAGATGCATTTGCTAATTCTTTTTTTTTTTTAAGATAAACTTTTACTTTGGAATAATTTTAGATTTACTAAACAGTTACAGAGACAGTGCATAATTTCCACTTACTCAATTTCCCCCACTGGTAACCCCTTACTCAATTTCCCCCACTGGTATCATCTTACCTAACCATGGGACATTTGTCAAAATGAAGAAATCATCATTGGTGCATTACGTTTAACCAAACTAGACTTTTTTTTAAAGGATTTCATGTTTTCCCACTAATGTCCTCTTACTAATGTCTCAGGATCCAATCTGTTATACGACATTGCATTTAGTAATTAATTCTCTGTAAGTGTCCCACATGTGTTTGTAGCAAGAGCTAGAGGAAGAATGTAGACCCAAGATAGTAAAATGATTCCTGAAATCTGAGAACAAGGAAAGGAAGAATCAATGCCCATTGCATGGGAGTAATTCCTAGGCATCCTGAATTGCTGTTTGGATGTGAGCTTGTTTAGGCCAGAGAGGGGAGGATGCAGAGGGAGGGTGGCAGCTATTTCTCTCGCACCTGCAGAAGACACCTACTGTTCCGATGTCATCAAGTCACATATTGCACTTATAAACCGGGGTCTGTTGAGTTAGTTGTGGTCACTCACCCTGCAGTGAGGACCCAGTCTCCTTGGGGAAATGCAGCTTTTGAAGGTGAACCAGCCCTGGCCAGTGATGAGCTCCCACCAAGCAGGGATTGGAGGGAAGTGGTAGGTGGGAGAGAGGAACTCTGTATGAGTTCCAGGGGCTGGCGAGCTCCAGGGGCTGGCGCAGGACCTCAGGCTAATGCTGATGGGGCAGTGGGCAGGGCCTGTTCCACAGTGGGTGGGCGTGTGTCAGGACTCAGGGGAGATAGGGGAGCCAGTGCAGGAACACACCCCTCCCATGCCTGTTTCCCCATCTCCCCCCAATCCTGGGCAAGCTGGTCTGCCTGGTGCTTTAAGCCTCCTTCAGATCACAACAGAAACCCTTCCATTCTATAACCCATGTGTCAGACGAACACAACGCATGAGGTGGTTTTTGTCACCATGTATTCCATGGCGTTACCTTCTCCTTTCCCCTGAGGAAACTGACAGGCAGGTGACTTTTCTGCTCACATTGAGCTCAGCCACTTTAACTCACGAACCCAGTCTCAGGCCATAACCCACTGCCCATTTGTATGGAATCCCGAGCTCCCTGATGGCTCTAGGGGAGTGTGTCCCCTCTTTGGATGCAGTTGTGTGTGTATATGTGTGTATGTATGTGTGTGTATGTGTGTATATGTGCACATATGTGCGTGCGTGTGTATGTAT
Organism: Homo sapiens; assembly: GCF_000001405.40. Lineage (NCBI taxonomy): Eukaryota > Metazoa > Chordata > Mammalia > Primates > Hominidae > Homo > Homo sapiens. The sequence goes on from NC_000002.12 coordinate 71,662,488, forward strand.
TTGTGTGTATGTGTGTGTATATGTGTATGTGTGTCTGTGTTCGTGTGTCTGTGTGGTGTGTGTATATATGTGTGCATGTGTATTTGTGTGTATACATGTGTGTAGGTGTATGCGTCTGTGTGTGTCTGTGTGTCTGTGTGGCATGTGTGTATTTTGTGTGTATGTGTCTCTGTGTCCATGTGTCCGTGTATGTGTGTGGTGTGTGTATATGTATGTGTGTTGTATGTATGTGTGTGTATGTGTATTTGTATATGTGTGCGTGTATGTGCATGTGTATTTGTATGTGTGTGTGTATGTGTGTTTGTGTCTGTGTGTCTGTGTGTGGTGTGTGTATATGTGCATTTGTGTATATGTGTGTGTATGTGTGTGTGTCTGTGTCCATGTATGTGTGTGTGTGTACGTGAGTACATTTGTGTGCCTGTGTGTGTATATGTGTGCACGTATGTGCATGTGTGTGTGTGTGCATATTTGTGTGTGTATGTCTGTGTCCATGTGTCTGCATATGTGTGTGGTGTGTGTATATTTGTGTATGTTTACGTGTGTGTGTGTGTGTGCGCGCACGCGCGTGGTGTAGGGAAGGAAGGGCCCTGCCTTCCTCCCTTCCTGGTCCAGTGTTTCTCCCTTCCTGCTCTGGCTGACCTCTGAGGTTCTGACTCCTGCAGTGTCTGGGCTGGGGAGAGGGCCCGTCTCATGTGCCCACCACCGCTGTCATCCGGGTACTCTCTGGACCACGGATGTTGAAAGCCGACTTATTTTCCTGTGGGTGCTTTCCAGAGGTTCCTCAGAGAGCCCCCCGTGAGCCCTCCCACTGCACTTTCTGGGATATGGCAGATGCTGCGTCCCTTTAGCTGCTGTCCCCAGCCCCTGGTTCTCAGATGGTCAACTCCACAATCTCTCGCTGCTACAACCCTCTGGGGGTCTCACAGGGCAGGATTCAGAGCAGTTCCAGTCTGGCCTCAGAGTGGTTTCTTCTCCTCCCAGGAAGTCCTTGTGTTCCTTGCCCAGGCATGGGCCAGAGTGCAGCTCCTCCCAAATGTGGCCCCTGCCCTCCTTCTCCATGCCACAAGTTGCTTAAGTTTCCCTGAGCATGCACCAGGTGCCAGGCTTGTGTCTCTCACCTGCAGGGAGCTCATTTTAGGGGGAGAAGGGAGAATACCTCTCCCTTTGATGCACATGGTAGATGGAGTTCTCAGATACAGCAAGAGCTCTCGCCAGAGAAATCTTTTCACAAATTCTCCCTCCATCCCATCCCAGAAGTGGATGTGAAGAGTCCAGAAAGCAGGTCCCAGGCCTGGAGTTTCCAGTCATCGGTAAATTCCAAAGCTCTGGCCCCTTGCTCTGGAGTACCAGTCGTCGGTAAATTGGAGTCCCCCAATTTACCGGGAGTCCTCCCTGGACTGGAGGTACCAGTCGTCGGTAAATTCCAAAGCTCTGGCCCCTGGCTCTGGAGTTTCACATCTCTTGCATCTGTTGTCTCCTGGTGTCGTGGTCAAAGCTTCAGTTTTAATGTGCATTTCCAATTCATTCTTTCGGTCTGTGGTCCATCAGGCAGGCACTTGCCTTATGCCCAGCACAGTTTATTTGGGAAAGTCCTGTCCCCCTTCCCCCTACACACACACTCAGGCCCAGTACAGCAGTGCTGTGGGTGGTTGGGCCTGTAAGATCTGTAGGGGGCCCAAGGAAAGAAGACTCCCTGGGGTAGTTTCGAGCTCTTGTCCTGCCCTGCCTGTCCCTTGGGTGCCCCGTGTTGGCTGACATCGGGAATCTGCCCCTCCTGCAGGATGTTCGAGCTGACCTGCACTCTGCCTCTGGAGAAGGACCTAAAGATCACTCTCTATGACTATGACCTCCTCTCCAAGGACGAAAAGATCGGTGAGACGGTCGTCGACCTGGAGAACAGGCTGCTGTCCAAGTTTGGGGCTCGCTGTGGACTCCCACAGACCTACTGTGTGTACGTGGATGGGGGCTGGCTGCCTGCTTCTCTGACAACACACCACCCCTGTCTTCTCTGACAACACACCACCACTGAGCACTTACTGTGTGCCAGCCCTGGGCTTAGCACTTCCTAGGCATTCTCTCATTGAGTCCAATGGGAGTCCTATCCCCACTCCACAGATGAAGAAACTGAAGCCCAGAGATGTTATTGCTTGTAAGTGGTGGAATTAGGATTTGAACCAAGAACCTGGCTCATCACATTGTTATAATCCAGTTATCTGTAATGCACATAGAAGGCCTAGAGAGGGCTAGGTACCTGGAAAGGGAGAGAGGGAAGGAAGGCAGGAAAGAAGCAGGGGAAACAGATGAGAGGACATGTGTGCTGCAACTGGGCCCGAAGGGGAATTTTGTGATGGTTTATGTCAGGGGAATGCATGTGAGGACTGCACCCCTCTTCCCACCATCTCAAGTCTTCTCTGGGTCTGATTATCTAACTCTGGAAATTGAAAACATTTAAGTTGCAATTCCGTACTTAAATGAGTCCTTTTCTCTCTGAGCCTCCATTTCTCCATCTGTAAAATGGGGATGCCCAGTCATGGTGAGCAATCAGATGGGACACCCACTGTAAAAGCAAGGAGTGGGCAATGCTGTACATGGGGGTACACCAGTCCCTGCATGCCCCTCTACCCTCATGAGTGTCCTTGAAGCATCTCATCTATGTCTTGTGCTTGCTCCTCAGCTCTGGACCGAACCAGTGGCGGGACCAGCTCCGCCCCTCCCAGCTCCTCCACCTCTTCTGCCAGCAGCATAGAGTCAAGGCACCTGTGTACCGGACAGACCGTGTAATGTTTCAGGATAAAGAATATTCCATTGAAGAGATAGGTGAGCTGCCACATGACCCCAAACCATGGTGGGCTCTCGCTGTATCCCTCCCTCTCTCATCAGACCCTCTGCTACCATAAAAGACCCAAGCGGACATAACCCACAGCAGCAGGCTGTGGGTCTCTCCAGGGCAGCACAGATGGGCTCCACTTGCACTTGGTACTTTGAGGATCAGTACTGACCTGTGATGCCACTGTGAAAATTAGAGGTCAGGGCACAGCCAGGGTCAGAGTGCAGTCCAAGGCCAGGTTGGGGCCCATCCGAGGGCAAGATCAGAGGTGAGTCTGAAGCCAGTGTCAGGGTCAGAGTTAGGCTCAGTCTCTTTCTGGCATTGGCTGGTCTGACTCTGGTTGGAGTTTGGGGTACAGTCCACTTCTCAGAAACAGTTTTCTACTTGAATTGCACCAGCCTGGCAGCTTGACCCTGATGGTATCTTCCAAGCTCCCCACTGACAGCCCATGCATCTAAAGGATCCCAAGGCAGGCAGGCCTTGTAGTGCCCCCAGTCCTGCCCAGGGTCCTGCCCAGCTCTCCTGGCTGAGAATCCCGCCACATGCTCTCCGTGTGTCTGAGATGCCCGCAGGCCTGCATCACCCACTCAGAGCAGCTCAGACTCCCCAGAGGTGTTTACAGGCCCAGCTGGCCCCTTGCCTCCTGGTTGCTTCAGAGATGTTTGATGTCAGAGCTGGTGCCAAGGTTATAAAAGGGAAATGATGGCTTTGATGCCCCCATCCCCCACCCCCTCCTCCTTCTCATTCTGTTTTCCTGACTCTCCCAGGTCATGGCTGAGCCAGGCTCGGCCATAAGGCGCCCCCAGCCCTGCCCCCCTTCATTCCCTTTTCCCATAGAATGAGCATCTGTTTTCGGGGGAGTCTCATTTCCTTCTACTAGTCTGTGAGCAACTTTAGCACAGGGCCATGGCTCATGGTCATAAAGTCATAGGAAACAAAAGCCAGAAAGCTAGAGATGGTGAGGTCCAACATCTGCCTGCTTTTACAGATGAGGCTGGTAAGACCAAGAGTGGTGAACGACCTGCCCAACGTCACCCAACCAGCTAGGGGCAGAGCCAGGTTCCTGGCCCTGTGTGCCTTCTGAGGTGCATGCCTCTTCCTTTGAGGCCCCTACTGAAATGGGCAGGGCAGGTCTGATGGGTGAACACATGTGTGTGTACATATAGGTGTGCATGAGCACACCTGGGTACATGTACAGATGTGTGTGTCCACCATCAGCTCCCAAAGCCAAGGCCTTTGACATAGTGGGCTCCAAGTTCATGTTGTTGGATGGTTGGCCAGGCTTCTCTGGGTCAGGAATACCCCATGTCTTCTCCCCACCTGTAGCACCAGTTTTTGACCCATTCCCTAGCAGGGAGGAGCTGTACCTGGGACGCACCTGGGGACAGGCACCTAGGTTCATGCCTAGTCACGCACCTTTCCTAAGTGAGCATGTGATCTCAGCTGCTCTGCTGCTAGTTGTGTGGCTTCTCTGTGCCTCAGATTTCTCTTCTATAAAATGGGGATAATAACAGCACTCAGCTTCTAGGATCCTCATGAAGACTAAATATGTTAATAGCTTGAAGAACAGTGTGTGGCACGTGGTTCCTGCTCTGGAAGTGTTTGCTGTTATTGCTATTATTTTAGCTACTGCTAATAGTAGAACAACTTAAGTGAACGAGAGCATAATACTAACAGCACTAAGATGCCAAATCTAGGAGTAAAGGTTGCTGAGGCTTAGAGTTGGGAGCAGTCAGGGAGAGCTTCCTGGAAGAAGTAGGCTTTGGAGACAGGAGGATTTGTATGGTGGAAAATAGGAATAAAAACTATAGAACAGGCTTGGTAGAAATGATGGCAATGGGGAATCTGGATTTTAAGCCTGGAGCTAGTGGACAGCAAGATTTCCCCTATCAAAAGTGAGACATGAGGACCAGAAAAAGTGCATCTGTGCTGGGGGTGAGGCTGCGGGGGTTAGAGCTTCTTATGACTCTTAGGCAGCCCTGCTCAGCCTGTTCACTGGGCAGCCCCATTATCTCTCGCTTCCCCAGCTCCTGCAACTTTTTTGTCTTCTCTCTGGGGCAGAGGCTGGCAGGATCCCAAACCCACACCTGGGCCCAGTGGAGGAGCGTCTGGCTCTGCATGTGCTTCAGCAGCAGGGCCTGGTCCCGGAGCACGTGGAGTCACGGCCCCTCTACAGCCCCCTGCAGCCAGACATCGAGCAGGTAGGACCTTGACCCTTGGGTCCCAGAGTCCTCGAACTCCAGAAAGCCCCAACCCCAGGGACAACATGGATATCCCAGAGGAGCCAGTGGGTCCCTTGAGATTTGGTCAA